>NC_000018.10:27786206-28411206 GCF_000001405.40 Homo sapiens
GCACCCCACGGAGTGCAGAACCACTTCACTGAACACTAAAGTATACATCCTAAGAGGAGCTACTGAATAATGCAGTGGCCATGTCTCCGGTAACGAGAGTAGCAGGTGCCAGTGCAGTCCAGCTGGGCTGGCGAGGAACCGGGACAAGTGGGGGATGGGGCAGAAGAGTCAGAGAGGAGAGACAGGAAGTGTGGCCATTGTTCTGAATGTACTACGCCGTTTCTGAAGCAATTGAAGTAGGTGCAGTGACTTCACATTTTAAGAAGCTGTGTGTGCAGAGGACGCACAGGCAGAGAGGAGCACGAGGCAGGAAGGCTGCATCCAACTGAAGTTAACTGGTCCTTTGTTGCTTCTCCAGTCTAAGCTCTGTGGAGGGACGTCAAGGCCAGAATGGGATCCAGAAGGGTGGAGGATGGGGTTGCCTTAGTAGCATGAAGGATTGGTGGGAGGCAAGAAGAGCCGAAAGTTACTTTTTAAATAATTTGGCTCATATTTGAATTTATCTGATTAGTAGAGCAATGTCTGGCATCCCTCCTGCTTGGAAGGCAGACTTCCCTTTTCCAGCCAAATTCAGTAAGTTTCAGGTAAGGAACAGCTGGAACACGTGGCCTAAACGATATCTTCTCTCCGCAGTAAGGAGTATGGGAGTTGGAGGGAAGGTGGGTTCGAATCTCAAATACAGCCCAGCCCCCTTCACTGGAGCAGAGCTGAAAGTGTTTTGAAACTCAAACCCTAATTAGTAATAAGGAAGACACTTTTGTCTGGGACACCCCCTCCCCATTGTGCAAAGATCTCTCTAGGACCTAATATGGTGGAAGGTGATAGGCAACTGTATGAAAATATGGGGATATGGAGTCCTGCCTAAATGTAATTCTTGAAGAAAAAGCGAATAATACAGAGGAACTAAACGTAGAGAATTTGAAGAGGGATGATAGCAGCGAGGTACAAAAGGTAAAGTGGCAAGACTTGCAACCAGGTAGATATCAAGCATGAAAAGAGGCAGAGAAAGCAGTTTCAGAGAAGGAATTAATGGGGAAATGGCGATTGCTTTAATAGAAACAGAGGGGAAGGGAGAAGATTCAGAGATAAGAGAAAAGAGGTGAGTGAGTCCGATTTTAAACATGCTAAAACAAAAGCATCTCCATGACATTCACCAGCACTTGGAAACAGAGGCTGGAGCTCCAGAGGGAGTTTGGCTTCTTGTCTCCACCCATCCCTTCAGGCAGAGGTGAAGATGGCTTCTCGTCTCCACCCACCCCTACAGCAGCAGAGGTGGAAGTTTTCCATGTTCCCGTGCCAGAAAGAGGAACTAAGCCCCAGCTTTAACACACACAGTGGCTACAAGAAACAAACAACACATCTATTTTTCACATTGACTGATCTACCCCAATGGGTTGGCAATGTCTCTGTGTGTTAGAGAGCAAAGACCCAGCATAAGTAAATGCTGAACTAAGAGCTAAGGACTGCAACTGTAGATGCTGTGAAGTTTGTTACATGCAATAATGAAAATGTCAGATGCCACATGGATGAGGAACTTGGTACATAAGAAACACATGTTATTTAACAATCTGCCACTGAGTGAACAAAAAGCAGCTGAAATCAAGCTAGAGGCAGCCAAGAACACACCACTGAAGTCATTACAGAGCAATACTAGGATTGCCACGGGAGCAACAGTGCTGTGATTCTTCCTCTGACAGAAGTCCAGATCAAAGGAGATGGACAAAGCATGCAGAAAAACTGCTAATAAAGGAAAAAAAAAGAAAAAAAGTACTCACTTAAAGCTAGTGAATACAGTACATAGGATGGCAAGACAAAGAAAAAGAAGGGACATCACTCCCCTCGAAGATGTGCTTATCTCTGGGCTTACCTTTGTGATCCTCTTACTTGGTTGGCTATGTCCTTTACATCTTCCACTGACAGGGACAATAACGTCCCAAAACAGTTTCCCAAGTGCCCTCAAGAGCATGAAAAGGCTCCTCTTAGAGAGGGGTGCACCTACTCCATGAGGGACAGAGTTGAGCACGCCAGACTTTAACAGGTGCAGAGGCCAGAGGTCGGAAATCACATGCCTATAACAAAGGAAATGTAGCTTCGAGCAATTATACAAATTAAAACCAGGCAAAGCACATGTGGGCACAGTAGAAAAGAATATGGGCTAATTCAGCAGAAAACGTTTCACAGCAAATGTTACATTGTGGTGATAAATTTAAATATTATGACAGTTTAGCCTTAGTTTTCTTATCTGCAAAATGGGAATAAGACCACCTCTCTTATAGGGCTGTTGTGAGAACTGCAGGGGAAATAAAATTTTGATCAGAAGACCAACTGAGTAAATTGACTCTAATCTTAAAAGAAAACTATGATATGTGAACAGTTGTAAGCTTTTATTTATTCATTTATTTATTTTGGAAATGGAATTTTACTCTTGTTGCCCAGGCAGGAGTGCAATGGTGTGATCTCTGCTCATTGCAACCTCCACCTCCTGGGTTGAAGCAATTCTCCTGCCTCAGCCTCCTGAGTAGCTGGGATTACAGGCATGTGTCACCATGCCTGGCTAATTTTTTTTTGGATTATTACTAGAGACAGGGTTTCACCATGTTGGCCAGGCTGGTCTTGAACTCCTGACCTCATGTGATCCACTCACCTTGGCCTCCCAAAGTGCTGGAATTACAGGCGTGAGCCGCTGGGCCCACTCAATTGTAAGCTTTTTAAGCTCACATTTCATGAGAAGTGATATAGGAGAACAGTTAGGAATGTCTGTGTTAGCATCCTGAGAATGCAACTAGCTATATAATCTGAGCAAGTTAATAGCTCTGTGCCCCATTGTTTTCATATAAAAAATGGATCTAATAGAAATATGTTGGTCTTAGGTCTATTTAGGATTAAATTAGGGAATATGAGTAACATTCTTACAGTGGTAACAGGCATATGCATAGCACATGTTTATTAAATGTTAATTATTATTAATCGGAGAAGTAGCTCTAGGAAGTTTCCTAAAACTTCCTTACCTGAGCTACTAACTCTACATAAAAAAATGCTTTATTATTTTTGTGTTTTTATTCTAGGAATTGTCTGGAATTTTTGTGGAATCATGAGAAAATTTGAACACAAATATCTCCCGTGGACTAACTGAGCAAGAACTCATTTATCACCAAGGGGATGGTGCCAAGCCATTCATGAGGGATCTGCGCCTGTGATCCGAACACCTTCCACTAGGCTCCACTTCCAACACTGGGAATCACATTTCAACATGAGAGTTGGAGTTGACAAATGTCCAAACCATGTCTCCATCCAACCATCTATACAGGTCTTTTTCTTTTTTTAATCTATGATTCAATGTGATAGTGGGGGTGGATGTGGCTTTTGGTGTGCCTGCTCCTGGTAGGTACTATGCAAATACTAGGACATGACCAGGCTAGTATTCAGACAACATGAAGACAAACCAGTTCTTCAGGTGTTAAAATAATTTCACTAGTTATAGTGGCTACCTTAAGCTCCCCAGTGACTCTTCCCCAAACTTCCAGGGATGTTTGTCATCCAGTAGTAGAAAGGTTTATACCTAGTTCAAGGAAATTTTTTCAAAATAGGGTATCATCACAGCTCTTATACAGATATAAACAAATGTCAACAATTTATTTAACTTATTAAATGATGAGATAACTGGAAAAGCTGTCACAAAAACCTCAGTGAGAACCTGAAGACCAGACAAATGTATAAGCCCATCAGGAGGGAATGTTGAAACAAACTTGGCTAAGCAATGCAAAACTGGCTTCCTCCACAGCAGAGAGGGAAGTTAATTGAATTTCTACAGCACAACAATTCTTTGCATGTCTACAGACAAGAATTATTTGCCTTATATCAGTGTTGTACAATTTGCTTCTATAGAGTTAACTATATCTAGTTATCTCTATACAATTATAAAATAACTCAGACAATTAAAAGCACAAACCCTGTAGAATCAGCTAATCCTGAACTGAACGGTGTGCTTCAAACAAGGCACAGTTTTCCACGGATGACACCTGGCAATCTTTTGGCCCAATTAAAAATCTTTCAAATTTTTTGTTACTATCTCCCCAACCTTGATCAAGAATAATGATAAGGAAAATTTCTCGTAAGGCCAGTCTCATTACAATTGGCCTGATCGTTTGCACAGCTGCAGTGAGAGGACTTCTACAGTTTGCTTTGGAAATCTAGAGCTCTGCGGTATTGAATAATCACAAAATTAACCTCTGTTGGGAAGTTTTCGTAAAGAATTTCAGTTTGGGCTTTTCAAAGTGCCTGTTATTTGTTATGCCAAAGCTAGGAAACTAAGCCCAAAAAACTCTCTTGACCTAATTTTACCTGCAGTTCCTACAAATGTGGGCGAATTCCTCTCTTCTCAATGTCCCTGGTCTAGCAGAAGGTAGCTTTTCTCAGTATGTGTCAGGCAGGGCCTCTGTAAGCCAGGTTCCAGGCCAGTCTTTCTGAGAGGCCTTTATGGGCATTGGTTCCATAAGAAAGTCATAAGTAAAATATTCAATTTTATTCTCTTAACAGTGGCTGTCACACCTGATTAATGAGAATTATTCTCAAATATGACATTCCAGGCAAGAACTTAGTTGCATACCTGATTTTTCTAATTATATCATGGTATAAAGGTGGACAGATTCTTATTGAGCCTGTTGAAATAACTATTTTTCCATGAACAATAAGGAGATTGAGTAAGAATTTCTGATTTGGGGTTACGGGAGGCAGGGGAGGAAGGGAGAGGGAAACGGGTTAGTGACAATTAGATATCATTTAAAAATGCTTCATTTTCGTTTCCAATAGCAGCATCTACTAAACTGTTATTGGTTACAGATAGGTTAAGAATAAAAAAGGAGGACTTGCTTGCAGATAAAGAAGAGAGTACATTAAAAGAACACCAACAGTATCCTAAATAAAGATCTATAATAAAAATTTCCTCATCAGTTCATTCGGTCCTATGTAATTAAATTATGTTCCACCAGATCTTGGATTCAAGAAGCCTTATGCCTCTTGGCTAAAAAGAGTTTGAAAATCCTGACTCGGCCCATTGGTAAGCAATGCCATCTTTACACAAGAATTTATTCTTAGATAATTCTTATTGATCTTTGGCAACACAAATGTTGATACAATTCTGCTTATTCAGGTGAGAATCAGAGTAAAGTAAGTAAAGTAAAAGTTATCTGCACTTGACAGAAATGTGAAATAGGTATGGTTATTTATTACTGATAATTTTCAAATATGAAAGATCTTATATTAGTTCAGAACAAAGCAACTGAAATTTGGTTTCTTCTGTGGGATACAAAACAAAATCATATTACCATTCCAAAAAAAGTTTAGACAAAATATCTCTAAGGATAATATTGAGTTTAGACAAAATATTTCTAAGGATAATATTAAGTCCATATACAAATGTTATATCTAATTTATAAATGCATGAATATAATTTTTATAGAGAAAAAACCTGAGATATAATATACAATATTTCCGAGATGTTGCATACATAATATATCAAGACTATACCAGGAATATCAAGTAAAGAAATTCAGTAACTCTGGAGTAGTGACTAGACATGTGTATTTTTATAAAACTCTATGGGTAAGTCTGATGTGCCTCTCTAATTTAGAATCACCGGCCAGACGATGCTAGATTCAAATTATAAAAGTAGGTTTGTTCCAAGTAGGCATTTTAAAAAATAGCTGAAATTGACTGCTAACACTATACTATTTTTGCAGAATATTATCAGGCAAACTACCACCAGAATTCTGATCAATAGGAACATATTTTAGATAATGTGGGCATTGATAGACCTCTAAGAATTTCCCATGAAAACAACACACAATTTCTGAAATATTTATATTAATACGTCTTATGTATTGAAATTTAACCTTGGGAAATCTGAGCATCTCTTCTGCTGTGCCAATTCGTTAAACAAACCTAATTATTTCTAGCATCATTTAATAGAAACTAATCATTAATTTTCCAGAGATCTTCTGGGAAATCTCAAGGATAGTTTTAGGTATAAAAGATACTCTGAAAGTTTTATTTTTTCTTTTCTTAGAATTTGATTTTTTGAAGGCAAAAATCAAAAAGGATGTCAGAGGAAATTTAGACATGTGATTAAGATAGAACCTCCTGTGGGTGCCTGAGAGACAATACATGATTGTTCATTTAATCAAAGAGACAACAAAGCATTTAAAAGTAAACATAAAGGTAACACAACTAAAAAGAACCTTAGCCTTTCATGAAAGAGGAAGATTTGTTCTTCGTTAGATTTTTTTCCCCTAAAGAATCTCAGTAGAAAATCTCTACGTCCCTTTAAGATAGTTTTTATAAAGAAAAAAGTTATAATCATGACTCTCATACAGACATAAAATGAACGGGTGTCAAAGATTTTATTTAACTCATTAATCAATGAATAAAGGAACTGGAAAAGTTGTTACAACCAGTTCAAAGGAGAATTCAAAGGCCAGAAAAATATAGGCCCTTCAGACATGTTGAAATTAATTTACTTAGTAGGTGTAACACTGGCTTCTTCCACAGTAGGTGTGGACGGGGGTGTTGGGGGGAGCTGGGTATTGGCAGGGCAGAATCAGTTGAACATCTACTAGACGATATTTTTCACATGCCTATAGACAATAATTAATTACATTACTATCAGTTTTCTGCAAGCTAATTTCTCTGTCTACAGAGCTATAGGATAGCTCAAGATAATGAAAGGTCTAAACTCCATAAAATCAAATAGTCTAGGAGAAAGTGCTCAATGTCATGTGCTGTTTTTCTATTGAAGACACCTACTAAATTTGGGTTCATTTAGAAGTCTTCCACATTGTCTTCTTATACCCTGACACAGCAGGGAGCCTTCGTAACCCCACTCTATCAGTTTTCCAGGCTTGTTAATATTTACCACTGCTTGTTAAATATGTTTACTATCCCTCCGGCACACAATAGAGAAAAAGACAGTTTCTGTCCTTCATGGGCTCTTAGTACAATGGGAAAGACAGACCAGTAAACAGAGCACAGATAAGCACAAGGTACTTGTAGAGGGAGGCACTAAATCTAACTTTAAAAGTCAGGACAGGCTTTCTGGAGCAACAGTAGCAATTAGCAAAGAGATTGAGATGGGTGGATAGGAAGGGAACAAGAAAAAAGGGGCCCCAGACAGAAGAAATGGTGTGAGCCATAACCTGGAGGCAAACTAAACCACGGTGAATTTAAGGAACTGCGAGTAGTTCACTTAGGCTTTTGGGGAGAAAAATATACTTTTCACCATCCTTAACTTGGCTCAGGAATACACCCCTCAGTAGCAGCGATATCCTCACTGCCTTGAAGGATTTTAAGAAAAATGCATAGTGAACATATGACAGGCAAAATGTGGGAGCAGGGTATTGTAAATAATTCTCAGCCAATTCTAAAAATGGCTTGCAGCCATTCTAAATATTGCCTAGGAATTATTTATAATGCCTGATATAACATTCTGTGATAACATCAGCACACACAATTGAGAATTTGTTAAAATTTAATCCCAATTGAAAAGCTAGGCAGACGGGGTCAACACGAGAACAGGGAAAGGATTTTCATCAGTAGCATCTTATTCAAGTAAAAGTTAGAAAAAACCCTCAAACTCAAAAAATTAAAATGACCATTTCCCAGAGTTGGTAAATTTTTAAGTGGACAGAAGGCAATCTCTTCTTGGGATTGGTTGCCATATTCAACAGAGGACTAGATTTTCATCAGTCTTGGTGAGATGGGTTGTTGGGAATAGATTCCACTTGTTGGCACATATGTCCCCAGCCTATCCTAATTCTAAAATTACATCTGAAAAAAATGAGATTGTAATCAGAGCTGCCAACAATAAAGAACTCTTCAGAAACATGACAGCTACCATTCATTTACTACTTACCATGTATTAGGCACTTAAAAAAACCAAAACCTTCTGTGACAGATAGTAAATTATCACATCTACTTTACAGATAAATAAGAATCAGGGAGATTATGTAAGTTGCCTAAATTTTCATATGTTGTAAGTAGAAGAATTTGGATTCAAATATACATTTATCAGTCCTAAAACCTGTGGTCTAAAAAGTATACAACATCCAGAGAAAAACAGAGCTCCCTCCAAGGACTTTTAAATGATGACATTTATTAACAGCATCTGAGATTATGAAAGAGGACTTGTTATCTGGGAAGTAGACTTCTGGACCATAACCAGGCCTGCCTTTAACATCATTTGTAAGGCCTTGGACAAGAATACAAATGAAAATCCACGTACCATATGTCTCAATATTAAAAGTAATAAATCAGTCTAACAAGCTGTTAAATAAAATATGTTCTATACCCTTGCCTTGATAAATATATTTTATAATGACTGGAGGGTCAGGGTCAAATTTAGAATCTCTCGGCTCTAAACATGGCACCTTGTCTCCCCAAGTCCACCCCCTCCAACTCCCACACACACACTCTTCCAAGTTCTGGCTCTGTCCCACACTACAGGGGACCTGGCATGCATGTATGCTGTCACCCCATCCCACATGTCCAAACTCCATCCACAACCCCCACACAGCTGTCCCTTAGCTACTAGTTATGTGATCCACCTCCAGAGTATAGATTTAGGGAAAAGTCCCACACAAGTCCTAGAGGTAAGCTCAGGTTCCTCTGGACAGGAGATCCTGGGAACCCAAGTATGGCCTATAAGGTGATATCCAAAGTACTGTCTTTAAACCTGTCTTGGTCATTGAACTGTTTATTACTAGTCTGCATCAAGAAAAGTACAGAAAGTGAAAGTACGCATCTAGAGCTTTTCATTACAATCTGACATTTGCTGCAACATCCAAGGGCAGGGTTTCATATTAAAAAATATATATTGGTGGGCCAAGAATAGGAAATTTTTAAAGCTGGGGTTGGGGTTTTACCCATAAATGGGTAGAAAAGCTCTGCCTAGAATGGGAAGGAGGAGAAAATCCTGAGGGACACAGCCCTTTGCCCACAGACCCACCCACCATGGGGAAGGGTCCAGCCTCAGGAGGGCCTGGCCAAGGACTTCCAAAAGGGGCTTCCTCTTACCCAGGTCTAAGAGCAACCCTGACAATCACAAGACCATTTCTGCTCTTTCAGTGTTACTTTAAAGATCTGCGTGCCTGGGGCCTTGGGCTTGATGAAGCTGAGAGAAACGGGAAAGCAAGCTTTGCTGTTACTGTGTGAGCTTTGGGATCCCACATGACAACAAGCAGGTGTATAGCTAATAATGGCTAACAGGAAACCTCTAAGACTTTAGAACTCCTGCTACCAACATTCTGCTGATTACCTCCACCAGGACAATCAGGTCAAAGCCAATAAAATTTAGCTCCTATTAATTGAGGACTACTCTGACATTTCAATGGAAAGATTTTAGATTCCCTGTATCTTTTCTTGCTCCAAATCCCAAATCCTGCTGAAGACACATTCCTCAGCCTCTTTTTTTTTTCTATGTCTGTTGATAAAGGAATTTTAAAATAAAGCAAGGGAATTTGAGACATTTGAGATCTGTTTCAAAGAAAATGAATTTTTTAAGGAGTAATACAAATGTAACTCAAACTGCTACTTGCGGTCTTGATACTATTGCCTAAAGGTTTTGGCCAGGAAGAAATTGTTTTTAAAATGACTTAGGATAAGAAATAAGATTTGCTACTATGACTTTTTCCTTTTCATAATTTTATTTATTCAAATATTAACATGCATATCCTTCACTCTTTACCTACTCCCTCCCTTTTTCTATCCCCTTCAATACACACATATGCATACCCACACCAATAAACCAAGAGCTGATGAGAATTGTAATAGCTCCATTTTGTTTAAACACTATATTTAACTATTAATAAATAATAAGCTTAGCAAATACATATTTTTGGTACAAATCATGTAATAAATAATTATACTTCTAAAGTAATAAATGCCCAGCTAAAATTAACTTATTTTTATTAAAATATTAAAATTTTATTCCAGTGTAGCTCCTAGAAATTCTGTATTAAAACACAAAATTCAGTGGTCTGGATTTTATGTAGACAAGCAACACAGAAGGTAAAGTAAAAAGGGAAGTCTGCCAGTACCTTCCTTAGAGAAAATTCCTCTCAGTTTCTCCCAGAGCACACATGTATTTTATGACAAATTGGCCTCCTTCACTTTGAGGCCAGGGTTTTATTCAGCAGCAAAGTTCACTGTTAACTTTACATGAAGGTTAAATTAAAGATTGTAAACCAACAAGAGTTTTCAATATCACACTTAAAATTACGTAAATAGTGGTCAGTAGCACCAATACCTTCGCGAAATACAAGTTCCCGTAAGTACATACAGGATTTTAACCCTGGAATAGTCTGTCAACAATATCCCTTTTTCCTCAAACAGTGACTTGATCTCTGGAGGCCTAAATGATTTAGATCTGTTTTTCCTGAGCATTTCTTGGTATTAACTTATCTTAGGCAGGCTTCTTTTCTTTCCCATAGACAAATAACTCTAACCTTTAATGTGCATAAGAATCATTTAGAAACATTTATAAAATTTAGATTTCCAAGCCACATCCCTAAAGATTTCAAGTCAGTAGATCCAATATCTCACTAGGAATCTGTACTTTTAAGAAGTATCTTAGGTGATTTCAATGCAGTTGTTTAATAGAATGGCTTTAAAGAGATGCCATATAGGAACCATGACTGTCTCTAAGTACTGAATTGGATCAACTCATGCTTACTGGCAGTTTGAGCTCATTTTATTTTGTTGACCATGGTATCACGGTGGGGAAAAGTAAAATTTCACAGAATATGTCACAAACCGTAAACATTATGGAAATTAGTTGAATAATTATATAATCAAACTTGCCAAAGTAAATACAGATCTATGTATGCTCTCTTATTAGGAAACTTTTTGTTAATTAAAGCAAGCAAATGACTGCATATTATTATATTTCAAAGCTATTGTTTAACACTCTCAAAGAATATTAATTAATAAGGGAGAGTATCTGCTATTTAATATTTAGTTTGGAGACCAGACATCGTGAAGTTACATGTAAACTTGTATCTAATCCCAAAAGTTAGAGTTGTGTTGCTCTGTAAAACGTTAATCAGGTTTGCATCTATGAGCAAATTTATCTCAGTGTTCTTTTGTGTGCCTGACTACATATGAATTTGTCAAATTCTCCTTTGAATCCATCTTACTGACTCTTTCATTAAGCAATGGGTTGAATGAAAGAATTGACATGTATTCATTTTATATTTGTATGAGAGACATGTTTTTGAATTTTTCTGAGAATTGTGCTTTGACTGTTTTGGAGTACCACTGAGATCTCAGCTGCACTTACCTGCCAAGGCCAATTAATCCATGTTGGCCAAGAAATATAAGTTCTTGCGTTGTTTAAACCCAGGCACATCTTTTCTTGGCTCTCTGAGTGAATCTCAAGCAGCAGTAGACTCTCTTGCTGACTTTCTGTTTCTCTTTTTAGTTTCCTGTCTGTGTTTTTGTTTTGTTTCTGGTTCTTGGCCTCATTCAGTTCTGATTCTAGTTTGTGCACAGCCAATGCATTATTTCCCACTGGAGGCCTTGATGGTCTGTATCAGGATGATGGACATCTGCCCTCTGTCAGGGGAGAGACCAAAGATAATTTTTTTTTGTGTATGTCTCTTTATGTCCCCAAATCAATTAAGAATATATTTTGTACCCACTAAAAAGGAAAACAGCTCTTTGAGACAGAAATTGGTGAGGTTTTTGTGTTTCTGTTGACTTTGCAAAACCTGTGGCTCAGATTATGTAAGTGAAATGTGTCTGTGTGTCTATAATTGAGAAAAGCCTTAACCTCTCATTGTGTGAATTTGAAAATTTTCCTACCTCTGAGGAGTATTAATAAATTTGAAGATAAAGTCCCTCAAAATAAAGAAGCTTTGTATTGTATTGATGTAGTAAATGCTTATGTAAGTAGAACATTCTTTAAATTCCCCCAGAAAATAAACTGAAATTTAAATGTGATAGCATTTTAAGACAAAACAAATTAACTTCTAGCCCAGAAACATGTTGTATATAATAATCTAAATTCACATAATCAAGATGAACCATTGGACAAATAAGACTGGTTGATAATTTTGATTAAGAAAATAGCTACATATCTTTCTTGTAATTAGAGTTTAGTATAAGAATTTTTAAAATTTTTAAATAAATTTGCAAAACTTCTTATACAGGTTTATTGATCAAATAAGCTAACCCTACTCCTACATTATTTTTTTAAATTTGAAACATATAAAACCATGTTCTACTAAAATTAATTATAAATTTGATAGGCTTTTGGATATAAACAGCAATTATGTTCTGATGTTCTGTAGAGTTTCAACCTCAATGTGATTTTCAAAGTCCTTAGTTAACTACAAAAAGTTGGACTAATTTTAAATAGAGTTAATTATTGGATAATCTTCAGACACCTGGATAATTTCTAAGTAAAAGAGAATACTGAAACCCAAGTACAGTTTTAATATATGTACTTTTGCTTCTTTAATATATTATAGAGTGGCTACAGTTTTAAATAATATTATTAAATTTGCTCATTCTTGACATTTTAAGAACGCATAAAACTGATGCATGTGGCTACAGGGACTGAGCTTTCCTGACTAGTTTGCTAAACTGCTTATGTGATAGAAAATTATGAATGACCTATCTCTTGGCAAAATCGAAGTTAGTTTATTTGGTGGAAGTTACATTTAGCATGGGTAACTGAGATTATACCAGAAACAGAGCATCAGAGGAATACAACTCTGTATGCAAAATTATGAGATATGTTTTTGTTTTCCTAGAAAAATGAGAGCAGTGTTGACCTAAATGAAAGTGTCAGCTTGTTCTAAACTATAAAACATCACAGAGAAGAACAAAATTTAAGTTTGTCTAGCAAGTTGTAGACATTTTGAGGGAAGTGAACTTTATTTACCTTGGTTTATAATATCCAAGTCTGAAAATAATGAATTATGTTAAAATTTTGAAAAAGTTTGCACAGCCTTAATGGACTTATTCTTGTTAATTTGTAAAGAAGCTTGAGAACACTTTACTGCCAGCTAGAAATTAACACAAACAAGTATTCATGCAAACTAGAAAGTCAGTTTCTGTCTGTTGAAATGACAACTGATCTTAAAATATTTAGTCTGAACAATGGGTAATAAATGATTATTCTTCACTTCTGTGTAACCTGTCCAAATAGTATTCCATACAGCAGATTAATTTTCTGTGCTTTGTGTTGCTTTACAATGTCTTTGATTATCATTAAAACAAATAAAAGTTTGTTCTCATAACAGTGCTAAGGTCATCAGAGAATGGATTCTGCAGAAGCAGATGCTGAAATACTTTGGTGGGCAGGGCTCAACATCTCCAGGGACAGGGCAGGGCAGAAGCAAGGTAAGGAATTGGCAGAAGTCAAACAACGCTGCAGTTCCCAACCCTAGGGGAGCTCCGGAACACAAATGGCTCATCAGAGTATCCAACATTGGACCAAAATGGCCAGGGCTTTATACCCAAGACCTGATGGGTCACTGGTTATGGGCCACCCTGGGAGATGTTAGCTGAGCACAGCCCTGAGGGAGTTGATAGTTTAAGGCAGCCTGCCGACAGCTGGGCACCAAGTGCCTCCATGAACTGGAATCTGGGCAGTTCACTTTCATGCCCGCCACAATCTCCTGCAGCCACCTTACCTTCTGCTATGTTTATTTTAAAATATTGTACTGTTACCTTGATTCAATAAGTAGCCAACTATTCTACCTCAGGAAGCCCTGGATCTTGCCTAATCAGGTAAGAAATCACTTGTAAAAACTCTTGAGTTAACCTTCTCAAGATCAGAACTCAAATTTAGAAAAGGACAAATTTTTACGATACTTTTTATTATTATCTAAAACTAACTTGGAGGTTTTACACTCAGCCCCTGGATAATCACAAATATGTCTTCTGTTGCCTTATAAAAAGAGGGATGCTAGAAAGCACAGGTATGCTCCATATTTCTCAATGAGCTCAATACTATTGTAAGTTGTCAAATCAAAGGATAAATGTGTGTGCGTTAAATATTATTAGTAAAACAGTTTCAGGGATTATACTCTTTACAGCAGCATTTCTCAAAATGAGGTTCTTAGACATCATCGTCCAGGACCTTGTTAAAAATGCAAATTATAGAGCCCCATCCCAGGCTTACCAAATGAGAAATTATGAGGATGGGATCCAGCAATCTGTGTTTTAATAAGTCTTTCAAGTGATACTGATGCCCGATAAAGGGTAAAAACCGCTGCCTTACAGAATAGATGGAAAGGCCCTGGAAATGTGTTAATATCCTTACTGTCCACTATGTTTTCTTATCCTCAGGAGAAACATTGGTCAAATCCTCATGAAAATGTTATGCAATTTACTGAAATAGAGAATTTTATACTCTTGCGTTTTTTTATATTATTGGTTACTGTGATAAATCAATTACAGCATTTAGATTCATTACCAATCAGGTTTTTCTGTCCTACCCTGGATGCTTGCCTGAAGACTCTGCTATATATAAACCACAGGCTTGAATTTTTATCTTCGTCAAAAGGCAGTCTCAATAACTCATTGGAAGGTCTGTACCAGTGATTTTAAGGCAAAGACTCAGGGGTCAGAGTTTAGAACTTAAAGATGACATTACTTAAGCAACTAACTTTTCCTGAAGACAAAGCCAGGATTTGCAAAACAAGTTTTTTTACTCCAGAAGGAGACAATTTCTTGAAAGTAAAACAAAAATTAATTACATCAAACTAAATGAAACAATGGAAAACATTTAAATGTAGTTATTTATTTTGGAATACATTTAGTATTAGGTTTAAAGTTCTATTATTTAATCAGTATATAAGAAAGCTCTTTTTCTTTGTTTTAGATCTATTTCTACTCATAATTTAGGAGACTATGCTTTTCCCAATTGAAATGAAATATTTGGTAAATGACATCTGATTCCCCTCGGAATTCAAATACTTCTACGGAGTCTTCTTATTTTTAATGAAAATGTGGTTATTTGCATGTTTTCAATGAGAGTCTGTCCACCTTCTTACTAGAGTATCATTGCAAAAATTAATTGTGCAACCAGGACCATAATTGGTGTTTTGTATTTGAGAATGATTCTTATTTGATATGGTTTCACAAGCTCACCATTAAAGAATAAGGATTGCACATGATGTGTGCAGCCAATAACTACAAGGCCCTCCTAGGAAAATTGGCCTGGAACTTGTTTCATTGTCTGGAAGATTCCAGACTCAAAGGGGCAAGGAATGTTATTTATTGCTATTCAGAATCTTATAAAATACTGGGAATATTTATGAGGTAGGATTTCACTCTGACTTACAGGTACCACATGTGAAGTTTCACAGAAGGCATTTCTTGATCTTGGTTTTCTACACTCAGGATAAAAGAACAAATAATAGAGGCTTTTAAAAGTCCAAGACAAGATTTTTCTAGAAAATGTTCATGTAGAAGTTAATTTTCTTGTCTTAGTTTATGAAATACAGTATGCTTGAAGAGCCTTATATTGTGAATTTATGCTTCTTACTGTACCTACGTAAATAATCAGGTCAAAATTAAATGAGGGTAGCCTTTTTATGTTGTCAGGAATAATTTTAGAGGGATAACTATAAGTAGAAGAATGAAACTAGATGCCTATCTATTACCACACACAAAAGTCAGATAAAAATGGATTAAAGACTTGAATCTAGGATCTGAAACTATGAAACTACTGGAAGAAAACATTGGGGAAATACTCCAGGACATTGGTCGATGCAAAGATTTCTTGTGTAAGACCTCAAAAGCACAGGTAACCAAAGCAAAAATAAACAACTGGAATTATATCAAGCTAAACAGCTTCTGCACAGCAAAGGAAACAATCAACAAAGTGAACAGATAACCCACAGAATGGGAGAAAATATTTGCAAACTATCCATCACAAGAGATTAATAACAAGAATGTACAAGGAGCTCAAGTAACTCAATAGCAAAGAAATAGATAATCTGGTTTAAAAATGTGCAAAAGATTGAAAAGACATTTATCAAAAGAAGACATACAGGCTGGCATGGTTGCTCATGCCTGTAATCCCAGCACTTTGGGAGGCTGAGGTCAGAGGATCACTTGAGCTCAGGAGTTTGAAACCAGCCTGGGAAACATAGTGTGACCCTGTCTCTACAAAAAATTTAAAAAATTAACGAGGCACAGTGACACATGTCTGTTGTCCTAGCTACTCAGGAAGCTGAGGTGGGAGGATCGCTTGAGCCCAGGAGTTCAAGTCTGCAGTAAGCCATAACTGCAACACTGCACTTCAGCCTGGGTGACAGAGTGAGACTCTGTCTCAAAAAAAAAAAAAAAAAAAAAAAGGTTCAATGAATGAGGCATCTCACACTCAAGTTGGCTAAGGTGATCTAGCAATTCCACCACTGGGTATATGCTAAAAGAAAGGAAATCAACATATCAAAAAGTTATCTATAATCCCATGTTTATTGCAGCAGTATTCACAATAGCCAAAATAATGAAATTAAACTAAGTTCCTATCAAAGCATGAATAGGTGAAGAAAGTGTGGTATATATACACAATGAAATACTATTCAGCCATAAAAAAATGACATCCTGCCATTTACAGTAACATGGATGGAACTGGAGGTCATTATGTTAAGTAAATTAAGCCAACCACAGAAAGACAAATATCCATGTTCTCATTCATATGCAGGAGCTAAAAAAACTGGATCTCACAAAAGTAAAGAGCAGACTGATGGTAACCAGAGGCTGTGAATGGAAGGGGAAAGGGAAGGGATGCAAGGGAAAAAAAGAAGGTAAATATTTATTGCCACTGAACTGTGCACTTGAAAAAGGTAAAGATGATAAATTATATATGTGTATCTTACCTCAGTAAAAAAGAATAAACTTTAGAGACTAGTTATGATCATGGTAGGGGTAGGGGTACAGTTGAGAAAATTGTTCCAAATTAGAAGTAAAGTTTAAGGATAACTAATATGGTTTGGCTCTGTGTCCCCACTCAGATCTCACCTTGATTTGTAATCCCCACATGTAGAGGGAGGGAGGTGATTGGATCATGAAGGTAGTTTCCCACATGCTGTTCTCATGATAGTGAGTGAGTTGTCATAGATCTGATGGTTTTATAAGTCTTTGAAAGTTCCTTCTTTGTTCCTCTCTCCTGCCGCCTTGTGAAGAAGGTGCCTGCTTCCCCTTCTGCCATAATTGTTAAGTTTTCTGAGACCTCCCCAGCCATGCGGAACTGTCAATTAAACCTCTTTCCTTTATAAATTACCCAGTCTCAAGGAGGTTCCTAGTAGCAGTGTGAAAATGGACTAATACAATAGCTACATGTTCTTTCAGTATCATTGTTTAATTATAGATTATATAAATATCAAGGAGAATGCACCTATATTTAATTATGTTATTTAATATTTTTAATTAGAGTCCAAAGACTCTGAAATTACACGATAATTTATAGAGTTCTGTGGAGTAGAAAAGATAACCCAGTTCTTTACTTTGTATGTCATTAACCATTTTTAAAATCTATTCACAAAAATTTCTTACAGCGTTTCTTTGACTGCCTGACTATATAAACTTATATACTTAAATTCTCCTTCGAACCAGACTTGCCATCTAACTGGTTTCCTCATCAATTAATGAGTTGCATGTCGTTTTAGGTTTGGTTTTACCACATTATTCTGAGCATATTCAGAATAGGTCAACATGCTACCAAATTAATTATGAAAAATTTATCACTTTTCAGCATTTGTTGGATTTTGGCGGGCAAATTAGGGGATTGTGAACCTATAATTTCTATTGCCATCAAAAACTACATTTACTCAGCTGTAGGGGACTCATGTCAAAGATAATAAAAAAAAGGAGTGTGAATCCTCAGAAATGATTCATAATTTAGTATCTTAGAGTGCAATCTAATGTGACTCATTTCTTTGAGGAGAGTAACAGAGTTGCAAATGTCACATCCCCAAAATAATGGCAAATAATCTGTGATTCACGTTTAGAAAGACTTCATACTCAAGATCCCTAACCATAAAATTTAAAAAACAGCAAACAAAACTGAAGAAAACATGAAAGTTATAAATAAAACTTTCTTAAATTTAAAATAGGTGAATTTTCCTATAGTAATACTTCATGGCAAATATAAACCTCTGCATAATATCACAAATCTTTTGCAGTCTTTGAATAAGTAGAATACTTAAAACCAACACATTCAGAGAAAATAAATGCCAATTTATTCACGGCAAGATTGAAAAAGGCTTATAAAGACATGAGTAATGTAACTTTTAATGAACAAGAATGATCTCAACATTAGGCATAATAATTAGAGTCTAAGCTCTTAAAATATGGCTATGTTTAGATAAACAGAAACAGATAAACACAAGTGCAAGGGTTACTACAATGAAAATTCTATTGTACATTATTTCTTAGGATTTTTGTAACTTTTATGCAATGTTTTGAATATTGAAGACTTTGATTTAAATTTTAAAACATTAATTAAAGTTTCTTAACTTTCTCCCTAGCAAAAACTTCTCATTTTTTGTTTGTTTGTTTGTTTTTAGGACAGGACTAAGAGAAAGGCAGAGATTCATGGCTTTTTAAAATGGTATTTATGGTTATTCCCTCCTCCACCTCATCCCTAACTTACCGGAAGACAAAATGACATGGGAAGAAGAGGAAAGTTGTTAGAAGGGGAGCTCTAGACAGCCAGGAAAGCTGGAGTCACAAGTGGACAAGGAGACCCATGGAAGCGACTCATGATAGAAATGGTTCTCCTTTGGTCATCTGCAAACTTTACCCAACAATGGTATCTCCTGGTATCGTATGAAATAAAACCAGAAGTCTGGTATTTTGGTCCCAGCTGTTAAGACTTCTGCCTGGATTAAGCCTTCTTTTCCATCTCTCTGAGGGGCCACCCTGCTCAGATTTCTCACACTTGGGCAACCTGCCTTGATATGTGAATCTTACTTAGGAAAACAGACAATTTTCTCTGGTCACTATCTCAGCCCACAAGGGAGATTTAGCATTTTTAGTCGACCCTCTTCTGCCACAATCCTAGAAGCTTGCAAATATGAATTTATATCTGTAGATATATATCATCTATCTATCCACCCATCCATCTATCTAAATGTATATTCTAACTATCACAAATATGTTTCCACTGTGTAATTTTCGCATAACAATCTACACACATAAATAAGATACACATAGTATTTCAGAACTCATTTGATTCACTGTGAAATCTAAAGGTAGGGAAACCTTTACTGAGTGAAGGTTTCTCTTAAAAGCCATCTCTCCCAAAACTAATCCCATCAAAAAATGTAACAGACTATATCAATTTTAACAACAGTAATGAATATTTATGGAATGCTTAATAAATTATTTATTATTTGAAAAACTGTTATACACAGAACCTTTTAACACTATGGGGAAAATCTTACAAATAAGCATTAGTCATCTTCCATATGCGTTAAGAGTAAGCTGTTTTGCATGTGTTGCAATTTACCTTTCCTCTAAAAATAGAATAAGAAAACTTTCAGGCTAAAGATAACACTAATGAATAATTAAATATACAATAAGAAATCTGTGGCTTTAAAATACACTTTACATGTAATACATGTACACATTTAATACATCATAAGAATATAATCAAAATACATTATTCTCATCAGTCTGTATAAATTGAGGATTTGTAGGGAAAGGGGATGGTTCTCCCTGACCACCTCCCCATCCTCAATTTTTCTACACACTGTGCATTAATTGGTCTCCTCCAACTGGTATCACTCTTCTTGATATCCCCATTTCCTGTTTTCCATCAAGAAGACAAGGCTTGGCATTTAATTATTTTATTAGTTCATGTAAGTTAGTTACCCTGGATAAATGGTCAGTGTGACCTCAAATGTGCAACAGATTCTTAAACAGGCTGGGGAGAAGCAGCAGAGACGAAAAGAAAGAGTAAAATAATGTTTGACAAAATAACAAGAAAATTCAGTGATTTTCCATAGTGAAGGAGGCGTTCAAGGCCTATAGACTTGGAAACTGCTTTCCAGATATCAAAGAACAAGATGAACTCCACAACTACTAAAACTGCAACATGTACAGGAAAATCAGAATAGAGACCAGAGTGCAGTGACATTATTCTCATGTAGAAATAAAATCCTTTGGAATATGCATTATAAAAGCATAGAGCTCCTTCAGGTCCAGAATTCCAAAAATCTATGCATCATCTTATAAGAATAGGGACCACTTGCCAGGTGTGGTGGCTTATGCCTGTAATTCCAGCAATTTGAGAGGCCAAAGCAGGAGGATCGCTTGAGCCCATTAGTTCAAGACCAGGTTGGACAACGTAGTGAGACCCCATCTCTACAAAAAATTAAAAATTCACCAGGTGTGGTGGTGAATGCCTATAGTGCCAGCTACTTGGGAGGCTGAGGCGGGAGGATAGCTTGAACTCAGGGGGTCAAGACTGCAGTGAGCTATGATGGCACCACTACACTCCAGCTTGGGTGAGAGAGACCCTGTATCAAAAAAAAAGAAAAAGAAAAAGTAAAAGAAAAGAAAACACTGAAACTATCAAATGTTAACTTGGTAGTTGAATTTCAGAATCTTCAGGCCAAGGAGCCTGAGAAATCTACAGTCAGTGCAAAGAATCTGATGCCGGGTAACTGCTGTTTCAAAGCAAATGTGGCTGTAACAGAGCAGACTCTTGAATTGTTACCCAAAGAGGGTAACAACCTAGATAGATCCAGGATGATGAAAAAGGCATGTCCCAGGCAGGTCCTGGGCAGAAATGGTGGTCTTGGCTGCTTGTGGCTGGTAAACTCATTTGATGAAGAACTAGACGTTAGCATTAGAACCATGCTGCATATATTCTAGGAGCAATTACTCTGTCTCTACAAGATAAATGACAAGTGCAAATGTGACACATTAATACTGAAATTACCCTGGATTCCAGCCACCCCAACCCACCTCAACTCCATCACACCAGCCTTGGCACAGTCTCCTTTTGTTATTTCTAAAAATCACCAAGAGTGTTACATAACTCAAAAAGAAGTTCACTCACATTCTCTCCTGACTTCTTGACAAGGTGTTTTATCCCGGGCTGCCTACCCTGCCTCTTGGAATGCAGCACTAACAGAAACTTCTGCCTCTTCCCAGATGCTGTTCTGACCCTTCAGATGGTCAAAACTGACTGCTCTATGGTCAAGTGGGTGTTTGCCTCTCATACAGTTAGAGCTGTTTCCCATACATTTGCAACCCCTCTCCTCATTGCCTGATACTTCAGATGGCTCTCCTCTCTGCTCCATCTTCCACTGGGATATGTGTGGTAGACTGCTTGCAAAAATGGCACCAACTCTCCAACCCCCACTTCTGTGGAGTCAATTTCCCCCCTTGAATATGGGCTAGCTGTGCAATTAGCTTGACAAACAGAATGTAGCGGAAGTGACATGTGCCTTACCTACATTGGTTTCTCAGAATTCTACAACCATCAAGAGAAAAAAACCCAGCTAGCCTGCAGGAGGATGAGAGACCATATGGGTCAGTCACCCCCATCAGCTCAGGGGACAGCCAGCCAGCTCCCAGAAGCAAGGCTGCCTAGCTGGCCTGTAGCTCCCGACAGATGCATGAAGCAACCTGGCCAATATCAGAACCACCCAGCTGGGACCAGCCTAAATTGCTGACCCCCAGGGTCCTGAACCCAATAAACGGTTGTTATTTTAAGCCATTAAAATTGGTGGTGGTTTGTTATATAGCAATACATAATTAATACAATATGCTATCCATGACAAATTGTCCACATAGAGGTTAGCTCTGTGATCAATTAACTTTCTACATAGCAGAAATATTTGACTCTCCTGTGATATGTAATAGTATATTAGCATATTAAAATAATATATTATATTGTAATATTATAATACTGCACTGTATTACATTATATTATTATGCTATTGTACTATATTATATCAAATTATGTTGCATTGCATTACATTATTATATGTTCCTCCTTTTCTGAGGGCAGATATTCCAAGGGAAGCTATGTCAGTGATGGGGAGGAATGGGAAAGGGGGCATTAAAGCTAGTGGAAAACACTGTCCCTTCCCTCAGCTACAGCTTGCTTCTCAGTCTGACCTGCCCTGCTAAACTTCATTCTCTCTCATGATTTTCCCTAAG
This sequence comes from Homo sapiens, assembly GCF_000001405.40. NCBI lineage: Eukaryota > Metazoa > Chordata > Mammalia > Primates > Hominidae > Homo > Homo sapiens. The sequence goes on from NC_000018.10 coordinate 27,808,395, forward strand.
GAACACCTCAGTGTAGCTTTCACTGAGGCTCCGGTTCTTTCAGATACACCTGCCAATACTTCCATCACTTAGGATCCCTCAAATGCAAGTACTTACATTGGCTGTCATAAATAGTGAGAAAATATATTTTCTCACATACCATGAAATCCAGATGTAGACAGCTCCAGGGTTGCTTAATTAAGTGGCTCTGTGACATCACTAAGAATTCATCTTTCTGCCCAATTGTTTGCAATTCGTCAGTTTTGCCCTCATCATTGCTCTCTCCTGGGCGCAAAAGTAATGCTGCAATTACATAGACATCAGATCTAGACACGAGAGCATCTCTTCCTAAATGTGCATAAAATTATCTCTCTCTCTCTCTCTCTTTTTTTTTTTATAGAGAACTTCCTCCTAGAGTTTGAACTAGGGATTCCCTTAGAAAGCCTGCCTAGCTGTAGTGCTATATGGAACTGTCCAGCCACATTCTTAGGTTGTGTTGGATGCACTCTTGCCTGACCCTGAAGTTCTCTTTTTCTTGTCTTACTGACTCATTGTGGTTGTGTGTATCTTTCTACAGTATCCTGAGAAAGGGTATGGGGGAAGTAAATGTTTAGAGTTCTTGCATGTTTGAAATGTCTTTCATTTCACATTTGATATGATATGGCTTGGTTCTGTGTCCCCACCCAAATCTCACATCAAATTGTCATTCCCAACGTTGGAACAGGGGCCTGGTGGGAGGTAACTGAATCATAGGAACAGACTTGCTGTTCTCATGGTAGAGTTCTCTAGAGATCTAGTTGTTTAGCACCTCTAGAGATCTAGAGTGTGTAGTACCTTTCCATTCACTTTCTCACTCTCTCTCTCTCTCTCTCTCCCGCCGACCACGTGAAGATTTGCTTGCTTCTCCTTTGCCTTCGGCCATGATTGTTAAGTTTCCTGAGGCCTCCCCAGGAGCAGAAGCTTGAACAGCCCATAGGACCATGAATCTATTAAACCTCTTTTCTTTATAAATTACCTAGACTTAGGTATGTCTTTATAGTAGTGTAAAAATGGACTAATACATGATATCAGTTTGGTTGTGAATAGAATCTGAGGTTAAAAATAGTTTTTCACCAGGATTTGAAGGTATCACTCATACTTTCCACCTCCAGGTTGATGCCATATTTTTTTCCCCACTTACTGTATTTGCCTTTTTTTAGTTTTCTTGCTGTAAGTTTTCATCCCTAATCTTTTAATATTATATAATGAAGTTCCTTAATATAAGTCTCTTTATATTCCTTATAGTACATGCTCTGTGGGCCTTTCACTTTTGGGAAATTTTCTTCAATTATTTTTTAGCTGATTTTCTCTCATTTTTTTTACTGTTCTCTCTTTTAACCTATTAGTCAGATATTAGATGTCCTAGTGAATACCATAAATACCTCATGTTTCTGTTCTATGATGCAATTCTCTTTATGTTGTTTTCTATTTCAGCTTTAATTTTGTTATTTCAGCTTCTTTTCTCTGATTTTCCCCTTTTTATCACTGGAGCATCTTCACAGATTTTATATCTCCTATAATATTTTTATAATTTTTAAACTTTTAAAAATTATTCTCTTCATTGTCTCTGTTGCCTGTAATTTACTCCTGTGTTTATTTTAGTGAGTTTTCATTTTGGAGGTTTTCTTTAAATATCTCCTGGTTTTTTGATATCTGTATATACTTTAGAATGAGGCACTGAAAACCTGGTTTGATGTCCTGGTTTTTTCTTTTTTTTTGACCAATTTTTTGGACTATGGATTATTTTACTTATAAGACACTCAGGATATGAACTGGATTTCTTTTGGAAGACCTCCAACTGTCCATATTTACTATTTCCTATAGATGTTGAGTTTCTTACGAGAAAAACCTTCCAAATTTCTACCCAGGAGTATGAGTTACAGAAACAGTAGATGAAGGAAGTTGGAGAAGCTGCCATTCAGTATATAGACTTAATCTCAAACTGTTCCCTCAAGAGAGGGCATCAATAAAACAGCCCATCACACAGAAAAGTGACCAATATCTCTCTGTAGTGACCCACATTACCCAAGTTACTTTAAGATTTGGATAAATAATCTTTGCTTCCCTTATGTTTCCAATAGTATCTGTTGTGAACTGAGTTTTGTCCTCCCAAAATTTGTATGTTGAAGGCCTAACCCCTAGCTTCTCAGAATATAATTGCATAGTCATGTGTTGCTTAATGATGGACATGCTTTCTGAGAAATGCATGACTGGGCCATTTTATTATTGTGCAAACATCACAGAATGCACTTACACCAACCCAAGTGTATGGTCTACTATACACCCGGGCTATGTGGAATAGCCTATTGTTCCTAGGCTATAAACCTGTATAGTATAGGACTGTACTGAATACTGTAGGCAAGTATAACACAAAAGTAAATACATTCATCCCTGGATATCCATGGGGGATTGGTTTCAGGACCTCCCATGGATACCAAAATCTGCAGATGCTAGAGTCTTTAATATAAAATGGCATAGTAGTTGCATATAACCTATGCATATCCTCTTGTATACAGTACTTAAATCATTTCTAGATTACTTCTAATACCTAACAAAATATACATGCTATCTAAGTACTTTTTATACTATATTGTCTAGGGAATAATGACAGGAAAAAATGTTTGTACATGTTCAGTATAGATGAAATTTTATGTTTTTCAAATATTTGTGATCTCCATTTGGTTGAATACACAGATGCAGAACCCATGAATCCAGGGGACTGATGGTATTTGTGTACCTAAACATATGTAAACATAGAAAAGGCACAGTAAAAATATGGTATAGAAGATTAAAAGTGGTACACCTATGATATGATTTGGCTCTGTATCCTTACCCAAATCTCTTCTCAAATTGTGATCCCTACATGTTGAGGGAGGGACCTGTAATCCCCATGTGTCAAGGGAGGGAGGTGACTGGATCATGGGGGTGGTTTCCCTCAGGCTGTTCTCATGATAGTGAGTGAGTTCTCCTGAGATCTGATGGTTTTATAAATGGTAGTTTTTCCTGCACTCACGTGCTCACTCTCTTCTGCTGCCATATAAGATGTGCCTGCTTCCCCTTCTGCCATGATTATGTTTCCTGAGGCCTTCCAAGCCATGCAGAACTGTGAGTCAATTAAGCCTCTTTCCTTTATAAATGACCCAGTCTCAGATAGTATCTTTATAGCAGTGTGAGAATGGACTAATACAACCTATATAGGACATTTACCATGAGTTGAGCTTGCAGGATTGGAAGTTGCTCTGGGTGTGTCAGTGAGTGAGCGGTGAGTGAATGCAGTGGATTAGGACATCACTGCATACTAACATAGACTTTATAAACACTCTACACTTAGGCTACACTAAATTTATACACAAATATTTTTCCTTATTCAGTAATGAATTGACTTTACTGAAACTTTTTTATTTTATAAACTTTTAAATTTTTTTAACTTGTTGACTTTCGTAATAATACTTAGCTTAAGCACGAACACATTAAACAGCTGTACAAAATAATTTATATCCTCATTCTATAAACTTTCTTCTATTTACATTTTTTTAACTTTTTAAACATTTTTGTTAAAAACTAAGACACAAACACACACATTAGTCTAGGCCTACGCAGGGTCAGGATTGTCAATATTACCGTCTTCCAACTCCGTATCTTATTCCACTGGAAGGTCTTCAGGGGAAATAACATACATGGAGCTGTCATCTCCTATGATAACAGTACCTTCTTCTGGACTATCTCCTGAAGGACATACCTGAGCCTGTTTTACAGTTAACTTTTTTTTAAGTAGAATGAGTACACTCTAAAATAACTAAAAAGTATAATAGAGTAAATACATAAGCCAGTAATAGTCACTTATTAATATTTTCAAGTATTATGTGCTGTAAGTAATTGTACTTGCTATACTTTTATACACCAGCAGTGCAGTAGGTTTGTTTCCACCAGCATCACCACAATATATGAGTAATGCATCGCACTAAGACCTTATACCGATAGGAATTTTTTAGACCCATTATAATCTTATGTAATTGCTGTCATATAAGTGGTCCCTCATTGACCAAAAGGTCATTATGTGGTTCATGACCATGTGGAGAGAGGGCCTTCAAACAAGTAATTAAGTTAAAATGAGGTCATTAAGTTAAAATGAGGCCATCAGCTGGGCCCTAATCCAATCTGATTGATTTCCTTATAAAAAGAGATTAGGACATAGAAACACAGAGATAGTAGACCATGGAAAACACAGAGAGAAGACGGTGATCTCTAAGCCAAGGAGAGAGGCCTTAGGAGAATTCAACCCTGCTGACACCTTGATTTTGGACTTCCATTCTCCAGAACTATGAGAAAATACTTCTGTGGTTTAGGCCACCCAGTCTGTGGCATTTTGTTATGGCAGGCCTTGCACACCAATACAGTACCTAAAATGTACATAAAGGTTGTGTTGCATGACTTTCTCCTTAGTTCAGCTAAAACTGGGCTTTTGTCACATGACCAGGGAAGATTAGGCTCTCAGACACATAGAAGGTTGAGGAAAATTAGATTTCTTGGGAGAAAAGGAAAAAGGAAAAGTAACTCTCAGCAAAGTGAGAGTGTCCTGCTGGCAGGTTTCCTTCTCACAGATTGAATCCCAGATTACCACCCAGGAACCGAAGAGGCCAGACTCCTCCCACCTGCAAACAGCGCGAACTTTCCGAGGCTCCACCCCATCCTCCCGGTGCACAGGTGCGCAGGGTTCAGAGAGAATCAGTCAGGAAAGGGTGGGCTTCATCCAGCACAAGCAGTCCGGTTTTTCAGCCTTTGGGCTGTTTTAGGCTTGAAGCCGGGGTTTTGCCGGGGACCTTGGCTGTCTCCTGTCTCTATCAGTTGCTAATAAGTATTTGTTTTTAGTGAATAATCAGTTTGACTAGTTGACTATTGGTGTCCTGCCTCTATGCTCTTGCCTACTACAAGGTCATCTATAGAGAGCTTCCACATGCTGATGGCTTCCCCCAGCACTCCGCCTGAGGCCAAGGAGTGAGCAGAGCAGGTCACAGTTCATGATTTTGGGGCAATCCTCAACCAACAAGGAATCCAAGTCAATAGGTAAGTACTCCACCTTTCTTACCCCTTAGTGGAACAATTCTGAAGTGTGTCTCTCACAGCATACCTAGCACAGCCAAGCTTTTTTGCCGACTGCCGGTCGGTAGCCAAGTCTTAAAGCTAAAGGGTTGCACAAGGGGAAAAAAATCAAAAGGGAAAATGCAACAGCAGTTACTTGAAAATAGAGGCCGGGCTCAGTGGCTTTCACCTATAATCCCAGTGCTTTGGGAGGCTGAGGCAAGGAGGATCCCTTGAGCCCAGGAGTTCATATTGAGCTATAATCGTATTACTGCACTCCAGTCTGGGTGACAGAGCAAGACGCTGTCCCTAAAACAAAATCAAAAAAATAAAATAGAAACTGAAATACATTATCCTTTGTCGGTCTGAAAGGAAGAAGCTGAGGCAAAATTAATATAAATAGTTTATTTGGGCCAAGCTTGATGATTGCAATCCAGGAGCAGGTTCCAGCTGCCCTGAATACAACTTCAATTAAGAGTTACAGGAGGATATTTAAAGGGAAAGAGGAGGCAGTTTCTGAGTTGTTTACCAAGAATTTAAATTGAAATTACATTAGCTATTGATTGGCTATATATTGTTTCTTGTATCACAGATTCTAGGAACATGAACATAATGGACCAGGCAGCTAGTTAGGAACAAAATGCCTCTAACCAGTTGCCTCCAGTCATAGGTTGAGGGGGGCGGGGTTTGGGCCTTGCTAGGCGTGAAGTCTCATACTCAAGTTCCTCTGAGCCTGCAAACCTCACATATCTCAGACTGCTCTGAACTTTTTTGTCTTTTCCCTCACCCTTACTCCTACTACGCTAATAAAAATTCAATCTGTGGTTGCTCCAGCCTTCTCTTAAACAAGCTTCGGCGTTTAGTAGCGTTCACTGTGAAAAAAGCTGTTTTCAAATCAGACCCAGGTCACATAGCAAACGTTGCATCAGGACTTTAAAAATAGAAATATAAAGACCTTTTCTTATTGTACAATAAAATATTAAAATTCCTGTCATACGTTGTTAGATTTAGACATTTACATTTCATCAGCATAAGTTATACTTGGGATTCCTGTCGAAGAGGTTGTGGACTGCTGTTCCTCCGCAATCATTCTGAGCCTCAGGTCTGTGTCACATTTCACTATGCTTTTCTTCTACAATTAGCATGGATTTTTGCACAACTACATAATACAGACAAGACACTATTAGGAAGATTTGGCAACAAAATGACATCAAGTTCAAAGAAAATATACAACACTGTGATGAGGATTTAAATTCCATTTGGGCTAAATCTATGCTCTATGTGAATCTAGAATTTCTTGCCCCTAGTAATTCACTTTTCTCACATCCTGTGTGTTAGTTTTGTAGTGAAGTTTAAACTTTCCCTATGAAGGTTCTATTCTAAGTTTGTTGATGTGAATTAACAATAGACAGGTTAACAGGTAAAAGTCCTATGATTTTATTAACATGCATGAACATGGGGAATTACAGAAGAATGATTATCCTATAACCCAATGAGGTGCAGGTGTTTATATACCCTTCTTCATAGGAGAGGTGGGATATGGGGCGTGTAAACAATGTTTTTGATGGGTAGTAAACAATTGTTAGAGTTGTTAGAGAAAATGAATGGGGCCAGGAGACAGAAATTAATTTGTAAACGATTCTCTGTGGAGTTTGAATAAGCCCAAAAGTCAGACATTATCTTGTGGAAAAATCCATCCAGGTATGGTGGCAGTCCTCAGTTTTCTTTTCTGCCATAGATAGTGAGATTTCAGGGAAGGAATGGAAGGCAGTTGCTTTTCTCTGGTAGGTCCAGTCTTAGGGCAGATAAAGGAATATCAGGGCAGAGCCTCTTCCAGCATCTGCTGACCTTCAAGATCGTTTATTTTCAAATAATCAGCATGGCAGGGTGCCATATTTTGGGGTGAAATTCCCTGGGCTCTTTCAGTTCCAGTTCCCCAAGAGCAGATTAGGTGTAAGTAGCTATTTGGAAAGCTAGAAGTATCCCAGTAGAAGGATAAAAGGGGAGAAGACAGACTTGACTGAGCTTAAATCCACCAAAGACAGTTTTCTAAATGAGACCAAATTAAATCTAAAGAGTTTTAAACCAGAAGAGACCAAGATATTTCCAAATAATTAATAGAATAGGTGACATTACATTTCACAGGTATGTCCACTGGAAGAAAAATATATAGCCAAGAACAAAGATTTCTTTACCACTAAATATTGTCTGAGAGTAGTAAACATTTAAAATGGTAGCAGAGAGGAAGGGAAGTTGAGCTCTACACGGGCAGGCACGATTGTCTTCTGTTCATGGCTGAAACTCTATGCCCACAGCAGCGCCCGAGATGTGGGAGCCACGCAGCAAACATTTACAGGAAGAAAGAAGGGGGATCAAGTAAGATAAGGAAGGGCTCAGAGTCCCCATGAGGCTTACTTCATTAGGAAATTTTAAAATATTCAGAACCAAAATCCTTCTGAAACTCTAACAGACATGGCAAGAACAAACTGGCAACATATTCAATAAGAGAAGCATTTATCATAAAAAGTTCATGGATGGTGTGTATATAGTAAAATTTCTAAATAGAAAAAAAAAAGTTGAGAGTTAAGTCTTACAGTGTTATATGTGAGAGTTAAGTTATTTTCATACTGAAATATGGCCAAGTAGTTTCTTAACGTGTATGTGTATGCATTTGTTTCTCTGCTGATGGCAAGACTGAAGCTTGGGATTAGAAACTACAAGTTGAGATAAATTCTCAAGATTCCTCTACTTGATGGAGGTAGTGTATTCTTTGAGATGGGGCTGGTTAATGATGATGAATGCACAGATTTTCTTTCTGTTTTTTTTTTCTTTCAACTTTTAAGTTCAGGGGTACATGTGCAGGATGTGCAGGTTTGTTACATAGGTAAACATGTGCCATCGTGCTTTACTGCACAGATCATCCCATTACCCAGGTATTAAGCCCAGTGTCCATTAGCTATTCTTCCTGAGGCTCTGCCACCCCACCCCAAACAGGTGCCCAGTGTGTGTTGTTTACCCTCGTGTGTTTATGTGTCCTCATCAATCAGCTCCCACTTATAAGTGAGACCATGCGGTGTTTGGTTTTCTGTTCCTGCATTAGTTTGCTGAGAATAATGGCTTCCAGCTCCATCCACATACCTGCAAAGGACATGACCTCATTCGTTTTTATGATGGCCAAGTTTCTGAATACCAGGCCAAGTGTTACTGGATAAAAACTTATCGATAAATGATGAAAGCTTTGGAAACTAAGTCTTTTTTTTTTTTTTTTTTTGAGACGGAGTTTTGCTTTTGTGACCCAGGCGATCTCGGCTCACTGTAACCTCTGCCTCCTGGGTTCAAGCGATTCTCCTGCCTCAGCCTCCCAAGTAGCGGGGATTACAGCTGCCTGCCACCACAGCTGGCTAATTTTTTTTGTATTTTTAGTAGAGATGGGTTTCACCATGTTGGCAGGCTTTTCTCAAACTCCTGACCTCAGGTGATCTGCCCGCCTCAGCCTCCCAAAGTACTAGGATTACAGGTTAGAGCCACTACTCCTGGCCAGAAACTAAGTCTTTTTGTACATTAGAGTTCCATTCACTAAATTAGAACATTAATATATTTTTATAATTATTTTAATTGTTGTTAGTAGTAGTAGTGTAAGTAAACATGTAAACAAATGAGATAGAAGCCATATTTGGTTAGAGTACATAATTTAACAAAAAGAAATAAAAAATATCTGGAATCTCAGTATTCAAAATGACCCAAGTCCTAAAACCTTAAGGACCAACTAACCACTGAGGTCCAAATGCCCAGGTTTGAAACCCATGACTGCTGACTTACAGCTGCATGACTTGGTACAAGTTTTTTTTAACATCTCTGCAGCTGTTTTCTCACCTGTAAAACGGGAATGCTAATGTCTCTTGTAATTAAGTTATTGTTAAGATAAGATAAAATTTTACACAAAAAGCATAGTAAATGTCCAGCACGTGGGAGCAGTGTCATGACACAGAAATTGGGAGAAAAGGAATCAGGTATTATCTGAGGGCATTGGACAGTTACACGCACTCAGTAAGCCTCACTTTCTTCATGTGTAAAATGAGCATTTTGGAGGTTATGAACCTTTCATATAATGCAGGGACTTGCCCTAATTAATGACAGGGTTCAAGAAAGCTACCTCAAAATATAGCACTTTGGCATTTGAGAAAACAGCTGAGGCAAGAAGGTCACTCTCACCTTCCCCTTGCCTTTCTCTCCTGAAGCAGATCATAAGATCATCATTCCAGAGGCATAGGACTCTAATTTCAGAACTCCTATGCCCAGAAGAAAGGAGCATTCTTAACCCTTAGGCACAGGGAAGCAGAAAAGAATCTGAACAATAAGTCCTTGCTAAATTTCCCACAATTTACTCCCATTAGATCATACTTTTTTGTCCTCCAATCATATGTCTCCATGACTGTCTCCTTTTCCTCAAAGCTGAGCATAAAAATACACAAGTTTTCATCTGTTTCTCTGGGTCTTCTTTGCCTTATGAAGTCTCCCATATCACATAAAACCTATATTAAATAAATTTGTATTTTTTTTCTTGTTAATTTGTCTTTTGTTATAGGGACCTCAGCCATGAATCTAATGATGGCTGAAGAAGAAAAATATTTTCCTACCCTGCATTAATAGTATAAGACTCAATAATAATACTAATAACATTAGCTGACAATAATCTGCATTTACTTTTTACTAGTCACTGTGCAAAGTGCTTTCATTGCACTTATTAATCAATTTTTAACATGCATTACATCTCAAAATTGCCCGAAATTCCATTTTTTTTGACAGCCACATGTTGGACAAGTGAGTCAAGCAATATTATTAGGGTTCTTATATTTTTTAAATACAAATTGTGATTTCAGGTCCTCTCAGCTCTATCTTTAAAACAGTTGATTTTTAAAAATACACATGTAGGCAAATATATTTAAATATGATTAATTTTATTATCCTGGTCTGGAACCATCATTCCAGCTAACTCAAGTCTGTTCTTCATCTTAAGCCAGTTTTCCAAAATATTAAATACCATTGGCAACTTTGTGTTGAATAATACCAGAGCAAAAGTGAAGCCCAATGGTTTGCTATCAACGACTTCCTTTCAGTTAGTCTGCAAATCAACTTTGATTTCATATTGTCTGATAAACTTTCAACTTGCCCATCTGACCTGTCATTTAGTCTAATTTCAGAACTCAAAGACCTTGTCTGTAAAATGGGGAAAGTCTTAGGCGTTATATGTGAGAGTTAAGTGAAGATATATTAAAAATATTTAGCAGGGTATACAGAAAAAGTAGGCATTCAATACATGCCAGTTTTCTTTTCCCCTGTTCAACTGATAGTGATGTTTGAGGTATTGACTTTATCTTCTTTCTCACAACACATTTCCTTCATCCACTATACTGTTGCCTAAATTATCTGAAACACATAGGCAAGAATACAAAGTGATTGTATCAATTTAGGTGACAATGCTATGTTCCAAATATAAAACTGTGGTTGACTTTTGGCTCTGTATTTCAAAAGGGACTATGTTTAGGCAAAAATTTCCAGCTTGTCTGTCCACTTGAATTAATGACCACACTCAGCTGACCCTGAAGATCTAGTTAACTGATGGCGTTTCTTCCAGGACAACCCGAGGCCTCAGCTTGCACACGTGATGTATGCAAGACCCACTCATGGAAATACTGTTCCTCTCCTGACCTGGTGAAGTTGGCTGCCTAAATTACCATTCCCCCAACTTCTACTCAGTGAGCACTTATTTTGCCTGTAAGGGTGAAAATCGGGCTTGTTCACGACCCACTTTAGTGAATGAATCATCTCTTTCTTCCTCATTAGGTCCTTTGGCAAATGGGAAGTGGCATTTAAGTTTGCTTTTCCTTTTCCTATACCATATGTCTTTGTCTCTTTGTGTGGCTATAACTAAACACTGCAGACTAGGTAATCTACAAATAACACAAATTTATTTCTCATAGTTCCGGAGGTTGGGAAGTTCAAGATCAAGGCACCAGCAGATTTGGTGTCTGGCAAGGGCTGCTCTCTGCTTCCAAGATGGTGGCTTCTTGTTGCATCCCCTGGAGGGGACAAACCCTGTGTCCTCACTTGACAGAAGAGATGAAAGAGCAAAAGGCACTAGGGTGGTTCCTTCAACTTCTTTTATAAGAGGACTAATCCAACCATGAGGGCAGAGCCCTCATGACTTAATCACTTCCCCAAATGCCTCCCCTCTTAATACCATTGCCTTGGGCTTTAAGTTCTATCATATGCACTTTGGAGGAACAAATGCTTTCAAGAAGCTGAATCTTCTCTTGTGTAAGGCCCATGCATGTACAGTAGTGGTTCTCAAACTTCACTGCACATTGAAACCACTCAGGGAGTTTGAGAAAATAGCGGAGGCCTGGATCCATGCCTGAGAGATGGTGATTAACTGGTCTCAGGTATGGCCTGATCAATGTTTAAAAGGAGATCACAGTGTGCAGGAAACATTGAGAACCACTAATTCAGATGGCTAAGAACCTTTGAATCCCACATCTGAAACTACAATGTGGATCCTCATTCAGATGAATGGACTCAAGCTACTGTTACTGCTCCCTACCTTTTCTTCCTACTCATCCCTCAGACTCTTCTAACTTACCTGTGTCAGCAATGTGTTTTAAGCTATCTTTGTTGCTGGGTGGGAGAGTCCACTGGGAGTTCTTTTGGCGAAACATACTCTATTAACCCCTCACCCAGTTTCAGACAACAAAATGCTAAAACGAGTTAATTTTATAAATTCAGCTAAACCATTTCATTTCACAGAGAGAAATCAAATCAATTCAGCCACTTATTGGTATCTTACATATATGGCAAAAATACAACAATTTTCTAAATGACTTAGTTTTTTTTTTTTTTTTGACTGGTAGTTTTGGCAACATGTATGCCCAGCTCCTATTACATAAACACCTTGATTTTTAAAAAATTATTTTTTAGAGGCAGGGTCTCACTCTGTTGCCCAGGCTGGGGTACAGTGGAGTGATCATAGCTTATGGAAGGCTCGAACTTCTGGGTTCAAGCAATCTTTCCACCTCAGCCTCCCAAGTACCTAGGACTACAGGTGCATGCTACTACACTCAGCTGTTTATTTTATTTTTGAAACAGGGTCTCACTATGTTGCCCAGGCTGATCTCAAAGTCCTGGCCTGAAGTGGTCCTCTTACCGCAACCTCTCAAAGTGCTGGGATTACAGGTATGCACCACTACACATGGTCCAGTTTCTTTTTTCTTTTTTCTTTTTTTTCAATTTAAAAATTTATTAATTAAAGAGAATCTTGGCGTATAAACCTTTGAACAAGCAATGCCTCTGTAACCAAACATCTGCTCCTTCTTAGTTTGTCTTTTTTTTTTTAATCTTTTGTTTTTGTTTTTTTTTTACTTTTATTATTATTATACTTTAAGTTTTAGGGTACATGTGCCCAATGTGCAGGTTTGTTACATATGTATACATGTGCCATGTTGGTGTGCTGCACCCATTAACTCGTCATTTAGCATTAGGTATATCTCCTAATGCTATCTCTCCCCCCTCCCCCCACCCCACAACAGTCCCCGGAGTGTGATGTTCCCCTTCCTGTGTCCATGTGTTCTCATTGTTCAGTTCCCACCTATGAGTGAGAACATGTGGTGGTTGGTTTTTTGTCCTTGTGATAGTTTGCTGAGAATGATGGTGTCCAGTTTCATCCATGTGCCTACAAAGGACATGAACTCATCATTTTTTTATGGCTGCATAGTATTCCATGGCGTATATGTGCCACATTTTCTTAATCCAGTCTGTGGTTGTTGGACATTTGGGTTGGTTCCAAGTCTTTGCTATTGTGAATAGTGCCGCAATAAACATACGTGTGCATGTGTCTTTATAGCAGCATGATTTATAATCCTTTGGGTATATACCCAGTAATGGGATGGCTGGGTCAAATGGTATTTCTAGTTCTAGATCCCTGAGGAATTGCCACACTGACTTCCACAATGGTTGAACTAGTTTACAGTCCCACCAACAGTGTAAAAGTGTCCCTATTTCTCCACATCTTCTCCAGCACCTGTTGTTTCCTGACTTTTTAATGATTGCCATTCTAACTGGTGTGAGATGGTATCTCATTGTGGTTTTGATTTGCATTTCTCTGATGGCCAGTGATGATGAGCATTTTTTCATGTGTCTTTTGGCTGCATAAATGTCTTCTTTTGAGAAGTGTCTGTTCATATCGTTTGCCCACTTTTTGATGGGGTTGTTTGTTTTTTTCTTGCAAATTTGTTTGAGTTCATTGTAGATTCTGGATATTAGCCCTTTGTCAGATGAGTAGGTTGCGAAAATTTTCTCCCATTCTGTAGGTTGCCTGTTCACTCTGATGGTAGTTTCTTTTGCTGTGCAGAAGCTCTTTAGTTTAATTAGATCCCATTTGTCAATTTTGTCTTTTGTTGCCATTGCTTTTGGTGTTTTAGACATGAAGTCCTTGCCCATGCCTATGTCCTGAATGGCATTGCCTAGGTTTTCTTCTAGGGTTTTTATGGTTTTAGGTCTAACATGTAAGTGTTTAATCCATCTTGAATTAATTTTTGTATAAGGTGTAAGGAAGGGATCCAGTTTCAGCTTTCTACATATGGCTAGCCAGTTTTCCCAGCACCATTTATTAAATAGGGAATCCTTTCCCCATTGCTTGTTTTTCTCAGGTTTGTCAAAGATCAGATGGTTGTAGATATGCAGCATTATTTCTGAGGGCTCTGTTCTGTTCCATTGGTCTATATCTCTGTTTTGGTACCAGTACCATGCTGTTTTGGTTACTGTAGCCTTGTAGTATAGTTTGAAGTCAGGTAGTGTGATGCCTCTGGCTTTGTTCTTTTGGCTTAGGATTGACTTGGTGATGCAGGCTCATTTTTGGTTCCATATGTACTTTAAAGTAGTTTTTTCCAGTTCTGTGAAGAAAGTCATTGGTAGCTTGATGAGGATGGCATTGAATCTATAAATTACCTTGGGCAGTATGGCCATTTTCACAATATTGATTCTTCCTACCCATGAGCATGGAATGTTCTTCCATTTGTTTGTATCCTCTTTTATTTCATTGAGCTGTGGTTTGTAGTTCTCCTTGAAGAGGCCCTTCACATGCCTTGTAAGTTGGATTCCTAGGTATTTTATTGTCTTTGAAGCAATTGTGAATGGGAGTTCACTCATGATTTGGCTCTCTGTTTGTCTGTTATTGGTGTATAAGAATGCTTGTGATTTCTGTACATTGATTTTGTATCCTGAGACTTTGCTGAAGTTGCTTATCAGCTTAAGGAGATTTTGGGCTGAGACAATGGGGTTTTCTAGATATACAATTTTTTTAACTAAAACATAACAACTGATCATATCATCCAAAGAATATTTCCCCAGGTTCTAGTTTTCACAGCCTAGGCCATATTTAAAATATATTATTGATGAATTAAATAGTAGTAGTAGTAGATTAAATATCAGTGCTAGATACTGTTTATTCAAAATATACTATATGTGTATATTTTCAAGCAATGTCTAAGAAATAAATTGGACTGTTACTATTTTTTTTCAAAGAGAAATGATTTGGTAAACAACATTATCTTGAAAGCAACTAGTTCTTTTTAATGCTTATCATGCTTTCTTTGTATTCAGTTTAAATGTCACACATCAGCGTCAGTAGGTGGGCTATTGTCAGTGACCTTTATATTATGTTGAAAAAGCACCAGGAATTTTTTCCCTGTATTGTCAAAGAAAGAGGGAAAAGACTTAAAGCTCTACTCTTTCATTGCCAGAAATGCCTGCAATCAGAACTTATATTCCCCATTATATGACATCATAATTACAGTCAATAAATATTAATGGCAAATTCCAGAGAATTCCCTGGATCCCTTTAGCTAACGTGCAAATGCAACGGGGTTGGGGAGCTCTTCTCAATAGATTTTGTATGCGCCTCTACAGAAAATAGTAACCTTCACGCAGGGTCCCACGAATTCATAAATAATACAAGAGAAACATTTATGCCTGAACATAAACTTCATAAACTTGTTTTCTAAAATGTTGCTTTAAAGTGTGTATGTGAAGCAGAGGTAAAAAGGACTCCCTATTTAATAAATGGTGCTGGGATAAACTGGCTAGCCACATACAGAATGAAACTGCACCCCTACCTTTCACGATATACAATAATTAACTCAAAAATGATTAAAGATTTAGATGTAAGACCTCAAACTATAAGAATCCTAGAAGAAAACATAGGAAACAGCACTCTGGACATCAGCCTTGGAAAAGGATTTATGACTAAGTCCTCAAAGCAAATGCAACAAAAACAAAAGTTGACAAGTAGGACCTAATTAAACTAAAGAGCATCTGCACATCGAAAGAAACTATGAACAGAATAAACAGACAACCTACAGAACCTGAGAAAATATTCACAAACTATGCATCTGATAAAGGTCTAATATTAAGACTATGTAAAGAACTTAAACAGTTGAACAAGCAAAAAACAACCCCATTAAAAATGAGCAAAAGACATGGTCAGATACTTCTTAAAAGAAACAGCCAAAAACATATGTAAAAATGCTTCATATCACCAATCATCAAGAAACGCAAATCAAAGCCACAATGAGATACTATCTCACAACAGTCAAAATGGCCATTATTAGAAAGTCAAAAAATGCCAGATGCTGGCAAGGTTGAAGAGAAAAGGGACTGCTTATACACTGTTGGTGGGAATGTAAATTAGTTCAGCCAGTGTGGAGCACAGTTTGGAGATTACTCAAAAACTTAGAACTAGCATCCAACCCAGCAGTTCCATTATTGGATATATATCCGGAAGAAAACAAATTGTTTTCTTGCACTTACATGTTCATTGCAACCCTATTTGTAATGGCAAAGACATGGAATCAACCTAGGTATCCATCAACGACAGATTGGATAAAGAAAATGTGGTACATATACACCATGGAATACCACACAGCCATGAAAAAGAACGAAATCATCTTCTCTGCAGCAACATGGATGGAGCTAGAGACCATCATCCTATGCGAATTAATGTGGGAACAGAAAACCAAATACCACATGTTCTCACTTAGGAGCCAAACAGTGGACACTCAGGGACATGAAGATGGCAACAAAGAAACTGGGAACTACTAGAAGAGGGAGGGGGACAAAGACTGAAAAACTATTTGGTACTATGTTCAATACCTGGGTGATGGGATCATTTATACCCCAAACTTCAGCATCACACCATATATCCAGGTAACAAACCCACACATGTACCCCTTAAATCTACTCTAAAATAAAAGTTGAAAAAAAAAGTAAAATGTCAATAAACTAAAGTGTGTATGTGTATAGATACATATACACTGTGTATGTGTTTGTATGTGTGTGTATGAGTTTACCCTGTATTGTAAATTAAAAACAAAAAATGTTAGATAATTAAATGTTATATGACTTGAACTGGGTGCTTGTGTAGGGATTACTTGCTTAATAGGATTAGCATTTAAATGGTCAGTATTGAGATTAACAAACAGCCGTTAAGATGCATCAGAGGAGTTTTCTGCAGTTTTTTGCAGCCGCTGTTTTAGTCTGGCTGGCTACAGCCTCAACAAAATGGCAGAGATGGGATTTACATAGTGAAGGCTATTTTTGTTAGTGGGAGGGATGAAACCTTTTCTCCAATATAAATAAAATGGATGGTCTTGAGAGACTAGCATGTGGGAAAAACTAAATCTTCCACCCACCTCCCAGCCAACCTTGCAATTTCCATTGTCATCCTCCCCTTTCCCTGGAAGGCTTCAATGCAAATTTTTTAGTTCCCAAGCATTTGCCTTGTGCGTTGCTCACAGCATCTCAGCCACCTCTCAAAGGACTCCTTGGATACGGAGCCAACTGTCTACAAGATTCATTATTCTGGGCTTTCTGGGGTTAACACCCAAATCCTCTCCCATGGCAGTACATGTCAGAGGAGGAATGGAGGGGAGAAATTACATGAAAATTCCTACTGGCACTGTCTATAGAAAAGAGGGCAATAATTAAGAGATAATGTGAAAGGGGAGAGAACATTCTCACAGGATAATGGTCTCCTGCTGTTAAAAGGATGCCAAGGCAGAGCCAGCTCCATTAATGGAAAATAAATGTCATGGCGAGGGAGGTTAAGACATTTACTTTCACATCAGAATAGCCAGTCCCTTGGTAAAGTCCTGTTATTCCAGATCATCAAAGCTGATTAAATCATTTTATCTAATAGATGTTCAAGCAGAAAAGGGACACTCCCTATGTCAGTAGCAGCCTGCACAGTTAGACAACCTGGCATAAATAAATAAATAAAATGTAAAATAATGGTCACATCTTTAGCTGGCTAAGAGAGGTGCAAGTGAAGCATGGTTTTTTACTAAGTCCATGCTAGGCTGTGCTCTGAGGCATTCCAAGTGCTTAGCGCCAGTCATGCATTCTGTAGAAGCTTCCCAAGAGCAACACGCTTACTTTTGTTAAGTAAGAAAGGAATTGCTTCAGAGGTGGAAACTGAAGGTTGAAGGGTCTGAGGAGGGGGGAGGGGAGGCAGCCTTTATAGTAGAAATTTTTTTGGGCAAATGGGGCTTTTCAATACCCTCAAATTACACTTGTGGGACTAATTCCAGTGCTATAGTTCACCGAATGAACTCCAAAGAAATTGCAGGGTTGTTTCAAATGCCTATAAATAAAATTGCAACTGTGACATGTTTGATTGAGTGTTTCTGGGCATCCATGGAATGACACATCAATTTATTGCTTCAAAAAATCAAATGTAAATACAGACATAATTTTTCAAACAAATGATTCACAAGTTTCATTCAGTCATGTCAAAGATCGTAGTCAATACCACCAGTTTTGCACTTGTGTGACATTTCATAATTGGATTCACCATAAACAAGCTGAAAAGTCACATAAAGACAACACATATTTGGCAATTACCTACCTTGTACAGAGATTACATATGATATCACCAGACACATAAATATGAACAAGATAACCTCGAGATATTTATATCTTATCACAAGGGAAAAAGATGGAAAACTATACCTATTGTTATTAAAAAAAAAAAAAAAGCAAGTGTGGTAATCCAACAGAAATTATATGAGAACCCAAGAGGGACCAATAAATTATAGTTAATAAAATTTTGGACAGCTTCATTGCAAGGTATGTGGCTGCCTGGAGCACAAGCAAATCAGTCCCTTAACTCTCCTCTGTTCAAAATCCCTAGTGGCTTCCATGTCATTCAGAGTAAAAGCCAAAATCCTTCCTCTGACATACAAGGTCCTCCATTAACCTCTCTTAGCAGATTTCCTACCACCCTTTTTATTCATTCTAGATGCACTGGCCTTCTTGCTGCTCCTAGACTGTGACGGGCGCACAGCTGCCTCGGGACCTTGACGTATGCTGTTTCCTCTCCCTGAAATGCTCTTCCCCCCAGATAGCATCATGGCTTGCTCCATCACTATTTTTAGGTCTCAACTCAAATGCCTCCCTTCTCAGCAAGGTCTTGCTTGGCCACCATTCTTGAAAGTAGAATTTCTCACCTCCCTACCCTTACATTTTGCCATACTCTAAATTGCTATACATTTCTGCTTATGTTCTGCTGCCCCAGTTAGAAGGTAAACCATATAGGGACAGAAACTTTTATATACTTTGTTTAACTAGAGCAGTGCCTAGTCCATAGTAGATATTCTTTATTGCATGAATGAATGAATGAATGAATGGGTATATTATTAATCCTCTCAGTCTTATTGTATTCATGTTTTAAAGGAAAGGTTTTATTTTGGAAGTTTTAACTCTCTGACTGGCAATATATTACCATGTGTCTGTAACATTTCTCTTTGGAACACTGTAGAATATCTTTAAATAGTATGGTTTTTCTATACTATTCATTCAGATTAGAATAAAAATGGCCTTATATACACAAATCATTGGATTTTTCCATCTGAAAAATAAAGGTATTCAACTATTGTTTAGAATAATTACATCAACCGTTTAATGAGTGCGTACTCTCTGTAAGGCACATTTGTCAATCAACATTTAAACAAATATTTATAGACTCTGTAATATATGCTAGGCACTGGACATATATGGGGAACAAGAAATGCAAATTATTTTGTTTGCCCCTGAAGTCCCTCTGCAATCTGGTCCATCTATGTATTCAGTCACAAATATATATTGAGCACCTGCTATGTATCAGGCGTGGCAAAATGCATCCTTACTGTTCTACAATATTTTCTTGTACTCCTCAAGGTCAGGAAGCTTAGTCGTCTTCTTTTCTTTTTATTTATTTATTTATTTTTGAGACGGAGTATCGCTCTGTCACCCAGGCTAGAGTGCAGTGGCGCCGTCTCTGCTCACTGCAAGCTCTGCCTCCCAAGTTCATGCCATTCTCCTGCCTCCGCCTTCCAAGTAGCTAGGACTACAGGCACCTGCCACATGCCCCGCTAATTTTTTTTTGTATTTTTAGTAGACACGGGGTTTCACCGTGTTAGCCAGCATGGTCTCAATCTCCTGACCTCGTGATCCACCTGCCTTGGCCTCCCAAAATGCTGGGATTACAGGCGTGAGCCACCGTGCCTGGCCCCTTCTTATTTTCTTTAATTCCCACAGCTTCTCATGCTGTCCTCTCTAGCAACTTCCTCTCTTCACTTGTTCAGACATTCTCCCCTTCCTGGGGGGTGTCTCTGCTTCATTCACCCTGGTCTCCTTGCTGAATGAAGGTGACTAACACCCAGGTCCTGATTTCATGGCAGCCCTGAACACACTGTCTCACATGTAATCTTGCCACTCTTCCACTAAACTTGACTTCACATCACAATCACCAGGAATATTTAAAAAAAAAAAAATGGTAACTACATTTGAATTCCAGGAAGCAACACACAAATCAGTGATTTAGACCCAAAGTTGAAAACAAATTCTCCAATTTGAATTAACAATGGAGTAGTCAACCTAAATTTAATATGGATGTTGCTATCATTTGCTTTATATTATGATGTTATTGGACATAACAGGATTCAACAGAGCGGCAGTTTTCATCTTGAATGTTTCTTGCCCATCAATTTAGACAAAATCTTGGAAATATTACTTAATGTCATGTGTCTGTTAAAAAATCTTCATTCCCTATTTGTAAATGCAAAAGTATGAATTTCACAAAACGTGAGTAGCAATCATTGTAATTGTGCCAGGCTCAATTGCCTGGTGCGCAGCCAGTTAATACACCAAGACACCGTGAATTGCAGCAGAGAAAGAGGCTTAAGACAGGAGGAGACCTCAAATCTGCTTCCCTAAGGAGGCTAGGGCTTTTAAGGGATTTGGGATGAGTAGTGGGCTGGGGATCACTGATAGGTCAAGAGTGAAAGGTGAGGTCATGAAATGGGAGGATGAGGAAAGAACATTCTTGTGCTGACTTGGTTCTTTGGTGGGAGTCTTCAGACTAGCTGGCATCAGCCATTCTGCTGGAATTCAGGATCTGAAAACATTTTAGGTGAGTCTTAAGCACAAAGGCCCTATAAATTCTATCTATAGAAAAAACAGGGAAGCAAATGGTCAGCATCTAGTGCTACTTAACTTTCAGTTAGTAGGTAGCTATAGTAAAGTAGGCCAGAAGGCAACCTGATTCATGCATAATTGTGTCTAAAACCTAGCATGAAATTCTCGTTAACCCTGTGGGGACAGTTTCACTGTCACTACCTATTTACCTCACAATCCCATTATTTTAGGGACTGTAAAATTATTTTAAATTAAGGACAAGTTGTATAATAAGTAGATGCTTTTAGATGTAACTTTCCACATTTCCTCCAATGAGGCAAGTTTTGGTAAAAATGATAATGGTTTGGGGAACTTATACTCTAGTCTTAATTTTTATATCTCTCATAAGAGTTTCTGGGTGAATGGGTTTTCTTTATGTTAATGATGTTCTCAGACCAAGTAGAAGATAGATTATTTTTAAAGCAATCATCACATTTTTTAAATAAGTATTTTTCTTAGAACAGAATAAGTTCTAAGTTCCCGGGAGTCTCATTTCATTCTCATAAACCTTTGTGTAATGGACTGGTTGAGAAGGAGGGAAGAGGAAGAATCAGAGAGGGTGGCAACTTAAGGGAAGGCATTGCTTTCTAAACTCTGGGTAGGAAATCTTGGGAGTTCCAACCAAACCTACAGCACATAGTCACACTCTGAAGATTCAAAGTATATGAGAATGTACATAACACTTAAATGTTACTCAAAATGCTTTATTCTTTCATTTTCATTCTCTCTTTACCTTACTCACTGTATTAGTCTGTTCTTACACTGCTGTAAAGAACTACTTGAGACTGGGTAATTTATAAGAAAAGAGGTTTAATTGACTTACAATTCCACAGGCTATGCAGGAGGCATGGCTGAGGTAGCCTCA
Organism: Homo sapiens; assembly: GCF_000001405.40. Classification (NCBI taxonomy): domain Eukaryota; kingdom Metazoa; phylum Chordata; class Mammalia; order Primates; family Hominidae; genus Homo; species Homo sapiens. Next base: position 27,829,900 of record NC_000018.10, read on the forward strand.
GGAAACTTACAATCATGGCAGAAGGGCAAAGGGGAAGTAAGCACATCTTCACATGGAGGCAGGAGAGAGAGAGAGTGAAGGGGGAAGTGCTACGCACTTTCAAACAACCAGGTCTCATGATAACTTAATATCATGAGAAGCGCAAGAGACAAGTCTGCCCCCATTATCCAGTTGCCTCCCCCAACACTGGGGATTACAATTTAATGAGATTTGGGTGGGAACACAGACCCAAACCATATCACTGACAATCTTTTCCCTTACATTTTCCATTTATGAACCATAATTATCACCTAGGAAATTTTGACATATGTGATACTCTTTGTATTTAGAATAAGTTAGGCATTCTGAAACATTTTAAGTGATCTATTAATAAAAACAAACTTTGATAGAAAAATTTACTGATTGTCTCTGAGATAACATGAAATAAAATATACTTTCACTTCTTTCCTCTACTACACAGAGTCAAGGGTGTGCAAGCAAAGTGTTCTATTATATAATTTTTGTGCCTCAGTTCCTTTATGTTCCAGGGGCAGATTGTAGACCTATGTAATTTTTCTAAATGATGATATTCGCTCTACCATCTCCAAATAACAGAATCTATGGAAAATTAGATCTAAACTGACATTCCAAGTTGACAATCTATCTAAGGGTGTCGTCTATGCACTGATTCTTTCAGCAACAGAAAAAAATTACAAAACATTTATCTTAGGGAGTCTGACACATGCTCAATTTATTCCTGATATGTAGGAAAATGGGGAGATCTGACATTAAAAGCTGAAATTTCTCATATTAAGAAAGAATATATGAAAATAATACCGGATTGAAGTGCATACAAGGATGCCTTGCTGTCCTCTGCATGTCTCTTATTGGAAATGATAGGACAATATACCCTCCTCCTATAAAAAGGCTATATTGTCCTATCATTTCCAGTGAAATGTAAATACATGCCTTTAACCCCTTCAATTGAGTTTTAAATTCTTAATCCAAAAAAAATCTAATCATTCTCAAATATCTACATCAAAGTCTTGCCATACTACTTGACATGTCTAACACCAATATCATTTCTTGGGAAAGGTATGGGAGTCTTTAAAACCTGATTATTTTAACTTGTTTTAGGCATTGTTGTTCTTGGGCACTATGGTCTATCAAGCAAGAAATTTTCTGGAACTCTTTTATCTAATTAAGCCAGTATCACCGACTCTTAAAGAGAAAGCATGATTTTGCATGAATATGTCTAAAAGTCATGTAATTATGACCTTTAGGAGGGAGGAGAGGAGAGAGAGAAGTTAGGTTATGTGCAAAAGACTCTTTCAGAATGGGTAGGACACAGAATAGTCTGATGGGAGACCAGGAGAGCAGACTCAAGTTCCCGGAAGCTGCTCTGACGGTTCTAGTGGAAGACAGATTTTACCTAATTCTTAATTGTGTCCAGGCGTCACTTACCCCACAAGGATCTATTGAGCACCAACTATATGCTGGGAGCTTGTATTAGTTTTGCATTTCTTTCATGCTACTTTAGATTCTGTGAAGGCAAATGTTGACCTCATGCAGCACCGAGAAATTCTTCCATGGTGGAAAGACCTACACATATAGCAGCTGCAATTCAAGAGTTTTGAAGATTTTATTGGTGGTTTTTTTTTAAGCAATAGTTTTTCTACAGCAAATCTCTCACTAACAAGATGGCCATTCATGATATAAAATTAATTTTTGCAGTAAAATAACTCCTACTCTTTATGCCCATTATTTTGTACTGCTGCTCTCCTCTTACTGACCACTGCATATGACCCTAAAAACATCTCAAGCTCACAACCCTAGAGTTCATGCTGCATCTCTGTGGTCTCTCATAGACCACATCTAAGCTACTGTCAAGTTCAAGTGCTCTTTTTCTTTTTCTTTTCATTTACTCAACAAATAATTATGGAGTGCCACATGCCCCCATAATAATAATCACCACGTGCCTGTCATTGTCCCAGGCTTTGGGATATGGAAATGAGCAAAACAGACAAAACTAGTTTACACTCTAATTGGAGAAAAAGACAAACCAATAAGTAAAATGCATAATATATTACTTTATGGTGAAGGGGATAGGTCCTGCGGGGGTTGGAGCAAAGAGGATTAGAATTAGGGGAATGAGGGCTGACTTGGTGTTCTCAGCTTCTTGTGGTAACTGATATGAACAGGGATATGAGACATAATGAGTTAATTACAGTCTCAAGGCCAACACTAGTGTAAAGCTGTGCATCTCTGTGAAGGGGAAGTATTAATCCAAGCAGGGTAGCTCACGGTTTTGGAGCCCCTTCTTGCGAAGGTGACAAAGAGACAAAGGGACTGGGAGAGTGGCTTATCTAGAGCTGAAGAGCTCTAGAGCTCATTCCTGCCTTCTTTGTTCATTGACAGAGTCTTTGCTAAATTCCCCAGTGGATTCTTAACCAAATCACTGTCACTGAGATATATTAAAATAGAAAATGTCTTCTTTAAAATCCCTGAAGAAATTACCAAAAATATACATGCAACATTTTCACACAAAGTAAGAAAGCACAAATGTTAAAAAAAAAATTTTCAGCATTTGATGGCTTGTGTCCTCCCAAGAAAATTAAATAATACCCATAACTATCTTTATTCTTAATTTTTTTCTTTTATTGCCAAGTGGGAAATAAAAAAAGTCAATTATTTTTGTTTCTAGCATACTGTGATTAAACTGTGTGTTTCTAATTATAAGCTACCTACTCAAATAAAAAAAATGTTGCTTTCAAAACATAACACCACAAAATTGTCCCTGTGGCCTGGTGAGCAGTGGCAGAATTAGAGCTGATTGGGAACATCTACAAAGAAAAAGTGTCCTTAATAATGTGATTATTGGCCACCACACACTTCAGCTGGGGACTTTTCTACACGGATGCTTCTGTGGACCCTGGGGAGGGAGTATTTGAAAAGAGCTCAACATTGGACATTGACTAACTGATTTTCTGGTTATAAATAAGAACAAGCATGTGTCCTGGGGAAAGTAATGAATGTCACTGAGCATAAAGAAGAAACCAAGTTAAATGTACATGGATAGTTTTTTTCTAAGTGTGAATACAGTAGGTCGTATTTGTACAGTTTTGTCATGTATCATGGTATAGATTCCAAGTTGCATGTGGGAGCTGAAGGAAGCACCCATTTTTCTGTTCACCAAGCCATTCATTCACTCTATTGAGGATCTCCATCCATCCAGGGGAGAGCCACTTTTGTGTAGCTTGCTCAAAAACATTGTGTGGCTTATTGGAGAATAAATATACGCAAACACAAACAGGTATCTCACAACAATTTCTCCTCTACTCTATGGATTCAAATTTTTCCTTTCTGTTGGATGTTTCCACTTAGCCAGAAAGCATTCTGTAAAGTATATAAGCACTTAAGACTTTGCATACATGTATTATTAATCCCCCCAAGCCATCATTTCTGCCTCTAATTCTTCTTCGTTCAGCCTTCGATACCTCACCACCTACCCCCGCTTTATTTTGTGTAATCTACATTCAACCACTGCTGAAACCCCACTTGCAATAGACATCAGTCATTCTCTAGCTACCAAATCCACCCACCTTCTCAATTGTGTTTCTTTTCCATAGCCTCACACCGTTGATCAGCACCTATTTCCCTAAATCACTCCTTCCTTGCACTGCTCATTTTCAGGGTGGTTGTTGTTTTTGTTTGTTTGTTTGTTTTCTTCTCTAGAATCGCTTCTTCTGTGACTTTATCTCTGGTCTATCTTCCTGCCTCTAGGCCCTAACCATAGGTGTCATGGAATTTTCTATTTAGCCCTCTTCTCCACCCTCTGTCTTCTAGAAAAATGTATTTACTCTCACTCTTTCAATTATCATCTCTAAGCAGAGAGCATCCAAGTAGCTATCTAGAGACCTGACTTCTCTCTTGAGCTCCAGTCCCAAATATTTGTCTTCCAGACCAACAGGCAAAACTAAACTGTAGCATCTGTTGTAAACAACCCCCAGGCATCCACATGAGTAGCTGAGTGTGTTGTGAATGACCCCCAGGCATGCATATGGGTAGCTGGGTTCGTTATGAATGATGCCCAGGTATGCACTTGGGTTTGAGCTCAAACTGGAATATGAGCCAGAGCAGTCAGGCCTCTCCCCCTTTTTGAGGGCTCTCCAGAAAGGACTATTGTCAAGGAGGGAGGTGTGAAAGGAAAAGAGAGAAGAAAGGGAAGAAAATAGCTTAGGTGGGCTTCAGCCTCTGCTCAGCCCTCAAAGCATGATTTCCTATGAGAACCTCAAAGTTCATCTAGAGAATCTAAACTTGCCATCCTCTATCCTGTCCTTAAATTCGTCTTTCTTCCTACCTTGTTTATGATAATGTCACTTCATCTTTCCTTTCGCCTGGGTTCAACACATCTTGATCCTCTCTGTAGCTGCTGGTTATTTTCCATTTTATTCTGTGCAATATATCTTTCTATTTTATATCCTTTCTCCTTTCCCACTGCCTTTGCCTTGATTCCAGTTTCCAGTGCTTCCCACCTGGACTGTTCCAATAGTGCCACTGACCACTATCCACTCAAGCAACTCACTCCCGTGTGTCTTTCTCAGAGGTCTAAACTTACTTCCAACATTCCCTGGTTATATGGATTTTTTTTTGTTGTTTTTTGAGACGTGGTCTCACTCTGTCACCCCATGCTGGAGTGCAGTGGCTTAACCATAGCTCACTGTAGCCTTAAACTCCTGCACTCAAGCAATCTTCCCACCTCCCAAAGTAGCTGGGACAATAGACAGACACCAACACATGGCTAATTATTTTAATTTTTGTAGTGATGGATTCTCACTATATTGCCAAGACTGGGGGATATGTTTTCAGAAAACATACACACAATCTGAAAAATCTCAAGAAATATTATAAATGTTCTTCTTTCCATTGAATAGTTTACTTCTTTGGCTATAAACAGGGGCCATTTATTAACATTATATGTAATTTATGGTTTAAAAATGTGGTGGTAAATATTATCTGTGAAAGAAAGACTGGGAAAATAGCAATCTGTGGGAAGAAGGCTTTGTATGTCAAGGGAGTGAAAAGTGGACCAACTAAAGAAAGTCTCAATTAACCAGGAGAGCATGTTATTCTGTGGAGTTAGATAGGCAAGGCTCCATGTGAGAAAAGAAAATACAAGGGGGACGTGTGTGTGTATATGTTTGTATGTGTCTCCAACTACACAAAAGAGCTCTGTTTCCTCAAAATGACCAACTTTGAGTTGGAAGAGACCAAACTCACAACACTAAACAGGAATCCCAGAATATTCTCCCTAGTTGATAATTTTGGACCCTATAAATATACATCTTTACCATTTAACTTGGCTCAGTTATGACAGCTAATGACTAACTATTGAAGAATGTCCTTAAAGAAAGAGGGGAATGTGGGTTAGTTTGCAAATTCAGGGACTTCTCCCACATTCTCTGAGAGTAGTACCTGAGGACCATAATCCCATTGACGTAGAATGTAGTATAAATGATGCTCCTCAAGTTGTGTAAAGTGACTCATTGATAGGGAGTTGCTTTCATGGGCCGCTTCTCCATTCTCACAACCTCTAACTCCCCAAAAGAACTAGGAGATGCTCCCAAAGTAAACACTTGTTAAAACAGAAGCTTCCTGCTGGTGAGAGAGGGTCAGGGCAAGGATCTTCAATTTTGTTTGTATTTGCCGTGGGAAGTTTTGATGATATCAGTGATCTAATCCCTTATGTTCCTCTCTCAACATCCCACCTCTTAAGTCTAACAGGTTGATAGTCCATCCCCTATCTCCTACTCCCTGAATACTACATCACCTGCTTGAAGGCAGGGAGTGCCTTGTGTATCTTTGTATCTGGCACGTGTGTAATAATAGGTAAGTGAATCAACAAATCAATGAGCAAATATACCCCATAGCAATGGCTCCCAAAATATTAGATTAAAATATCAAAACACAGTCATTAATTGGACACAAATAATAATATTTGCATAAACATATTGCTGTAAGTACTTTCCTTTTGGTAAATTTCAAGAATGTGGAAATCATTTCAGAATGAATTAGGAAAATAGCTGCACTGTATTCATTTTGGTATTGAATTCAACTGTATTCATTTTTTCTACCACCTGGCCCTTGTCTACACTTCAGCTCCCCTCTCCCCAATTTCCTTTTTTGCTTTTTAGTCTCAGCTTTTAGACATCTTCCAACTCCTCTGACAGGCCATCATCTCTCTTGTCTTTGTGACTTCATATGTGAGGTTTACTGAGCCCCCAGATTTATCTTCCTCACCTTCTTATCATTCAGGTCTCAACTCAAAGGAGATATTCTCAGAGAGACCACTTTGACATCTCACTTGGCTAGCTCTTCTGCATACGCTGAGTGTGTGAAGCCATCAGCACATTAATGATGACATCTTTTTATGCATGTCTTCCTGACTAGACCATCAGCTCCTTGGAGGTTCAAGTTTGTCTTGTTCACTTGGTTAGTATTCATTGGTCTCAGTACAGTGCCAAGCAAACTATAGGTGTTCCGTAAATATTGTCTAGTAACATCTCAAAGTTAAACAAACATCATTATCATTTTAGTATCTTTGGGGAGATTTCATTCATTCATTCAACAAAAAATATATATTCAGCCCTTACTTTCTCAAGCTCTGCTAGAAGTATTCAAGCTCTTCACTCTATAAACAGATCTATTATTTTTCTCCCTCAAGTATTTCCAGCCCAGAATTCATTTTATCTTCCAAGAGATGTACTTAATAAATCTAGATTGAAATACCACCTCCAAGACTCCTGATGTCCTTCCTGTAGAAATATGTTATTTTCATATTCTACATTGTCTAAAGCTATTTAACTTCCCAATCACACACAGTGCCTTATGTAGTAACTATGTTCCCAAAAATGTTACTTAAAAATCAAATTATATATTTCAAGTGAATAACATTGTCATTTTAAGTATTATGTACTCATTTTTATTAAACCTCAATTGACAGTAGTTTTTCACATTTTACGTTGTGCCAGAATTTTTCTCTTGATTAATTAATAATACATAAACTAGGCTTAAAAGTATTGGAGGAGTATCTATTTAAATAAATATGTAAATGATTCCTTTTATTTTAGTGAATGATACATTATTTAACCTTTGTGTAGTAATTCTTTGGTCACCAGCCACATATGTCTGAGATATAATGTGCCCTTTCTTTACGGGGGTTCAATTAATGTTTCATTTTTGCAATGATGAAATTTAAATTCAGTTTTCCCTTTTTAAAGTTTTTTTTTCACTCTTACATTGCCAATATTGGAATTGCCACTAACAGATTTTTCAGGAGTGAGGATGAAATGATGTGTGTGAGAAAAAAAATGTGATAGGGAAGTTTGACAAAGTGTTTTAACTAGGCAGAGGCTGAAATTAGAAGCTGGTTATATGAGACATAGCTAAGAAGACATGACATTAAATATGCAGTGATAAGCTGAAACCCTGTTCAAGTAATAGAGCATCACACATAAAGGTATAGGTGGTTATGGTTAACTATTTTTACGATGAAAAGTAAATAAATATTGAAGCACTAGAAGCTTTCCTAATTCAAACATGACTGGGGTAATACATTTATGAACAGAAGAGGCAGGCGAATGGAGATTTGCATAGCCCAACATGAAATCTACCTATGCAATGGCAGTAGAGAGACTCATAAAAAAGCAAGATGGACCATTAGAGAAACACTTGCATTTTTATAGCTATTTTTATATCCAATGATCAAAGGCATTTTATTACCTATGTTAGGGGGAATTCATTTATTCATCTTCAAGCTCTACTATCTCTTTGGAGAAATAAACAAAAAGTCATGACACATCTTTGTAGCCATGACCAAGTAAAGAATTTAATCAAGTAATTTTTTTCACTGATAAATGATGAAAAAAAAGGTTAATTTTATTTGGGGGAGAAATAACCAATTCATCTCAAAGTATGGGTAAAGGCAGAAGTTATTTTTATGGGCCATCTAGAAAAAAGCTCAGGTAAAGAGACAGGGCCCACTAAAAGGCAATCTCTTGTCTCCTACTAGGTACTGATTTATTATAGGCACAAAGGGGGAAGTGTTACTTGGGTTCCATGCATCACTTACTGCATCTCTCCAGGAGATTCGGCATCTGCCATCCAGGTGCTGGCTTGATCTGCACTCTTTTTCTTTATAAGATCCAGTGAGATTATAGCCAAACTGATATGACTGCAGGGTCCCTAAACCCCTTGGCACACAACACTTGGATGTGTCTTTTTCAGCAGATATGATCAGCTTAACATCTGGTGGTTTCCCTCATTCTGTATTCATGCTTAGAGGCCAGAGTGAGCCAAGGTGATATGATTCTCTTAATGCTTATGTGATTTTGTTTGAATTTAGAGGAGGGCCAGAAACCAGAGCCCATTACTTTGCCTATATGATGATGTAATTAAGTACAAATTGGAAAAGGTAGTTGGCTTGCCTGTTGGTTGGCCCCCAACCAACCAGTGTGACTGATAAGTGTGACTAAGAAAAATAATTTTGGTAATGCCTCATCTCACCACCTGGCTGAATCACAAAGTTTAGAAAGCCTGAGACTAGCTGCCTGGTTGATGGTTTGTACCAATGTGCTGTGCATCTACCACTGAGATGCTTGGAGACCTCTAGTTTCAGATCAGTGCTAATGGCCTCAAGCCTAGGAATAAGCTGATTAAGGAGTTCCAAAGGTTAGAGCAGAAGAAAAACTAATCACCCTCAGGAAGGTAGTGGTGTGAAAAGCCAGCAACTACATATGAATGGTGCAAGCATTGCTGTTTTTTCAGGACTGTTCAAAGCAGCAAATGATAGTTAAGCATCATTCCTATCTGGGCAGTATCACTCTGTTGGTCACAGCATGTCCTTGAAAAGGTAGAGAGATCTTGGTTCACTATCTGAGCAAGACAAATTCATTCCATGGCCAAGGCAAGATGTTAAATAGTAATTGTGTGCCCAACTCTCTAACACACACTGGATGCTTTTCAAATGACCTTGTAGATGGAAAGACTTTCCCCTTTGGCTTCATATACAAGGAAACAGCCCTGTGTTACAGACTGAATGTTTGTGTCCCTCCCAAAATTCATATGTTGAAATCCAATCCATATAGTGATGGTATTTGGAGGTGAGGCCTTTGGAGCTAATTAGGTCATGAGTTTGAGGCCCTCATGAATGATATCAGTGGTCTTACAGAGAGAGCTCACTTTCTCTCTCTTTCCACCATAACAGGATGCAACACAGATCAGGAGTCTGAATCTCAAAAGAGAGCCCTCACCAGAACTCCACCATGCTAGCACCTTGATCTCAGGCTTCCAGCCTTCAGAACTGTGAGAAATACATTTCTGTTTGTTTTGATAAGACACCCAGTCTGTAGCACCTTGTTACAGCAGCCTGAGTGACTAAGACATCCTGCATGCAGCTGCCCGTTTGCTTTTTGAGTCACATAGGCCTATAAATAGGAGAAATAAGGGCTACTGCTAGCTCCTGAGGATATACATGCATACCATGCATACCATTTTATTGTGCTTCACTTTATTGTGCCCCACAGATGTATTTTTTAGAAATTGGCGTTTGTAGCAACACTGCATTGAGCATGTCTATCAAAGCATTTTCCCAATAGCAAGTACTTGCTTCATGTTTCTGTGGCTTTGCCATTATTTATTATATCTGTTATGGTGATCTACAAATCAGTGATCTTTGATGCTACTCTTGTAATTGTTTTGGGATATCATGAACTGCGCCCACGTAAGATGGCAAACTTAATGGATAATGGTTGTGTATATTCTGACAATTCTACCACCAGCTAATCTCCCATCTCTCTCCCTCTCTTTGGGCCATGATGTTTGCTGAGACACAACAATATTGAAATTAGGCCAGGTAATAACCCTACAATGGCCTGTAAGTGTTCAAGTGATAGGTAAAGTCATACATCTCTCACTTTAAATTAAAAATTGAAAACTAGAAATGATTATGTTTAGTGAGGAAGGCATGTTGGAAGCCAAGACAGACTGAAAGCTAGGCTTCTTGTGACAAAGAGAAAGGCAAGTTGTGAATGCAAAGAAAAAATTTTTGAAGGGAAGTAAAAGTGCTACCCTAATGAATACATGATTATATGAAAGCAAAACAGCTTGTTGCTAATATGGAGAAAGTTTGTGTGGTCTGGATAGAAGATCAAACCAGCCTCAACATTCCCTTAAGTCAAAGCCTAATCCAGAGTAAGGCCCTAATTATCTTCAATTCTATAAAGGCTGACAGGGGTAAGGAAGCTGCAGAGGAAAAGTGTGAAGCTAGCAGAAGTTGGTTCCTGAGGTTTAAGGAAAGAAGCTTCTTCATAGCAAAAGTTCAATGTGAAACAGCAAGTGTTGAGGTAGAAGTTGCAGTAAGTTATCCAAGAAGATCTAGCTAGGATAATTGATGAACGTGGCTATACTAAACAACAGATTTTCAATAGAGACAAAACAGCCTTGTCCAAGAAGAACGTGCCATCTAGGACTTTCATAGCTGTAGAAGACAAGTCAATTCCTGGCTTGAAAGCTTCAAAGGACAGGCTGCTCTCTTGTTAGTGGCTAATAGAGCTGGTGACTTAGTTGAAGTCAATGCTTATTTACCATTCCAAAAACCTAGAGTGCTTAAGAATTATACTAAATCTGTCTGCCTACACTTTAGAAATGGAACCATAAAGCCTGTTTACAGCATATCTATTTACAGCATGGTTTACTGAATGTGTTAAACCCACTGCTGAGACCTACTGCTGAGAAAAAAAATTCTTTCAAAATATTACTGGTCATTGACAATGTACCTGGTTATCCCAGATCTCTGATAGAGCTGCACAAGGAGATTGATGTTGTTTCCGTGCCTGCTGACACATCCATTCTGAAGCCCATGAATCCCTAAGGAGTAATTTTGACTTTTAAATATTATTATTTAAGAAATGTAAGGCCAGGTGCGATGGCTTATGCCTGTAATTCTAGTACTTTGGGAGGCTGAGGTTGATGGATTGCTTGAGCCCAGGAGTTCAAGACTAGCCTGGGCAAAATGGTGAAACCCCATCTCTACAAAAATATGTATATATATATAAAATTAGTTGGGCATGGTAGTGTGCACCTGTAGTCTCAGCTACCCAGGAAGCTGAAGTGGGAGGATTGCCTGAGCCCGGGATTTGGATGCTGCAGTGAGCCATGATCTTGACATTGCACTTCAGACTGGGCAACAGATCAAGACCTTATCTCACACACACAAAAAAAAGAAAAGAAATTTATTTTGTAAAGTTATAGCTGCCATAGTTCTTGATTCCTCTGATGGATGTGGGCTGCATAAATTGAAAATCTTCTAGAAAGACTTTGCCATTCTAGATGCCATTAAAAACATTCATGATTCATGGAAGGAGGTCAAAATATCAACATTAATAGTAGTTTGGCAAAAGTTGACTTCAATCCCCATGGATGACTTTGAGGGGCTCAAGACCTCAGTGGAGGAAGGAACTGTAGATGTGGTGGAAAGAACAAGAGAACTAGAATTATAAGTGGTGCCCGAAGATGTGACTGGCTTGCTGCAATCTCATAATAAAACTTCAACATACGAGGAGTTGCTTTTTATGGATGAGAAAATTGGTTTCTTGGGATCGAATCTACTCCTTTTGAAGATGCTATGAACATTGTAGTAATGACATCAAAGTATTTAGAATATTCCACATACTTAGTTAATAAAGCAGCAACAGGGTTTGAAAGGATTGACTGCACTTTTGAAAGAAGTTCTACTGTGGGTAAAATGCTATTAAACAGCATCGCATGCTACAGAAAAATCTTTTATGACAGGAAGAGTCAATTGATGTGTCAAAATTCACTGTTGTCTTGTTTTAAGAAATTGCCACAGTCACCCTAACTTTCATCAACCACCATCCAGATCAGTAGCAGCCATCAATATTGAGGCAAGACCCTCCACCAGCAAAACAATTATGACTCTATGAAGGTTCAGATGATCATTAGCAATTTTTAGCAATAAAGCATTTTTACGTTAAGGTACATACATTTTTTACACCTAATGTTATTACACATTTAATATACTACAATATAGTGTAAACATAACTTTTATATGCACTGGGAAACCAAAAGATTTGTGTGATTTGCTTTGTTGTCATATAAGCTTTATTATGGTGATCTGGATCTGAACCCACAATCTCTCCAAGGTATGCTTGGATTAACAACCTGTGTCTCAGCTCCGAAACCTTTTCTAAAGCAGTATAAAAACCTGGTAGAATCAGAAGGCTTCATAAGATGCAAAATATGTAAAGAGATTCTTTGTTAGATTTAAGGGATCCAGATGTAGTGTACGAAGTTATATAATCACATTCAGATCCCTAGTATATATGGTTATTGTTGGAATGCACCTGTTTTTTTTAACACCTTCACAATAAACCTGTGGGGGTAACTCCTATTATTGCCCGGTAAAGGAAGATGCTCAGAAAAGTTCATCCCACCCAATGAGAAAGGGTGAAAAATACAGAGCTGAGATGCCCACCCAAAACCGCCTCCAAAAGTGTATCATTTTATTAGAAGCTGAAGTTTTTATCTATTTTAAAGACAAGTCATAAAAGAAGACTGGCTTAATAGTAAAACATTAATGGTAACATTAATTAGCATTCCCATCACCATTGCTCACACTTATTTTCCATCTTACCTCTGCAATAAAGGTGCTTACATTTTTTTAAAAAATCAGCATCCAAAAAAAAAATTGAGACCCCAAAAGGGGAAATGATCTCACTGAGTCCCTGAGCAAGTCACAGACAATTTTGTCAATCTGATTCCATCTCTAAATCTCTCCTTACCTTGATATTCTAATTAGTAAAAGTGAGAGAAATTATCTCCTATCCTCTTATTTCAATGTCAGGGAAGGAGCCAAGAAAGAAACTCAGCAGCCTCCACTCTCTGTCTAAATGTTTTGTTGACAAAGCCATATTATATCCACATGCCCAAATGCAAGCAAGATGGGAATAACAACAACAAAAACTCTCAAGAATGGCAGGAAGATCATGGAAAAAAGCAGCTGATTCTCCCCTTCCTCAAGAAAAGGGAACAATGGCATCCATTCATTTGGAGGTAGAACTTTGAAAGTCCAAGAACTATGGCATGGACTGTTTAACTCTGGTTCCCACTAGGACTTTTCTGCCACTGGCAATTTTGCCAGAAATTGCACTATAAAACATGAACCAGGGATGGAAGGGTGGGGTGCAGAACCGTGGGAGACCCACACAACCCCCAAAATTCAATTCCACTCTTTATTTCTGGTTCATGGAAAGAAATTGGCTCAGCACGCAAGCTACTCTGGGATTTGCTGACCCTTCTGCCGGGGGTGATAGGAATCTGTTCCTAATTGACCCTCCTGGACAAATCTGGAAACTTCTACTTTGTTCTCCCTGTCTTAGAAGAACTGAGTACATATTGTGCCCAAAGAAAAGTAATTCTAGCAAGTTTTCATCAGTAGGTCTAACTAAACTGTGGGAGTAACAATCTGGAATTTAAGAAATGCAGTGCCAAGACTCACAATGAGTGGACACTGTGATTTTTAAAAACTCCCAATTTACTCTTCTGTAAAATGAGAGTATTAATATTGGTATCCTAAAACCATGGTGAGAATTTAATGATACTACATATATACATATATATACAATCTCCAGCATGAAGTGAGTGCCCCTCCCCTTCCTGGCACAGTCCAATCTAGTGGCATATCCAGAGCCTCCACACTCTAAGATGCTAATATTCGAGGTGTCCTCACTTGAATAGGTCCCATGGCAGGTGGATCCAGAGATAACCACAGAATCCCATTTTGTACAGCTTTCTGCTCTCAGTGTCTTTGCTTCCTGCTCAAGGGACTCATCACTTTTTTTTTTCTTCTCTTCTAATCCCTGCTAATAAATCCATTCTCAGACATTTTCTTAACCAATGCTTCAATCATGGAATCAGGAAATTTAAAAGCAGAAATGAATCTAACAATGTAATTGAGGTTATCCCTCCTCTGGGCAATTGATTCCCAATGTGAATATGAAGAATGGCATCCTTGCAAGCATAGTTTTGGTATTAGTCACTGTAATGATGAAAAGCTTGTTGTTTTATGTTCAGGGGGCGTGACAGTAAGAAAAGTGGGGGGGTTTCTGAGGGGCCTTGAAATCTCTCTTATCACTCACATCATTTCCTTAAAGTTACCATTCATTGGCTTTATGTTATGACTAATAAACTCTTTAAACTAAAATCTATCAACCCTCTTAACAACCACAGATGTAGACAGGTCCTGATGCATCCTATCTCCTCTCACTCTCCATGACTCTACTCAAACACCTCTCACTAGGGCTGCCAGAGACGTGGAGATGTTATTAAGAGCTCACTTCCTATTTTCATCTCACCTGACTTCTCAGTATTTCCACTATTTTGAACATTCCCCTTTTCCTGGAACTCTCTATTCTCTAAGTTTCCTTGATCCACACTCTAGTTTTCTCATGCCTCTCTGGAGATTCTTTCTTCACCCAGCCATTAAATATTGCAATTCTTCAAAACTTTGTCATAGGTCTTTCCTCTTTTTAAAATTATTTTCTGAGTAATATCATCCACATGGGCTTCTGTGACCACTTATATATAAATTATGCCTAGACGTCAGATCTCTCCTCTGATCTCCAGTTGCACATATTCAACAGCCTGCCTCTTGTCCCTGCTTGGATATCTTAAAAACCACAACCCACAAATGTTTATTTGAACTCTCCACCTTCTTCAAGAAGTCTTGGGGTTTAACTGTCACAGCAACTCCCAGCATCCACCAAAACAACATTTTTGATCCTTTGATCCCATCACCTTTACCCTCCATATCCTTACTGTAGCCAAGCCCTATAGATTTTTCTTCCAAATATCTCTTGGATCTGTCCAGTATTTCTACCTTTGATGCCACTTTGGACTACAGCAGTCAATAGCCTTTCAACCAGTCTTATTGTAGCCATTCTTGTCTAGCTCCAATTCATTCTCTCTAATAGAGGCAAAGCGCTGTGCTAAAAGGCAAATAGAATTTTTCCATTCCCCATTTAAAATACTTCAATGGTACCTGGTGTTCCTGGATTAAAGACCACAGTCCTTACCAAGACTTTCAGGGGCAAGAGTTCTCCACTCCTGTCGATCGCTATGGTTTCATCTTCACCTGTTCCAGCAGACACCTTTCTGTTTCTAACAACAGCAAGCTCAATCCCACCATAGAAACTATGTTTATATTCTCCCCTCTCTGCCTAGAAATCACTTATCATCTCCCCAAACCCCCTCACCCACTCCATTAGTTTCCTAGGGATACCATAACAAATTGCAAGAAACATGGTGGTTTCATAAAAGAAACTTTTAATCTCAGGTTCTGGAGGTCAGAAATCTGAACTCAGGGTGATTGCAGGGCCATGCCCTCTCTGATGGCTCCAGGGGAGAATCTGTCCTTTGCCTCCTCCAGCTCCTGATGGCCGCTTGGCATTTCTTGACTTGTAGCTGCATAACTCATCTCTGCATTCATCTCTACATGGCTCCTCTCCTCTTGTGCCTGTGTTCATCTTTTCTGTGACATTTCCTATTCTTTTTTTTTTTTTTTTTTTTTGAGACGGAGTCTTGCTCTGTTGCCCAGGCTGGAGTGCAGTGGCACAATCTCGGCTTACTACAAGCTCCGCCTCCCAGGTTCATGCCTTTCTCCTGCCTCAGCCTCCCCAGTAGCTGGGACTACAGGCGCCTGCCCCCACACCTGGCTAATTTTTTGTATTTTTAGTATAGACAGGGTTTCACCATGTTAGCCAGGATGGTCTCGATCTCCTGACCTCGTGATCCACCCACCTCGGCCTCCCAAAGTGCTGGGATTACAGGCGTGAGCCACCATGCCCAGCCAACATTTTCTATTCTTATAAGGTCAATTCTCATTGGACTAAAGGCTCACCCTGTTAATCTAGAGTGATCTCCACAAAATCCCTAACTTAAGTATATCTGTAAAGACTCTTCCTGCATAAAGTTAGAACTTAGACTTATCTTCTTGGGGGCCACATTTGAACCCTTTACATGTACCTAAACCCTATTTATTCTTCAGATTTCAGCCCAATAAGTATTTCCTTAGAGCAGCCATTCCTTCTCTGAATAAGCTCATGCTTCTGAGGAAGTACATACTTCTTTGTGGTCTGCTGGCCACATCACACAGCAGCAAAGCAAAGCTTCTTCCTCCATAATCTCACATTGGTACACAGCGTCATGTACACACACATAAAAGAGAACACACACATTAATTCGCTGAAACACATGTGTACAAGCAGGTATGCCCAATCCCAACAGAATTTTGGGAAGTTTGATTCCCACACACCCCCTAACCCATACAACTCTAAGTCTAGCATGATTGCCTCACTGAGGGTCTAGGGTACATTTAGGGTAAACATCTCTGGTGCCATGTAGTGAGTGAGTGGGTTTGATTGTGTTGCAGCCAGGGCTGATGACCATCTGGACTATTAAAAAGTTAACTTGGATCCAAGGAAGTCCAAAAAGTGGTTCTTTTTGTAGAATAGTAGCCAAAATGTATTTTTACTTGAGTAAGTTGTACCCTTTTCTAACATAAACAAAGAAACAGTGTCTTAGTTCATTTCTGCTGCTATAATACGGCAGACTGGGCAATTTATAAAGAAGAGGAATTTATTCTCACAGTTCTGGAGGTTGGGAAGTCCAAAATCAAGATCCCACTATCTGCTCTGATCTTTCCTATTGTGTTCTCTCATAGTGGAAGGAGGAAAGGCAAGAGAGAGCAAACTCACTCCTATAGGCCCTTTTCAAAGTGGCATTAATTCATTCATGAGGGCAGAGCCCTCATGACCTAAACACTTCCCAAAAGGTCCCCGCCTCAACACTGTTACATTGGGTATTAACTTTTCAACACACAAACTTGGGGGTCACATTCAGACCACAGCATATGATATAAGCAAGCTATCAGTGGCACTACCCAAATATGCCCACTTCTGTCCATCACCACTGCTACAACATAGATGCAAGATGCCATGAGCCCTTGCCTAAAATATTGCATCAGCCACCTAATTGTCTCTCTGCTTGTCCTCTATGCTTGCCTCCTTACAATCAGTTCTTCTGTATATGACTTTCAGAATTATATTTTCTGTAACAAATCGTGTCACTTAAATCCCCTGTCATTCCCTTGCTTGAAACACTTCAATGACTTTCCACCAGACTTAGAATATTATCCAAGCTCCTCACTATAACCTATTAGCTTGTATATTATCAGGGTATCCCATCTCTTATCACTTCCCCCATCATTCACCCTGATCCCCACCACTTCAGTGATACTTCTACCTATTCCTTGAAGATATCAAGTCAACTCTCAGCTTAGAGTCTTTCCACAGACTGTTGCCTTTGTCTGGAATACTGCTTCCCTGGGACCTTGTATGCCTGGCTCCTTATTATGTAGATCTCAGCTAAAGATGCCTCTTATTTTATCTAAAATAAACCTCCTCAAATCTCTATCACATCGGTTTATTTTATTTCCTTTGTATCTATGATTACTATCTGAATTAATCTTATTATTATTTATTTCCTATACCCTCTCAGGAAAAGATAAGCTTCATGAGACAGAGTTGGCCCACAATAAATATTTAATGAATAAACGAATGTTTGGCTCCACCAACTCTGCTGTACACACATATCGCAGACTTAGACAAACAGTGTGTCAGTGTTTATGACTGAGCCATAAAGATGTTAATCTAGCTCTTCTTTCAAAGGTTTTTCTTTCTGTTTTTTCCTTCTTTACCCAGCAGTAACAGGCCTTCCTGACAACTCAAGTTGTTTGGCATCTTGGGCTCTTGTCTTTACTCCATTCTCCAGCAGCCTTGGAGTCATTTTATTTTCGTTGCTCTAAACTACATTTGCAAGGTCCAGAACAATGAGATAAACTCTCCCTTCTCCTGTGGCAGAAGCATAAAGGAATTTATAGTATCAGACCCTCTCTACTGGAAAAAGTCTTTTCGTAGTCTACTTTGAGCCCAAGTTACTTATCTGCAAACACTTTAATTTGCAACCAATGCACTAATTTAATGTCATGCCTATTTTCCAGTGCAGAAAAACTGTCTACTGATCTCTGTATACCCCAGTGTACCATAGAAATTAGCACGTAGTAGGTGTTCTGCAGTGTTTACTGAGAAAACAGAATACATTTATGTCTCAAAAAGTTATTAAACTCAGCAGAGACTTAAAAGAATATCAAGTCCCTTCCCATAGGGGAAAAATAACTCTTTTAGATGGAATGAGATTTACTGTGTCAAAATATATAAAAACCAGTTAGACAGAAAAAGCCCTCCACAAGATCAAAATCATCTCCCAAAAGATGTAATGAATGTTTCCATATTTGAGTCACTTCAAACTATACTGAGCACTCTAAAATATGTAATTATAAAGCCCTGTAAAAATAAAAATCTATGTTCCAAGGAAAAGACACTGAGCTCTCCTGATTTGAAACCAAGATGGACCAGCATTCACAGCATGTTAATCTCCTTAAGCCACAGTTTCCACATGTGAGAGAACTTAACCTGTGTCCCGAGGCAGTCAGGAAGCTAAAGCGCTCTTGTCTGCCATGCATGTGAAGACCTTTACATGAAAGGTGTTACAGAAGGCCAAGAAATTCATCTTGGCATTTGTTTCGACTGGAAAATTCCTTCAAATATTATAAGAAGAAATCCCATAAATGACTCATCGGGTTTCAGCCCTTCATAAATTTTAAAATCAAATGATCTTTTAGCTTTAAACTTGTAGATAAAGGTTACAGAAAATTCTGCAGTACTATATAAGGCCAACGGCTCTGGTAATGGCCAGTCTTAGACACATACACGTATTGCCTCTGATGGCTGTGAAAGGGGGATTACCTGTTTATTTTCTGCAATGATTTGCAGGGACAGGGACTAGGGTTTACCTTATGGCATAATAGTCACCAGCCAGCACGCAGTCTGATAGTCCCAAGCAGATGAACTTGATTCACTCTGTTATTTATATTCTCCAATTGAGAATGTTTGCATATAAAAGTTTCATTAATTATAAAAAGAGATAATGTAAAGGAAAAAGCCAGAATCACATCAAAAGGACTTCGGTATTGTGATTCTCTCCCTGCCACACCCCAGTCATATGATTTTGGCCAAGTTATAACATCCTCCAGTTTTCTCATCTGTTAAAAGAAAGAATATATTTCAGCTACCCATTTAACAGAATTGTTGTGAAGATTAAATCATGTAATGCATTTGAAAGCATTAGAAAAATATAATGTAAAATATTTAAATAAAACATTATAGGTATCATTAATACTGCTAACATTTAGATTGAATTGTAGAAAAATTTTAAGTCTTAGTATATTAGTCAGAAAAATTGTATCTGTTTTTGTTTCTTTTTTTCTTTTTTTTTAAATAGAGACAAGGTCTCACTGTGCTGCCTAGGCAGATCCCAAACTGCTGAGCTTAAGCAATTCTCCCACCTTGGCCTCACAAAGTGCTGGCATTTCAGGCATGAGCCCCCCAACCTGGCCATATTTTATCTAATTTCTCTCCTTCTTAAAGAAGGGGACATTTTAACTCTAATCACACCCAATATATCTTACTTTTTGTGTTGTTCAATAATTTACCTATATCTTATTTTTATCCTTAAGTTTGATATTATTATTTTTTTACTCAGTCAACATTGGTTTAGGTTAACCTAAAGTTTACTAAATAATTTAGGATCCCATTTTACATCTCAG
Source organism: Homo sapiens (assembly GCF_000001405.40). Taxonomy (NCBI): domain Eukaryota; kingdom Metazoa; phylum Chordata; class Mammalia; order Primates; family Hominidae; genus Homo; species Homo sapiens. Next base: position 27,849,680 of record NC_000018.10, read on the forward strand.
ACCTTCCCTCTGAAACCATTTGTCTTCTTCCTCATATATTTTGTGTAGAGCTATGGTTCTCCAACAGGAGCAGCATCAGAAGCCCTGGAGAGCTTGACGTAGCACAGCTTGCTGGGCCCGCCACAGTGTCTGGTGCAGGGTGGGCTTGAAGATATGCATTTCTTACGTATTCCTGAGAGGTGCTGCTGCTGCTGCTGGGGACCACACTTTGAGAATCACTAGAAGACTCTTGCCTAGGTTGTCCGTTTACTCTATTGATAGTTTCTTTTGCTGTGCAGCACCTCTTTAGTTTAATTAGATCCCGTTTGTCAATGTTTGCTTTTGTTGCAATTGCTTTTGGCATCTTTTTCATGAAATTTTTACCCATTCTTTTGTCCAGAATGGTATTGCCTAGGTTGTCTTCCAGGGTTTTTATAGTTTTGGGTTTTACCTTTATGTCTTTAATCCATCTTTGTGTTGGTCACAAACTCTCAGTCTTTGCTTGTCTGAAAAACGACTTAATTTGCCTTTCTTCCTGAAGGATAGTTTAGATAGACACATAAATCTAGGTTGATTTGTTTCTTAAGCTTCTCAACAGTACAAATGCTTGTGGAATAATATTTTCTTCTAAGACAGACAAAGAGGGAAAGAAAACAAACCCAGATTTTATTATATTATTATCAATATTAACATTCCACATTTATTTGTACTGTTGAGAAGCATAATATCAATGTAACTGTTCTCTTGGTGGGTAAACTTTTTTTCTCCTCTTTGATCAATTTTATCATCTTCCTTTTCTTGAAAACGCAATTGTCTGAGGTGAAAATCTCTCTCTCTCTCTCTCCACCCCCGCCCCCCACTTCTTTTCTTTCATTTTTCCCTCCTTGAGTGTGGTTTCCTTAATCCGCAGCTTCATGTCTTTCATTAGGTCCGAAAAATTCTTTGCCATTATCTCTTCAAATATAGCCTCAACCCTATTCTTTCTGTTCTTATACTCTCTTATTCAAAGAGAGATTTTCTGTCTTTGTGTTCCCGGGACACAATTTTGAAATCTACCTTCTAGTTCCTTTTGCCTCAAACTGTGGGTCTCACTTGACAGCTTATTAGAAATGGCAACTTTTGGACCTCACACCAAACCTACAGAATCAGAATCTGCATTTTAACACACTCCCTAGGTGATTGCCATATACGTTCAAGGCTGAGAAGGATGGCTCTAGTTCACGAATTCTCTCTCTTTGGGTTTATCTAATCTGCTTCTTAATTCATTTATTAATATTATCATTGTAATGATTATACTTTTTTTATTATACTTTGTTTTAGGGTACATGTGCACAACGTGCAGGTTAGTTACATATGTATACATGTGCCATTTTGGTGTGCTGCACCCATTAACTCGTCATTTAATACTAGGTATATCTCCTAATGCTATCCCTCCCCTCTCCCCCCACCCCACAACAGGCCCTGATATGTGATGTTCCCCTTCCTGTGTCCATGTGTTCTCATTGTTCAATTCCCACCTATGAGTAAGAACATGCGGTGTTTGGTTTTATCGTCCTTGCGATAGTTTGCTGAGAATGATGGTTTCCAGCTTCATCCATGTCCCTACAAAGGATATGAACTCATCATTTTTTATGGCTGCATAGTATTCCATGGTGTATATGTGTCACATTTTCTTAATCCAGTCTATCATTGTTGGACATTTGGCTTGGTTCCAAGTCTTTGCTATTGTGAATAGTGCCGCAATAAACATACGTGTGCATGTATCTTTATAACAGCATGATTTATAATCCTTTGGGTATATACCCAGTAATGGGATGGCTGGGTCAAATGGTATTTCTAGTTCTAGATCCCTGAGGAATTGCCACACTGACTTCCACAATGGTTGAACTAGTTTACAGTCCCACCAACAGTGTAAAAGTGTTCCTATTTCTCCACATCCTCTCCAGCACCTGTTGTTTCCTGACTTTTTAATGATCGCCATTCTAACTGGTGTGAGATGCTATCTCATTGTGGTTTTGATTTGCATTTCTCTGATGGCCAGTGATGATGAGCATTTTTTCATGTGTCTTTTGGCTGCATAAATGTCTTCTTTTGAGAAGTGTCTGTTCATATCGTTTGCGCACTTTTTGATGGGGTTGTTTGTTTTTTTCTTGTAAATTTGTTTGAGTTCATTGTAGATTCTGGATATTAGCCCTTTGTCAGATGAGTAGGTTGCAAAAATTTTCTCCCATTCTGTAGGTTGCCTGTTCACTCTGATGGTAGTTTCTTTTGCTGTGCAGAAGCTCTTTAGTTTAATTAGATCCCATTTGTCAATTTTGGCTTTTGTTGCCATTGCTTTTGGTGTTTTAGACATGAAGTCCTTGCCCATGCCTATGTCCTGAATGGTATTGCCTAGGTTTTCTTCTAGGGTTTTTATGGTTTTATGTCTAACATGTAAGTGTTTAATCCATCTTGAATTAATTTTTGTATAAGGTGTAAGGAAGGGATCCAGTTTCAGCTTTCTACATATGGCTAGCCAGTTTTCCCAGCACCATTTATTAAATAGGGAATCCTTTCCCCATTGCTTGTTTTTCTCAGGTTTGTCAAAGATCAGATAGTTGTTGATATGTGACATTATTTCTGAGGGCTCTGTTCTGTTCCATTGATCTATATCTCTGTTTTGGTACCAGTACCATGCTGTTTTGATTACTGTAGCCTTGTAGTATAGTTTGAAGTCAGGTAGCATGATGCCTTCAGCTTTGTTCTTTTGGCTTAGGATTTACTTGGCCATGCGGGCTCTTTTTTGGTTCCACATGAACTTTAAAGTAGTTTTTTCCAATTCTGTGAAGAAAGTCATTGGTAGCTTGCTGGGGATGGCATTTAATCTGCAAATTACCTTAGGTAGTATGGCAATTTTCACAATATTGACTCTTCCTACCCATGAGCATGGAATGTTCTTCCATTTGTTTGTATCCTCTTTTATTTCCTTGAGCAGTGGTTTGTAGTTCTCCTTGAAGAGGTCCTTCACATCCCTTGTAAGTTGGATTCCTAGGTATTTTATTGTCTTTGAAGCAATTGTGAATGGGAGTTCACTCATGATTTGGCTCTCTGTTTGTCTGTTATTGGTGTATAAGAAGGCTTGTGATTTTTGCACGTTGATTTTGTATCCTGAGACTTTGCTGAATTTGCCTATCAGCTTAAGGAGATTTTGGGCTGAGACAATGGGGTTTTCTAGATATACAATCATGTCATCTGCAAACAGGGACAATTTGACTTCCTCTTTTCCTAACTGAATACCCTTTATTTCCTTCTCCTGCCTGATTGCCCTGGCCAGAACTTCCAACACTATTTTGAATAGCTGTGGTGAGAGAGGGCATCCCTGTCTTGTGCCAGTTTTCAAAGGGAATGCTTCCAGTTTTTGCCCATTCAGTATGATATTGGCTGTGGGTTTGTCATAGATAGCTCTTATTATTTTGAGGTACGTCCCATCAATACCTAATTTATTGAGAGTTTTTAGCATGAAGGGTTGTTGAATTTTGTCAAAGGCCTTTTCTGCATCTATTGAGATAATCATGTGGTTTTTGTTGTTGGTTCTGTTTATATGCTGTATTACGACTATATTTTTAATTTGTAAAACTTCTGTTTGTTCTTTTTCAGACTTCCCTGATTTATATTTATGGTATTTTTTCTTTTATCTCCTTTTTTACTCCATTTTTGGTTTTTATACAGTTTTTAAATCCTAAATTTTCTGTGCAATTATTCTAGTATCTAAAGTCCTTGGCAGTCACCAGGGCTCATTTCCTTGTGTTCTCAATGACTTTGGATTGTGCATTTATATTTGACTGATGTGAATCTATGGGATTAGAGAACACAAGCTTGTTCCTCCATGTGAATTTGGGTTCTGCTGAGTGATCCCCAGCATATCAACTGTGGTCCTCTTGAAATTTGTTTTCCTGTCTTGAGATTTTTATGACACCAAAGAGGATGATTTAATCTCTAAATCTGTGTGAGGAACTCGTACCTGATTGTAAGTCCTTTGGGAAAGACAAGTATCATCTTCCTTTGTCAGGAGGTAAATTTTCCTAACTAACCCCTCAATGAGGACGTGGCCCTATGAGTTTTCTAGCTTTGTGCAAATGTCGCTTTTCTTACTTCCTGCTTTGCAAAGGCCCAAAACCTTATCTCCTGGCCTCACCAGGCGGCAATAACTTTTAAGTTTCTCATGCAGACAAATGCGCCCACAGCACTTGTAGCTTTGCTTGTCATTCTGGTCTTCAGTTCATTCCATTTTTGTCCTGGGATTTATCTTACCTTCTTCTGAACTCAGCTTTATTGGGCAAGGAAAGAAAAGAGGAAGAAGAGAGAGACAGAGGGAGAGAGAAGAAAAGAGAGAAGAAGAAAGAGGAGGGAAGAAGATAAGAAAAATAAGTGGGGGAAAAGGTGGAAAAGAGAGAAAGAAGAAGAAGGAAAGAAGAGGATATTCATCCACCATCAATTTTTTTTTAACTTCTAATTTTAACTTCAGGGGTACATGTGCAGGTTTGTTGTATAGGTAAACTTGTGTCATGGGGGTTTATGTTCAGATTACTTTGTCTCCCAGGTATTAAGGCTGATACCCATTAGTTATTTTTTCTGATCCTCTCCCTCTTCCCACCCCCCACTCTCCAGTAGGCCCCAATGTGTGTTGTTGTCTCCTATGTGATCACGTGTTCTCATCGTTTAGCTATCACTTGTAAGTGAGAACATGCGGTATTTGGTTTTCTTTTTCTCCATTATTTTGCTAAGGGTAATAGCTTTCAGTTCCATTCATGCACCTGCAAAGGACATTGTCTCGTTCTTTTTTATGGCTGCATAGTATTCCATGGTGTATATGTACCACGTTTTCTTTATCTAGTCTACCACTGATGGGCATTTAGGTTGATTCCATGTCTTTACTATTGTGAATAGTGCTATGATGCTAGAATGATTTGTATTTCTTAGGGTATATACCCAGTAATGGGATTGCTGGGTCAAATGGTAGTTCTGTTTTTAGCTCTTTGAAGAATTGTCACATTGTTTTCCACAATTGTTGAACTAATTTACAATCCACCAACAGTGTATAAGAATTCCTTTTTCTCTGCAACCTTACCAGTATCTGCTATTTTTTGACTTTTTAATAATAGCCATGACTGGTGTGTGATAGGGTATTTCCTTGTGGTTTTGATTTGCATTTCTCTAATGATCAGTGATGTCGAGCTTGTTTTCATATGTTTGTTGGTCACATGTATGTCTTCTTTTGAAAAGTGTCTGTTCATGTCCTTTGGCTACTTTTTAATGGGGTTGTTTGTTTCCTTCTTCTAAATGTATTTAAGTTCCTTATACATGCTAGATATTAGTCCCTTATCAGCTGGATAGATTGCAAAAATTTCCTCCCATTCTATAGATTGTCTATTTACCTGTTGATAGTTTCTTTTGCTGTGCAGAAGCTTTTTAGTTTAATGAGATCCCATTTCTCAATTTTTGCTTTTGTTGTGATTGCTTTTCGTGTATTCATCATGAATTTTTTTACTCATTCCTATGTCCAGAATTACTGGTATTGCCTAAGTTGTCTTCCATGGTTTTTATTGTTTTGGGTTTTACATTTAGGTCTTTAATCCTATATAATATAATATATATTTATATATATAATATATATATTTATTATATATATATTATATATTATATATATAATATATATAATATATGTAATATATATTTATAATATATAATATATAATATAAATATATATAAATATTATATATTATATATTATATATAATATATAAATATTATATATTATATATAATATATAAATATTATATATTATATATAATATATAAATATTATATATTATATATAATATATAAATATTATATATTTATATATATTTATATATAATATATAAATATTATATATTATATATATTTATATAAATATATAAATATTATATATTTATATATATTTATATATAATTATATAAATATCATATTTATATATATTTCTATATTATATATAAATATCATATTTATATATATTTATATATTATATATAAATATCATATATATTTCTATATTATATATAAATATCATATATATAATATTTATATATTATATATAAATATATTTATAATATTTATAATATTTATATATTATATATATCATATTTATAATATTTATATATTATATATCATATTTATAATATTTATATATTATATATATCATATTTATAATATTTATATATTATATATATCATATTTATAATATTTATATATTATATATATCATATTTATAATATTTATATATGATATATATCATATAATATTTATATATGATATATATCATATAATATTTATATATGATATAAAAATATATTTATAATATTTATATATGATATAAAAATATATTTATAATATTTATATATGATATAAAAATATATTTATAATATTTATATATGATATAAAAATATATTTATAATATTTATATATGATATAAAAATATATTTATATATATTTATATATGATATAAAAATATATTTATATATATTTATATATGATATAAAAAATATTTATATATATTTATATATGATATAAAAAATATTTATATATATTTATATATGATATAAAAAATATTTATATATATTTATATATGATATAAAATATATTTATATATATTTATATATGATATAAAATATATTTACATATATTTATATATGATATAAAATATATTTACATATATTTATATATGATATAAAATATATTTACATATATTTATATATGATATAAAATATATTTACATATATTTATATATGATATAAAAATATATTTATATAATATTTATATAAATATAATATTTATATATATAAATATTAAATATATTTTCATATATACATATTATATTTATATATATTTTCATATATAAATATTATCTTTATATATATTTTCATATATAAATATTATCTTTATATATATTTTCATATATAAATATTATCTTTATATATATTTTCATATATAAATATTATCTTTATATATATTTTCATATATAAATATTATCTTTATATATATTTTCATATATAAATATTATATATATTTTCATATATAAATATTATATATATTTTCATATATAAATATTATATTTATATATATTTTCATATATAAATATTATATTTATATATATTTTCATATATATATAATATTTATTGTAAGAAAGGGGTCCAGTTTCATTCTTCTGCATATGGCTAGCCAGTTATCCCAGCACCATTTATTGAATGGGGAGTCCTTTCACCATTACTTGTTTTTGTCAGCTTTTTCAAAGATCAGATAGTTGTAGGTGTGTGACCTTATTTCTGAGCTCTCTAGTCTGTTCTATTGGTCTATGTGCCTGTTTTTATACCAATACCATGCTGTTTTGGTTACAGCAGCACTGTAGTATATTTTGAACTTGGGTAGCAAGATGCCTCCAGCTTTGTTCTTTTTGCTTAGGATTGCCTTCGCCATTCAGGCCCATTTTTTGGTTCCATATGAATTTTAAAACAATTTTTCCTAAGTTTTTGTGAAGAATGTCTTTGGTAGTTTGATAGGAATAGCATTGAATCTATAAATTGCTTTGGGCAGTATGGCCCTTTTAATGATGTCGATTCTTCCTATCCATGAGCATGAAATGTTTTTCCATTTGTTTATATCATCTATGATTTCTTTGAGCAATGTTTTGTAGTTCTCATTGCAGAGATGTTTCACTCCAATAGTTAGCTGTATTCCCTGGTATTTTATTCTTTTTGTGGCAATTGTGAATGGGATTGCATTCTTGATTTGGCTCTCAGCTTGACTGTTGCTTGTGTATAAGAATGATTCTTCTCTTTTTACATTGATTTTGTATCCTGAGACTTCACTGAAGTTGTTTATCTGCTTAAGGAACTTTTGGCCTGAGACTTTGGGGTTTTCTAGATATAGAATTATGTTGCCTACAAACAGATAGTTTGACTTTCTCATTTCCTATTTGGATGCCCTTTATTTGTTTCTCCTACCTGATTGCTCTGGCCAGGACTTCCAATAATATGTAAATAAGAGTGGTGAGAGAGAGCATTCTTGTGTTGTGCCAGTTTTCGAGGGGAATGCTTCTAGCTTTTGCCCATTCAGTATGTGTCAATTATTTTGAAGCAGGTAGGATTTTCAGTTTTTACATATAGCCAGATACTCTCCAGACCCCCTGCAGGATATAGATTTTACTTCTATTGTTAGACCACGTGCTCTTTCACCTGTTGGCATTTGTTCATGTCTGCTTGGAACTGTCTACCCCTGTTTAATTACGTCCACTTCTTTTACCTGTTTTATAAATGCTTTCAAGCACAAATAAGAAAGGACCAAAACAACAGTGGCTTTATGAACAAATATATTTTATTAGTTCACCTGACAGGCTCCTTATCTAGAGATAAAGCATCCAGCAGGCCAGTGATGTCAGGAAATGTGGCCCTCCCTGGCCACTGGCCACTGGCCACTGGAGCAGTGCCTGTCACAAGACCTCACACCAGTGTCCCAAGCAAGAAGGACAGACAGAGGCAAACACATCTTTTTTATATTTGTCCCCACCAGCAGATTTCTCTTTCTACCTTATCAATCAGAACCTTTTTACTATCATATCCCTGGTTTGGGGGAAATGACGATGTGGCCTAGAGAGTGTGGGTCACCATGACTGACTTACACTAAGTATGCAAAGCTTTACATCAAGGTACCTCCATCTACCACTTAAGCAAATGCAGAAAGAATCATGTAGAAAGGTATGTTGTTGAGTACAAAACAGTGTCTTTCTCACTGAGGAAGTTCATCTAGGTCTTAGCTAAAATATTATTATCTTCAAATATGTCAGGCCTCCTATAACACTCTCTATTCATAGCACTAATTAGGCTCCCTTGTGACTTCCTTATGGGACCTTATACTCACCCTATTGTAATATTTCCCACACTTTACATTATTTGTGTGATGTCTACCTTTCTTGGTATAATGTTAAGTCTATGAGGGCAAAGATCATGACTGTTTTTGTTCATTACTTAATCTATATCATAAATACTAACATATATTTACAGAAAAAAGGAGTAACAACAATAAAAGCAAACTATAATGTGTCCTGACCTATACTTTTCTTCCCAAACTCTCCTCTGAGAATCATACCCACATGTACAACAGTCTACTAGTTATCTCCATTTAGATATTTTAATATAGTCCTAAAATAAAGCTCTTACAGTGGATTACCACTCTGTGATGAGGTTAGCATCTAACGTAAGCACAAAAGCCACAATCAAATATAATTACAAGTACCCTTAGGAATACATAAAGCACAGTGATATTCAGAAACATGTTGCTCGAGTAGGAACAGCATGACACCTAGGGCCTACTGTGATACTTTTCATGTAGCAGGTATCATAAATAATCATTGTTTATTGAATATATGAAGTTGTTGGTTTGGATGTGGTCAGGTCAGCAGAACGAACCAAGAAAAATTATCATATTGTCAAAGGAAGCACTCTGAATTCCTCATGCCTTCTAATTATGCCGGTCTAGAAAAAGCTGTCATCAGATCTAAAATACCTATTTAAATCCTAATTATGTATTTACTAAACCCAACAACACAACATGGGTATTTCTTGTTTTTTATTTGGACGTAAGCAATACATTCCCCATTAAACAATTAGAAATGCAAACCACTACAGTGAAACTGCTTCCAGGCTAACAAATACCCAGGGACAACCCGTCAATTTTGGAGACTTGCATTTAACTGTGAATGTTGCCTTCTATTGCTGGAAACCACGTAAGGATTATCTAAAGTGGTCACTTAAGAAGAGGGTACTTCCTTTTAGAGACACTCTGTGATTCCTAACTTCTCAAGGTTGTCTTGAAAGGATTTGACCAGATATCTAGTATTTCACTGGTTATGTTATTAGAAGGGTAGGAGATAACTGGCAATGCATTTTTCACCTGGCTGCAGAAGTAGAAACATCAGGAAGAGTACATGGTATTTATTCAAAAGGACTAATTTAACCTCGTTTTCTTTCTACCATAGATTTATGGGACTTTTATTTAACCAATTTTTGCACCAGTACTCTTCCAGGCATTGAGCCTATGGAGATAAAAAAGAAGACATGAATACAAGGGGCTATTATTCTCTAGTGGGGAAGAAAGAAAATTACCTTATTTTATAACAGAGTACAAGGGTTATGCGCAGAGATACACATATTAGAATGTGATAGCAAAAAGGAGAGGCAAATATGGCATAACATTTGTCTTAAGACTTTTCTTCCACACACACATACAAATCTATTCTGGATCATAGCTAAGAGATGAATGGGGACCATTTTCAGGCCTGCTGTGTAACAATGCTGAGATTGCATATTGCACTAGGGAGACCATTCTCCTTGTGGACATGTCCTAACACACCAGGTATGGAGGCTGAGTTGCAACTATATTCAGATGTGCCGAGTCACTTATTTCCTGTGCCTTTGCTTGACAAGCCTAATCCCTCTCATCACCTAGAGTAAGCCTGCCCGACTTCCTCAGCCTCTGCCTGCAGTGTCTTCCTCCTGCTCTTGACCTTATAGAGCATTTGGATGTGTATAAGCAGGCAAGCATATAGGCATGTGTGCGCCCAGCTAATGTCATTGTCTGCTAGGGCGCAGGAAAATTCCCCCAGGGCACAGGTATTCAGGTTATGCTAACTTTTTTTTTTTTTTTTCTTTGAGACAGAGTCTTGCTCTGTCACCCAGGCTGGAGTGCAGTGGCGCCATCTCAGCTCACTGCAGCCTCCACCTCCCAGGCTCAAGAGATTCTCCTGCTTCAGACTCTCGAGTAGGTGGGATTACAGGTGCATGCCACCATGCCCAGCTAATTTTTTTTTTGTATTTTTAGTAGAAACAGGGTTTTGCCGTGTTGGCCAGGCTAGCCTCGAACTCCTGACCTCAAGTGATCCGCCCACCTCAGCCTTCCAAAGTGCTGGGATTACAGGCCTGAGCCACCAGGCCCAGCCTAACTTTTTTTTTTTTTTTTTTTTCAATCTTGTGGACCAGACAACTTCTTCTTCTTCTCAAAAAGGCATTAGCTGCAGCCATCATACACTTTCACTTTCACACACAAAACTAAAACAAAAACCACACAAATATTTTTTCTTGTTCTTTGCATATGCTTATTGAAAGAAGACAATGACACGATGGCAAGGAATTCCAACACCTAAGCAGCAATGCTTTTTTGCTGTCCACGTGTAAAACTCCTTTGATCTGCAGCTGTAGCTGCAGCTGCTATTTGCAGAGCCTGGCACTGTACTATGAAATTCCTGGTCAGCCCAGAACATTCACTCTTGGGAAGCCATGTCCTTGCTGACTGCAGCCGACCACGCTGGCTCAGCAGCTTCTGTGGCTTCCTGGCTGCCCACAACTGTGTTTGAAGCTGGGCTGCCCTGGGCCTTCCCAGGATTCATCTTGCCTTCCTGCTTGCTGGTGCTTGGCTGCAATTCACCATAAAGCTCTTTCTTGCTTTTTATCCCGCTAAGGGTGAGTTAAACTAGCACAGGTAAAAATGTGAGTTTTGTTTTACAAGCACCTTTCAGGAATATACAATCTTTCTGTCTCTCAAGTGAACTCCCTGGACTCAGTAAAATTCTAAAAACACCAAAAAAAAAAAAAAAAGAAACAGTGGGGTTCAATTTTATTAACCCCCTAAAAATTACATAATAAAAAGATCAGAAACATGACCTTTGTCACCCGAAGCGAGAATAATTTTAATGGTTCAGGTGACTCCCTCATCCTGAATCCTGACTGGATCCACAGAGTTAGAAATCCCAAAGCCATATGCATTACACAGCACTGGGAAACGAGAAAGGAATCAATTATCCACAACCTGGATTTGGAAGACCTTAAACCACCTTGCGTCTCTGATTTCAGGATAGCTACGGCTGCATGATCTCTCCTGCAAGAGCAAAACCATTTGAAAAACTATCCCTTTAAGGTGCAATTGATTTAGCCATAAATAAATCCTGGAGGAAACAGCCTGCTCTTTGCCAGGAGGGCCAGCATGCACGATATGCATGTTCTTTCACACAGCGATATTTGATAGGACCCAGCGTTGGCTGGAAAATGTAATTTGCTCAGTGAAGCATGCCCATCCCTGGCCCCTGATTACTCACTGCTCCCTTTACAAATGCCCCAGCCCCTTGCCACTCGGTACTCATCAAGGTTTCTCTTACGCCGATAGCAAATATTTTATCAGATCGGTGATTATTCTTATTATAAAGAAAATGCACCAGCCAAACAGCCAGGTTGGTTCAATTATCGAAATTATGTCTTCCCCCTAGGTAATTTCTAATTGAGTAATTATGAGGATTACAAGGCTCATTGAGACCTTACTGGATACCGGTGATGCACTAGTCTTTTTTTCAGTGAATCTTTTCTCTTGATATTTCTGCTATGAGAAAAGGTTAATCTATATCAGCAAGGTTTCAACTGAAAGGACATTTGTGCTCATCAGCGTTATCACTTCTGGTGAGCCTGGTTTTCATCAAGAGCTTTAAAATGAACAGCCTCCGGGTTTTCTATAAACATCCAAAAGGCACTAACATGAAAAGTCTTTTGGCGTGGCCTCTGAGTGGGCCGGAGATAGAAGCGGGCTTCCATTTCAGCCATCTACCACTGTTCTTTCAATTACTGCTCCTACCTCAGGTTCAAGTTCTCAGGTTTGTGCCCTGTAGGCAAAGGGAATGGCTATTCTTATCTCCATGGGAGTGCAGTGCAGCTTGGCTCCTTCAAATAAATAACGAGATCAAATGATTATAATTTCTCTAGATTCAAATTTAATCTTGGCTATGCATCTAAGTGCATGATGAACACAATATTGCTCAACCAGAGAAAACAGTATCTTGATAAAGCCCTGGCAAAATGCAAATAATAAATAATGATCTATGAGGGGCATCTGTTTGTGAAAAGAAGAGAGATAAAAAAAGATACACAGTGGGACATAAATTGCCTCCTTATAATCCTCAGAAATTAAGTGCATCAGAGTAGTCGATCTTCACTACTGTCTTCTGCTAGGGAATAGAGTTGTCCTTCACTATCCCCTGGGGATTGGTTCCAGGAACTCCAGTGGTACCAAATCCACAGACATTCAAGTCCCTGACACAAATTGACATAGTATTTTCATAGAACCCACACACATCCTCCTGTATACTTAAAATCATCTCTAGATTACTCATAATACCTAATTAAAATATAAATACTATGTTAAAAGTTGCTATGCTATATATTGTTTAGGGAATAATGATAATAATTAAGTCTGTACATGCTCTGCACACATGCAGGCATCCGTTTTTTCCCCAAATGGTTTCCATCCATGGTTTGTTGAATCCATGGGACCTGTGAATAAGGAGAGCCAACTGCATTAATGAAAACAAGTTTGGATGGTGCCTGAGTAGCAAACGAAGCGAGTGTTTGGGAGGCAGCGTGATGTGGAAAGGACCTGATGTAAATTCCTGGATACAAACTCGATGACAGGGTCTCCTTGGCCATTCCCTCTACTTCCATAGTAGTTTCTTCAACTATTAAAAAAAAAAAAAAAAGACAGTTCCTTCATTTGCTAGGACTACTATAACAAAGAACCCTAAACTGGGTGACTTAAACAGCACAAATGTATTTTCTTACTTTCTGGAAGGTAGAAGGTAAGTCAAGGTATCAGCAGGCCAGTTCCTCCTGAGGGCTGTGAGGAAAGGATCTGTTCCAGGCCTCTCTCCTTGGCTGTCAAATGGCCATCTTTTCCTGGGTCTCTTCACATTGTCTTCTCTCTAGGGATGTCTGTCTCTCTGTCCAAATATCCCCTTTTTATAAGACACTAGTCCTTTCGGATTAAGCCCTGCCTTAGAGACCTCATTTTAACTAATTACATCTGTAATGACCCTATTTTCAAATAAGGTATTTAGGTTGGTGCAAAAGTAATTGCAGTTTTTGCCATTACTTTCAACGACAAAAACCACAAATTACTTTTGTACCAACCTAATACTAGGGGGTAGGACTTCAACAGATAAATTTGACACAATTCAATACATAACACGTGGATTGGTAAAAATCTCTAAGTTCCCACTCGGCTCCAAAATTATATGACTTTTTCTCTTAATAATTCAGAAAAACCAACTCACAATTTTTTTTAAGTCAAAAATAAGGGGTAGGTTTGTCTAAATTCCATTAATTACTCGCAATCATGAAATTATCCAGCTAATGCCTTACTCTTTGCTGTTCTCTTTAAGATAGATGAAGTACTGGCAGATTCCCTCTCTAGCCTGAGTTGGCACTGCCCCTTTTGGCTGTTGCAGGAGCAGTTGTTACATGTGGCTGCAGCCCTGACCTTTCTCTGTCACCCATGCCCAAGGTCAGACCCTGCCACTGCAGCTCTGAAAGACCACAGACTTCATTTTATTTTATTTATTTTTTATTAGCCCTAAATTACTTTCCTAGGTGTTTTTATTGTGTGTGCACTTTTTTTCTTGAAATTCAGGAACTGAAGCAGGCTTCCAAAGCACACAGTGGATGGTCTAACACCATATGGTGCTGACATTAAGCTTTATATTGTGTGACTAATGGCTTAACTCGGGGCTTGAGTGCGGTTTAACCTTTTTAATATTCATGCATTGCACTAGTGTGTGCAAGTATTATATATCCAGTATATAGATATAAGCACTAAATGTTCTCAGTTGTTGATATGGTCAGACAGGGTGTGGTAGGAGGTGCTTTGCTTTGTACGCAGAGGACCTGGTGAGGGAGAGCTGTTATAATTATCTTAGAACTCACCTTTGGTTCATCTCACTTAAAACCAAAAATGTGTCTGCCCTAAAGTGGTGAAGTGTATTTTTGTTTTGTTTTGTTTTTGAGACAGAGTTTCCCAATTCTTGCCCAGGCTGGAGTGCAATGGTGCGTTCTTGGCTCATTGCAACCTCCGCCTCCTGGGTTCAAGTGATTCTCCTGCCTCAGCCTCCCCAAGTTGCTGTGACTATAGGTGCCAGCCACCAAGTCCGGCTAATTTTTTTTGTATTTTTAGTAGAGACGGGGTTTTGCCATGTTGGCCAGACTGGTCTCAAACTCCTGACCTCAGGGGATCCACCCACCTCGGCCTCCCAAAGTGCTGGGATTACAGGCATGAGCCACCGTGCCTGGCCTCAAAGTGTCTTTTTTTAAGAGAATTTTGGTATTATTAAAAGGATTTTTTTTCTTTATTTTATTTTTTTTCTGAGATGGAGTCATTTTATTTTTTTTCTGAGATGGAGTCTTGCCGTGTCACCCAGACTGGAGTGCAGTGGCACGATCTCGGCTCACTGCAACCTCTGCCTTCTGGCTTCAAGCGTTTCTCCTGCTTCAGCCTCCCAAGTATCACTGGTATTACAGGCACATGCCACCATGCTCGGCTAATTTTTGTATTCTTAGTAGAGATGGGATTTCACCATGTTGGCCAGGCTGGTCTTGAACTTTCGACCTCGTGATCCACTGCCTTGGCCTCCCAAAGTGCTGGGATTACAGGCATGAGCCACTGCACCCAGCCCAAGGATTTATTTTTAAATGGAATTTGGTAGTGTATGTAAGTCCCTCAACAAGAAAAATAAGGCTTCCTTATATAGGCTGAGCCAAAGACTCAACATCTTCAACATATATTCATTTCATTCAGAGTCTACAGCAAAAAAGATTTAAGTAAGGAAATGTACAAAACCAGTGTTTGAAATGTTCACTTTTTTTAAACTTTGAGAAATAGCTTTTACTCAATCAGATAGAAAAGTTACAGTGACCCAGCAAGAATTGGATATTCATTTTATTTTTGGATGAAAAATGAAGTACCGAGACATTTCATTATGGCCATGGGTCCTACACTCATTCTTAACCTGAACTCTCTGGTTTCTCTGCACACACAAGGCCCTGGTGCCCTCTTCAGCACACACACCTGATAGATGAGCTCTGCTCCTTCCCAGAGAAAATTCCTCAAGTTGTCCTTGGTGACTCCTGGTCTGGGGATGGCTATTACTGAGTCATACCTTTAAAGTGTCTGAGAAAGAAGCAATTTGTGGTCATGAAAAATTAGGAGTCCACTTTTAAATCTATAGGTATTGCTATTTTGGAGTGGAGCTGGACAGATTGGTAAGTAAATCCTGTAGTGATGAGGAGAGTCAAAGTATAGGAAAGGGGATGATGGGATTGTATTCCACTCCTAAACAAGGAAGTATAATTATGTGAACACTGCATGTCAGATCTTCTTTGAAACAAGATGCGTAGAGTTACATTTAGTATGTTTAGTGTGAAAGCCTATGAATGCTGAAGATGGGTGGGTTAAAAATAGAAAGAAAATAAATGACATATTAATATATGATGCAGTAAATTCTGAATGTGGGTAAATTTATTTTTTAATTAGCCCACCTAAAGCTCCAGAAAAATAATTTTCCAGGTACTCATTAAAAATTAAAAATAAAAATATAATGGTGAAAAATAAAATCCTACCTGATTGTCACATTTGTTTATGAAATAATAAAAAGATAATGCTTTTCATAATTTAATAAATATGTATAGAAGCATCAAATTTTTATTTAAAAAGGCCTTAGCAATCCTACTGTTATTTTCTAGGTAACCAAGAGTTCATTAATTTACGTTTTAACTTAAGTATTACATGAATGCACAAAAGCATTTAGCAAAATGAATTACGAACTTTTTTGAACACGTAATCTTTAAATAAGGATGAATTAAAGTAAATGAATCTTAGTTTTATATTCAAGTCAACCATCTTGTTATTTAAATAAGTTTCTTGTTTAAAAGAAATTAAAGAGTAAACAGGCAACCTACAGAATGGGAGAAAATATTTGCAAACTATGACTCCAACAAAAGACTAATATCCAGAATCCATAAGAAACTTAAATCAACAAGAAAAAAAATAACCCCATTAAAAAGTGAGCACAGTACATGAAGAGACACTTCTCAAAAGAAGATATGCAAGCAGTGAAAAAATGCTCAACATCACTAATCATCAGAGAAATGTAAATTAAAACCGCAATGAGACACTAATTCATACCAATCAGAGTGGCTATTATTAAAAAGTAAAAAAATAACAGATGTTGGTGAGAATGTAGAGTAAAGGGAATGCTTATCTACCATTGGTGGGAATGTAAATTTGTTCAACCCCTATGGAAAACAGTAGGAAGATTTCTCAAAGAACTAAAAGTAGAACTACCGTTTGACTCAGTAATGTCACTGCAGGGTATCTACCCATAGGAAAAGAAATTGTGTATCAAAAAGACACCCACATTTGTATGATTATCACATCACTATTCACTATTCCATAGCAAAGCCATAGAATCAACCTGTGTCCATCAATGGTGGATTGGATTTTTTTAATGTGATACTTATATACCATGGAATACATATCACCATAAAAAAGAATGAAATCATGAACTTTACAGTAATATGGATGAAGCTAGAGGCCATTATCCTAAGTGAATTAACGGCAGGAACATAAAATCCGATACCGCATATTCTCACTTATAAGTGGGAGCTAAACAATGGGTACATATGGATGTAAAGATGAAAGCAATAGACACTGGGGGCTCCAAAAGATGGGGAGGCAGGAAGAAGGGGAAGCGTTGAAAAACTGCCTATTGGGTACTGTGTTCACCATTTGATTGATGGGTTCACTAGGAGCTCAAACCCCAGCATTACCCAATATGCCCAGGTAACAAACCTGCATATGTACCCCCTGTATCTACAATTTTTAAAAAAATAAAGAAAAAGAAGACAGGATAATGATTACCTTGGCACAGGAGACAAAGATAGTGATTTTTAAATAGTATTAGAGATTAACTTTGTATGTTTTTGAATTTTGTATAAATAGATTGATATTATGTATCCTTTTTTGTCTACATTTTTCATTCAACATTTATAAAAATTACTTACATTGTCGCGTTTAGCATTAATTTATTCTGACTTTATGTAGTCTATTGCAGAATTTATCATTCATTTTTCTATTCTACAATTGACAGATTGTTTTCTATTTATGACTATTAAAAAGAATTCCAAAAAATGAAATATGTATTATTGTGCATGTATTTTTGCACATATGTATATATTTCTGCTGTGTATGTACCTAAGATTGGAAGTGCTGGTTTGTGAAGAATACATCCATTCAATTTTGGTAGAAAATGCTACTTTTCTATTATTAATGTATGAGAGTTCCACTGGCTTTAGGTCTTCAGCAGACTTCAGGAATGCAGCAAAAGTCATATTTATAGGCGAATTTGTAGTCTCTTATGCATTAATTAGAAAAAAATGGTTGAAAATTAATTATATAAGCATCCATTTTATGGAGTAAGAAAATTAAACTCCCATGTTTAAAAATTAAACTCTCCACGTTAATCCCAAAGAAAATGGAATGAGGCCGGGCGCGGTGGCTCACGCCTGTAATCCCAGCACTTTGAGAGGCCGAGGTGGGCGGATCACGAGGTCAGGAGATAGAGACCATCCTGGCTAACACGGTGAAACCCCGTCTCTACTAAAAATACGAAAAATTAGCCGGGCGTGGTGGCGGGTGCCTGTAGTCTCAGCTACTCGGAAGGCTGAGGCAGGAGAATGGCGTGAACCTGGGAGGCGGAGCTTGCAGTGAGCGGAGATCGCGCCACTGCAGTCCAGCCTGGGCAACAGAGTCAGACTCCGTCTCAAAAAAAAAAAAAAAAAAAAAAGAAAAGAAAAAAGAAAATGGAATGAAAGAAATAATAAGAGGAGAAAGTTGTGAAAGAGAAAAACAATGCAACACGGAGAATCAGGATAATAAAAAGTTTGCAAAATCAATGAAGAAAGAAGAGAGGGTCCAACATTAGAAATGAAAAGGGAGTCCTCACTACAGAACCTATTGTACATTCATTAAAAATATCATAGGAGTGGGAGCTAAGCTATGAGGACGGAAAGGCATAAGAATGATAAAATGGACTTTGGGGATTCGGGGAAAGGGTGGGAGGGAGTGAAGGATAAAAGACTACGCATTAGAGACAGTGTACACTGCTTGGGTGATGGGTGCACCAAAATATCACAAATCATCACTAACGAACTATTCATGTACCCAAACACAACCTCTTCCCCAAAAACCTATTGAAATAAATAAAAATAAAAAGACCTAAGAGACATGACAACCACATTTTATACATGATTGGTGATTAAACCCAGGATCGTGGAAAATTATTATAAAGAATATTGTTGAAACAATTAATAAAATTTGAGGATGAATTGCATTTTAAATAATAGCATATAAGTATATCAATGCTTAGTTTCCCAAATTTGATCATCAAATAGTGATTATGTAATGGAATGTCTTTGTTCTTAGGAAATACATCTTGAAGCATTTCAGAGTAAATGATTGTGATAGATGCAACTTTCACCCAAATGAATTAGAAAAAAAAATATGTATACATTCTTATGTGTATGTATTTTTTCTGAATCATTTACATGTATACATAAATATATATGACGTGTGTATATACAAAATAAATATATGTGTGTATATATGCATAAAATAATAAAATAAATATATAAAAAACAAAATAAAAATAAATAGGTGGGGCGCAGTGGCTCAAGCCTGTAATCCCAGCACTTTGGGAGGCCAAAATGGGCGGATCACGAGGTCAGGAGTTCAAGACCAGTCTGGTCAACATAGTGAAACCCCATCTCTACTAAAAAAAAATAAAATTAGCCAGGCATGGTGGTGTACGCCTGTAATCCCAGCTACTCTGGAGGCTGAGACAGGAGAATCGCGTGAACCCGGGAGGTTGAGGTTGCAGTGAGCAGAGACTGTGCCACTGCACTCCAGTCTGGGTGACAGAAAGAGACTGTCTCAAAAAATAATAATAATAATAAACAGATACACATATAAAGTATATACAGGTAGAATATTGAATATATTCATATGAATCTGAATGAGGGGTCTATGGGAGTTCTCTGTATTATTCTTACAGCCTTCCTATAAATATGAAATTATTTTACAATAAAACATTTTTGAAAATGTTAAAGAGGATAGCATGAATAACTTTATGCCAATACATTAAAAATTATCAAAATATTAGCAATTACTTTGTTGTTATTTAAGAACAATTGAGGAAAAACATATGACCTATCTCTTACCCTGGGTCAGTTTTAAATAAAGTCATGCCTTCCGTAGCGCCGCAGTGTCATTGCTTTTTGGCTGTGTGACATGTCAAGAAGGGTGAGAAGGTTCTGTCAGGACAATAGATTTCATATGACATGGTATACTGCAGTTTTGTTCTTGAATTCAGTTCAGCCTCTGACAATTGTAATTGCAGTTACATTAAATGAATGGTTTTCTGTGGCTCTGTAGTAAAATGGTGAGACAGCGTATTGTAGTGAAAAAGACAGGGTTGCTGATGGTAGCCAAATCTATATTCAAATACAAGTCCTCTGTATCCCAGTTGTATAATGTCTTGGATAAGTTATTAACACTCTGAACCTCAGATTTCTCATGAGTGAAATGAGGATAATACAACCAACCTCACATGCCTGTCCAGAGGTATAAAAACAGTTCTGATATTTATATTTTATTCTGTTTCACGAACATCTATTTTCTATTAAAACTGTCCTAGAAAAGGCCTGAAACAAAAAAGGAAAATTTATAAAACTATCATTTGGAAACTATTTTTTTCTTGATGGTTATACAGTGGGACTTTTCTTATTTCTTTTATGAACACCAAACTGCTATTCTTTCAAAATATGTAGATAATAAGAAAGGTCTTCCTTACCTAATTTTATTTCCAAGTTTTTGGCAACACTAATCTGATTTCTTTACTTTTTCTAGAGTAGACTTTGTAAGAGAATATAATGTGTCTCTGTGTTTTGTGGGGTTTTGCTTTGTTTTGGTTTGTCTTTAGTTACTAGCACAGTGCCTGAGCGAGAGGCCCTCAAATAAACTCTTCTTGGAAAAAACTGAATTAAATGAAACATGCTCAAAGCTGTTATATGTTATGGAAATTGTTCATAAGAATTTCTATCACTCTAGAAATTATATATTACACTTCAGAATTCCAGAATCTTCAAAAACCAAATTTATTAGTAAATATTATATTTTCTAAAAATATATTGTAATAAAGACAAGTCCCTAAAATAGAGATTCCACATGCATTATTCATATAGAGTATAGTAGGCCGTAATTCTAGGGTTTTTAAGATTTCTTCTTGATGTAAAATCCTTACCTTGACCAATAAATTTTAGATTTCTAAGCTGATGTTTTAAAAATGTAGGTCTTTTTTTTTTATTAGATTTCACTGTGATTTACTTAGGTATCTATAAAGGAATTAAGCAAATACTGGGTCACATGTCTCTGTATCCAGAATTTCCCATAAATTGGGGTGTGGGCACCCTGGCAATCAAGTGGTGGTATTAAAAACTTTGTCAATTTTCTACGGTCCTTTTGTTTGGTTTTTGAAGGGACTTATTACTATGAGTAAATATGCTATATTTGTTTTAGTCAAGATAGCATAAGAGGGATGGTCAATTAAGAATGAAAAAAATCATTGTAAATATTAGCCCAGACCATATAAATTCATAGGTCAAATATTTTGTGCTATTCTCTTAACCCTTGAAAACGACTACATCTATAGATGATGTAGTCTTTTACCACATTCATGATGTATATTTAATTCCTGAAGTCTGTGATTTTCAGTAGGAACTGTTAGAATGCTCAAAGGAGGATTCTAATGAGGGGCGGGAAGGAGTTGGACTAAAAAATGCAAATACAATCTGTGATCTTGCAATAATCAGCAAATCATTTTTAATGCAGTAAAGACCTCTAAATTTTATAGAGGCTTTTAAATTAACATATAATTACAATGAAAAACTACATATGTTAACTTGTTAATTATTGATGGCATATATAAAAATCATAGTCACAAAATGATGTATATGTGTACTGTCACTAGAAAAATTAGCAGTTTGGTGTTTCTAAAGAAATACAGTCAGTGCCAATCTATGGCACGAAAGAAAAATTTAGTATTAGTTTTCAAATGATCACTTTATTTTTCTCTATCAAGAAAAATCTCTAGGAATTATAGTATTATTTTTAATATACATGATGAGTGGCCACAACTTTTCTTTTGGAGAGTCATATTTCTGTTTCATGATGGTCTTAACATAATGTTGGCAGCAGAAAAGTCTTCCAGGTGCACCTGCAGAGACCAGATGGCTTTCCACTCCTCTGCTTGGGAGTGGGTCTCGGTTCCCAGCATGTTATCACCCTTTCCTGGGAGCAAAGCACCAGGTGTTTCCCAGGCTTCGTTTGCATTCCATACACACTTCATGCTCTTTTGCTTCCAAACGTGCACAAAACTATTCCTTACTCCTTTTGTATTGCTAATGTTCGTTTATTCTTCAGATTAATTTTGTGACCCTGAGAAAAGTTAGTGCGCAAGGGTGAATTAAAGGATGTGAGATTGCTCAAAGGGCAGCACTAGCTGGAAGGGGAATGGAGAAATTGCCACCAGTTTACACTGTAGCTGAGAGAGTTATGGGAGAAGTTTTAAAGTGAAAACATATCAAAGAAAAAAAAGGTTTATTATTTCTGTTATTCTTCTTCTCAGTGGTCTTTCTATAAGCTAAGTTCATACAAACTTTCAAACAGACAATCTAACCTTAAACAACTTAATTCAGTCAACATCCTCCTGACCATCACTGAAATTAAATAGTATCGGGGTGGGTGATGACCAACTCTTAACCAAAACAACCAACATAATGAGGAGCGCTGTTCCTTGGAGGAAACTTTCCCTCTCTTAGTACCATGATTTCAGGAATCATTTCATGTAAGGATGCTATCCTTGGTAGTTAAGCTGAAATAAAATAACTCAGGCAATATATATGACTTAAAACTCAACTTGGCTTAGCTTCTTGGGAAGCTAAGAAAGGAAGTATGGCCTTTCTTATTGACTCTGGCAACTCCCCAGATTTCAAAGTATCATTAAAAACTCTAAGAAAAAAATTATGCATGTCAGGCATAACTTTGTCAAAATTAGTCTGAAAGCCCATCTGGCTACAGTGTCTTATTGAATTTGTCACATTTTATAGGTAGTTGAGTTTCTTTCCTAATAATCAATCTCTCCAAGGGATGACAAGAATTACTTCATTGTATAAGCAAATTGCTACAGTTGGTTACCCCGACAAGACATTCTCTCTCCCAGAACTTCATTGCTTAAATAAATTTCTAACTTTTTATTTGGAAGATCCAAATTTTAACTCTCCAGTGGCCCTCAAGTGGATACATCCTATGTTTACCGTCACCCAATTCCAAGCAGCATGTATTAAATAACCTCCTAACTTATCGCCTCACATAAACTGCTGCCCTCTTCAATCCGTTCTCATACTGGAGCCACAGTGATACTTTCAGAACACAATTTGGATCACACTTTCCAAACCATAACCTCTACTTTCTACCCTTCCCCACTTCTTTCCTCTTAAAACACCTCTGTGACCTCCTGTTAATGTGGCTTCCGAGTTATTGCCTGGTCTCACTTCCACCTGTCTCTCCGTTCATCTCATCCTGCCCTCACTGTTCTTGGTGCTTTGCTCATACTGACCTTTCATTTTCTCTAGTGATCATTAGGTATCCTCCCTACCTGACAACCCACCCAATATCATGCTGCTACTCATCCTTTGCCAGAATGTTTGCCCTCCTACAACCCCTCACTGAGTTAACTCTACTTACCCTTCCAATCTCAGCTCAAGGAAGCCTTTCCCATCCCTTCAGAATACGTCAGATCTACTATTCTACTTTCAGTCATCATCCTCTACCTTTCCTTGTGCTCATCACCAGTTTATATATTTGTGTACTTATTTGATTAATGTCTTCTTCCCCCCTAGCTTCTAAGCCTCAACTGCAAGAGATCACATTCTGTCTTCTCATCATTATATCCTCAGCAATCAGCAGAGTTCTGCTCATAGACTGGGCACTCAAGACATAAATGAATGCATGAATAAATGAATGCCAAGAAAGGATTATATTTTTTCTGTTCCTTTACCTTTCTGGGTTTTACCCCTAAAAGTAAAATATTCTTATTCACCTGACAGATTTTAAAGCTTGCCATGCTCATACTTAAAGTGATGGATATTGGCATTGTTTGCAAAAATAAAATGCTTGACTACATGGTAGGCATGAAAAAAAACCTTTGATGAGTAACAGAAACTTCTCTATGTATCTGGCTAGCAAACCATTTGCCTACATTTGTGGGCAGGGGTAAAATATAAACATATTAATTCCCTTTATCTCATGAGAGACAAGGTCTAGAAAACCAGAAAATGCCCCTTTGCTTTTTACCTTACAAGCGTTCTTTGAAGCAATTTTGTCCCAGACACTACATGGCTAAGATACACAGGTGAAATAAGCACCATCCCTGCTCTCAAGAAGTTCCCTCTCTTACAAAGTTCGCTCTCCTCTTATATAGCTCTACAACACCTCTATAGGACTGAAGCAACCTTCCAAAATTTGAAGTTTCATACCAAAATTTCAAACATGAAGCTCTTTATCTGCCAATATATTGTATCATAAATATATTCAGGTTTTATAAACAGAAAATCTTTGTTTCCATGTTGGGAAGTTTTAAATATATATTTAATAGTTGCTCAGTCAACATGAGCTGAATGGACTGATTGATTAGGTGTTATGGTGACTTTAAAGTGAAATTTTACCATCATTTCCCTTTATCTTCCTCAGCTCACACAAAGATTCTTTTAAAAGTAGTGGCATGCAACTGTAGTGGATATCGTTCAACTACATGCGAGTCCACTTAAGGTTACGAGAAACATATAGCACAGATCAGAATATCTTAGTTGAACATTGCCACTCCCCTCATTGCATACATAACCTTTAGCAAATTCAAGATTTCCTTATATTTCTTTTAAATATTTTAAAATTTCTTTTTCAGAAAAGAGATTGGCAACTTCAGATTGGAAGTGGATCATAGCAGGAATCCAAGCCTATAAATCAGGTATGGAATAGATCAAGGAACTCAGAAGTCCAAGAATGAGCAACTCTACTGAGGTTTTTCAGCTATAAAATGGAGTAATAATGATTGTGCTTTCTTCAAGTGTTTTTGTTAATATTTGGAAAGTGTTTTAATCTGATACTAAAAAGGTGTTTTGGGGCCTGGCGTGTGGCTCACGCCTGTAATGGAAAGCACTTTGGGAGGCCGAGGCTGAGGTGGGCGGATCACTTGAGGTCAGGAGTTCGAGACCAGCCTGGCCAACATAGTGAAATCCTGACGCTACTGAAAATACCAAAATTGGCCAGGTGTGGTGGTGCACATCTGTAGTCCCAGCTACTTGGGAGGCTGAGGCAGGGGGATTGCTTGAACCTGGGAGGCAGAGGTTGTGATGAGCTGAGATCGTGCCACTGCACTCCAGCCTGGGCAACAGAGTGAGACTGCGTCTCAAAAAAACACACAAAAACAAAAACCTGTTTTGGAAGAAAAAATGTGATGGGTGTTGTCAGTGTGGGGGTAGGAGAATGCAGTTTATTCTCAACAAACGTCCAATCACAGCTTTTCAAGAAAGTGGAAATTCAAAGGGATTTTATTTTCAAAGCTTATTTAAAAAGTGAAAAGAGGCTTGCATGATTATGTCTTTTATATAGCATTCCTGAGCTATTTATCAAGGTGCATAATTGAAGAAACATGATAACAGCTGGTACTGGCTAGGAATTACTGTACTTAATTAAAAAGTAGATGTAGATCCTGGCAGCTTTGGTTTCACAACATACCTGTTCTACCCACTGAGGGGAATTTAAATTCCACTTAGTACGATCAGTACATCAATACACAAAAGTATGTTGTAAGGAGATACTCCCCAGGAAGGTAGAAGACCATCTACAGTTGAAGGGAAAATGGACAAAGAACAGTAATTATTTTTATTCAAATTAGTTTTTAAAATTTTTTAAGTTGTGTTAGTTTTGACTATCAAAATATATGTTCATTTTTATATTTAGAGAATTAGTAAACGCCTAGGAAACAAATGATATTTACCCATAGAGCTACAACAGTACAACAAACCACTGTTAAAACACTATTGCATTTCCTTCCATTTTTATATATGCATATATACATTTTAATTCTTGAAAAACTGTGATTATGTTATATATTCAGTTTTTGGGTAAGGGTTAAGTTTTGGTTTGGGTTTATACACCAATTCAAAGTCAAGGTCATATCTATAAAAACTTTATCTTATTTCCTGAACTATTTTTACAAAACATGATTTTAAAAGCTATATAACATTTAATTATATAGTTATGGTTTTTGTTTTGTTTTGTTTGAGACGGAGTCTCACTCTGTTGCCCAGGCTGGAGTGTAATGGCACGATCTCAGCTCACTGCAACTTCCACCTCCCGGGTTCAAGCAATTCTCTGCCTCAGCCTTCCAAGTAGCTGGAATTACAGGTGCCCACCACCACGCCTGGCTAATTTTTTGTCTTTTTAATACAGACGGAATTTCACCATCTTGGCCAGGCTGGTCTTGAACTCCTGACCTTGTGATATGCCCGCCTTGGCCTTCCAAAGTGCTGGGATGACAAGTGTGAGCCACTGTGCCTGGCCGAGTTATGTTTTTTTTTTTTTAACTCTTTTCTTCATTGTAAATACGTAGGTGGTTTTTAAGATTTTTTTTTTCCTTTCATACATTGTTAGGTCTCTCTATTAAAAGAAATCTCTAAAAGTAGACTTCAGGGGTTAAAACATTTATATATCATAAAAGCATTTTTACATTATTACAAAATTGTTTTCCAGACCGTTAGTACTCCCATCAATGGTGCATAAAAGTGTCTATTTCATTAAAAATTAACATAATTTAATATTAAAATTTTTCTCTATCCAATTCTTGAAAAATTATAAAATTTTATTATTTTAATGTGTATTTTTAACACTAATGAGATTGCACAGTTTTGTACATGTACCTTCTTTTTGCAAATTATTTTTATATTCAATTTGCTTATTTTTCAATAGGGGATGTTAGTTTTTTCATATTAATCTATAAACACACAAGATATGAAACATATTAAGTGATAATTTTTGAAATATCTCCTCAATTTTAATTCCTAGTTTAATTTTATTCAGAGCGCTTTTTGACACTAGTTCGTACAATACAGTCAGGCAATGAGAACATATTCTGGGAATTGCTTCATTAGATGACTTTGTGTGAACATCAACAGAGTATACTTATACACACCTAAGTGGTCTAGCCAACTACACACCTAGGCTATGGAGTATAGCCTATTACTCCTGCACTGCAAACCTGTCATGGCATATGACTCTACTGAATAGTGTAGGCAATTTTGGAACAACAGTACGTATTTTTGTAACTAAACATATCTGAACATAGAAAAGATCGAATAAAAATATGGTATTATAACCTTAAAGGGCCACCATTGTGTATGTGGTCTGTCGTTGACTAAAATGTTGTTATGGAGCAAATGACTGTAGCAACTGAAAGGTTGCTATGGACTTCACACTATTCTGAGCACTGGTAATCTAGAAATGAACAAAAAGTCGAAACTCTAGACTTTGTAAAACTTGAACAAAACAGTAAAAAATCCTGGCCTTCAGGAAGTTTTAATTTTAGTTCAGAAGAAAGACAACAAATTTTGAAAACTGATATATTAGGAGGTGATAAATGCTATGGATAAAAGTGATAACAGCAAAGAGAAATAAAAGATGCTAGGGATGGAGGTTGTGATTTTCAGCAGGATTATCAGGGAGGATGACATCTGAGCAAACACTTGAAAGAGGTTGGAGGTGAACCAGGCAGAAGAAATAGTGAGTACAAAAGCCTACAGGTTAGATGCCACCCAGGCTTAAGGAATAGGAAAAATGCTAGCGTGGCTGAAATCAATTGAGATTGGGATTTCATTGACGAGTTATGGGTCCCAGAACACTAAGGGCCTGGTGTAAACTTTTTGGCATTCACTTTGAGTGAGAAATGGACCATTGGTGAATTTTACGTAGGTAAGTGCTATGATCTGACTTATAAGCTCATTCTGGATGGTGGATTGGGAACAGGTGGAAGCTATTGCAATAATCTAAACAAAAGCTTGAACAGGGTGATAGTAATCTAGAATAAACACAGCCCCTATATACATTGAGAAACAAGTGACAGGAGTTACTCAAAGCAAGGTTTGGAAGGTGAATATGAAGCAATGACAACTCTGGATTTTTTTATGTTTATTTTAAGTTCAGGGACAATGTGCTGGTTTGTAATATGGGTAAACTTGTGTGGTGGGGGGTTGTTGTACAGATTATCTCATCACCCTGGTATTAAACCTAGTAGCCATTTGTTATTTTTCCTGATCCTCTTCCTCCTCCTCCCACCCCCCATCCTCCGATAGGCCCAGTGTGTGTTGTTCCCCTCTATGTGTCCATGTGTTCTCATCATTTGGCTCCCACTTATAAATGAGAACATGCGGTATTTGATTTTCTGTTCCTGCATTAGTCTGATAAAGATAATGGTCTCCAGATCCATCCATGTTCCTGCAGAGGACATGATCTTATTCTTTTTTTCTTTTTGACTGCATAGCATTCTATGATATATATGTACCACATTTTCCTTTTCCAGTCTACCATTGGTGGGTATTTAGGTTGATTCTATGTCTTTGCTATTGTGAATAGTGCTGCAATGAACATAAAACTCTAGAGTGTTTAACCTGCAACTAGAAGGATGGAGTTGTCACTAACATAGATGAGAATGACTTCAGGAGGAACAGATTCAGGGGGAGAAACATGAGGAGCTGAGTTTTAGACGTGTCAAATTTGTGTCTTATTAGACATCCATGTAGACGACCAGTAGTCATTTGGAAAAAAGTGACTTTAGGAGAGAAGTCAGAGCTAGAGCTACTCATGTGGGAATCATCAGCAAATAGGTAGTATATAAAGCCATGAAATTAGGTGAGATTAAATAATCATCGATATAAAAAGAAAAGATAAACAAAGGCTGAGCTCTGGGGAACTTCAACCAGCAGAAGAATGAGAAGTAGCCATTTAGGAGGAGGAAAGATAGGAGACTTCTGAAATACAAGGAAAGAAATATTTCAAGAGAGGAGAGAATAATTGCTAGGGTCAAATACTGGTGAGAGATTGGATAAGAGGGAGACTGACATTCAGGTGTGATGTGATTATGACAACATGGAAGTCTTCAGTGACTTTGACAAGAGGAGTTTGGAATTTGGAATGAGAGCCTCTTAGAACAAATTTGAAGGAAAATAGGAGGAAACAATTTGGAGACAACAGCTAAAAACACTAGGGAAGAGTTTTGTTGGAAAGGGAAATAGTGGTAGTTAGAGGAGAAATGAGTTGAGGGAAGGATTTGTTTTAGATAGGAGTAATATAGCATATTTTTCTGTTGATGAGGAAGATCTAGAGAGAATAAAAAAGATTCAAAATAGAAAAATATTTAATGGAGCAACATACTGAGTTGGAGAGAGACCCTAGGGTCTACTGTAAAATAGGGATTTGGCTTTAGAAAGGAGCATGAACAGTTTATTGACAGTAACATAAGTGGAGAAAGAAGATGTGAAAATCAATGCTAACAGATGAGGAGAACATGGTAGACACTTGGAAGTCTTCTGATTGCTTCTGTTTTCTCAGCAAAATAAAAGGCAATTTCATCAGCTGAGAGTGACACATGCTTTACTTTTAAATGGGGCAAATCTGTCGTGCCCATTTTTTTTTTTTTTTTTTTGTAATTTCTTCCATAACTTTTCAGCTTAGGAATCCTCTTCCATTTTGAGGTCAGCTTTTAAAATCCCTGTATTTTCTCTAAGGTTTTGAATGCTATATATATTTTTTAATTTTTGAGGGATAATCATCAAATAATCAAGTCTAAGCAAGACACTAAACCCAGAATCTATAAATAAGCAATTGATAAAAGTTACTATTTAATAATATTTATGCTTGGCAAGAATATACTATAAGCAAGGTTCAAAGATCAACCTAAAACTAAAACTGCATCAGCTGGACTGTACTTGTGACTTGCTCTGGCTAACAGAATGTGACAGCATGCCAGTTGTAATCCTAGGTCTCAAGAGTCTGTGCTTCCATGTTATCTCTTGGAAACCTGTAACTACCATATGAACAAGCCCAGGTTAGGTTCCCAGAGAGTGAAAGAACACATGGAGGAGAAATCAGTTGCCCTAGCTGTGTTTCCAGACATGTGAGAGCACATATCCTCTACACAGCCACATTTGAATAAAACCGTAGAGTCAGCCCAGCAAAGACCAGAAAACTGACACACCTGAGTCTGGTCTAAGTCATTAGCTTGCAGACTCGTGAGCTAAATAGTGGTTGTTACTACTTTTAAGCCAACTAAAGTTTAGTGGGCTTGTTCTGCAAACATAGCTAACTCATACATTTGCATGAGTATTTCTAAGTATTGGAGAGAGAATAGAACAAGCTGACACAGGGTCCTCAACAGTCTACAGAAAGAGTTAATTCTATAGTGATAGTCAACTTAAAGCTGATGTTAATTATAAGGCTAAGTGTGAGCTTAAGACACCATTCCCCAAATTGTCCTCCATCAATAATAGTCCTACCAGATTCTCATGACAAGGGGGGTCGCTACGATAAAATAATTTTTTAAAAGGGTGCACACTACATTATACTACTAGAGCCTGTCGATATACATTAATATATAAAGCCTCTAACAAGTGGTTAGTTCATGGCCTGAAATCTAGTGATCATTCAACAAACGCTCAAGTACTTATAATCTTTATCATCATCAGCAGCAGCATCATTCTTTATTTACTGGCTACAAATTAAATCTCAATTCAGAAACTTGAAACTTTATAGTTAATTGATTAGTCTCTCAGATTCTTGCAGTCAGTTGACTTTAATTTTTAGTCTAGATTTAAAATAATTTTATAAAGTTACAAAACATTTGATTTCATAATTTTGGACATTTAAAGAAAAAAATGAACGTGGATTGCTATGATGCTAGTAATTATACAGCACATATTTCTTTCAAAAGTAGGTTGTAAGTAAGTAGATGCAATTTCTATTAATAGCCTATAGAACTAGAGTTTTGTGAAACTCTGGAATTCTCTACTCTGAGGTGATGATGGCTAAATGAAAAATGTCACAGGTGAAATACTCTGCTCTTTTAAAGACTGAACAAGGAAAAGGCAGATAAAAGTTAATTATCTTACTTCCCACCAAAGACATGAAGAACCATGAAACAAAGTTTTAAAGTAACTCTGAGAGTTCCCTTACAAATCCAGTTGTGATAGGTGTTAGTGGTTATGCATTGTAACAAAGAATCTTTACTGGGGAAGAAAGGAAGAGAGATTTCTCAGTTCAATTTAATCTATAAAAGTAGTCACCTTTCTTGGAACACATGATCATAAACACGGGTTTCATCTCATGTTTTCTAATTTAAGCTTTTCCCATTTTTTAAATTCATCCTTTTTGGCATTTGATTCTAATTGATTATTCTGTATTTGTGTGTTTTTATTCTGCCTTTACTTGGTAATCAATTGTTACAAATCCATTAATTTTTTACCTTATAGCCATTCTTAAATGTAATCTAAGCACTAAAACACTTAGTAATACTTACTGGGCAACAGAAATAAGAAATGCCCTAGATTTTGATGTTTACAGTAGTACCCCTTTCTCCACACTTTCTCTCTTCTTGGTTTCAGCTACCCAGGGGCAACCACAGTTTAAAAATATTAAACAGAAAAATCCAGAGATAACCAATTCATACGTTTTAAATTGTATGTCGTTCTAAGGAACATGATGGAATCTTAAGTCATCCATCCTGTCCTTCCTGGACATGAATCATTCCTTCTCCCAGCATCTACATGCTGGGTGTCCACCTGTTACTCACATAGTAGCCATCTTGGTTAACAGATCTACTGTTGTGGTGGGCAGTGCTTGCGTTCAAGTCACCCCAACCATGGATACCCTTTTCTCCTAACATCCAACCATGGAAAATGTCATGGCTACATGATCCAAGATCACCTGAAGCAGATGCTCTTCCTGAGATATTATCGAAAGGTCCATAGTAGCATAACGCTGTGTCACGATGCCTGTGTCATGTTATGCTATGTCATTCACCTCAGTATGCAGGCATTTTATCATCTCACAAGAAGAAGCATGCATACAGTAAAATAAAATATTTTGAGAGAGAGAGGCCACATTCAATTCACTTACTTATATTACAGTATATTATAATTATTTCATTTTATTTTTAGTTATTGTGGTTAATCTCTTACTGTGCTTTATTTACAAATTAAACTTTAGTGTAGGTATGTATGTATAGGAAAAAACATAATATGCATAAGGGTTGGTATCCATGGTTTTCGGCATCCACTGGAGGGTCTTAAGAACTTGGAACACAGAAGATGTAACATATCTGGGGATAATAATTCAGCTTACGGCATTTAGATATAAGATCCAATTAACACTAGTCATAGGGATTGTGGAATAAGCTTATTCCACAGGTTACCCAAACCCCCTATTCTTGCAAATATCTTTTTATCAGCTTCTATATTCATTTGCTAGGGCTACCATAACAAAATACCACAAACTGGGTGGCTTATACAACAGAAATATATTTTCTCACAATTATGGAAGCTATAAGTCAGCAATGAAGCTGGTTGGTTTCTTTTGAGGCCTCTCTCCTTGGCTTGTAGATAGTAACCTTCTCCATGTTTTGACATGGTCTTCCCTCTGTCTGTTTTTGTGTTCAAATTTCCTTTTCTTTGAAGAACATCAGTCAAATTGGATTAGGGCCCACTCTAATGATCTCTTTTTAACTTAACTACCTCTTCAAAGACCTTATCTTTGTTTATTTATCTATTTGTTTAAGAGACAAGGTTTTGCTCTGTCACCCAGGCTGGAGTGCAGTGGTGCGATCATGGCTTACTGCAGCCTCAAACTCCTGGGCTCGAGAGACCCTCCTGCCTCAGCCTCCGGAGTAGCCAGGACTACAGGCTACACACTACCGTGCCCTGCTAATTTAAAACAACAAATGTGTAGAGATAGGATCTGTCTGTGTTGCCTGGTCTCAAACTCCTGACCTCAAGTGATCCTCTTGCCTTTGTTTCCTTCCCAAAGTGCTGGAATTTCAGGCATGAGCCACTGTACCTGGCGAGGCTAATCTTCAAATACAATCACATTCTGAGGTATTGGGGGTAGACTTCAACATATAAATTTTGGGGGAACACAATTAGCCCATAACAGCTTCCTTCTTATTTTTCTCCTTACCCATATTATGTAACTTCTTTGTTCTCCATCTGTTAAATAAGAATAATAAAACCCTTTGAAACAATGCTAGGAGCATAGTAAACTTAATGAATATTGTCTGACACTATGTTAGACCATCTATTATAGTCTGGGTCTGTGAAATGAAGAGAATTATCAAGGGTGGAGAATAAACTGGAAAAAATAAAGCAAATGCTGCTAAACACAAACTAGTCTATAGTCTAGCAGTTAAGAGAACAGGCTCTAGAGTCAGAATCAAATGCAGCCCTCTTGTTGCAGGGCAGGCAAGCCTCCAAACTGGGGCATAACCTAGATGGTTCTTAGCTTCACCCAGGAAAGAATTCAAGGGTTAGCCAGTGGTGTTTGACAGCAACTTCGATAGGAGTGGCAGCGTAGAGCAGCAGCAGCGGTACCACTCCTTGCAGAGCTGGGCTACCCCATAGGCAGCGTGCCCAGAGCAGCAGCTCAGAGGCAGGTCTGCAGTCATATTTATACCTACTTTTAAGTGCATGCAAATGAAGGGGCAGGTTATTCAGAATTTTCTAGAAAAGGGGTGTACTTCTGGGCGGCTGTCATGGAAAAGGGCAGTAACTTCTGGGCTTTGCCATGGCAATGGAAAACTGACATAGCCCTGGTGGGAATGTCTTATGGAAAGGTACTTTTACCGTCTCCTGTTTCAGCTAGTCTTCAATCTGGTCCAGAGTCGAGTCCCTGCCTCTTAACCTCACTGTGACTTATAAACCACATGACTTTAGTAACTGCTTTATCATCTCACATTTTAAGCTTTATATTCCTCATAAGACCATAATCCTCATAAGGTGGTTGTAAGGATCAAGAGAGAGAATGCAGAAAGAGCACCATGGAGGTACTTGGCACATGGTGGTATTGGACAACCAGCAGCCACTCTCAGTATTAATCATTTTCAGGATCATAAATAATCCATTGCATTTACACTTAATTCTCTCATGCTTTGATTTTCATCCAAAGAAGTGAATAAATATTTATTAAACCAAACATGGTTTTATTTCTTTAAAAATGATTAGCCAAAGAAATGCATCCTTTTTGGTTAGAAAAAGAAAATAATGACTCTATAAATATACTGTGAACTCTAAGAGTGAGCCCTGACTCAGACTATGGAGTTTGGGTGAGAATGACATGTCAAGGTAGGATCATAGATTGTAACAAATATACCACTCTAGTGTGGGATGTCAATAGTGAGGGAAGTCTGTGGATATACAGGGGGAGGAGGTATATGAGATAACTCTGTGCCTTCTGTTCAATTTTACTGTGAAACTAAAATGGCTCCAAAAAATAAAACTTATCACAAAAAGTATTTTGGAATCCCTTTTTATATATTTTATAATGTAAAGGGACAAAAGGAAAGAAATATTTCTGAATTGCTATAAAGAAATCTACTACCAAGTTTATCTTCTATCAAAATGGAGAGAATAACATCTAAGTATACATTTTGGATGTTTTATTTGTCTCTAGATTTCTAAACACGACAATGTCATTTGCTTTTACCTAACTTTCTTTGAATTGAAATTATATTCATGATGAAATAAAACTCACTCTAGAACCAATGCGATAGTTCTCAGAAAAGTGAAATTATTCCTTTTCTTTGTGCTATAGATGCCTTTAACAAGCTTCGATCTGCAGTTCACTCATCTTTTTAATAGCAGAGACTTTGGGGAACGAATGAAAATAATTGTATATCCAGTGAAAGAAAAATTGGGTAGGAGTCACTGGACTACCATGCTTTATTTATTCAGTTAAATCCATAGTTCCCTTTGCCAAAAATTCTCCAGAAAAAAAACAAAGGGGAATTAGGGTGGCTATTCAGCAAATTTTTTTATGAGCTTCTTTTGACTATACTTGCCATTAAGTGGAGATTTGTTAGGAGAAAAAATATAGATAGATAGATAGATAGATAGATAGATAGATAGATAGATAGATATAGTCTGGGCATCGTGGCTCATGGCATTCTGGGAGGCCGAAGTGGATGTCACATGAGCTCAGGAGTTCAAGACCAGCCTGGGCAACATGATGAAACTCCATCTCTACAAAAATAAATAAATAAATAAAAAATTAGCCAGGCATGGTGGAATACACCTGTAGTCCCAAGTATTTGGGAGGCTGAAGTGGGAGGATTACTTGAGCCCAGGAGAGGTGGAAGTTGCAGTGAGCTAGGCCACTGCACTCCAGCCTGGGCGACAGAGCCAGACCCTGGCTCATAAAAAAAGAAAGAAAGAAATGTATTTCTCAACATCTTCAGTGTTCTACAGACAAACTAACCAGCATAAAATGAACTTAATATCTCCAGAGTTATGTGTTTAACTTTATATCTCTATCAGAATCTTTGTTATTTCCATTATCAGAAATATCATTCTTTGTAAGGGGGAAAGAAAGAATTCCAGGTATCTTTTCTGAAGGTAAAAAGACATAATAACAGTCCCTTAAATTCACACTCTAATTGTACCTGTTTTAATGAGCCTTCCTGAATATAGCAATGTCAGCATGCCATTTTATAAAGGATAAAATTATACTTTCTACTTGCTGAATTATTAATGATATTTAATTTCTCCAGCATTCACCTTTGATTTAAGAGTCATAATCAGAAATACATTTGTTAATTCACAGTAACAGAAATGGAAGAATTAGCCAACCACATTCTTCAATATGTATACCCAACCTTCGCACTACCCTAAGGACCTGTTTCAAACCAAGCATGTTATTTAGAAAAACGCAGGGAAATGAGAAGCGTAGCCTTGAAGTTTAACTTCAGGGCGGTAAAGAAGCAATGTTGTTTTGAGGATACCGAAGAAGTGAGGCAAAACCCTTTCAAGTGCAAACAATCCCGTTTTAAGCATATATTTGTCACCCTAGAGTTCACCAGAAAGGATAAACAGGATTTTACACCAGATATCAACATATATACTTAAAATGAGTATCAGAGTATTTTCTCAAGGCAGCCAAAAGCAATCCTTCCATTTCTGGCACTGGAGTTGGTTTAACTAAAGGAATAAAAGGATAGAGTGACCACATTTTTAAAAAACAAAGATAACCTGAGACATCTCTGAACAATAGAATTATCTCTTTAAAGGTAATTTCTGTAAAAATCTTAGTGGTTGTGTGACTTTATATAACCTCTCTAATCCTGCAAGATTGCATATGCAAAATCGTTCTTCTCTTTAAAGGAATAGGATCAGACTAATTTAAGCCAGAAAAAGAGAATTTATTGTAATCTACAGGGACTCAGAGGGTCAAAAGAAAAGAGAGCAATCAGACCTTGAGAAGGCCAAGTGCGAGGGTAGCTTTGGAGGGCTCAACAAGCAGGAAGCACAGACCACCCTTTAGCTTCCTAGTTGAGACCATTTAGCTTTAGTTCCTCATTCCCTTGGGGACCACTGCTCAAAATTCATATAATTGGAAGATAATTCATCAGCACTAGCTTGGGACATGATTATTTCCCTGTGGTAAGCTTAGAGAGTTGGGGGTGAGGGGTGGGGACAAGAATGGAAAGGGGTAGAGGGGAGGATAGTTTTATTCAGGATACAAGTGTGAGTCACACCAGATCCCAGAGATGGAGGCAGGGTGGGACATAAAATGAGAGGCAAATGCTTGCATCGGCAGAAGGAAGGGGATACCTGTGTGTATGTCTGGGGACCCTGCTATCCCCTAACACCCCCACAAAAAAAGGACAAAATTCAAATAACCTACTTTGCAGAGTGACAAAAACATAGTCCTCAATAAATGTTAATCATAATGATGTATTTGGATAGGCCTAGAATAAATAAACTCAAGAACACATTTGATTTGGAAAGCGTGTCTTATTCGTGCCCTCAAAAAATCGTTTCAAGTATTTTCACCTAAACTATTTTTCAGTTTCTCTATACTTTTCGGAAAAAGAATCATCTTCTACCTTAGCAGGAAATACAAGGCAAGAACTCCGTCAGAGCAGGTTCAAAGTTAAGCAGAAATGTCCTACATGTCACATTCATCTTCAGTGCACAAGCTCCACAAAATTCTCCTAGAGTCTTTCCACCTTCAGAGGGAAGTTGCCTTAGTAATTCCACCCCCAAGCCAGGAGCCACTGATCTCCTCACTCAGCTTCTATCAAAACCTCTCTTGGGTACTTTCTCTGTACTGTTTATATTTTAACAGAAATAAGAAATAAGGGGGAGGGGGGCAAGCTCTGACCTTGGAATTCCAACAGTTCTGAGGGGACAGGTTTCGACAAGTGAAGAGTCTTTCTGGTCCTCTATTGGGTTGTCACCACTTGGGAGAAAGAATTCCTAGGGAACAAACAAATTGCCACAAATAACAGCCTGCTCTAATAGAAGCCATTCTTCTTGCCTGCAAAATCAGTGTGGAATTAAAATTTTCCCAAGTAATTCTGTTTTGAGTTGCTCATCTACCAGCTCCTCCAGTCTGTTTTCAGAGCCCAGTCATCGCATGACAGCACTGAAATACCTTATGCAACCTGCATTCTGCTACCAGCCTACTCTGGGTCATGCCCTCTGTGTTTGTTCCCTTGTATTTTGGTGATTGTGCTTCCTTCCTTCCCTCCTTCCCTCCTTTACTCCCTCCCTTCCTTCCTTTCCTCCCTCCCTGCCTCCCTCCTCCTTCCCTGCCTCCCTCCCTCTGTCCCTCCCTCCCTCCCTTCCTTCCTTTCTCTCCTCCCTCCCTCCCCTGTCTCCTCCCTCCCTCCTCTTTCCCTCCCCTCTCTCCTCCCTCCCTTCCTTCCCTCTCTCTCTCCCTCTCTTCTTATCCTCCCTTCCTCCTTCCTTCCATCCCTTCTTGTTTTTCTACCCTCCTTTCTTCTTGCTTTCTTTCTCATTTTTAACTAGGCACAGAAAAATTCTATACAAAATCTGGATTTGAGGAAGATGTAGTAGAGTGTAATAAAATTATTTAAGGAGGTAAGATTTACAGTGTCTGGAGCTGAGTCAGTCACTAACTATCTGGGGGATGAGAAAAAAAAATCTCTTAAGCTTTCTGAGCCTCAGTTTTCTCATAACTAAACAAAGACGGTTGTTTAAAACAATAATTCACCAATGCCCTTCCACCCCAGCCAGTTCTATGCCAGGCAGTAATAGAATTTCCTGTTTAGCTTTGGTGGTAGGTGATCTTTTAAAATTACAAGCCACCTATTTTCCTTATAACCAAGATGCTGTAAGGTCCCTCCCTGTGCTCTGCTGTGAAGAATCCCTTCACTAGTGTCACTGGATGTTACCGATGCAGTGAAGTGTTCCTTTCTTCAGGGGCTTCTGGGCAAAATCAAGGTTGGGAACCACTGGTCTAGACTAGCTCCAAAGTTCTTTCCAGCTCTGACATGGATTCTCAGTAGGTTTGAGTTGGTCACATTCCTTAAGGATTAATCAAAGACTCCTCTCATTCTAAGAGAAGATTATATGTCAAGAACATACACTTGGGTTATCACAGCTTTTAGAGGAGGAAATAAATTATAAATAGCACAGGACTAGGATAACTCAAGCAAAATTGCTTCCTTCATATGGCTCTCTTCTCTTCTCTTTCTTGTATCCCATGTGTAGCTACTATAGTAGGACCTCTCTCTGCTTTTAGAAAGCAGAGTGGGACCAGGGAAGGCTTCAGAGAAATGAAAGCATGGGCTAGTCTACTCACAGACTCTTGTACCACAGTCATAGAATAACAGAGCTCAGTAGCATAGGAGGAGGAGAAGCCAACCAGGGATTCAGGGCTGAAACCCAGGTGAGCATGAACATCATGCGTCTAAGGCCAGGCGTGGTGGCTCTCGCCTGTAATCCTAGCACTTTGGGAGGCCGAGGCAGGTGGATCACCTGAGTTCGAGACCAGCATGGCCAACATGGCAAAACCCTGTCTCTACTAAAAATACAAAAATTAGCCAGGCTATTTTTTCCCAGCTACTCAGGATATTATAGCCGGACTGTATTATCCCAGCTACTCGGGAGGGTGAGGCAGGAGAGTCGCTTGAACCTAGGGAGCAGATGTTGCAGTGAGCCAATATCACACCAATTCACTTCAGCCTGGGCAAAAGAGCAAAACTCTGTCTCTAAATAAATAAACAAACAAATAAATAAAAATAAAGATAATAGATCCATATCATGTGCATTTGCTGCATTTATTCCCTGGGAATCTAAGAAGTGGCCCAACAGCTAAACTAGTGTCTGGGTCAAGATTTGAGCATCCCGGATTACCTAAGGGATTCAACTTAAAATAGATTAGCTGGTCCTGATTTTTAACTGCTTGAATCGTGACTGCTTCAAAATAAGAGTTTTCAAATCATGAAAGAGGGAGCTGCATCATTTAAAGTTTCCGAAAACATTTAGGTATTAGAATTCTTTATTAAATAAAGGCCTGTAGTGGATAAAGGAATTTAGGGTGGTTTTATCCCTGGATGTTGTATAAACATGCCACCAAACATTCCATTGAAAAGGAAACTAATAATAGCAAACTATTCATTTTTATTACTTATGCTAATTGTTATTCACTGGTAGTTTTAGGATTATAGGGAATGCTTATTCTTGCAATTAAGGTTGTGTCTGCAGCAACAATTGGTTTAGAGAAAAAAACATGTCTGTGTATGGCAAATACCTACTTATTTTGAAAACAACTGATTCAGAAATAGTTGGCCGCATTAAATATATGTTTCCCTCCAAAATAATTTGTGTTAATAAACACTTAGGTTTAAAAATGCCTTTACTGAACACCCACAATGAACAAAGTATGGTAAGATATATGGATTACCTCAAAGGAACTTAGAATATAACAAAAGAAACTTGAGTTAGAACGCATCTTATGTAATACATGTCTTATGATAGGGGTATGGATGAATATTTTGCAGTCACTCTAATGCTAACAATGATCTATCTTACATAAAAAAACAGAATAATTTAATGATAAAGTCCATGTCCTTTGCACAACATTCAAGGTTCTCTTTCTTCTGGCCCATACATACATTTCCAATCACTTCTTGTTTCTTGGGAGAGATGGCATGATTTAAAATTTCTGAAAACATTTAGGTATTAGAATTCCTTAGAAAAATTGTAAATTACATATAGTTTCTAAAGATGGGCCATGATGTCTCGTGCCCCATTTATGACTATTCACTTGTGTATCTGTCCATTTCCTATTTGACTCTGAGCACCTTGCTGGAAGCTCTATTGACCCTCACAGCCCAACAGTTAGCACAGAGTCTGGCACACAATTGCATACGTAAAGATTTATGAAATTAGACAGAGTTAATAGTTTATTTTCAAAGACAGCTTGCAAGCAGAAAGTATTGCTT
Source organism: Homo sapiens (assembly GCF_000001405.40). Lineage (NCBI taxonomy): Eukaryota > Metazoa > Chordata > Mammalia > Primates > Hominidae > Homo > Homo sapiens. The sequence continues at coordinate 27,890,214 of NC_000018.10, forward strand.
CTCTTTAGTGTTCTCACAGTTTCACTATTTTATTCTTTCTTCTCTTTATCACCTAACTGTGGAGAATAAGGTGGATGTTCTTTACTTTTTTTTTCCTTTCATTATCTTCTTGCACAAGTGCCACCACATACTGGTGTCAAATATATTAATTGCATTAATGACAAGCAAACTAGAGGCAGATCAAACACCTAGGCCAGTGATATCCATAGATGGCATTTTAATCATTTTTCTTAATTATTATTTTTTAGTGCTTCCAAGATTTTAGACACTACATTTGACATCATAATAAGGTCTTATGTCCAGGATTGCTAAGGGCTACTCTGGTGAGAAAAGCAGCAAAAGTTAAAGCAGTTAAATATTATAAGGGTTAAATAATAAAATGAAACTGTACAATAAGTATTCAGGGAAAAAAAAAACATGTCTTAACCAAGTGATGTCTCAGAAATATGCCCCTTAGGGTTTTCGTTTTCTAGAATTTACTTGTTGCTATGAGATGATTCCAGGCATGGGGATCAGTGATACATAAGCACCATCACCAGATTCCTCCCTTGAGTCTGGCACCCTGACATCCTATGTTGTAGCCCCTCTTCCCTGTGTCAGCCTTTCCTCATGGAGCCAAACTCCATTTATCAACCGGCAGTAATAGCAGGCTGGCAATGCCTCCCCTGGCTGTTGGTCTAAGCTAACCTTGAAAGGACTCCAGATGACAACAATGGGTTAAGATTTTCTTCAGCAGTTCCACAGAAATATTCAACACCAAAATGACTCAATTCTAGATCAATCCTTTGCAACTGAGAAACTAATGTGTAATTTATGACAGAAATAAATATATTTAATATTCTAGAGTTTTGTAAAGTTATAAACAAAATATTCAAACATGGAAAGCTCAAGTATAATCTAAACTAATCTAATTCTAACATGATCTATTGTAATCCTTTATGTAGGTTACTAGGGAACCAGAGTCTTCCCTGGTATTGAATAGTTAAAGGAAAGGGGAAATGGCGGCCAAAGATAAAAAAAGCACTGGGGTGGAGGATTGGAGTTACTGGGGGCAGGAGGAGCAACAAGGCAAATTGGGAGATAGGAAGGCAAAGAAGCTCTTTCCATTTTTTTCTTTGTTACAGAAAATAACCTTTGCTTTAAAGGAGTTACTGCATATTCTCTTCCCCTTGCCACCTCCATTTTCACCAGCATAATCACTACCATATTTATAAAGTTCTAAAAATGAGCAATGGACAGAAACATTGTAATGCGACCTACTACTTTCTACTGTTTTAAAAAGCAAACCATCTTCTTGGTTAAATTAATTAGTATTTTATTCGTTTTGATGCTATCATAAATGGGATATTTTTCTTGATTTTTGGACAGATTATTATTGGTATACAGAAATGTAACTTTTTTCATGTTGATTTTGTATACTATAAATTTGTATCCTATGAATGGTTGAATTCATTTATTACTTCTAAGAGTTTTTTGGTAGAGTCTTTAGGGTTTTCTACACATAGGATCATATTGTCTGCAAATAGGAATAATTTTAGTTTTTCATTTCTGGTGTGAGTGCTTTTTATTTCTTTTCCTTGTCTGATTGCTTTTGATAGTACTTCCAGTACTATGTTGAATAGAAGTGGTGAGAGTAGGCAACCTTTCCTTGTAGCAGATCTTAGAAGAAAAGCTATTGGTTTTCCCCCATTGATTATGATGTTATCTGTGGACTTTTCATAATTGATCTTTATTATGTAGACAAAATTTCATTCTATACTCGAATTGGTGAGAGGTTTTTTAATCAAGAAAGAATGTTGAACTTTGTCAAATGCTTTTTCTGCATCAATTGAGATGATCATGTGGTTTTTATTTTTCACTTTGTTAATGTAATATATCACACTGGTTTGCATACGTTAAATCAACTTTGCATCTCAGAGATAAAGTCAACTTAGTCATGATGCATAATCTTTTTGATGTGTTGTTGAATTCAGTTTGCAAGTATTCCACTGAAGAATTTTGCATCTATGTTCATCAGAGACATTGGCCTATAGGTTTCTTTTCTTGCAGTATCTTTGTCAGGCTTTGGGACCAGGGTGACACTGACCTAATAAATTGGGTTTGAAAGTATTTCTTCTGGTTCTATTCTTTGGAAGAGTTTAAGAGGGATTTATTTGATTCTTGTTTGAATGTTTGGTAGAATTTAGCCATGAAGCCCTCTGGTCCTGGCCCTTTTTGTTGTTGTTGGAGATTTTTAGTTACTACTTCACAGAAAAGTATAGAATATTGGTGAAAGAAATTGAAGAAGATACCAATAAAAAATATATTCCATATTCATGGAGTGGGAGAATTAGTATTGTTAAAATTTTTGTACTACCTAAAGCAATATTCAGATTCAACATTATCTCTATAAAAATTCCAAAGCTATGCTTCATAAACACAGAAAAAAAATTCTAAAATTTGTATTGAACCACCAACAACCCCAAATAGAGGAATCGTGAAAAAGAACAACACAGCCGGAGGCACCACACTTCTTGATTTCAAAATATACTACAAAGCTGTAGTAACCAAAATATTATGGTATTGGTATAATAACAGACAAATAGACTCATGGAGCAGAATAGAGGACCCAAAAATAAACCCAAGCATATACAGTCAACTAATTTTCAACAAGCCCATCAAGAAGACACAGTTGGGAAAGAATAGTCTCTTCAATAAATGATGTATGGAAAACCAGATATCCACATGCGAAGAATAAAATGGGAACCTTATTTTACACCACACACAAAAATCAACTCAAAATGGATTAAAGACCTAAATGCAAGACCTGAAACCATAAAAATCCTAGAAGAAAACATGGGAAAAGCTCTTTAACATTGTTCTGGGCAATAATTTTTTGACTATCACACCAAAAAATCGAGCAACAAAAGCAAAAATAAACAAGTAGGACTACAAACTGAAAAATTTTCTGTTCAGCAAAGGAAATAATAAAAAAAATGAAAAGGCAGCCTAAAGATGGTTGCAAATCCTACATCTGATATGGAGTGGGTATCCAAAATATATAAGGAATACACACAACTCAATAGCAAAAAATGAAAAAAATTTTAAATATTCTAAAAATTAGATAAAAAGTGGGCAAAAGATATGAATAGACATTTCTCCAAAGAAGACATAAAAATGGCCAATATGTATCTGAAAATGTACTCAACCTCACTAATCATCAGGGAAATGCAAATCAAAACCATTATAAGATATCACCTCACATCTGTCAATATGACTATTATAAAAAATAAAGAGAACAAGTGTTGGTAACAGTGTGGAGAAAAGAACCTTTATATAGTGTTGGTGGGAATATAAATTAGTGTAACTGTTATGGAAAGCAGTATGGAGGTTCTTCAAAAAATTGAAAATAGAACTACCTTAAGATCTAGCAAGTCCTCTACTGGGTGTATACCCAAGGAAGATGAAAATAGCATCTTGTAGAGATATTTGCATTCTCATGTTCACCACAGCTTTATTGACAATAGCTGAGACAGAGAAACAACCTAGGTGTACATCAACAGATGAATGGATTAAAAATTATAGGGGGATGTATGTGTATGTATATGTATATACATATATGAATATTATTCAGCCTAAAATCGAGATCCTGACATTTGTGACAATGTGAATGGATCTGTATTACATTATGCTAAGTAAAATAGGCCAGGCACAGAAAGAAAAATGTTGCATGATCTCACCTTTATGTGAAATCTAAAAAACAAAACTGGCAAATATACAGAAACAGAGAATAGTCAGTGGTTACCAGGGGTGGAGAGGTGGAGAGAAAATAAGGAGATGTAAGTCAAAAGATACAAAGTTATAGTTATGTAGGACGAATAAGTCTAGAGATCTAATGTACAACATGAAGACTAGAGTAATAATATTGTATACTGAAAATTTGCTCACAGAGTAGATTTTAGGTGCTCTAACTACACACGTACACATGCATAGACACACAAATGAGTAACTATGTGAAGTACTGGACATGTCCATTTGCTGGGCTATGGTAACCATTACACTGTGTATAAGCACAGCATTATATTATACATCTTATTTATATACAGTTACAAAAAACACTGGTAAAGGGAGCTACCTGCTACATAGAAAATCTAGAATTTCTACATCTTTGGCTTATTCCTTTTTTCCTGTGTGTTTTAAAAGACAGTGTTTAAAACAATAATTATAAGTCATAATTTGCACAAAAAGAGTAAAAGATAAACACAGGAAATGTAATTATCTGGCTGTCTGTGATAGGCTTCTTGAAAGGTGGTTTTTAACTACCACTTAATAGATGTGACATATTTGAAACTTTGCTGATTGGTCAAAACTTCACAATATTTCCTTCCACATTCGAACCTTGGTATTTTACTCCAGTGATTATCAATTTTTTTAAGGGAATCTAAGAATTATAAAGAATCTCTAGGTCTTCCTTTTTGAAACAGAGTTGATAACAGCAAGCCAAAGGTCTATCTCATTTTGTCATTGTTTATTTGTTTGTGTTGTCTTCGTGTGTGAAGTTTTATCTAGTATCTGACAGTATGACAGGTACTTGGGCACAAAGACTTGCATCTTGCCTCTGAGTAGCTCACAAGCTATTCAACCCTAAAGCCCAAGTTGTGATTCCGTGACAAAAATATATTTTTAAAGTCGGCCTTCTTTCCCATTTGGAAAAATTCCAAGCTGAACTACTGGGCTGTACAATGATTATACTGTGCTCTTCAGTAAATTACTTGTGGCCTCTGTATTGAAGACATCACGATTAAATTAAGCAGAGAACATTCACTATTCATCTACTTTTCAGTGTAGAGGGAAAGATTCATTAGATCATATCTATGTCATGCTTTAAACAATTCAGTAGCCAAGAAATATATTATTACAATTTCATTAATCATTCATCTCTGTTCACATTGCAATGTCCATATAAACTTGATATCCAAATATAACTTGATGTCAACACCATTCTGGCCTCATTCTGGTGCAAACATCAAGTCACATACACTGTCATGTACATTTATTCTGAGGCAAATTCTGTTGGATATTCTGAAGCAAAGTAACTTCTGCTGATCACAGCAGTATAACTTAAAATATACAGAATTTCACTACAGTTTTTCCTCTCTCAAGTTCATTTTTGAGCCCAAACTAAGCAAGATAAATTATATAACTAAATGTATTTTTCTGGAGAAATGATTAGAGAATGAAAAATAGAGGTTAGTTCACTGTGGCCTCAGCAACCTTAGCTGGAGCATCGCTATTGCTGTCCCGTAAATTAGATTTTCAGTGAGATCTGCTACTGCTATTCAGGGCTTAGCCTCGGTCTATTCCATGTCCCAGAATTGCAGACAACAGAACAAGCAATTAGGTCAGCTCAGGTCAACGCATGATTCAGCTCTAAATTTGTTAAGGGTTCGCGCTGCAAATAATATTAAATAGTAGATCATAGGTTGATCCTAAATTTGGCTTCTTTAAGGTACTCTTTTCCTGTGATTGGGAGGGAATATCACATCTAAGGAGAGGCTTCTGGGAGATTGGGAATTGGGTCAAATAAAAATCACCTAGGGAGTTTTTAAAGTATATTAATACTCATATTTTTGAGTCAGTCCCCCAGTCCAGTTCTTTAACTTTCTCTACTGTTAGATGTATATAATTGGGAAAATGATCTGATATTTTTGGTACGCAGCACCTTCTAATATCAGAGATTACAGAGATGGTTGGGCAGGGTTTTATATTGCCAAGCTTGGAGCTAAAATAATAGGGGCTTTCTCACTTAGCCAAAACAAACAAGAAAGGAAAATGTTTTTGCTCCCAACTACAGAAGAGAAAATCAAAGGAATGTGGGACACCAGGAGTCCTAGCAATTACGGTTGCTGTCCATAGCAGAATTCACACTCCAGAGATTAGCCTGGAGATGAATATGCTTTCAAGGGTGGAAGGTATCATTGGCTTCCCATATATGCAGTTGGGGCTTGGTATCTGTGGAGGATTGGTTCCAGGAACACCTGAAGATACCAAAATCCAGGGATACTCAAGTTCTTGATATAAAATGATGTGGTATATTTGCATATAACCTACACACATCCTCCCAAGTACTTCAAGTCATCTCTAGATTACTTATAATACCTAATACAATATAAATGCTATGTAAATTGTTGTTATATTCTATTGTTTAGGGAATAATGCCAAGAAAAAAAGTTTGTACATGTTCAGTCCAGACACAATTTTTTTTCTGAGTATTTTCAATTCAAGTTAGTTGAATCCATGGATGTGGAACCTGCGGATGCCAAGGGCCTACTGTGTCAATCATCACTGTTCTCTCAAACTACATCCAAGAAAAACTAGCACAAATGTTACCCACAAAAGTTTTTCTTTACAGTATTGTATCATTGGATTCTTTTCTGTTGGAAAACAGGAAAATGTGAGCCAGTATGGATACATTCTCATGTTCTTAAAAGATTGTTTACTAAAATAGAGAAAGACCTAGAAAATGATCAGACCTGAAATGCTAATCTAAAACTGAGATGCAGCCATCCAGTTACCAGCATCTGGCCTTTGGTTGTATTTATTTAACGTTATGAATACATGATGATCATTCTTTCACTGATATTTTTTATTACACCTGCATATTTAGGATACAGTTTAGTGATGGAAACTGGAGAAGACAAAAGGAGAACATTGAACATTGAAGACAAGAAAGACAAGAGAAAGAAGGTGCTGATGGAAGGTTCTGTCAATGCCCTCCAGCCAAAGACCACCAGTAACACTCCTTTAGTTGAACATATTAAGTTTATGGTTTGTTGCAGTAAGGGATCATAGGGTATGATGGACACTATGGGGGTGAGGAGCAGGGGGATGTGGTCAAGGACATCTCAGTAAAATGGCATTAGGAAGGATTAGAGTTCGGCCGGGCATGGTGGCTCACACGGTAATCCCAGCACTTTGGGAGGCCAAGGCAGGCAGATCATGAGGTCAAGAGATCGAGACCATCCTGGCCAACACGGTGAAATGCTGTCTCTACTGAAAATACAAAAATTAGCTAGGTGTGGTGGCACACACCTGTAGGTTCCCAGCTACTCAGGAGGCTGAGGCAGGAGAATCACTTGAACCTGGGAGGCGGAGGTTGCAGTGAGCCGGGATCTTGCCACTGCACTTCAGCCTGGCAACAGAGTGAGACTCCATCTCAAAAAAAAAAAAAAAAAAAGGATTAGAGTTCATGCTTGGGCAACTTAGTGTCTTCCCCAGAAAGAGGGGAAACTGGAGTGAGGTTGTAATTTGTAAGAAAGGAATGAATACTCATTCATATGAACCAGGATAGAATGGGGTTAGGTCATTTCTGATGTTTGGTTAATATTCATGTTTTTGTCTGCATTCAGTTATGGTTATGGGGCAGTCTTATTTTTGTCTTGATTCATCATGGTCACAGAGTGGCTCTGTCTGATCTTGGTGCTCTGTCAAATTGTTTATACTCAGCAGGGGAAGGTCTAGCTGTGAGTGCCAAGCTAGCTTCTAGATGCCAGGAACTGCTTTTCTCTAAAGACAAAGTATAGATGATTATTGCACCTCAACAGTAATAGTTGATAAGAGTAAATCTATAATACAGAGAGCACTTGTCATATAGCAAGCACTGCTAATCACTTTATGAGTACTATTTCATTTAATCTTCCAAACAACTCTATACAGTATTACTCTACTTGTCCTCATTTGTCACGTAAGAAACTGAGTCATCGAGAGCTTGAGATCCTTGTCCAGAGTCTCCTAGGTTGTAGAGCTGACCTGTCCGACTTCAAAGCCCAGGTTCTCAAAAGTGTCACTCTCCCACAAACAAACAAGTGAATAAATACTTCTGTTCTCATACTGTGAACAGATAATTTGTTGTGGTTAATTATTATCATTCAAGGGTGCCTTATTCTCCTTCCTGATGCTTTTCTGAGTTCTTATCTATTTATCTTCCTGTCTAAAGCATTTTACAACTTGTCCCATCTTCACAGTGTGCAAGGTGCAAAATGGGAAACCAATTTGAACAATTCTGCTATGTAAAAAGTGGCCTAAAATGTAGGGTTGCCACATTTAGTGAGCACACATATACACAAATACAGGATGACTAGTTCAATTTGAAATTCAGATAGACAATACCATATTTGGGATAGGTATGCTCCAAATACTGCGCGGGATATACTTACCTTTAAAAATTATTTATTGCTTATCTGAAATTCAAATTTAAATAAGTGTCCTGTATTTTACCTAGCAAACCTACTCTGAAAGTTTAGTGAAACTTTTAAAGTTTTTAACCATGAAATTAATTTCTTTTTGCTATCTTCCTGGCCATTAGAAGAGAGATCAGTTACCTACTCTTTGAAAACTGAATATTCTACCATATTTATTTCTGTATCCCACACAATTAACATAGGTAGTCTGTAGATATTTTGGAAGTAAAGGAACGGCTACATTTAGTCTTCATACACATACACATCAACATACCTATTTCACAGACAAAGATGGACACATGAGTATAATAAATTACAAAAAGAAACCCTGCATTATATTTTTTATGAGTAAGGATGGGCTGTCCCTCATTAACTCAATGGTCCTTTATGGAGCCTCTACTATGTCGTACGCTCTTTTAAACACACAGGATACAAGGAGAATCTCACAATTTAATGAAAACTAAAGTAAAGAGAAAAATGATAAGATAATCTGGTGAATATTTGCCAATCCTCTTTATTTATCTTAAATATTCTTAGAACATTTATTCTTTGGTTTTGCGAAATAAATACACTTTAGCAATTTGTTACAGACAACCTGTGATTAATTTTCTCCTTGGCCTCTGCTAAACTCATCAGATGTCTGGACTATTGACTGGTGCCTGTTGTGAGAGTTTAGTACTAATTTAGCAAGCCAGCTTTTCCTAATTATTACTGCATCTCACACAGACTTGAGTCACAGTTTGGGTTTATAAAGCTTTTGACTTCTCTCTATCACGAGAGACTATTTACTATAACAAATAGTACTTTAAGGTTTGGTCATCACAGAATAGACTAAGAACCTTAACACTGAGAAAGTAGATGATTTGAAATCATTGATCAACAAAGAGAATAGATGTGTTCTGTAAGGAATAGTTTCATTAGCAACTTTATGCTTAAAACAAAAGCTAGAATCTACTGTTAAAAAGAAACAAAACAGAAAAATAGTCCTACATACAACCCACTAATTATTTTCCCAGAAAGCACTAACTGCATGTAATAAAGTCTAACTAAGATTTATTTTCCTAGTTTATGGCACATATGTGCAATATCATTCTATGAATACTGAATACTGTTTGATTGCCTGGAACATCTTTGATTAATTAAAGAACAAAAACTTCTAACAATTGCTTTTTATGGAGTTTAAGGAATACCTAAAAGATTACCCTGAGCAACAAAAGCACATGAGGTAATGATCTGAAATTTGAGGGAAATTGCAGCCCATGGTGAGAAACTCAGATGGAACTATCTAGCACCACACACCTTCTAGCATGTGGGAAAAGAACAATAAACACTGACTGAACAATATAATTATATAAGAAGCCACAGATATTCTGCAGTGTTTTTGACAAGAAGGAATGCAACGGGATGAAAAAGTTAGAGGCGATATGCTCAAATATCTGCAGGCTGGTTTTAAGATCTGCTATACCATTTGGTGATTGGGCAATCTGCTCAGAGTGACTTCACTGGGAAAGGAAAGACCTATCCAAGGACACACAACAGTTTTGCTATCCTCAAAATTTCCACAGTCAGTTTTATATCTTCCCTGTTTAATCTTGTTTGCTCATCTTACTAGCCTGGAATTGTTGTATGGGCCCTCCCAGTGATGTTTACAAACACGGTCACACCCTGGGAGGTACTGCTATCTCTCTTGAAAGGCTCATAATGACCGTATGTCTTTGACATTGTGCCCTTTGGTAAACAAACTAAACCAGGATTTTAAAGTGTGGTCAGCTTAAAAAGCCAGTGCTTGTCCATATGCTCAGATCACATGGGGGAACTAGAAATACTAGTGTCACCATTTGTTGTGGCTCTTTTACCAACAGGCTCGTGAAATAACTTGGCCAAATGTTTTCTTGTCTATTCACCATCTTCATATGGCAGAAATTTTAAGGTCTCCCCAGGCTCAAACACTACTAGAATTCAAATTATACAAGCAATCTAGTAATACTCAGTGTGTCCTGTAATGACTTTGTCAATATTTTTCCATTATTTATCATGCCTTCCCCTCACAATAATTTTGTGAGGCAGGTCATATAAACAATTCCAGTTTGCAGTATAATAAATTAAGGTACAGAAAATAGAAGTGAAGATTATAATTTATATGCTAGGCGCTATGCTTTGCATTTAAATATATTCAGTAATTTAATATTCCTAACAGTCAAGAAAGTTAGGAATTATTATGCCCACTTTAAAGGTGAAGAAACTCAGTCCCAAAAAGATGATGCAACTTGTCCCAATAACACAGTTGGGAGCTGTACTTTGAAATTATTAAAAATAAAGGCCCAAATAAAATTCCTCTATACAATTGTCTTTGAAATTGTGACATTTTGTTTTGTGTTTTGTTGTTGTTCATTTTGTTTGGCATCTACTTCGTGCTACATTATTTACCTAACTTACATTTTTTAAGTAGATTTCACTAAAATTGACTGCCTTCAAAAATCCCATGAAAGCAAATCTAAGGATTATATCACGAATCACTTTGTTTTAAAAATGCAAGAGAAGTGTACTTGCTGGATAAAGTACAAGATTTTGGCTTCACATCTGTAGGTCCAGGGGCGTGGCGAGGATGTTTAATCTTAGGTTTTAAGTCCTGCACTATCGGTAAGATTTACACATTAGCTCTAAAGGGGGAGATAAAATGAATGAATCAAGTTGCTCACAGCCTGAGGACAGTCTTTTTATCTACACATCAATGCTACTGAAGCCCTTCAGGAAGTTTACAGTTCTTCCTTTTTTTCTTGCAGGAACTTCTCTCTTAAGTGTAACTCCTTGATTGAACCCAGTACTCTGTCCATGCCATTTCTTTTTTCTATTATTAAAAGAAGAAGAAAATCTTCCATTCGCATTCTTCTGTGAACATGACAGAACCTAACAGGGTTTATCTGGGCAGACCATTAAAAGTATGGCAAGCAGGCCTATGCATCAGCCATTTGGAGAGTGGCTCGCTGCCCCCTAAGGAAGAATTTAGCAAAATCATAAGAATCTCTTTGCCCTTTGCCCCTTTTGTCTGAATGGAATAAATCAATTTGAATGTAATCATTTCAGTTACTCTTTCCTGCATAACTTGCTTTGTTGCATGGATGTAAACCATATCAGGTTAACCCCAAATGCTTCATGGGTACTTGTGCTGTAATGCCAAACTGCCAGAAATGATTTGCTCAGCCAGGATTACACAGAGAAGGACAGTAAACCCGGAATGAATTTCCTCATTCCTAAAACAGTATTCTTTTCTCTCTCACTGCCTTTTTTTTTTTCCTTAATAAAATTGTTCTAGCTAATTACAGGATTAAAGAACCTAAACCCACATGAAAACCTCTCCAATGGCAACAAAGGTTAAAGCAACGATACATTTGTGTGCTGATTACCAGTGGGGGAAAAAAGTCTTTTTGAAAATCATGTCCTTTTCAAGCAATAAACCCTTAACAATAGATACCCACCCTTGGAGAGTAAAAGGCTTCAGGGCTGTACAAATAACAATAATCAGATGAGAAACTGTTGAAAGCATAAGACAAATAAACCCAATGAGAAACCTTCAGAGGGGAGTAGATAAGCATTGCATCAAAGGGAAAATGTCAGTGAAGCTATTTCACTCTGGAAGCTATGTTTTTTTCTCTTGAGAGGAAAAAGCACTGATTAGAAGTAGAAAATGTGTGTGCATTTTAAACAGAGAGATGAGTCCTGTCGAACGCCTATCTTCCTGGTAGCCTCTTGCCTTCTTTGCTTCTAACCCTATGCTGTGATGGTTTGCCAATATCTTTTTTTTTTTTAAGTTGGGCCAAAAAATATTTGTCAGTCAGGTAGAAAAGTAAATGTTAAATGCACATGCAAATTGAAAATGAGAGAAAATCCATGGTTGAGACACACTCAGATTCAAAGTTGGGCTGTTGAACGCAACAGATACAGTGCTGATTTATTCACATTGCCTCATGCAGATGAAAGAAGTTACCAAATAGAAAACGCATAGTGATGTCAAGAATTTCTACTCAGTAAGCCACCTGTCCCAGAACCTCGCAAGGACTTGGCCTCTGTTTTTAACTTACCTCTTGGGAGTCTTGATTGCTTAGGAAAAATATGAATGATTCTTTGATGTAGATAAATGTTTTTCTACCTGATACCAGCACTTACTTTTAATGCTTCTCGGAGTCACTGACTCATTTGTTAAGCAGCTTTATTGAAGTAGAATTTACATAACATAAATGCACTCATTTTAATTAGACAATTCAGTGATATCTAGTAAATTAATAGAGTTGTACAACCATCACCACCATATTTTCTCTTTCTCTTTGGCTTTCTGCAGTTTGAATGTCATATGCCTTGGTGTGTTTTATTTCTTATTTATCCTGCCTGATATTCTGAGTTTCCTGGATCTGTGACTTCTTGTCTACCATTAATTTTGGAATTCTTTTGGCCTTTATTGCTTCAAATATTTATTCCACTCCATTCTCTGTCTCTTATTCTGATATTCCAATTCTGCATATAGTACACCTTTTGCAACTGTTCCAATAGTTGTTGGATGTTCTGCTCTGTTGTTGTTGTTTTCTTTTTTCTCTCTGCATTGACGTTTGGGACACTTCTATTGACCTTCTTCAAGCTCATGGGTTCTGTCTTTAGCAGTGTCAAGTCTACTGATGAGCCTCTTAAAGGCACTCTTCATTTCTTTTACTAGGGTTTTGCTTGCTAGAATTTCCTTCTGGTTCTTTTTTAAAGTTTCAAAATCTTACTCATCTTTTTGCATGTTGTCTTATTTCTTCATTAAAGACTTTAACATGTTAATCCTAGTTATTTTAACTCTGTCTGATAATTCCAATATCAATGCCACATTCCAATCTTATTCTTAACAATTGCTTTGTCTCTTCAGACGGTTTTTCTTTTGTTTCATTTTGTTTTTGACTTTTGGCATGCCTTGTAATTATTTTTTAAAGCAGGACATGTTTTACTGGGTAACAAATCTGAGGTTATATAGGCCCTAAGTGTAAGGATTTACAGTAACCTGGCTACAGTACTCACTATGTTTAATAATTTCTGTAACTACAGGTGACAGAGTCTTCAGATTCTCTAGCACCCTATTTTTTGTCTTTCCTCTTGACCTTGGGCTTCCCAACATATTAATCTTCAGAGAGAAACTGTGTCCTGCAGCTCTTTCAGCTGTCTTCTGTGATTTTCCTGGAGCCTTGTTGGGGTAATGACCAGGTGTTGGGGAAGGGAAGCATTCTACAATCCTATGATTTAATCTCAGTCTTTTAGTGAGCTTACGCCTTGGAAAATTTTTTCTGCATCCTCTACTTCCTTTTCTGGCCACAGCATTCCCAATCTATTTCTTCGAAGCCCTGACTTCTGTTGACTGTGTTTTTTGTTTTTTCCATGAAATAAAACAGGAGTGCAAATGGGGGTTGAAGTAGGATCCTGTATAACCTTTACCCAACTCGGTTAAGACTCTTAGTTTCTAGAGCATAAGCCTGTTTATGAAGGTGCTGAGCATATTTCACAATGGTTACCGTGTCAGTCTGCTCAAGCTGGTATAACAAAATACCACAGACTGGGTGGCTTAAAAAGCAGATATTTATTTCTCATGGTTCTGGAGGCTAAAAAACCCAAGATCAAGATGATGCCAGCTGATTCCATTCCTAGCGAGTTCTCTCTTCTGTCCTGCTGATAGCTATCTTCCTGCTGTGTCCTCCTGTGGCACAGTCAGAGCTATCTCTCTCTTTCTCTTCTGAGAATTTCACTGATTCACCATAAGGGCTCTACCTTCGTGATATCATCTAATCCTGATGACCTCCTGAAGGCCTCATCTCCACTGAGGGTCAGGGCTTCAACATACATATTTGGTGGCAGTGGAGTAGGCGGGACAGAATGCAATCCGTAGCAATTATTCTTCTCCTATTTTTGTCAGAACCATGAGGCAATGTTTTTCAGATCTTCACCATGAGAATCTGGTGGAGTTCCTGGAGGAAAAGCCAAAAAAAAGTGTGGAGCATCCCTAAAACAGTGATTCCCAGGAGTTTCTCACCATCGTAATACTTCACATTCAGTGTGATGGTTAATTTTATGTGTCAACTTGACTAGGCTGTGACGCCCAGTTGTTTGTTCAAATGTTAGTTGAAATGTTGCTATAAAGGTATATTTTTAGATGTGATTAACATTTAAATCAGTAAACTGTAAACAAACAGATTACTCTTCACTGTGTGTGTGAACCTCATCCAATCAGTTGAAAGCTTTAGGAGGAATGATTGAGGTCTGCCGAGGAGAAAGGAATCCTGTCTCCAGACTACCTTTGTGTGTGTGTGTGTGTGTGTGTGTGTGTGTGTGTGTGTGTGTGTGTGTAGGTTCTGTTTCTCTGGAGAATCCTGACTATTACAACTGCCAGCAATTTATCAAAATCATGGTTTTTTTTTTTTAGTGGTTTTACCAGCTTATGGCAGCTCCAGCAGCTTTCTGTTAGATAAGAAGGCCTTGATTGTATTTCTCTGGATGAGACTGTCTTTCCAAATGTCAAATTGGAGATTTTCCCTGCAACATCAGTTTTCTGATAAATCTAGGAAAAGTCATCTTTTTTGTTCAGTTTTTTTTTTTTTTTTTTCTGTTGTAAGGGTAAGTGTGATGACTTCCAAGGTCTTTACATGTTGGAAGTGAAACCTAAAGTCTCATTTGTATAAATGGAATCATAAAATAGTGTATTATTTTTCATTCTGCTGATAAAGACATACCCAAGACTGGAAAGAAAAAGAGGTTTAATTGGACTTACAGTTCCACATGTCTAGGGAGGCCTCAGAATCATGGCAGGAGGTAAAAGGCACTTCCTACATGGCAGCGGCAAGAGAAAAATGAGGAAGAGGCAAAAGCGGAAACCCCTGATAAACCCATCACATCTCATGAGACTTATTCACTATTAGGAGAATAGCACGGGAAAGACTGGCCCCCATGATTTAATTACCTCCCTCTGGATCCTTCCCACAACATGTGGGAATTATGGGAGTACAATTCAAGTTGAGATTTGGGTGGGAACACAGCCAAACCGTATCATTTCACCCCTGGCCCCTCCAAATCTTATATTCTCACATTTCAAAACCAATCATGCCTTCCCTACAGTCCCCCAAAGTCTTAACTCATTTCAGCATTAACCCAAAAGCCCACAGTCCAAAGTCTCATCTGAGACACAGCAAGTCCCTTCTATCTATGAGCCTGTAAAATCAAAAGCAAGCTAATTACTTCCTAAATACAATGGGGGTACAGGTATTGGGTAAATACAGCTGTTCCAAATGGGAGAAATTGGCCACAACAAAGGGGTTACAGGGCCCATGCAAGTCTGAAATACAGCAGGGCTGTCAAATTTTAAAGCTCCAAAATGATCTCCTTTGACTCTAGGTCTCACATGCAGGTCACACTGATGCAAGAGATGGGTTCCCATGGTCTTGGGCACCTCTGCCCCTGTGGCTTTGCAGGGTACAGCCTTCCTCCCAGCTGCTTTCACAGGCTGGCATTGAGTGTCTGCGACTTTTCCAGGCGCACTGTGCAAGCTGTCGGTGGAACTACCATTCTGGGGTCTGGAGGAGGATGGCCCTCTTCTCACAGCTCCATTAGGCGGTGCCTCAGTAGGGATTCTGTGTGGGGGCTCCAACCCCACATTTCCCTTCCTCACTACCCTAGCAGAGGTTCTTCATGAGTGCCCTGCCCCTGCAGCAAGCTTTTGCCTGGGCATTGAGGTGTTTCCATACATCTTCTGAAATCTAGGCTGAGGTTCCCAAACCTCATTTCTTGACTTCTGTGCACCCTCAGGCTCAATACCACATGAAAGCTGCCAAGGCTTGGGGCTTCTACCCTCTGAAGCCACAGCCTGAGCTACACATTGGCCTGTTTCAGCCATGGCCAGAGTGACTGGGAAACAGGGCACAAGTCCCTAGGCTGCACACAGCACAGGAACCCTGGGCCCAGCCCACAAAACCACTTTTTCCTCCTGGGCCTCCAGGCCTGTGATGGGAGGGGCTGCTGTGAAGGTCTCTGATGTGACCTGGAGACATTTTCCCCATGGTCTTGGGGATTAACGTTAGGCTCCTTGCTACTACATATGTAGATTTCTGCAGCAGCTTGGATTTCTCCGCAAAAAATGGGTTTTTCTTTTCTACTGCATCATCAGGCTGCAAATTATCAAACTTTTATGCTCTGTTTCCCTTTTAAAATGGAATGCCTTTAACAGCACCCAAGTCACCTCTTGAATGCTTTTCTGCCTAGAAATTTCTTCTGCTAGACACCCTAAATCATTTCTCTCAAGTTCAAAGTTCCACAAATCTCTAGGGCAGGGGCAAAATGCGACCAGTCTCTCTGCTAAAACATAACAAAAGTTACCTTTTCTCCAGTTCCCAACAAGTTCCTCATCTCCATCTGAGACCACCTCAGCCTGGATCTTATTGTTCATATGACTATCAGCATTTTTGCCAAAGCCATTCGACAAATCTCTAGGAGGTCCCAAACTTTCCCACATTTTCCTGTCTTCTAAGCCCTCTAAACTGTCCCAACCTCTGCCTGTTACCCAGTTCTAAAGTCACTTCCACATTTTTGGCTATCTTTTCAGCAACACCCCACTCTAATGGTACCAATTTACTGTATTAGTTTTTATGCTGCTGATAAAGACATACCTGAGACTGGGAAGAAAAAGAGGTTTAATTGGACTTATAGTTCCACATGGCTTGGGAGGCCTCAGAATCATGGTGGGAGGCAAAAGGCACTTCTTACATGGTGGCGGCAAGAGAAAAATGAGGAAGAAGCAAAAGTGGAAACTCCCGATAAACCCATCAGACCCATGAGACTTATTCACTATAACGAGAATAGCTCAGGAAAGACCCGCCCCCATGATTAAACTACCTCCCCCTGGGTCCCTCCCACAACATGTGGGAATTATGGGAGTACAATTCAAGTTGAGATTTGGGTGGGGACCTTCTGTTTGGCATCTTGCTTCTTTCACATAGTGTCATGTTTTTGAGGTTCATTCGTGTTGTAGTATGTTTTAGTAGATTCTTGCTTTTTATTGCTAAATAGCATTTTATATAGTGTTACGCCACATTTGATTTATACCTTCACCAGTTAATGAATACTTGGATTCCAATTTAGGGGTATATAAATCTAATCTTCTAAACAACAGAAAACAAAGTATACTATTTTCCTTTTAATATACAGTTGTACTTTAACACATGTACAGATTCATGTTATTCTTACAACAAACAAGATACAAGACAGTTCCATCACCACAAAAACTCCCTTTGGATGTCCCTTTCTATTCTTTCTATATCTGCTCCTAACTCTTAACCCTGCCAGCTTCTCATCTATTCTCCAACACTATAGTTTTGTCTTTTCAAGAAGGTCATACACATGGAATTATATAATATAAAAGCTTTTGAAACTGGCCTTTTAATTCAGCATAATGCTCTTGAAATTCATTCAAGTTGTTGTGGGTATCAATTGTGAGCTCCTATGTTATTGCTGACCAATATGCCATTTTATAAGGATATAGGAAAAACCAAAGTGTTTTTCCAACTCTATACTCACACAATTTAGCACAATAAATACTCCTGACACTGATGTGTTGAAATTTCTTCCTACACTCTGAGCAATTCATCAGCAAGCACCAGCTGATTGTCCTTCAATTCAATGCTGACATTCTCTACCTGGAGATAGTGTCGATCCCACAGGTTGAGGGCTCAGTTCCACAAGACTACCTCCCACTTCAAATACCAGTTGCAAGTAGTAGATTATCACTTAGAGTTGTAACGCACCAGCTTTAAATCTGGGTTCCCATGATCCCCTCCTTGCTTCAATTAGTTTGCTATAGCAGCTCACAGAACCTAGGGAAACACTTATGTTGGCCCAGTTATTATACAGGGTGTTATAAATGATATAGATAAACGGCTAGATGGAAGAGATACTTAGGGTATGGGAGAAAGGGTATGGAGCTTCCATGCTTTCTCCAAGCACACCATCCCCTGGCCCATCTCCATGTTCAGCTATCCAGAAGCTCCATGAACCCAGTACTTTTGGGATTTTATAGAGGCTCCATTATGTAGGCATGATTGATTCAATCAGTGGCTATTGGTAATCAACCCAATCTTCAGCCCATCTCCCTTCCCCAGAAGTTGGGCAATAAAAATCTAAGTGCCAATGCGCTAATCATATTGTGGTCTTTCTGGCAACCAGCCCCATCCTGAAGCAAAGAAGGGGCCTCCAATCATCAGTCATCTTATTTAGCATACGGAAGATACTCATCACTTTAGCGATTCCAAGAATTTTAGGAGCTGTATGCCAGGAAATGGGAAGAAAGAACAAATATATATTTCACAGTATCATACATTATATGACTATAGAACAATTTGTTGGCCCATTTTTCCAAGGAAGGACATTGAGGTTAATTCCAGTTATGGGAAATTATTAACAGAGCTGGTATAAACATTTGTGTGAACATCAGTTCACTTTTCTCAAGTAAAAACCCAAGAATAGGATAAAGTAGTGTATATTTAACTATAAAAATCTTCCAAAGTATTTTTCAAAGTTGATACACCATTTTTCATTTTCACCAGTAAGGTATGAGAGTTTTAATTGCTCTGTACCTTTACCAACACTTGGTATTGTCAGGATTGTTTATTTTAGCTACTATAATAAACTAAATTACTCAGTTGAGTTTAAACTAAGCTACTAAACTTAGCTACTTAAGTGTGTAATTGTATCCCATCATAGTTTTAATTTGCATGTCTGTAGTGGCTAATGATGTTGAACACCTTTTCATGTCCTTATTTCTCAAACTCATACCCTCTTTTCAAGTTCTTTCTCCATTTTTAACTTTGTTGTCTTTTTAATTTTTCTTGCTTTCTTGTTGAGTTTGGCAGTTCTTTTTATATTCTGCATACAAGCTTTTTGTTAAATATGTGATTTGCAAATATTATCTCCCAGTTTGGAACTTGTTTTTCATTCTCTTACAGACCTTGTAAAACTTACTTACCAGTCCTAATACTATTTTTCTATGAAGACTCCTTGAGATTTTCTATGAAGACCATTATGCCATCTGTAAATAGAGATAGTATTACTTCTCCCTTTGCAACCCTCTGTATGATATTCATTTTTTCTTCTTGTCTTATTTCATTGGTCAGGATTTTCATTATTATGTTGACTAGTAGTGGTATGAACATTCTTGCCTTGTCCCAATTTTAGAAAGAACACATTTAGACTTTCACCATTAAAAATAAGGAGATTGGCCAGGCATGGTGGCTCATGCCTATAATCTCAGCACTTTGGGAGGCAAGTGGATCACGAGGTCAGGAGTTCGAGACCAGTCTGGCCAACATAGTGAAATGCTGCCTCTACTAAAAATACAAAAAATTAGCTGGACATAGTGGTGTGTGCCTGTAATTCCAGCTACTTGGGAGGTTGAAGCAGAAGAATTGTGAGAACCCAGGAGGCAGAGATTGCAGTGAGCCGAGATCACACTGTTGCACTCCAGCCTGGAAGACAGTGCAAAACTCTGTTTCAAATAAATAAAAATAAAAATAAGGAGATCAGGCACAGTGGCTCACCCCTGTTAATCCCAAGACTTTGGGAGGCTGATGCAGGAGGATTGCTTGAAGCCAGGGGTTTAAGACCAGCCTGGCAACAAAGCAAGACCATCTCTACAAAACATTAAAAAAAAAATAGCCTACAATGAAGGCATGCCTGTAACCGTAACTTCACAGGATACTAAGGCAGGAGGAATGCTCACGAGTTCAAGGCTGCTGTGAGCTATGATCATGCCACTGCATGACAGAGTAAGATAATAATAAAAAGAATCTGTAAAGATAATAAGAAAATAATCTAGGTTTTTTTTTTTTTTTCAGATATTCTCTGTTGGGTGGAGGAAATACCATTCTGACTTAGTCTATTTGTGCTGCTACAACAGAATACCTGAGACTGGGTAATTTATAAAGAAAAGAAATTTATTTCTCACAGTTTTGGAGGTGGGGAAGTCCAAGATAAAGATGCCAGCATCTGGTGAGGGTCTTTTTGCTGTGTCCTCACATAGCAGAAGGCGGAAGCGCTGAATGTTGCACGAAACCTCTTTTATAAGAGTCTTAGTACCATGAATAAGGGAGGAGCACTCATGGTGTAATCATCTCTTAAAGACCTCACTTCTTAAAGTATCACATTGGCCACAATTGGATTTTGGAAGGGACTAATACTGAGCATGAATTTTGGAGGCAACAAAAATAATCAAACTATAGCACCTTCCATTTGTTTTTTCTTGAGAGTTGTTATCATGAGTGGGTGCTGAATTTTGTCTAATAGTTTTTGTGTATTATTTGATATGATAACGTGGTGTTTCTTCTTTAGACTGCTAATATAATACATTGCATTGATTCATTTTTTAATATTGAACCAGCCTTGCATTCCTGGAATAATCGTCATTTGTCCATAGTGTATTGTTATTTCTATATATTTCTGTTATTAAATTTACAAGTGTTTTTGAGGATTTTTGCATCAATGTTCATGAGGAATATTTCTTTATTTGTACTATCTTTGTCTGATTTGGTACCAGGGTAATGTTAACCTTGTAAAATGCATTGAGAAGTGTTTCCTCCCCTAGCATTTTCTGGAAGAGACGTCTTTTTTTTTTTTTTGTATAATTTGCCTGTGAAACCATCTAGGACATAAGACTTCTTTTTCAGAAAGTTTTCAACTGTGGCTTTAATTTTCTTAAGTGTCAAAGGACTATTCAGTTTATTTAGGTTATCTTTCATCTACAAGGAGTTTTGGTAGCTTATGGTTTCAAGAAATGAATCCAGTTCATCTAAGTTGTTAAATTTATGTATGTAGATTTGTTTATATTACACTTTTATTGTCCTTTTAATGTTGTAGGATATATGGTGATATGCCTTCTTTAATACTGATATTGGTAATTTGTATCTTCTCTCTCTCTCTTCTGATTTATTAGAGGTTTGTCAATTTTTCCCCTAAAGAAAAGATTATATACAGATTTTTAATTCATTTTTTTCCATGTTACTTTTAAGCATTATGTTTCATTTTTGTACGACTAACACATGTAACTTATACCACCCATATCTTAATTTTATGACAGTAAAGGATGCACATAATGTTATAAAAGAAAGCATTGCACCTAAGGTTAAGAATCACTAATAGAAATCATGTTGCACTATGGAAGGCAGCCACTTAGAGAATCACATGGACTACCACAACTACTGGCCTTTCCTGAGAGCAAGCATCTGAAGTAGGCTTGGGCCAAGGTCTTTAAGAAAGACCCACAAGGGTGATGTGTGACTCAGCATGATCTGCCATTTATTGATCTTTTCAAAGAACCAACTTTTGGTTTCATCGATTAGCTCTATTTTTTTTCTGTGTTCAATTTCTTTACTATTTATTCATTATCTATTCTAATAGATAACTGTTTCTTCCTTTTTCTGCTTGACTTGGATTTATTTTGCTCTTCCTTTTCTACTTTCTTAAGGTGTAAACCTAAATTATATATTTTAGTTCATTTTCTTCTCTAATCTAAACATATAATGCTACACATTTCTTTCTAAACACAGCTTAAGCTATATTCCACAAATTTGCATATGTTGTATTTTTATTTTCATTCAGTTCAAGATAGTTTCAAATTTTTTTTGAGACTTTCATTTGCCTGTGGATTATTTAGCCGTATATTGTTTACTTTATACATTTTAGAGATTTTCCTCTTATTCTTCTGTTATTTATTTTTAATTTTATTTTAGTATGATCAGAGAACATGCTTTGCATGATTTGAATTTTTCTAAAAATGTAAAGATTTAATTTATGACCCAGCTTATGGTTCACCTTGGTGAATATTCTATGTAAAATTGAAAAGTTTATTTTTCTGCTATTAAGTGGAGTGTTCTATTATTTTTTTCTAACCTCTTTCAGTATCTTTTTCTTTGTGTTTAACTTTTAGAAATTTGATTATGGTGCATCTGGGAATTATTATTTGAGTTTTATTCTTTTTGGGGGCTAATTCAGCTTCTTCAATTTGTAGGCATATGCCTTTCACCAAATTTAAGAACTTTTTGGCAAATGTTTCTTCAAATATTTTCCTTTAGCACCTCATTCATTCTCCTTTTTCTACAATGCTGATGACACATGTGTTAGACTTTTTGTTGGTCCCTGAAACTCTTATTTTTTTCTGTTTTCCAATTAGATAATTTCTATTCATTTACCTTTAGGTTCACCATCTTTCCTCTGTCACTTTCATTTAAGTCCAGTCAGTGAGTTTTTCTTTCTAGTTATTGTGTTTTTAATTTCTAAAATTTGTATTTGATTCTTCCTTGTATCTGCTATTTTGTTGTGAAAAGTTTCTCTTTTAAGTTTTGTTTCGAAGATCTGTCAGATAATTAAAACATCATGTCATCTCATCATCGGAATCACTTGTCTTTTCCCATACAAGTTGCAATTTCATAATTCTTGCTATGCCAAGTACTTCCAGATTGTAGCCAAGGATAGCCTGAATATTATGTTCTGAGACTACGGGTCTCATTTAAATCCCATGGAGGATGTTGATGTTTTGTTTTAAGAGGCACTACCTGATTCAGTTCAACAGGCAAGTTTCCACCAGCCTTCTGTGGGCTATGGTTCCATTATCAGTTCAGTTTTCAAAACCTTTGCAGTGTTATCTAGATCCATGCCACCCAAGTCGCTTTGTCCTGGTTGGAGGTTTATCTCTTAGATTCATTCTCAAAGTCTTTGGATGCCAATTAGTATCAAAAACATTCATTCCTATATTGGAGTGAGTTCAAAAGTTTACAAGTGGAGTTGTTTTCTCTAACTTCTTCACCTCTGCTATATATCCAGTACTCTTTGATTTCCTGAAGCTCTTCTATTTAGTTCTCTGACTAGAAATCTGACGTTTCCACTATTTCACTATAGCAATTGAAGACAGAAAGAGAAAGAAAAAAGCAATAGAGTTTGGCCTCATCATCTTGGAACTGCAGCTTTACTGTTAGAAGTTTTTCCTCTTTCAGAGTTTGGGCTCTCATAATCTCCTCTTGCTGGTTTATTTTTGCTGTGGCTACTACTGTAGAATGGTTGGAATCTGAACTGCGAAAGACTGGAGAAAAAGGAGATGAAAAACTAGTGGGATTTCTGACACTTTCTCTGCTTTAAGAACTCCATTGTCTGTTCCTCAATTTATAACTAGAAAGTTTGCCAGGCTATCCCTCTGAAGCACAGTGCCGACCTCCAGGTTTTCATTCTAAAAGTGAAGATTATCATTAGTAGCAATAAGGAAGGTCACTACAAAGAGTCCAATGTTCAGTGCTAAATAACTGTAAGCTTATATGTGTCAAACAACATAACCATGAAATATATATATGTAGTAAAATTCACAAAACTATAAGGAGAAATAGACAAATCCACAATCACAGGATATATTCAGTGTACTGCCCCCCAGCAATGAGTAGATTTAAAAGGCCAAATATTAATAAGGATATAGAAGAATCAAAAACCACAATTTAAAAACTTGATCTGGCCAAGAGCACTTTGGGAGGCCAAGGCGGGTGGATCAACCGAGGTCTGGAGTTCGAGACCAGTCTGACAAAGCCCTTTCTCTACAGAAAAATACAAAAATTAGCTGGGCATGGTGGTGGGTGCCTGTAATCCCAGATACTAGGGAGGCTGAAGCAGGAGAATTGCTTGAACCTGGGAGGTGGAGGTTGCTGTGAGCTGAGATCACACCAGTGCACTCCAGCCTAGGCAACAGAGCAAGACTCTGTCTCAAAAAAATAAAAATAAAAAATAAATAACTAAATAAAAACTTGGCCTAATGTTCTTGCATACAACGCTGCACCCAACAAAAAACAGCATGTGTCCCTTTCAAAGAATATACAAAATATTTAGCAACTTAAGCTAGTATCAATTAATTCCAAAGAATTGGTAGGCTGACCACAGTTTAGTAAATAATCATAGTGTCTACTGCATAACTACAGGCTCTGGCATCAACGGACAAAATAGTACATGATAAAATTACTTTAGAAACTGTAATAAAAACAATAGGAAGAAAACTCTATATGGTTAAACATGTTGGCAATACACTGAAATCGCTCCTTTGGAAAAGAAATTGGTATTATCTAGAAAAGCTGAAGATATTTATATCCTATGGTCCCACAATTCTTCTTGTAGATATATACTTTAGAGAAAATCCTGCATTTGGAGTATTAACGGCATACTCCAAATTGTTCAAAATATTGAGGTTATGATAATAAAAAACTTGGAAGATTCTAAATGCCAATCAACAATAAAACAGGTAAATTATGATATATTCTATAACGGAATAGTACACAAAAGAGATATATAAGTGAAGTGTACCTGCATAAAACAAAACAAAAAATCAACAGTAAAAGTCAATATAATACTAAAGTTCATATGGAAAAACATATATGCAAGAGTAGTTGGAAAAACACAAGAAATAAAAACTATGAGGAAGATTAGCTCTACTGGACATTGTAACATATTATAAAGATACTAATTAAATCAGTGCGGTACTGGAGTGTGGCTAGATAAATAAACCAGTGGAATAAAATATAAAGCCCTGATATTGACTCACGTACATATAAAAATATGTATATTCAATGTATGATAAAGGTGGTATCTCAAATCACTGGGACAAAGATTGACTTTATAATAAATGATGCTGAGACAACCATTTAGCCACTTGGAAAAAGGTGAAGGTAGATCTATATTTCACACCATACACAAAGGAAACTCAGTGGTTTAGGGATCTGCATGTAAAATAAACCCTTTAAATACTAGTAGGAAACATGGGTAAGCTAGTAACCTACTCTAATTTCAGTGTAGATAAAGGCTTTTTAACTATGACTCCAAATCTAGAGGCAATGAAAATGATAAATTTGGCCATAAAAATTATAATTTTGTATGACAGAAAATACCAGAAATGAAGTCAACAAACAAGTGATAACTGGCAGAAAATATTTGCAACATATATACAGAGGGCTAAATCCCTAATACAGTCATGTGCCACATAATGACATGTCAGTCAACAATGGTGGTCCCATATGATTATAGGAGCTAAAAAATTTCTATTTCCTAGTGACACGGTGGCCATCATAACCTTGTAGCACAATGCATTACTTTTTGTTTGTGACGATGCTAGTGTAAGCAGTATGTGTGCATTACTTTTTTGTTTATGGTGATGCTAATGTTTGTGCATTATTGTTTTGTTTGTGGTGATGCTACTGAAAGCAAACACACTGTGCTGTTAGCTATATAAAAGTATAGCACATACAATTATGTGCAGTATATAATACTAGATAATGATAAATAATTATGTTACTGGTTTATGTATTTATTATAATTTACTATTATTTTAGAGTGTATACCATCTACTTATAAAAAAAAAAGTTAAACTGTGAAACAGGCTCAGGCAGATCCTTCAGGAGGTATTACAGAAGAAGGCACTGTTATCATAGGAGACGACAGCTCCATATGTGTTCTTGCCCCTGAAGACCTTCCAGTGGGACAAGATGTAGAGATGAAAAACAGTGATATTAATGATCCTGACCCTGGGTAGGCCTAGGCTAATGTGTGTTTGTGTCTTATTTTTTAACCAAAAGGTTTAAAAAGTTCAAAAAAATGCAATAGAAAAAAGATTGTAGAATACGGATATAAAAAATATTTTTGTATAGCTGTACAATGTGCTTGTGTTTTAAGCTAAATGTTATTTCAAAAGAGTCAAAAAAATTAAAAAATTAAGTTTGTAAATTTTAAAAGTTACAGTAAGCTAAGGTTAATTTATTATTAAAAAATATTTTATATAAATTTAGTGTAGTCTAAGTGTACAGTGTTTATAAATCTATAGTAGTCTACAGTAACGTCATAGACCTTCACATTCACTCACTGCTAACTCACTGACTCAACCAGAGCAACTTCCAGTCCTGCAAGCTTTATTCATGATAAGTGAATATACGGATGTACCATTTTTTATCTTTTACACCATATTTTTAAGGTACCTTTTCTATGTTTAGGTATGTTTAGATAAACTCATATTTACCATTGAGTTACAATTGCCTACAGTATTCATAACTGTAACATGCTATACAGGTTTGCAGCCTAGGAACAATAGGTTATACTATGTACCCTAGGTTTGTAGTAGGCTATATGTATCATCTAGGTTTGTGTAAGTACACACTATGATATTCACATAATGACAAAATCTCCTAAAGATGCATTACTTAGAATGTATTCCTGTTGTTAAATGATGCGTGACTGTAATTTAAGAACTCTTACAAATTGAGGGACAAAGGATCAAAATCCTGATAGAAAACTCTGAAAAGGACATAAATAAACAATTCACACACAAAACAATATTAAAAAGCCCTGAAACATATGGAAAAATGTTAATTTGATCATAATGATATGCAAATTAGACAACACTGAGCTACCATATTTCACTTAACAAATTGGCAAAAATTAAAAGTATGGCAACACATTCTGTTGACTAGCTGTGGGTAAACAAGCACTCTCATATATTGCTGATGGAAATGCAAACTGCTACAATCCTTCTGGTGGGAAATTTGGCAACCTACGTATACATTTACCTTTCAACCAGCAATCACTTTCTAGCTGAATCTACCCTGAAGATACACCTCTAACACTACAAAAATACATATGCACAAGGTTATTGATTGCAGCATTGTTTATAATTGCAACATATTAGAAACAATCTAAATGTACACGCTTAAGTGTATGGTTGAATAAACTACAGTACATCCACTCAATGGAATAATATACAGTGGTAAAAGGGATGCAAATGATCACTGAGTATTGCTATTAAGTGATTTCCAGATTATACTGCTAAGTGTAAACAGCAAAGTACAAAACAAACAAACAAACATGTCTATACTATCCTTCAACTGTAAAAACAGAGGATATAAGAAAAGATATATGAATCCGCTTTTGTGCGTAAAAGAAAATTACCTACGGGGGACGAATGAGAAAGATGTTCAAAGAAGTGGAAGTGGAGCTGGACTAGCATGAGAAAGATGTAACACTTCTCTAAGTCCCCTATTTATGTAGCCCTGACTCTAAGCTTCAAAGTCATGTTTCAAATGCCCCAATAACAAACAGATAATTAAAATCATACAGCATTTGGGAAACCCAAGAGGAATACAAACAGTAACCAATGCACCCAACCGTACTACAAATAAACAACTTTACCTCACTGAAGGGAGCAGAGAAGACAATTAATCTAAGTAACTTATAAAAGCTGTATTTTGACGGTATACTGTCACACTAATGACAAATGGAATTGTACACAAATACTTTACTTTTGTTGACAGATTCGCTTCTCAGGTATGGACTGACAATTCATAATTTATGTTTATACTAGGATTAAACAAATAGGTAAATATATTATAAATAACGAGAGTCGGGTTTTTCATTTTTAGAGAAATTAGCCACTAATAAGGAAATGAGGGAAGACTAGAATGAGCCCTGTGGTGTTGGACTGGAATCAGAAGTATCAGTATGAGCTAATGGTTTTGTGTGTGTGTGTGTGTGTGAGAGAGAGTGTGTGTGTGCACATGTTTTTTGGGTCTATTGCCTAGAAGTAATACCAATCCCAAGCAATGAACACACCTAGTATCTGGATTTTAGTTTCCAAAATCCAAATATCATTCCTCAGTAGAATGAACCAAAACTCCTTGGATAAATGATTGATTCCACAACTGAGCAAGAAATGTACAAGATAACAACCTGGACCATCCTGCTGTGCCAGAAGGTAAGAAGTTGCTGAAAGGGAGTTGGGAGCTTGTTAAAAGAACACAGAAGCCATCCTGAAGAAACTCTTAATAACCAAAACTGGAACAATTTGAAGAAAACAATGAACAATGCATTGGAATATATAGAATAAAATAAATATTCAGAGTGAATACTAATATAAATAATTAAATACATGTATAGAAGAAGAAAGGATTTACAGAAGAATTCTAATTAGTAAATGTAGAAGAACAAAGGGAATGGAAAGAGTATCATTTGTCAAACACCACATTGAATAGGTGTTATTGCATGCAAGATTAACCAATGGATGCAAAAATTAGTGGGTAAAAGTTTGAGGAAAACAAGATATTCTCATAGTCTCAAAATGCCTTCCCAAGGAGATTTACTAATTACAAAGGAAAAATAGTAACTTTATGTTAATACTAGAGAACCTGACAGATACCACCTTAACCAAGTAAGTAGACATACTGGCATCATAACCCCTGTGATATAATGAACAAAATTACTTCTGTGGCATTCTTACCAAAGTAATCTCAATCTCATGATAAGTAAATATTTAAACATCAAAATGAAGAGATATCCTACCGAATAACTGACCAGTACTCTTCAAAAGAAATTCATGCCTCTGAATTGGAATCAGGAACAGAATTAAAAAGTGCACCACTTAAAAAAATGATGAAATTCGGAAAGGTCTGTAGTTCAGTTTAGTAGAATTTCTCTAATGCTATTTTCCTGGTTTTGGTAACTGAACTATACAAGACGGTAACTTTAGGGGAAGCTAGGTTAAGATCCTACTATAAACAGGAGCTCTTTGTATTATTTTTGTAACATCACTGTAAGTCTAAAATCATTTCTAAATAA
The DNA here is from genome assembly GCF_000001405.40 of Homo sapiens. Classification (NCBI taxonomy): domain Eukaryota; kingdom Metazoa; phylum Chordata; class Mammalia; order Primates; family Hominidae; genus Homo; species Homo sapiens. Next base: position 27,919,106 of record NC_000018.10, read on the forward strand.
AAAACTTTAAAAAAAAATAGGCCGGGTGCGGTGGCTCACACCTGTAATCCCAGCACTTTGGGAGGCCGAGGTGGGCGGATCACGAGGTCAGGAGATCGAGACCATCCTGGCTAACATGCTGAAACCCTGTCTCTACTAAAAATACAAAAAAAAAAAAAAAATTAGCCGGGCGTGGCGGCGGGTGCCTGTAGTCCCAGCTACTCCGGAGGCTGAGGCAGGAGAATGGCATGAACCTGGGAGATAGAGCTTGTAGTGAGCCGAGATTGCACCACTGCACTCCAGCCTGGGGACAGAGTGAGACTCCGTCTCAAAAAAAAAAAAAGAAAAAAGAAAAAAATATATATACATATGTTTAGGGTCACAACATTTTCAGTAACACTATTAGATACCATGAAGGAATAATAAGCATAAAATATAGGCTAGTGGTGACATTTGAGAGTGACAGCATGGGAACTGGATTAGGGAGGGGCACACAGGAAGCTTCAAAGGTAATTTTAATATAACTGTTTTTAGAATGGCTGTGAATACATGAATGTTCATTGTTAACATGATTATTTTATATCTTCCATATATTTGATAATTTTTGAATCAATGGAATAGATTTAATAAATACAAATATGTGAGATTCTGACATAAAGAGTTTACATTAGAAATAGGCTCATTTGTAGCCATTTGAAATTGCATTGCATTAAATCAGAATACTCCTAAAAAGACCTTTCCATGTTACAATTTAAAGTGTTAGGTTTACTTATTCCTCCCTTTGGGGATTCCTAATGTGAGTTGGCTTGCATTTGAGCATAGTAAAACCTTGGCAATAATGCAGTTTAATCCTGAGTGTGGTATCAATGGAGAAAGGGGAGCAGTTGGATTTTTTTTTTTTTCTGCCTGTGGATACAATCTTAAGAAGAACAAATGGGAAAGAGTACTTCTTGGCACATATTGAGAAAAAAAAAAAACCTGCAGTGAGTCTCAAGATACCCAATTAAGATAAAATTAAATCATGCAAATATTGATCCAGTTAAATTTGCCATGGGTAAGCCTTATTATCAATCAAAATTTTTATATCAAATAGCAAAGAACTATAGAAAAGCCAAAATTATATATATATATAAAGAAATGAATGATATATATATATATATGTATATATATATCAGGGTATATATATATGTATATATATATCAGGGTATATATATATGTATATATATATCAGGGTATATATATATGTATATATATATCAGGGTATATATATATATATCAGGGGAACAGTAATAATAAAGAAAAACATATTTTATTTCACTTTTATTACTTGTGTTGGTAATTGACTCATAGTTTTGCTTTTGACTAATTATGCTTAAAATTTCAGACTCCTTCCCAGATGATTAGCATTCGTAGATAATGCGATACTCTCAAAAAACTAACATATTGCTTAAATAAGATGCACACAATTTTAGTCAACGTGCATATAACTAAATGCACAAAATGGACCACAGAATATCCACGAGCAACACAATGGCTCATGGCTCTGGATGTCCCTAGAAAATGACTACACATGAGTTCATGGATCAAAGTAATTGATGACAGTTTTATCACTGAAGTTATTCCTTGAGGAATTTAATACTGATTGATGTAGGCAAACATGTTTAATTCCACAAGTTTGAATGAATGCAAGTCTGAATTTTCTTTGTAAGTTTTTTTCTTCAATAATATGGTTTCCAAAAGCAAAGTCTCCATTGAAAAGTTTGCATTAAAGCAAACTCACAAAAAAACTCTTCCACAAGAAAAGTACAATTAGCCATGAATTTGCTTTATATTGTTTTCATTATTTAGGACATTATTCCAAGAGAGTTGATTGCTTTTAAGTCTACCAAATTATACACGCCCGTGTGAGTACAGACTGCATTAAAGCAGTCCTCTTTAGAGGTCACATTTCCCATTGATGCTGACCCTTCATCAAATGCTTTTGGAGTTCCTCTTTTGGAATTGTACTCAGAGCTTACAACACATTCAGGAAAATCCTCAGAGAATAACCTTAGTTCTTTGACAGTGGGTTTGATTTTCAAAAAGAAAGTTACGTAGCATTTGGTATAGTGATTAAAATGGGTGCTGAATCTGGTTAATGGAATTCTGAGCTAAACATGAGGCATGATTACAAATGATTGCTACTGCTCCACAGGACATTTAAGAAGGACTTTGCACCAATGGGACCTTTGTTAAAATGAGCATATAAACTTCCAAAGAACCTATCTTGAGGGACAATATTCATTTGTCTGCATAAGTTATGGCATTGACATTTTAACAAACAACACTTTATAATTCCTAGCAGTACAACGTTGAAGGCTGGTTAAGGTTTGCTGTCCCGAATGTGTCTCTGAGAGCCATTCTGTTTCTGCTAAGCTAGGGCTCTTTTCTGAGTCCTCTCAGCCACAGGGCGGGGCCGAGCCTCACGGTAGGCCCGCCTTTTTCAGCACCATCTCCCAAAATCTGCCCTGAGTTCCCACCTTTCTTCTAGCCTGCGTGGAAGGCTTCCTATGAAAGCTTCCCCTTTCTTCACACAGCCAGCAGCCTAGAGGCAGCAGGAAATCAAGACTGCTTCAAACAGGTGAAGAAGATGGCCGTGAAAGCCACAAGGTCATCCCCCTGAAGGTACTAATTTGTTGAAATTTTACTAAAATGAAATGGCTAACAAGTTCACTAAAGAAGACGTATAGCTGAGAGTCAACAGGAGCAGAGCCAGTGCTACTTTCACCCAAATAAACAAATGATATGCACACACCCCTCAGTTTCAGTAAAGAATCGGTTGGCAGAAGCTTTTCCTCTCCTGCCCTGACGGCGAGTTTTCTCCATAACTTGCTCCCGGGGTTCCCCTGCGGGTGTCCTCTCCCATCCAGACTGGCTGGCCATTCCCGGGACTAGACGGTGCTTAGGGCGATCGGGAGCTCTGATCCGGCCTGATTTTTCTGATCATCAGCTTCCTTTCTTTTTCATACTCTGATTCTAAAGATAAAGATAGAGCCAGTTTCTCCCCCTTTGGTGTTTCAAATTCCTTTCTCATGACTCTTCAGGCAGTACAGTGAAGAGATTAAGTGCACGACGTGGAATTCCGGCCTGTCTCCTTAATAGCCTTACGATCTACCTCACGGAAGTGTTATGAGGGTGGAATGAGTTAGTGCACATAAAGCCTGTAGCATGGTGCTTGGCCCAGAATAGGCCCTCAGCGAATGTTAGTTATTATGGTGATGATTAATACTTCAGTTTCTCTGTGCTCAGCAAACACCACCTCCCTGTGTGGGCACTGCATAATCCCCTCGCCACATATATTCAAGGTCCTACCCCTGTCTGCTTATGCTATGGTCTCTAAGGAGGAGCAATGGGGGATGCCTGTCACCTTCCAAGACTTTTATCTGAAACAGGCTTTATCTCGTTCTCTTTGGAGATTTTTCCCCGAGGCTCTTTTGTCCCCTATTTCAGAGCTTATTTTGCCTCCCTTTTGTGTTACATTTGCTTCTATAGGGGGGTAGAGTTGCCCTATTTACAAGAGTAGCTATCACCATGGTAACTTGGTATTTTGATACAGGCATGAAGCATTTCTGAGGGAAAAATAGGTCCCTTATTTTTCAGCTTTGGCATGTAGATGTATGGGAATCAAAATACTTGCCCAACATTATATATCTGGTTCAAATGTCAAAGCAAAGAAGCAAGTTTTGTGGATATTTTAAATAAGTATTGAGCAACCACAGCATGGTATCAATTGGGCAGAACATTCTCACAATTAATTCCTGCCGCTTAGGCATGAATGCCTGAAGGCAGCGTGGCGTATACTTTGGTGAACTCGTTCTCTGAATGAAAAAAATAATGGTACACATGGTTGGACAATAAAACATTGTGTTCACTCACATTGCAAAACGTGTCAGAGATGCCAGGTTGGAGTTTCTGAAATATTTTGATTGTTTTTTGAGAACAAACAAGACAGAACATTCTAAAATCAGCCTGCTGTTTAATGATCAGGGGAATGTGTTTACTGTATATGTCACTTACTTATACACTGGGCATGGAGTAAGGGAAAGACTGGTATTGGGTGTTGAGTGCCTACTGTGGGCCAGGTTCCCTGCTATGAGCTGCTAACATAGATGAATGAACTGTAATTCCTACCTTTGAGACTTTGCATTTGGTGAGGAAACAAATAATTATAATACAGTGTAATGTGTCTTGATAAAGATAGCTACAGAAATGATATGAGGGACAAGGAGGAAATAAGGCCTCATAGAGATGTACTCTGAACTGTTTTAAGGGTGAGCAGATGGTGAAATTAGAGGGTGTGGACTCTACCCCAGACTACTATAGAGTATCTTTCCAGAGCATGGACTTATTTTACTCTGCCAAACAAGGGCAACAGTAGTTTCTACTTTGGCATGTTCCGACAACCTAGGGATTCCGGGGACTGGGCTTGGAACTATTTTCAGTTCACTAAATGTGCCATATTTTTGCTTACCTTTGCTCATCTTGTTCCACCTACCTGAATTCTTCCTGTAGTACCACACCTCCTCTCCATCTGTCTTGTTGGTACATATCCTCTTACCCACTTTTGTGTCCTTCAGGCTTTGGCTGTGGTGTTTCTTCCTGGGGTAACCTTTGCAGACCCTCACAGAGGGCTTCGTTACTCCTATTTGCTCCTACAATATCCTCTACTTACCTTTCTATTAGTGCTTATAAACATTTTTTTTTCATTGCCTGTTTTCTGGCTTGGCTCATTCAATTCACTCACCCCGTTCAGTAGGAAACAATGCATATCATTCCGTTTTGTACTCCCAGAGCCTAACTTCATGCTTATTAAACAGATGTGTAAATGAATCAATGGAGAGACTTACTATTACAACTGCCCTTCAAGGGAAAGAACTACCTTGTCCCATAATGATGTTCTCTTGGATTTGTTATAGTCAGTCTTCTGCAAGGTATGGATGGCTAAACAAGATAGATGAAAATCCATGTTTATTTCACTTTGGGGGTAACATTTTATAATTTCGAACTTGTAGAAAATTTGCAAGTTTAGTATACGCAAAACCATAAATGTTTATGTGGATTTTAAAAATGGTTTTTATTTTATCCCAATTGCTTTACCATCTCTTTGTTCTTCCATTTCTCTGTACATATATGAACTTTTTTTTAAAGTCAATTCATCAATTATCTTTCTTTTTTTTATTATACTTTAAGTTCTAGGGTACATGTGCACAATGTGCAGGTTTGTTACATATGTATACATGTGCCATGTTGGTGTGTGGCACCCATTAACTCGTCATTTACATTGGGTATATCTCCTAATGCTATCCCTCCCCCCTCCCCCCACCCCACAACAGGCCCCGGTGTGTGATGTTCCCCTTCCTGTGTCCAAGTGTTCTCACTGACAAACGTTTTTTTAACCATTTGAGAGTAAATTAGAGACATCATGCCTTTTAACTTCTACATACTTTAGTGTGAATTTCCCATCAAAAAGACGTTCTTTTACTTTAAATCACAGTAAGATGATCAAAATCTGGAAATTTAATATTGATACAATATGAACAAATAATTAATAGTTTATACTTAAATTTCATCAATTGTACCAATAATGTTCTTTACAGCTATTTTCCCCAGTCCAGAATCCAATCAAGGATCACATGTTGCACATAGTTATCATGTCACCTTGAGTGTCCTTTAACGTGGAGCTATTTCTCAGCCTTTCTTTGTCCTTCTTGATCTTCATAGTTTGAAGAATACAGGAAAGTTATTTTGCAAAAAATCCTTCCACATTTGGCTTAGTCTAATGTTTTCTTGTAATTAAGCACAGGTTATGCTTTTTTTTTTTTTTTGCCAGGAATACTACAAAAATGAGGCTGCTGTATCTTTTCTGGTGCAGCATGTCAGGAAGCATACGACTTCAGGTTGTCCCAATATTGGTAATGTTAATTTTGACCACTTGGTTAAGGTGGTGTCTGCAAGCTTTCTCCACTGTAAAGTTTCTATATTTTCTTTGTAGGTAACAAGTGATTATACACACATATGTATATAAAGATGTTGTTAGATAGCAAGGTAGGAAGACAGATTATAAACAGATAGCCAGCCATGGACATAGAAGTAGATGTAGAGATGTACGTAGACATAGACATGGAAGTATAATTTCTGGATTTTATGTTGAAATGAATGTTTAGGTTTATGAGAAATTGCCACAGTGTTTTCCAAAGTAGCTGCACCATTTTGTATTCCCACAAGCAATGTATTAGACTTTGAGTTACTCCACATCCTCACCAACATTTTCAATATTTTGTTTTATTATTGTTAGTTATTTTAAAAGAAATGTAATAGTATCCCATTATTGTTTTCATTTTCATTTGCCTGAAGACTAATGAAATTAAATACAAAACTCCTTTATTACTTTTAGTTTTTTCACCATTTGGCTGTCCTCTTTTTCTTTTTCTTTTTTCTATTTTTATTATACTTTAAGTTCTGGGTACATGTGCAGAACGTGCAGGTTTCTTACATAGATATACACATGCCATGGTGGTGTGCTGCACCCTTCACCCCATCATCTACATTAGGTATTTCTTCTAATATTATCCCTCCCCTAACCCCCCACCCCCGGCAGGCCCTGGTGGGTGCTGTTCCCCCTCCCTGTGTCCATGTGTTTTCATTGTTCAACTCCCACTTATGAGTGAGAACATGCAGTGTTTGGTTTTCTCTTCTTGTGTTAGTTTGCTGAGAATGACAGTTTTCAGCTTCATCCATATCCCTGCAAAGGATATGAACTCATCCTTTTTTATGGTTGTGTACTATTCCATGATGTAAATGTGCCACATTTTCTTTATCCAGTCTATCATTGATGGGCATTTGGGTTGGTTCCAAGTCTTTGCTATTGTGAACAGTGCTGCAATAAACATACATGTGCATGTGTCTTTATGGTAGAATGATTTATAATCCTTTGGGTATATACTCAGTAATGGGATTGCTGGGTCAAATGGTATTTCTAGTTCTAGATCCTTGAGGAGTCGCCACACTGTCTTCCACAATGGTTGAACTAATTTACACTCCCACCAACAGTGTAAAAGCATTCCTATTTCTCCACATCCTCTCCAGCATGTTTTTTCCTGACTTTTTAATGATCGCTGTTCTAACTGGCGTGAGATGGTATCTCATTGTGGTTTTGATTTGCATTTCTCTAATGACCAGTAATGATGAGCTTTTTTTCATATTTGTTGACCGCATAAATGTCTTCTTTTGAGAAGTGTCTGTTAATATCCTTCACCCACTTTTTGATGGGGTTGTTTTTTTCTTGCAAATTTGATTAAGTTCCTTGTAGATTCTGGGTATTAGCCCTTTGTCAGATGGATAGATTGCAAAATTTTTCTCCCATTCTGTATGTTGCCTGTTCACACTTACGATAGTTTATTTTGCTGTGCAGAAGCTCGTTAGTTTAATTAGATCCCATTTGTCAATTTTGGCTTTTGTTGCCATTGCTTTTGGTGTTTTAGTCATGAAGTCTTTGCCCATGCCTATGTCCCGAATGGTATTGCCTAGGTTTTCTTCTAGGGTTTTTATGGTTTTAGTCTTACATTGAAGTTTTTAATCCATCTTGAGTTAATTTTTGTATAAGATGTAAGGAAGGGGTCCAGTTTCAGTTATCTGCATATGGCTAGCCAGGGCTGTCCTCTTTTGTGAATTGTCTATTCATAATTTTTGCCCATTTGGATTTTTTTCTGGTCATTTAATTATTGAGTTGTGAGAGTTATCTACTCTGTGTACAAGTTATTTGTTCACATATTTTGAAAATATTTTCTTCTGGGCTGGTATGCCCATTCATTTTCTTCACAATCTTCTGATGAGTAGAAAATTTTAATTTTGATGTAGCTTGCTTGTCATTTTTTTCCTTTTGTGGTTATTGCTTTCTGTATCTAAGAAGTATTTTCCTGCCTACTGTAAAGCTATTCTCATATGTTGCTTTCTAGAATATGCATAGTTTTATCTTTTCCATTTAACTCTATGATCAATATAGTGTTTACGTTATACTGTAGCCTATTAAGTGTGTAGTAACATTATGTCTAAAAATCAATGTACATACTTTAATTTTAAAATATTTAATTGCAAAAAATGCTAACGATCATCTAAGCCTTCAGCAAGCCATACTTTTTCTGTAGGTAGAGGGTCTTTTGTTTAACTTAAAGTGGAAACCTCCATTTTTAAAGAATATTTCAACTGGATATAGAATTCTGGATTGCCAGATTGCAGTTTTCTGCAGTTTGAAGATGTTCCATTGTCTTTGGCTCACATTGTTCCTGAAGGAAAGTTGACCTTAATTTATATCTTTGTATACAATGTGTCATTTTAATCTACCTGTTTTCAAAATGTTTCTCCTTATTGTTGGTTTTCAAAAGTTTTATTACAATGTGTCTAGGTGCAATTTTATGTTCTTAAACTTCTTAGGGGTCACTGAGTTTCCTGGATCTGCAAGTTACATATTTCACAAAACTTGGAAAATATCCTGACCCTTTCTGTCTCTCCTCTCTAGGACTTCAGTGACATATATGTTAGACCACTTGATGTCCCACATGCCACGGAGAATCTTCTTAAATTTTTTTCTCTCTGTTCTTCAAATTATATACTCCCTATTGATTTATATTTAAGCGTATTGACTCTTCTACCATCTCTAATATGCTATTAAGCCAATCAGGACATTTTTTATTTCAGATACTGTATCTTTAATTCTAAAATTTCTATCTGCTTCTTTCTCATACTTTCCATCTGTTAATGTATTACTCCACATTTTTCCTTAAAAACATTAACATATTTATAATAGCTACTTTAAGGTCCTTGTTCAATAATTCCAATATCTCATTTCTGTGAGAGTTGAGTACTATTAATTGCTTTTTTCTGGGCTATGTGACACATTTTTTCTGTTTTGGGGGCATATCTAGTAATTTGTTATTATATACTGAGCATTGTGGACGATACGTGGTAGAGATTCTGGATTCTGTTATACTCTTCTGAATGTATTTATTTTTGTTCTAGCAAGCAATTTATTATACTCTAAATTCCCTTCTTCCTGTGATGAACAATAGCTGAAACAAAACTTTCTCTCATTCTTCCAGTTCTTAATTCTAGTTAATCTTTTAGAGACTCCCTGTGTATGTTTAGATCAGCAAAGTTTATTCACACATTTTTGTGACATGTTCCTCTGACCTGGGACTTCTCAGTATTCTACCATCTGGCAGTCCTGATTCCTAACCTCTGACTTCTTGAATAAGACCAAGGCTTTCTGCTTATGCTTAAGTGGCTCCAGGCATGGGACTGGATGTGTCCTCAAGCAAAATGCTACATAAACAAAATCTCACCTAGTGCTCTTCTTTTTCAAAGACCAATCCTTCTCCAGTTTTTGCTTGCTTTTGATTTGTCCCCAGTGCTGATAGTTGCCTATAGTTTAGAATCATTATATAAAGGAAAGTTAGTCCTATATTAACTACTTTGCAGTTACCAAAAGTGAAATCTGCCAAAATGAACCTTATTATGCACTCAGGTCCTCTGCATGAAATAAGACAAAGATCCATTAATCAATTTATACCAGATATTAGGGATTCTGTCTAGATTTATTCTTTGTTTTCTAATATATCTTTGGGTAATTTTATCTGTAGCCATGACCTCCACTGACCCCTATTATCTCCTATATTAATGTCTTTTAAATCTTTAGCTTTAGACTTTATCATTCTTCTGTGATCCAAGTCTTGATTTCCAATTATCCTCCCATTCATATCCATAAGACAGCATTTTCTTTGTAAAATTTTGTCCATCCATGACCAGCAGAGACTGATACCCCAACTGTGTGTTCCTGAAGCAATGTATTTCTGCTTCGATCTAATCACTTGTCAATATCTAATTTCGATTTTAGGTAGTTTCATACACTCGTTTCCCCAAATATACTGTAAACTCCTTGATGCCATATGCCATGCCTTATTTATCTTCCTATCATTAGTGCCCAGATCAGTTATTTTATTCAAAAATGTTTGTTGAAAACAGATTTCAAAAGGAGCAAATATTTGCATCATTTTTGGCAATATAAAAGGATGCTATTGTCTCCCCCAAAAAAGCCGTTTGTTTCCTACAAAGTTAAAATGCTTAGATTTTCAGTAGGCCTCTCCAGGAGGCTTTGAGGAATATGAGAGAAGTGACACACTATGACCCACTGCTTGTAAGGACACTTTTAAAGACAAATATTTAATTTTGAATTTGATTAGATATTGATATTTACCTAACTCTTAGTAAAGGGGAAGTAAGCCTTTCTTTAAAAAAAGAAGTAATTCAATACATTCAAATTGTGAGTCGTATACACTCTTGGAAGTGTTGTATAATATGTTATCACTTTTTGATATAAATGTAAGGGGCTGCTCATGTGGAAAGTGGTCATTTTCCAAGCTCTCTCTTTCTCATAAAGAAGTAGTATAATAATAATAAAAATAGCACATGCTATATTTGTTGAATTCTTACTGTATATTTGAGGCATTGTCCAAAATGCTTCACCTATATTAACTCATCTAATACTCAGAACAATGCTACAGAAATGTATGGTTATTATTATTATTTCCTCAGTTGAAGAAATTGTGACTTAAGCAGTAGTAAGCTGAAGATATTTTACAGTCTTAGCTTTTGTGATCAAGAACAAACTCTATGGGTATAGAATATAATCCCTCTGCATACTTATTTCTGATACCTTTATTTTACCAACTCATTGCTCCTTCAATACCTTGTGTTTGCCTTTCAGCCATATCATGCATCATCATTTTACCAGTGACAAGTTACCTAAAATCCAATTTTTCTTTATGCTTACAAATACTCCCCAATTTCAGCAAATATTCTCTTTTCTCCATCACTGCAGTGAGCTTCTGTTTTGTCCTTTTAACTGTTGCACTTGCCTGTCATTAATACTCCTTTTGACTTGAAGAAATCATCTTTTTCAATCATAAGAACCTGATGAAGCAATTTATGTCCCCAAAACAACAATCCTCAAGTTGTTTTTAGTTGGCTGTTCTTCGTGTGAATTATGTGTAATGGTATATTGATGTTAGCTGATATCTAATAGGGATTGGTTTGACACTACCAATCTCATTTCTTTTAGGTACTTAGGTCCTTAGGTCCTAAGACCTGAGTGGAGATGATAGGACCTTTGTTTTTTTGGTTTATCGTGTCACCAGTTGCTTAATATTTGAGGTTTACTTTTTATAAAAAATACAGTAAAAAATTTTTGCAGCTTATAAGATATTCTTTACTTGGTTATAGGGAAGTGGTACTATTGCTGAGCTCATGAAGAGCAATTAAATAACAATAATTCACTAACATTTCAAAATTAGGCATCATCGTTTTTCTCACATTAAAACTAGTATAGTTAGTCTTAAGTAGCTCATCATTTTGTTATGGGGAGATTTGTACACATTTAAATCAGTGTTTTAGTTAAATGTAAATTAGTATTTTTATTTTAAACTGCAAAGAGCTGGCACTCACTCAGAAATATGGAAATGGCAACCAATAAAAGGAAAATGGTTTTCTTCTCTGAGATACCTATATGAGAAAATATTGTTAACAATAATGGGAGTGAGTTGTTCACATGGAGAGGGCATTATGCCCACAAGTACTCTTGAGGCAACATGACAAACTTGCCTGTTTCTAAAGTTCTGATTTATGTAGTGCCTTATTCACTGTGCAACAATATCAGTCTCTGAAGTGCATCCTATAATTATACCAGCAATAACCATTTCTTTTTGTTTATAAAAATAACAGTGAGTGAAGAGCTGAGATGTAATTTCCTGAAGCAAAGATCTTGAAAATTGATAACATCTTTGTAACTCTTCATGTATCATTTTCAAATTCAGTTCATAAGGTCAATATTTGTTTGTTAATGAGTTCTCAACAATGTCAGCCCAGAAAGTGACAGAAAATCACACGTATATCTAATGAATATGTAAAAATATCAAAATATAATGTCAATTCAATTATTCACAGTAATTGAAGGATTAAGATGTCCTATTTCATTGTGTTTTCTGGTTACATGAAACTTGATCCATTTGTGCTAGATGTATGAACCAGTTAACTTACTATGTCTCATTGAGTTACTTACTATGTCACTGAGTAGACATTAACCAACCACAAGTCTTCAATTTAGAAATCAAAATATCCATTGTACGGTCAATATTCTTTGAGAAAGTATGACAAAAACAGAAACGTAAAGATTCTACCAAATACCATAAGTATAAAAGAGTAATGGCCCAGAAAAATGATTTTCATTATTTCAAATATAAATTTAACTCAAAATTTGATGCAAAAAAGTTTTGGAAAACAACTAGATAATTTTGAATTTATGTAATCTTATTTAAAGAGGTGGTGATAAAAATGCAAATATGAAATTGGCTCTAGCTCTCTTTAGCTAACAGAATAAATCTTAGTTGAATCATTTATCCCCCTTTATACATATTCATATTCTTGCTGTAGCCTGAAAACTCAGAGGTAAAAAAGTAAGGCCTTTAGAGGTATCTAGGACACAATTGGCAAACAGATTAAAAGTCATAATAGTTGGCAAAGTGCCTTCTTCACGTCTCTTTCTCATTGCCTATGCTTATCTCCATATGGTGCCTCTGTTTCAAGCTAGGCACTATCTCGTCTTCCCCAAATGAAGCAGAATCAAATTTATATTTCATTTTAATCTGCTTATTCTAAGAAATTAATGCCACCTGCCCCACATGCAGACTGACATGCCTTCGTTTGGGTGAACTGTTAACATAATATCTGACTTTCCCTTGTCAGATGACATATTTATTTTTTGGTTTTCTTATGTAAGAGAGACTATGTTTACTAGAAACTTTTCTACCATCCCTTTATGACAGTTGACTGGTATTATGTACATAAATCAAACATTTAAATTAAATTTACTTTTCATTTTGCAAGAAATTCCTATGCCAGACTCTGGGGATTATGAACCAATTAACCTTTCTTGATTTCTCTTGAATACTTCTTGGTTCCTATTTATATTTCTTAGCACTCCTGTGGTCATAGGTTTAAAAAAATCACCTGAATAGTTTTAAGCAAAGAGTCCAATTTAGTGCAAGGACTTAGAGTTCTCTTTTGTAAGCTATACACAGCAATGGGGTTGGCACTGAGGAATGTCTGAGAAAGAGGCACTGGACTGCCTGCCTTGAAAAACTCAGCTGTCTCCTATCATTTCTGCGTCTCTGTGCAGTTGCTGAGTCTCCAGTTGCAGACCAGCTCTTTTTGTTCAGTTCATATGATGGAAAATGGCTATTGAATAACTCCATGTTCGTGTTGCCTTCATTAAGAGATGAGCATGACAGAGTTGAAGCCTTGCTTGCAACTACATATTTTCAGAGTCAAACTAGGATCAGCTGCATATACTTTGGCCTGAAAGCTGAATCATGTCAGACAAACATAGCTGTTGCTGTGGTAAACCATGTAAATGGTGGGAGGACCTTTGAAAGCAATACAAGATGCCTTGATTTTAACTCTTATATTAATTATATGAAGTTTTGACTTACCAAAGAGATAAATTAGGTTGATCACTTCTATTCATCAATTTTTAGTATCTATCAATGATCAATTAAATATCATTCAAATAAATCTAGAGCTGTATTTAAGGGAAAGTTAGATTTGGCTTTGGCTTGTAATCATGCCTTTTAAATCCTACTGCTTATGATCCAGATATATTAATAATATTTGCCCACTTGGAATCATATTTACTAGGAAGCCAGATAATATATTCATGCATTTTTTATTTTAGAGATAAATAATACTATGCTGCAATATTGCTGAAAATGCAAGTACATAGGTTCACATGTAGTTGTAACTCTAAAATATTAATTGTTGACCCTGGCACTCTTCTCTGATGTAATGTGGTTCATACTCATTAGGTCCAAAGGCAGGCATGATAGATGCATTGCTGAGATCATGGTGCCCACGAAGCCAAGGTCATAGGTGTAAGCTCTCTATGGGCCAGGTTTTCTGTAGAAAAAAAATGAAAAGCCAGCATCTCAAGTCTTATCTCTTTTTTGGATTAACACATACCATTAAACAGGAGGTATACTGATGGTAATATTAAATAAACCAAACCAAAATGCATGTCCTCCTTATTGTACCTAAGATCAACTTCATATATAAAGGGAATTTATTTATTTAATCAAAAGAATATCTTGGTTCAAGAGCATATTCAGCAAAATCATATACTCCGGCCTTTATGGAAATAGGTCCTCTTTACTTTCAACTATTCATCTATAAAATGTATAGGTATGTTGTGAAATAATTGTTTAGTCATCAACATGACCAATATAAATCATAATATGTATTATTCCTGAACCCCTATAGCATGTCCTGAATATTATGATTTTGCTACAATAAGTAGCTCTCTGTTTGAATATACTTAATTCCAGTTCTTAGGTTGGAAAAAAAGAAAGAGAGAAAAGGAGGGAGAGAGAGAAATATTGACTATGTTAGAAGAAAAGTAGTCTTGAGGCCCAACATTGTGGCTTTTACTTTGAGAGATTAAACATCTTGTAATTCTAACCCGTTTCGGATGCCCGAAGTCACTAAGCTATGAAACTGACTGATGAATCAATGATTGTTTCAGGAAAAGCAAGCTTCACGTATTTGGGATTTAAACAAAATGGCATGACACCTCAATGCATATTTTCTAAGAAATTTGAAATTATACCTAACTAAGACTTTCCAAACCCGATAAGTATTTATCAGAACTTGTTGACTTGAAGGCCATGGTATATTAGCAAATGGTGATAATTTTAGGTAGCTTTGATTGAAGAGCTTATTTGAGATCCATGTGAACAGTCTCACTGAAATAACATAAATTAAAGAAAGAAAATATGTTATCAGCCAGTAAATACAGTTTTTCTCTCACAACTGTGAAATAGTGAGATGACTGGCCTGTTTATATTCTTTTCATTCTAACAAATACACGTAGGATAAAATACACCAAATACTATTATGATTCCTCTATTAATACCATTTTCTTTACTTATATCAGTTGTGCTGAAGCACACACATTCACATGCATATGGTCATTCTAAGGTCTGTTTTCCTTCCTGGTTCTGTCGGCTTCCATTTTAGGTCGTTTATGCTGCTGTCTGTATCGATGTCTGTCAAACTAGCCAGTAGGTTGTGTCAGTTAACTCCATATTGCCTTCTGAAATGATTCTGAGAGCAATCTGAGTGCCATTTTTGCTTTGAGGTACAGATTTCTTTTCAAACCAATGAAGGTTCCATTACTGCAAGGAATAGATTTCTTTCTCTATCAGAATCAGAGTGGTTTATTGTCTCTTTGATACTGCAGGATTTTCTTTCAGAGAACTTTTTCTATTTTAGCAGGATATCCCTTTCTTGCCCTAAAGATCAGCTATTTTCTAAACCAGCATCTCCCTTAAAGGGCAATATACTAATTTTAATAATACATTTATTAGATAAAACATCATCTCTGTAAGCATTGAAACATCCTATTAATATTAACATACAATGAAATAGTCACACAGCTGTGTTTTCTTTGGTCCTTGACCCCAGGATTTTTGGAACCAGTAATTAATTAAATTAACTAATCAATTAACTAATTTGGTACAAGAGTCTGGAACAGAGTCGTGTCTGCACTGGAAGCAAGTGGAAGATTTTATTTGGGCCCGGCAGACTCCATAGAACTACCACTGTGACTACTCAAGAATGTCAATTGATGATATCTTTCCTTTATTTCAAATTCCTACTCAGCTTTTTATAACCCAAGACATAAAAATCTAAATTCTTTAGCATACTACACAGGTCTGAGTATGATCTGAAACTGCCCCAACTTCCAGCAAACTTCATTCCTTGCTGCTCTACCCTCCAGTGCTTTACTTGACCATTCCCAGAACATGCCTTGAGATCACACCTTGATGTTTTTGTATTATGCTGTTCCCTTTGTGAATGTTCCTTTTTTCCCCCTTGGGTTTGGGAAACTTAGCCTTCCACACTCATAGTAAGTATTGCCATGTGTATTAGTCCATTCTCACACTGCTATAACGATACACCTGAGACTGGGTGATTGATAAAGAAAAGAGGCTTAATTGGCTCACAGTTCTTCAGGCTGTAGAGGCTTCTGCTTCTGGGGAGGCCTCAGGAAACTTCTAGTTATAGAGGAAAGCAAAGGGGAAGCAGACACATGTTCACATGGCTGGAAGGAGAGACAGAGAGAGAGTGAAGTGGGAGGTGCTACATACTTTCACATAACCAGATCTTATGAGAACTCTATCACAAGACAGCATAGGGGGATAGTGCTAAACCACTGGAAACCACCCTCATGATACAATCATCTCCCACTAGGCCTACTTCCAACGCTGGGGATTACAATTTGACATGAGATTTGGGTGGGGACATAGAGCCAAACCATATCACCATGACAAGGGGGTAGGCCAGATGAAGTCAGATATTCATTTCAATAGCTCCAGTAGAATTGGGTCCATTCCACTATGGTACTGCCTTGTGTAGTGTCTGGCCACATGACTTATCTCTACATTAGACCAGAAAGTCTTTGAGGGCAGACTACAAGTCTTAATGACCTTTATAGACTTGTGCTTAGCATGGTGCTTGGCACACAACAGATGTCCAATCAGTCTCTATTGTTCAATGGCTATCTTTCTGGGCTAAAGTACAATGTGAAATACATTTTCTTTATTCATTATAGTTTCTTATGCAACTAAATTTGTCTCTTAAGAATTAAAAAGCAAGTTATTTTTTCATTTCACATTTAAAGGATTAAACTTAACAAAGCCCTTTTAAGAAGGCTTCACTAAAACTTGCACTCATTGATTTATGTGAATTGCTATATTATTCTGTTGCACTATAAACACAACTGTAATATTGACAGAAAATAGATCATCAAGGGAAGTCCAGATGTGTTTGGTTTTATGTTTTTCATTTCACTTCTTCTTGACAATAGAAGACAGAGTTGAAGGGATAGACTCAATGCTTAGACTTACACTAATGAACAATTGCTGTGATAACCATCAGTCAAGGTTAGAAGATCAAAATTAATATCTATATACATTTACATTCTACAAAGGTCTTTTATATACCTTTTCCTTTTTGCCTCTCATAATAGCCTTTTAAATTAAATAGACAAGCAGACATTGTTATATGCTCATTGTACAGATAAGGATGCGGATGCCATGGTGCATATTCATGAGTAACTGACGATTCTGGGACACAAATGCAGGGCTCCTGGCTGAAAACCTTTCTCTTTCACTACACTGCACAGCATCCTTTATTCTGTGAATCTGACTACCTACAGATTCCTTTTAATAAGTAAAACCATCTATTTCTCACTCACACTTTCATAGCTGATGTATTTTTCTTTCTTATACTGTTTTCCCCTCCCTCCCTTTTGTTTTCTCCAAGACAGAATCTCACTCTGTCACCCAGCCCAGAGTGCAGTGGTGCTATCACAGCTCCCTGCAGCCTCAATGTCCCAGGCTCAAGCCACTGTCCCACCTCAGCATCCTGAGTAGCTGAGACTTCAGACATGTGTCATCATGTTCTGCTAATTATTTTATGCTATTTTTTGTAGAGATGGGGTCCCACTGTGTTGTCCAGACTGGTCTCAAACTCCTGGGCTCAAGTGATCCTCCTGCCTTGGCTCCCAAAGTGCTGGGATTGGCATTACAGGCTGAGCCACTGTGCCGCCCCTCTCCTCCCTTTTGAATTACTTCAGTTATTTCTGCCTGGGCTCAAAAAAACTTGAGGTAGGAGACTGGCATTTTGTTATGAAAGTAAAACACTCTCAAGTTTTAGAGATATTCTAATTCAAAAGGAAACTTTAGTAATGCCAACTGAATGTGCTGGTAAAAAGATGTGCAAGCAAAATAGTTACATTCATTCATATTCAAAATATGAGTAAACTTCATATGAGGATAGCCAACATCCTCAAATTTCATTTTATTTCTCTTTTCTGGGAACATTAACAGAATTGAAATTGTGGGGTCAACTTTCAAATACATTAAAAGCTTGAAATTTTACCAAAACATGCAAAATTTACAACTGAAGTTTGAAATTTTGCTATATTAGAGGTAAAAATCCATCTTTATGAACATTTTATTATAATTAAAATAAAGACATTTAAAAGAAAATGTAGCGGTTCAAAATCTGGATCGTAGAATTAGACATGACTAAGTTTTTTTTCCAAACTCTGTAATTTACTATGTGATTTTAGGCAACTTACATATATACTTTTTGAACCTTAGTTTACTCACCGGTAAGACAGGTTGAGGTTTGGATCATATTAGATAATTTCTGTAAAGCATATCAGTAACAAAAACATGTGCAAAATAAAAGATTGTTATTGTTATGACATTAGGCTAATTTATCCCTTTGTTCGTTTTAATACACCATTTTAGGGTCTCAGGTACCATTGATATGCACCTCTGAATAACATGAAAATAACCTACACACTCAATCTTCTAATCTAACTTTCTTTTCTAAATTCTCTTCCCTATTTCTCTCAAAGGCCTGTGAGCTGCACAACACAATGGTAGGATTATAAGTGAGCCAAGGATGTAGGAACTACATTTCAAGCTTTCTTCGACATAAATTGAACTAATGGTCAATTATTTTAGGTTCTCAAGAAAATCAATAATTTATTTTTCATTCCAGAAAGATTTTATGCAGCTCCAGATAGTCAGAAAATCATCCGCTATGAATGGTGAGGCAAGTTTTTATTTAATTTTGAAAACACCAAAATATTTTTTTAACTTCTTTAAAAATATAGGCATATGATATGGTTTGAATATGTGTCTCCATACAAATATAATATTAAGTAATTTCCAATGCTGCAGGTGGGGTCTGGTGGGAGGTGATTGGATCGTGGGGGTGGTTTCTCATGGCTTAACATCACCTCCCTTTTTGCTGTCCTCGCGATAGTGAGTTCTTGTGAGATCTGCTTGTTTGAAAATGTGTGGCACCGCCCCCATCTCTCTCTTCCTTGTGCTCCGGTCATGTGAAGTGCTGGCTCCCCCTTCGCCTTCCACCAAGATTGTAAGTTTTCTGAGGCCTCCCCGGAAGCCAAACAGATGCCAGCATTATGCTTCCTGTACAACCTGCAGAACCGTGAACCAGTTAAACTTGTTTTCTTAATAAATTACCCAGTCTCAGGTATTTCTTTATAGGCAATGTGAGAATGGGCTTATACAGCATACCTTTTGAAAACCACCCACATAGTATTCATAAATTGAATATATAATTTGAATATATTATCCATATTTATAGACCATGTTTGTCCTCATACACTTGTATCATTGTGAATTATAATAGATAATTCTTATCTCTGACATCAACATTTTAAGGTGATAAAATGTTATGGGAAAACAAAATGAATCAACCTTTGGATTATCTTTTTCAATCAAAAGCATTTTTGAGAGCACTGAAATTAAAGCAAGTTTTAAAAGATGCTACTTGTGACTATTAAGTAGGAATTATTAATAATTATACTATACCCTTTCACTCTAGTAAGTTATACTTGATTATGTTCTAGATATTTCCCTTATCTTGAGAAAGTGAAACCTCTACATTTTTTTTAAATCACCTCACCATCAAGTACTGAACAGCACAGTGTTATAGCATCGCTTAATTTCTGTGTGTGTAATCTAGCAGAATTTAAGACAATACACGCCAATTAACTGGTATAGAAGCATGCAGGTATAAGCAAATCGTGCCTGCTAAATTGGGATATTCGAAGGAAAGCAAAAGTATTTTTAGCAAGGAATTCAAATGTTCAAATGGTATAATATTTACAGTCTAGGTAGAAAGAATGCTATCACATTTTAAAAATATATCCCTAGAAGTTTATACAAAGTACCTATCTCTATCTGTCAGGAGAATGTTTGTGGGCCTTCTGGATCAGATGAATTTTCTTTCTTCCTGTGTGTTTTTGGGAATGCATTCTGCATTTCCCATGTCTTTTATTTCCTGGGCTCCTTCCTCTCAATTTGGCTCTACATGATGGCCTAGTGAGTTTCCCCACGTTTTCTTCCTTGCAGCTACCAAATCAAGCACACATGTTCTTCCATAGATGAACTAATCACTGTGGGTAAACCCTGGGAGTCATAAAAATAACTGCAATTTCAGATAGCCTGGGGTCTTGGTGTCCTTAAGAGCTACATTACTTCTATTTCAATCTGTCACTCCCCACTGCACTAATATTCCTGCTGAATCTCTACCTGATTTCTACAATGCACTAGAAACACACGAAAGGAGAAACAGCAAAACAAAACCCCCAAAACCTCCTACGTGACCTTTATAGTAGAAATGGAGGGGGTGGTTTTTATCCAGCACTGCAGACACATTGAAAGTGAGTGTAAAATGGCCTGATGTCGAACTTTCCCATGCTGTTATTTAGGCATCACTGCTTTCATTCACCTCCACACTCTTCCTGTGCGTTGCAGATGTGGCCCTTGAGCTCACCTCTTTTCACATTGCCTCATTCCCAATAAGTCAAGGACTTCTTTGTCTAGTCATTCCCTAGACAAAGACTTCCTTCCTGGGAGTTCTTATACTATGTGGTTTAATTTTGTTTTTACTATACTGCAACATTAAATGGCTAAGTTACCAAAGTTAAAAACAGATTAATAAGCATGCACTATGGTGTGCCTCTCAGGACCTTCTGGAAAACTGAAAAATGTGCTTTCCCATTTCTGATAGTACTGCTGGCAGATGGCCCTCAGTTGTCAGCCCTCTTCTAGGGTTGCCTCCCAAGGCTAAAACCTTCCTAGGGCTGCACACATCCAGTGGCATATCTATACTGGGCTATATAGGCGTGTCTGCAACCCCACCCTTGGGCTTCAATTTGGGACCACCCTGAAGGACCAATATAGTTTTCTAGTTTCCTCAGGTATCAGTTGAGAACCTTTGTTGACACTTCATGGCAGCCCAACTTCTCCCTCTACCTAATCTGGCTTCTTTCCCTTTCTTTCCACAAACATAAATCCTTAAATTATTCATGATAAACTTTCTGCACGCTAATCTCAATCTCAGTATGCTTCCTTTGGAGCCCATCCTGGGACAGGTTCTTAATTAGTGTTCCTCCATATGGTTACCAACTGTCTAAATCAGATGAGACCCCAACAATACTTTTAGGCAAATCCAGACTCGCTCTTCTCTTGGGTAATCCTGCATGGCGGGTTCAGTTGCTCAGACTGTGGTCTTGGGTATATTGGTGTGGGAGCCAGGCAGTATTTTCAAAAGGTCCCTAGAAATTCTAATATGTAGTAAGTTTAGGGATCACTGGCCAATAAGCTCAACCATTATCCATCAAGTCCTTCCACCTTCCTGGATGCCTCTTATTGTAAAGAACCCTTGCCAACTCTTTGGAGCTTTTTCTTGTGCTTTATTTGGACAATAGTTTTGTTTTATGCTCATTTGAGGAGCCATGTTTTTTCCACCCTGAGACTAATGAGTGACTTCAGTCTCCTTGGCTCCCATTATAGTTCCTCCATTCTTCAAGGTCACTACATGATTTATTCACATATTGCATCTTTCCTAGAGGACTAGTCACGTGAGAAATAAGGTTTGACAATAGAAGAATCAATTTAACATGCAAAAACAGTAAAAGACAGTATCCTTCAAAGGACAAAATAGCAGTTTGTCACACCATTTAATAATTTTGTCTCACCATTAAGAAGTCATAATTACAATAAATTATTGCAACTGCAAGAAAAACAAAATCAACAAGCAAACATATCCTGGAACAAAAGAACAAATGAATAGCTCCATCTCTGACCTGTTTCTCTGGGTTGTGCCATCAGTACATTCTGAGATAGCTAAGTATTGGCTTTTAGTTTGTAGGAGAGATACATACATACATAGCTGAGGTTTCAATCTAAGTAGCACCTTTTTTTTTTTTTTTTTTTTGAGAAGGAGTCTCGCTCTGTCGCCCAGGCTGGAGTGCAGTGGTGCTGTCTTGGCTCACTGCAAGCTCTGCCTCCCGGGTTCACGCCATTCTCCTGCCTCAGCCTCCCGAGCAGCTGGGACTACAGGCACCCGCCACCACGCCCAGCTAATTTTTTGTATTTTTAGTAGAGACGGGGTTTCACCGTGTTAGCCAGGATGGTCTTGATCTCCTGACCTCGTGATCCGCCCGTCTCGGCCTCCTAAAGTGCTGGGATTACAGGTGTGAGCCACCGTACCTGGCCAAGTCCCACCTTTTTTATGATACATATGCCATTTTTCCAAGTTATTGATTTAATATTTAAAACCTAACATTTATACAGCCTTTTCCAGTTTATAAAATACCTTCACATCAATGGTCTCATTTCACATTCTTCAGTTGTGCTAAATGATTTCATAAACTTGATGATACTGGTATTAAGTTCTTGTAAAGAATGTGATTCTGATTAACGAAAGCAATTAGATATATTTGCTTCTATGCCCTGTATATCCAGTTATTAAAGTTTAATGTTGCATGATGACCTAATTTCTGAAAGATTCCTATACATGCAGCCAAAGGGTTTAAGAGGAATGATACTATTAAGAAGGGAAATATTAGAAAGTAGATATAGAATTAGGTGAGCCAGGCTAAAATAGATGGTTCTGCTAACATAGCTGAGTTATTAAATCTGCACTTTTTATGCCAAAGTCCACAAGGAAAATCTCCAGAGTAATAAAGTTTGATCTCTTTAGGATCTATCACTTCCAGGCAATTTAATCGATTTTCAGAATTTCTGTGTTTCCAAGTTTCCTGGATGTACTTGGATATTCTTCCAGAGCTGGCAATTAAGGAAACAAAGTTAACAGGTGCTGAAGCATTCTGGAAACTGGGACCAGAAATCAAGTACAATTCTACTTCCATAAACTTGACTATAAGGGCCAAATAAATTATATAAAACATATTTAATGCTGCTTTTAATAATGGTAAAAAGTTCAAAACCTGGAATGCAGAAAACTTAGATTTTTTATTTTTTATGAGGTAGGATAAACTCTCTTACCCACATAAGTGTGTATACTGGAAGGGCAAAAAGAATATGTATGTTAGAATTACAAAGTTCTTATGGAAGTTCTGTCTGAAGTCTTTTCAAATAATGTTTGAAAAAATATGAGAATAACCTGAAACTTAAAAAGCTTTTTGAGAGTGAAACATTTTCTTTCTTTGTAAATTATAAAAGGCTATAGTGTAACAATTATAGGTAGGTAGATAAACATGAACATGTCTTCCTAATAATAGATAACAATAGCTAACTTGTAATGGTGTGGTTACAATGCTCCAGGTGTCCCCTATTCCACAGACAAGGACACAGAGAGAATGAACAAATTATCTGAAGTTATGCAGCCATTAAAGGGCACAGGTGGGATTTGAACCTAGGGAGAATCATACCAGTCTGTACCTCTGGCCATGTTTAATTTCTTCTCAAGGCACTTGAGGATGTTGCAGTGCTCTGGAAGGCCAAGAGTTAGTATATTAGAAAAACAAATGTTTTTTATCCAAGCTATGCTGCATAAAGAAACAGAAGAAAAGATTCATCTTTCTTAGTGGAGAAGAAAATGAGTTTCTGCTAGCAGACTACATGTTCCCCCAGAGCCCGGAAATGTTACTTTGATTTCCAAAATTGTTCAGCTTACAACTGGAAAATGAAACATGTCGGCCAGAGATGGTAGGTAGGTCTTGTTTTGTGTATGAACGAGATTGTCCATAGTGGCTGTGTGAGTGCGCCTGGCAGCTTTCTAGGCCCTGGAGAGACTGATGAGTAAGAACGCTAGGAATGTGTCAGTCTTGGTGCAAGCAGTCAAGGAACTTAGTGAGTATAATAAACCATTATGTTTTCTAAAAGTTTCCTCTTGTCCTGAGGTCTCCCATTCATCTCCTTCCCCACCACACACCCACACTTCTATGCTTGTGTTTCACAGGGTATTATGGTTCCTTGTAAATTATGTGATTCATTCGTAGAGTTTAGAATGAACTAAATTAAAGATTTAATTTAGGTATATAAATATTTGACTATCTGAACACCCCAAAATGGCGATCCTATGTGGTTCAACTAATACACACGTGGTACTATGCAAAAGAGCCACTCTTTCTTTTATTCACTCAGCCCTCTGTCTTTTCACTCAGTGTCTTCTAGAGATAAGTAAGTGTGAGCTCTGGAGCTAGACAGTTGGGCTTAATAAATCATGGCTCTGCCACTGACTAGCTCAGTGTCAGTGGACAAGCCACATAACTTCTCCTAATAGAGCTTCTCCATCTCAAGAAATCAGGAAAAATAAAAGTGACCTTATATACCTTAATATGTATTTCATAGACTCAGACACTCTGATGCTAGTGCTTTACTGATGTTACCAAAAAGCATCAACGTAAAGTTTTCACACAACTACAGCACCTTGCTGGGGTAACGCTATTAACTGTATGCAGCTTCTTGATCTTAGAATTGTTAAAATGTGGGAAGTAATGATGAGTCTATAAGACGTGATGAAGTAATTACTATAAATATTAAATGAATTAATATGCCAAGTCCACAGCCCAGTATCTATGCACCTGGAAAGAACTCAGTATTAATAAAATCCATCCATGTTGTTGGATGGGTTTCTGTGTAGGGGTTTACACAAGACTGGCCATAGTTTTGGTTCAACGCAGTCTCTGAGGCCATGTTTTCTACAACCACAAAAGAGGTCCACTTTAATTTATATTGTTCACATGAGGCCTGAAGAGATGAGGCTTTGATTTAGTTTTATTTATTCCAAAGGTTGCAGAGTTACTAGTGCAGTGGTATGAAACTAGGTATTCCAGGTGAAAAAACTGTGGGACAAAAGGAAAACATTTCCGTCAGTCTGTGGTGGTTGATGCTTTTTTAGATACCTAAAGATTAAGATGGAGATAAAACAGGAGAAAATGAAACAAAAAAATTATTACAATAGTATCAGCCTCTGAATATAAAAGCGATTTAAAATGAAAATAAAAATATTCTCATTCAATGTTTTGCTGCTGACCACGGATGTTAACAAAATGTCTTTACCATATATAATAAAAAACTATTAGAAAAAAGCAGCAAACTCTAAAATTTCAATATGCAAACTACCTTTCTCACAAAGTAGAAACTAGAAAAATAAGCTGTCACTGATAAATATATATGTATTAACCTACAAGATAAAGGTCAACATTCTTAAACTTGCAGTTTTTTATTCAATGTTCCTTAGTTGCAGAGAAAGATCAAGTAAATTACTGTAGAAGCTGACATCCATTTCATAATTAAGTTAGCCATTAATTCCTGAATTCCTGAATATATGAATACTTTTTTGAATTACTCGAGGTCAGCATGTCCAAAGTTTAAAACCTGATTAAATGAATCTAATATATCAAATATATGTTGGCTTACAGTAACAGAATACCTCAAAGGATGTCTGTCTCCCATCATGTTTCTGATTCACAAACATGTTCTAATCAACAGGCTTCACCTCTTCTCCTCCTTCTGCCTCCTCATCCAAGAGTGGGCACTTAAAATATCAGGTCAGGTGTGGTGGCTCATGTTGCATGTAATCCCAGTGATTTGAGAGGCTGAAGTGGAGGATCACTTCAGGCTAGGAGTTCAAGACCAGCTTTGGCAACATAGTGAGACTTCCTTTCTAAAAAAAAAAAAAAAAAAAAAAGGCCAGGCACACCCTAGTCCCAGCTACTCAGGAGCCTGAGGTATGAGGATGTCTTGAGCCCAAGAAGTTTGAGGCGGCTGCAGTGAGCTATGATCATGCCACCGCACTCCAGATTGGGTGCCACAGCAAGACCCTGTCTAAAAAAACTGTAATTCTCATGTAGGCTTAGTTTTTGCTAAAACAATCATAAAATATATATTCTCAGATTTTAAGTTGTACCTATCGTTAGCATATCCATTTGTTGTACTAGAAATTGAAGGTACTGGAATTGCTTTAAATATACAAATAATCTCTCTCAAACTTGTTTTAGCTGCTGTAGCATCATCTTTTTCCACCCACCCAGTGCTTAATTAGGCTAAGAAGCAGAAAAAATGGTGATGTGTGAGTTCTTACTACAAACCTTACAGAAGTACTGACGATCAATGAAAAAGCAAGACCCGTAAGACTGAATTTGCTGCATGAAAAAAAAGAGAAGTGCTCTTGCTTTCTCCCCTCTGAGTCCTTTCATAATGGGGGTCAATCAACTGATACTTTCCAGGAAGGAAGATTTTTTTTTTTTTTTTTTTTTTTTTTTGCTGTTTGCTTGTTGTTGCTAAGGATATGGTGATAATAACTGTCAGGTAGTTTATATTTGTATGATCTCAAAGTCATCTTGTATGAGTCAAAAAAGTGACAGTTCAGGATCACATGAACTCTAAGGTCTTCCAGTTTTCCTTATGAGTTAGTCTTCCAACTTTTCCTTTGAATATGAAAAATGATACTTTCTCCCCCCAGTAAGGAAAAAACTTTTAAATCAAAACATAAAGCTACAATGCGGTAAACATGAGAGGGAAAAGGAGCCTGGTTGTTGAATGTCTCTTCTTTTTAATACCATCAGGGTCCATTAACACGCTGGTGACCTGGAGATACCCTGAAGAGCTGTGGGAACAACCAGTGAGAGCCTAGTTTATTGAGGTCACAACTCAAAATGCAGGATTGTTATTGGCTTAAAAGGAGGTAAACTGCAAAAATCAAATCATTGTCTGGACTGATGTTTTACCAATCCACTGTTACAGTGTCTGTTTGAAAATGGCATTGAAATGAAAGTTTTAGGACATACATGTTGTTTAAAATGTAGAAGGAAAAATTATTCAAGTTATTAACAATGAAGAGATGGACATGCTACATCAGACTAAAATCACACACATATTTGGCTAAACAAACAAAAAATCAGCAAAAGAAAGCAGGTATGGCTATATTAATATGGAATAATGTGGAATTTAGAACTGAAGGTACTGAAAGTTACTGAGCAAGGACTGGTAAAAGTTACAATCCAAGTTTTAAGCACATATCATCATGGTCTGGAAATACATCCAAAAAGCTCATGGGAAATGTTAATAAATCCCTTTCAAGAACTGATAAACCAAATGGAAGTAAAACATTAGTATCTGAAAAACAAATTAATAGGCTTGGAGAAATGTGTACCCAATAACCAAATGAATAAATATTCTGTATCGATAAATATAAAGCTGGTTCTCTTAATAGAATAATAATATTTGACTACCCTGATGAAGAAAAAAGTAAAAAAGAAAAAAGGGAGAAAGAAAACATAACCTAAGGTATGATACAGATTTTATGAAGATAATACTGTATGGAATTTTCTATTGATACATTTTTTAAAAGCTAGATTCTGCAAGAGACTTTTCAGGAAAATGTAAATTGTGAAACATGTTCAAAAATAAGTGCAATATCAGAATTATACCTATTCCTACTGAAGAAAACCTATCCCCAAAATGATAAAATTGTAGGAGAATTTGAGCATTTTTAATGGAGAGTTCATTGTGATGTATATAATCCAGAGCATAGGAAAAATGGCAATCTTCCTAATTACTTATTGTAGGCTAGCATAAGCCTAAGACTAACGTTGAGCAAAATATTGAAAAAACAAAGTATAAGATAACCACATATAACTTAAAATTCCTGAGTAATATAGCAGCAAATAAAATATATCAACCCATTAAAAGAATAACATTATGACCAAGTAGGTTTATTCCAGGAAAGTTCAATTCAATATTAGAAAATCTAATGGCATTAATGATGTAATTCACTCTTATTAATGGGCTAATACACAATCATCTATGTAGATGAAGAAAGTGTTATAAAATTCAACATGTACATACAAAATTTCAAGGTAAGTGAAGTATAAACTGGTATCTATACTAAATGCTATGCATAATCGTGAAACATACAAAGCCTTCCTATTATAGTCAGGAATAATAAAACAATGCTTGTAATGATCACTGCTACTAATGGTACAGAAAAAAAAAATACTATTCATCTTGGAAAAGGGAAAAAACTGTCATTAATTGCCGTTATGATTGTTTGTCAGGAAAATCCAAGAGAATCGCCAAAAAGCTATTAAAAGTAATACAACAGTAAAATAAGACAGTAACAGGAGAAATAAAAGTTGATAAATCTCCAACAGAGCAGTAAAGTATCACTAGAAAAAATGCTATAAAAAGTAGAGCCCACTCATAATAGCAATGAAAATTATTAGAGTGTAATAAAATGAGATGTTTAGTGAAATTCCATGAAAGTATATACAATGTGAAAAGTGAGAATATTATAGTATTGGATAGAATAGTAAATGAAACTGTTAGCTTTTCACAATTCAATCAAATTTTGAATAAAATTTGTTATGGAACTTCACAAAATAATTCTACAATTTATGCACAAGAGAAAATGCGAAAAAAAGAACGTAAGAAATTTTAAGAGGCTTCTTCAGAACTGATAATTTAGTGTAAAAATTGAGTATTGTACAGGAATTTAAAGGTCAATGGAATAGAAGATCCGGAAACAAACACATGCTTATATGACAACTGTGATGTAAGTATGTGATATAAGTATATGTGATATAAGTATATGTGATATAAGTGTATATGATGTAAGTATATGTGATATAAGTATGTGATGTAAGCATATGTGATATAAGTGTATATGATGTAAGTATATGTGATATAAGTATATGTGATATAAGTATATGTGATGTAAGTATATGTGATATAAGTGTATGTGATATAAGTGTGTATACGGTAAAGAATGCATTCCACATGGTTGGGTTTATATTGAAGTTTTTAACAAGTAGTGTTTGGAAAACAGATATAAGTGATATAACTTTGATATAAGTGTGTATACGGTAAAGAATGCATTCCACATGGTTGGGTTTATATTGAAGTTTTTAACAAGCGGTGTTTGGAAAACAGATATAAGTGATATAACTTTGATATAAGTGTGTATACGGTAAAGAATGCATTCCACATGGTTGGGTTTATACTGAAGTTTTTAACAAGCGGTGTTTGGAAAACAGATATAAGTGATATAACTTTGATATAAGTGTGTATACGGTAAAGAATGCATTCCACATGGTTGGGTTTATATTGAAGTTTTTAACAAGTGGTGTTTGGAAAACAGATATAAGTGATATAAGTGTATGTGATATAAGTGTGTATATGGCAAAGAATGCATTCCACATGGTTGGGTTTAGACTGAAGTTTTTAACAAGTAGTGTTTGGAAAACAGACCTTTATCTAGAAATGTTTTAGAAAGTTAGATTTCTGCATCACACAAAATCATTTCTAGGTGGATTAAAGAGATAAATGCAAAATAATGGGAACAATACAGAATAATCATCTTATAATTTAAAGGTGTTAAGACCTTCTCAAAAATCTAGTCAAACATAGTGAGAACCACATAAAAATGAAACTTGCTATACATTTCTGTAAGAAAATTTACTAGATTAGCAAAAGATCATGAAAAAATGCATATAAGCTCTAATTAGAAAAACACAAATAACTCAACAGGGAAAATAAAATACGTAATTCAAAGAAACACAAATGGCTAATGAGCATAAGAAAAAAATCTCCAATCCCCTCATTAGTAATCAGAAAAGTCTAATTGTTAACATGAGGTATCTTTTGTTGCCTATCATAATGGCAAAACTTTTAAATGTGTGTGATGTCCAGGACTGTTGAGGATGAGTGTAAATATATTTTTGTACACAGGCTGGTAGGAGTGTACATTGGCATAGTTTTTAGAGAAATTTGGCAACGTCTTACTAAAATTTAAACTACACATACTTTTATCATTGAAAATAACCATTTCAAAGGGGTACTAACACTCTGTATGCATGTTTTTTTATTAGCAATATTGCAGAAGAGATCCAAATTACCAGGAATGGCCTAGAAAAACATGTTTCTGGATGGGATCCATAAACCATGTTGATAAATGTATAGTTTTCAGGTTTTAGTACGTCACATGGTTACAGTCATTTTACAGAATACTTTAAACTAGTATTGTGGCCTGACTCAAAAGCTAACTTCCAAAGAAAAAAGAAGGCGGCCCTGGCTGGATTGTCTTACATTTTGTGGTTACTATTTTGAGCTGCACAAAATCCTTTTGCCAGAGGAGGAAGTTACTGGCTTTTAGAAAGCCTTGTCTTCTTTCAGCTAAAAGGCACTTTTAAGCATGCTAAAACATTTATTATTTCAGCCATATTTAACTTATCTCCACATTCTTTAATCCAGCAATTCCATCTCCAAGACTCTACTAGTACTAGAAAAATATTCCCATGCAAAGAGACATGCACAAGGATGTTTACTGTGGCATTGTTTTTAATAGCAAAAAAATTGGGAACAACAAATTAATTAGGAAATGGTTCAATAAAACTATTATGTTCATATTATGGAATAATATGTAGCAGTTAAAAAGAGGTAGGTGTACATATATACTAATATGGAAAAATTACCAAGATACACTCAGTGAAAAAAGGCAACTTACAGAATAATACATAATGTACAATCTCATTTTCATAAAAACAAAAGAAAATCATTATGGACATGTGTGTGTAAAAATGCTTTTTGGAAGGACTAGAAACTAGATCAACCAGCTAAACAGAAGTTCCTTCTGTAGCATGGCAGCGGGTTTCCATTTTTTATTAGTTTCCTAGTTTTTTTAATATAAAAAGAATGTTTTTACAAAGAAAATAGTTGTTTATTATGCCTACAAAAATTAATATTTATATTTATTGTGTATATATATAAAACCTTACAAACACTTAAAGTTTATACATATACACACTAGATATGGCCTGTGAATTGTACATCAACCATAAGAAAATCATTTAAACAGTGTTTATCTAAATGGTGTGAGCATTAAGTGTTATGATGTGTGAATCTGAAAATATAGTTTCATTTGGATGTACAACAGCATGGAGGCACAGTCTAAGAATCAATTTTAGAAAAGACTATTCCGATTAGCAAATTTAGTAAAAGTTTCATTATGGAAATTCCCAGAGGCAAGCTCTGGCATTTAATGATTAGAAAAGTAACAAGAAAGTATTGCCTACAAAGTGAATCAATAGAAAAGTAAATTTCACGGTCTAATATAAAATAACCTTTATGTTAAGCAAAAAATATAGTTAGAGGAGGTATATTATATAAGTGTTTTCAATGTGTACAGTATAAGACTATATGGTGTGATGATTAAGAAACAAACAGATAAATACAAGTGGAGAATTCCTTTGCCTCTTAAAATTCAGAATGAATCATAGTAAGATACATAAACAATTTTACAAAATTTAGCAAGACTGTTTCCTTTTGTTGCCCTCTGCAACCATTACTATATCAAACTGAAGCAAATGATCAAGTCAATGGATAAAGGCCAGTCAAATCTAAGTGTGTTTCACTAAGTACATAAAACGATGGCTTCAATGAATTGCACAAGAATTCCAGGTGTCCACTGCAGTTTCCAGGTTCAGTCCTATAACCCACTTTACTGAAGTTTCCCTTATGGTGGTGGCTCTAATGGGAAAGGCCTGTCAGTCAACAGAACAATTAACTTGAGCAGAAACAAATTAAAACATGAGTTATATTAAGAATTAACACCGAAGTTCACTGAAGGTAAAGGATGTGATTTTTCTATCACCACCAGTAGGGTCTATTCCTGAATCACTTGATGTTTTTCTTCTATGATGATGGGAAGGTCCAAAATGATTCTCTCTGCTGCACACCGTACATGGTTGCCATGCTACGCGTTTCAATGGTGAATAGTGCAAGAACAAATACATACTTTTTGTACTGTTGTTCCCAGTACTTGGGATTTTTGCAACATTCAAAGCAGCTCAAGTAGAAAAGAAAAAGTTCAAACCAGTCACCAGATCCAAAATTAGCATTTTATTCAGAACGCTGGGGTCAGAGGTGTATCATTTATATTCTGGTACACAATACAGAGGCAAAGCTGTTGTCAGAAGTCTCTCCAGTTTAAAAGCTTTTTTTTTTCCATTTTTTTTTTAAAAAAACACACACTTAGTAGTGCCACCAGTGTCAGGCCACCCCTTTCTTTCCTTTCCTTTTTTTTTTTTTTTGGTACAAATTATGTAAAACATTTGTGCTAAGAACTTTTCTCCCTCCCCAAACCAAAAAGAAAATAAAAAATAAAAAAATTAAAAAAATTAAAAATTGAGTATTCTAACTACAGCTCAACAATTGAATCAAATGTCACTGTTTTGTAAATACTTTATCCATAACGAAAGATATAAACATGCAAAAAACCTGAATCCATAGTCCAAATAATACATACACATGTTCTGAAGTTTCTGCACTTCTCCATAGACTATGCCAATAAAACATTATGTACACATACTATTTTTACAGTGAAGTGGAAAAATACAGAAATAAAAAAGTGTACATGGATTAAGACCAAAATGTGTCTAACATTCTAGTTTATGAAAAAATTCAATTTTGCTACAAATTGGTGATATGAAAACTCCCTTTATTTGCAACCAGCTGAGTAAGTTTTAAGATTTTAGTGAAAAAAAAAAAAACAAACTAAAGTCTAAAACTAGAAGTAATGTACATTTTCCAATCTCATGGTCTCATCCCCCAAGATAATAAAATCGCTCCATGAGTTTTTTTGTTTGTTTAATTTTGTATTTTAATAAAAGCAAATGCAATGTAACAAAAGCGTGTTGAAGCATATCATGGTTTAACTTACTGCTCCCACCACAAAATATTTTGTCTTTTACTTATCGTTTCAGAAATCAGTACCATTAAAGCCTTAAACAGAAAACTAATTCCAATCTGAAAAAGGTACAAAAAGGCACATAAAATCCCAGTGCTTCTGTACTGTAAAATTCAAGTGTAACTGAGCTCAGTGTTTTTCCAAACAGTATGGATCACTGATATTCCCTCTGAGCCCAAATTGGTTTGCAGCCTATGCCAAAGCCTCCAGCAAGCACTGTGCTAGTAGACTACAAAGTTAAAGCCTAGCTTCTGAATGCTTTTTGGGAATATCAGTTGAAATTGTTTGTACTTGTCCAAAAACCAAGTTCACCCTGAAGTTCAGTCATCACCTCCACCATACATGTCAGCAAGTTTCTTGAACCGTGGCCCCCAGTCGTTCAGGTAATCATAGTCCTGCTCACCACCACTACTTGAGGAATTAAGGGAGCTCAAGGACCCAGCAGTGGAGCCACTGCCTTCATAGTCAAACACTAACAGGGAGTCATATGGTGGAGCTGTGGGGTCATTGTCAGCCGCTTTAAGGCCCTGCAATTTGGAAACACAAAGAATGAAAGAATTAAGAGAGGGTTACACTTTACAAAACCACAAGCAGATCCTAATGAATTCACGGGATCAAACAAACACTTGTTTGTAAATTTCCATTTACATACCATATTTTCAACACATGGAAAAGGGAGATATAACCATTTGAAAGTTGGACAAAAATTAACTTATATCTTTCCGGTGCAAAGAAACAACCCTAAGCAGTCAAGCTCAGGGAGGCCAAGGCTTATGAAGGGAGGGGGTTAACTGGGTAATAAGTTGGACAGGTGGCAGAAATGAATGGCCCTGCTTGAGGCAGAGAAGAAAGGATCTTAAATAACATAATATATAGAGCAGCATTGCTAGATTAAATTTAAAAAAAGCACCTCACTGAAATACAAGAGACACACAAATGAGTACCATGTGGTCCATGTCCCTCCACAGGCTTACAGTCTAGCATAACAGGTATTACTACTGTGTGAAGCAAATGACAAGTGACAAAACTATGAAGTCAAAGCAAAAGCCATCAGGTTGTGGGGGAAAAAAATTCACATCAGCATTAAGAGCTAGGAGTTCAAAGAGAAAGTAGCATTGTATTTGACCTCATTTTGGAAGGACATCAAAGGAAGACTGAAGACAGGTCAGATGTGATTACTACATAAAGGGAGGTACTCAGAAAATCATTTATGTGACTAACATAGCATAAAATGTGGAATTAATTAATTGTAAACTGGTATTTTAAAAAATAGGGTATCTTCTAACTTCCAAAAAATCCTAGAAATGTCATAATCCAATATCTGTACACGGTATAAATATTGAAAAGAGGAGGACTCCTGTCAATCTAAAATAACATGCGTTATCTGGTTCTTATAAAGAATTTTAAGAAAAAAGAAACAAGGAAATAACTACTATCTATATTTGTAACTTTTGTAAGCAGATGCTTTTTAATATACAATTAGAGTCTCTATGCTCTGCAAAACTTCTAAGGATTTAGTATTAGGTCCTCTGGTATATTTTCTACTTAATTTTTTCCCCCAATTCCATTCTAGTACTCCTAGATACACTAACATTAGTCTCCAAACAATCGTTTGCTTTTTCCACACTCTACTTGTCAAATGCTAGTTGGCTTATATGGCCTCACCTATCTAAGATGTGTCACAGACAGTCCTACCCTTGAGAGATCAAGCCTGCCAATACACATGCATTTTATGAGCGCATACATGGGTTTTTATGAGCATGTGTTCACCTATCCTTTCAAGGTTACAAAGGAGAAACAGGGAAGAAGAGCAAAAAAATTAAGGTCAGAATCAGTATGGTGTAGTGGTTAAGAGATCAGACTGTGAGATGACACCTTAGCTCTCCCCAGTACTAGCTGTGGGACCTCCGCTTAACCTCATCTACAACTGTAATCATAATAATAGGACTATTATAAAGACCAAATGCAATAAAGGGACCCGAGGTCTCACCACAGTGACTGGCACATGTAGAGCTCAATGAATATTAGTTAGTATTTTTAAAAAATTTAAGTTTTGAGAAAAATGTCCTGCCTTGGGATTTGAAAAAATAAGAAACGATGAAGATATATTTTAAGAAACAAAATGGCAGCTGCTTGACTCACGTCAAAAATCAGAGAAAAAAGTACACATGACCAGTTTTCTCATCTCCAGGTACCTCTTTACTAACAATCCATGAAATTTAGCAGTACTTTACTACTTTTCGTCATGTCATTTTATACTGTTTATACTCCAGAAAAGCCTGTGTAAAATAAAATAAAGCAGGTTTCAGCAAAATACTTTGATATATACAACATAAATAACTTTAGATAGGATTTTATCTTATTTTTAGACTAAGCTACAAGGCAATTCTGCTAAGACTGAGAACCACAACCTACAATTTCTCAAAACTTGTAACTCCCTTCTGTGGTAGATTGTGTTACTGCCCTCAGTGATTCACTGCTCTTTTTCTGAAGGCAGAACACACACCCACACTCCCACAGAGCCTCTCTGGGGTCAGGGTTTACTTTCCCAACCACACTGTAAGGCTTGGCTGTCTGACTGGCTTTGGCCAATGCAATGTAAGTAGCTGTGAAAAGTACCCGCTTCAAGAACTCTATCTAATGTGTTTCCACCCTTCCACTAATCCCCCTTTCCCCCTCTGCCAGGAGAATGGCCTGCTCCAGATGGGAAGTTTATCTGCCTGGATCCTGAAACGAAGACGACATATGGATCAGGAACTGAGTCACTGACAGACTACAGCTGACTTACAACTTAAGTAAGAAGTAAACCTTCATTATTATAAGCAGCAATATTTTGGAGTGGTCAGTGATTGGTACCTTAGCTAACAAAAGCCGAAGAATGCACCTTCATTCATTTTGTTTGTGTTTATTCATTAGATTCAAGATGTATTTGTTGATTATCTATTAATATTATTGCAATGTATTCTGCTAACTGGTAGAGACACAGCTACTAATGAGCTAGATCCAATGGCTGCCCTCGTGGAGTTAATATTCACATATTAGCCTACACTCCTCTTCCCTACAAGATCTAGCAACTGCAAATTTAACCAACAGCGGATTGCCTTAGTTCAGCATTGTCTGACTTGGGGTCATACAAGTAGGCCCAAGAAGGATCTGAAGAAAAAACAAGAAAAATCAGGGAAATTCCTGATAAGGAGAATGGGTCCCTGAAAACAAATATTAAATTTTCATTATGACAATTGCTTTATAATACAGACAACAGAGACAATGGCTAAGATCACTTTGTTCAGGTCATCTGCTTTACCACAATTTAATTATTAAGCGAAAATACACACAGAGCCCTGGCCCAATCCTTATGATGTCAACACCAAACTGGAAATATGGAGAGGTCAAGACTCAAATTAGGGATAGCATTAGGAGAAATACCTAATGTAGATGATGGGTTGATGGATGCAGCAAACCACCATGGCACGTGTATACCTATGTAATAAACCTGCACATTCCGCACATGTATCTCAGAATTTAAAGTATAATAGTAAAAAAAAAAAAAAAAGAAAAAGAAAGAAAAAGAGAATGACAAGTTAAAAAAAAAAAAAAAGACTCAAATTAGCCCGAAAGGGTCAATGGCAAGGCCTCAAGTGTGTCTGAATTTGGAGGAGAAAAAAGGGATGGCCTGTGTTTACTATGTCCAGGGAATAAACACAAGAAGGGGTCTGGTCTTCCCTGGTGTGTTCACGGACCCCAGGACTCTTCATCAAATGACTAAGCCACCTAATTCAATTCCTTAAAATAAATATAATGCTTGTGATAATCAACTCCCATATCCACTATTGAGAGTCTAAAAAATATTATTTTCTTTATTTTTTAGCTCCTGCCCTGGCTTTCTGATCATCCTGGTAGTTTACAAATCTCTGTTTTCTTTATTTCTGTTTTTTTTTTTTTTTTTTTAAAGAGGTTAAGGCCATAAAATCCATTAGAGAGAGACCACTGTGCTATGCTAGAGCACGGCACATTGCCTTATGTTTTAATAATTACAAAAGGGCAAAATCACTGAACTTTTCAAGAGTTCTTAGACAAGCCAGCTTTCTATGCAGGTTAAGTACTTTAAATCCCTTCCATTTGGATAGCACTGATTTTTATCTGAGAATAAAATATGACTCTTCTGAACGAGGTATTATATAAACTCTTGGTAATATTTTGGTAATTCTAAAAAGATCGCACTGAAGTCCTAAGAAACTGACAGTAACAGGCACGAAATCTGAGTGAATGTACAGAAGAAATCCAGTGGGCAACAGAACCTTCTGGTTCTCCCTTATGGGATTCCTTTATTCTTGGATATGAACATTATTTCACAGGATGTACTGTTACCAAATTTACAAACTAAACGCCTGTGTTTCTCTAGGTTTGACTAAATTTAGCAAAGTATCCTCTTGTTCCACCTTTCCTGGAGAGGTAGATCTTGAATTCTGGATAAAGCTGAACTGTCTTCTAAAGACTGAGGCTTCTCTGCAGAGTGAGAGAGCTTGGCTCTGGCTGAATTCTTGCTGAGCTTGTATTTATAGACTTCTGATCCCAGGCTTTATGGGCGGAGACATGCTTTTATGAGGATAAAAACCCACATTATCCAGCGAGGAACACATGAGGGATGTAAAAGAAAAGAGGT
This sequence comes from Homo sapiens, assembly GCF_000001405.40. Taxonomy (NCBI): domain Eukaryota; kingdom Metazoa; phylum Chordata; class Mammalia; order Primates; family Hominidae; genus Homo; species Homo sapiens. The sequence continues at coordinate 27,956,496 of NC_000018.10, forward strand.
CTTACTGTTTCCTTTACATTCTGTCTTCTACAGTCCTAGTGCCACTGCTTTAGTGGAGGTCATCATTATATCTTGCCTGGACCAGAGAAAAAGCCTGCCTAACTGGTCTTCGCCTGTCTCCAGCACTGTTCCAGCTTCTTTCCTACAAACTATTGGTTTCTGTCTCAAACGTTATTTGATATCACTCCCGCAAGTAAGACCTCTGACTGCTCTCTATGACTCCTTCCAAATGAAAGAGTTCCCCCGACAATGGGCAAAATGATTTTTAATTGGTGCATGAACACTTTAAAACAATTATTTAAGAAAATTAACTTAAAAATTGATGAACAGTTTAAGAAAATAACAAGAAGTACACAGAGAGGGAAAAAACTGGAAGGTGTTAACTCAAATGCCTGCTGTTGGGTAACCTACAGCATACAGTAAAACTCTTTAGAAAGCATTCAGTGAACCAAGACTGTTTACCCACCTTTTCTGTTTCAGCTATTCTCAGCTCCAGCAACCACGACTGAATTATGCACCCCCAAAGGGAATCCCCCCAAACCCCAAAGCATCATGTTCTTGTGCACTTCTATGTTGTTTATTCATTTTTTTTAGAATTATACTTCTTATATTTTTTATCTGATTAATATCCATCCATCCCATCCATCCATCCATCCAAAAGCTCATTAAAAATATCACTTCGACTGCACAGATCTTTTTTCCCCAACCATGACTTAGGAGTCATTCCTGTGGTCTCTCTGGTCCCTTCTACTTTTTTATTTTTTATTTTTAGAGACAGGGTCTCACTCTGTACTCCAGACTGTAGTGCAGTGGCACAATCATGGCTCACTGCAGCCTTGACCTTCCTGGGCTCAGGTGATCCTCCCACCTCAGCCTCCAGAGTAGCTAGGACTACAGATGCCTGCCACCATGCTCGGCTAATTTTTGTTTTTTTTTGTATAGAGGGTTTTTTTATCAGGTTGCTGAAGTCGGTCTCAAACTCCTAGGCTCAAGCGATCTGCCTGCCTGAGCCTCCCAAAGTGCTGGGATTACAGGTGTGAGCTGCTGTGCCCGGCCTCATCTACTTTTATCATCTTGTTTGGATGACACTAGATTGTGACATCCCTTTCTACAGAGGCTGTTTTGTATTCACATCTCACTGTCCAACACACTGCCTGACATTCAACAGGTATTCTATAAGGTAACTATGCATTGTTGTCCTGGGCGTAGTTTTTCCTGCTCAGCATCCTCTTCATATTTATATCCATTCCTTTCAGAAACAGCTAGAATCTAGATTTAAGACATATGTGGATATAAAAGTACACCATACTTACATTACAGTAGAACTGAACATATCAAGGCCAACATTACTACCCCTCTTTCTGGGAATTTCATTTTACTTAAAGCAATTTTTGATGCAGAAGGAGTGGATTTTAATTGTTTTCTTACAATTAGAGAACAGCAGAAAATCTTTTACTCCTAAAAGGTAATTTACCTGTAATAGTTACTAATATGACACCAATAATAATTAAGAGATTTTTACTATGTGACAAGCACTATATGAAGCACATTACAAAGATAATCTCGTTTAGTTCTCACGCAATCTTAAAAGGAGGTTCTATTACTATTCCCATTTTACAAATAAGAAAACTGAAAAGGTTAAAGGCAAGGATCTTGACCTTGTAACAAGGTAACAGAGCTGTTAGGTGGGATGGCTAGATTTGAACTTACACAAATGCCCAACTTCTATAAGACCATAATGAGATATTTTAAAAAACAGAAATTAAAATTAATTAATAGGAGAAAAAGACAAGCATTTTAAACTTTAGTAGTTTCAAGCAAGTTGTAAGAAGCTTCCATAAGTTTTAAACAATATTAATGAAAAGGTGGTCTTTTAACAGAATTATTCACTTGGTTTTTATACTTTTGAGTAGAGAAATATACTTCATATACTAATGAATACATATATACACACATAATAAAAATCTCTTTATATATGTATGTTTGTATCTACAAATATACATATTTATATATGTATATATGTGTATATTTGTATATACACATATATAAATACGTGTATATTTATATATGTGTATATTTGTATATACACATATATAAATAAGTGTATATTTATATATGTATATATGTGTATATGTGATATATGTGTATATGTGCGTGTGTGCACACACAATGATACGGTTTGACTTTGTCCCCACCCAAATCTCATCTTGAATTGTAGTTCCATATTTCCCATAATCCCCACAGGTTGTGAGAGGGACCCGGTGGGAGGTAATTGAATCATGGGGACGGTTACCCCTATGCTGCCGCTCTCACGATAGTGCGTTCTCATGAGATCTGATGGTTTTGTAAGGGGCTTTTCTCCCTTTGCTCAGTACTTCTCTCTCCTGCTGCCATGTGAAGAAGAATGTGTTTGCCTTCCCTTCTGGCAAGATTGTAAGTTTCCTGAGGCTTTCCCAGCCCTGTGGAAATGTGAGTTGATTAAACCTCTTTCCTTTGTAAATCACTCAGGCTTGGCAGTTTTTCATAGCAGCGTGAAAACAGAAAAATACACGTATATATATAAAGAAGTTTATTTCTTTTTACAAAGAAATACACAGGATTAGTATTAGTAAAATTATTGGAGGTATATTAATATCTAACTGTTGGGCTGAGATTAAATGAATTTGTTTGAACTTTTCACTCCCTGAAGGTCATGTTTAAAAATTCAAAACAGAATGAAACTCTCAGTTGAAATTCAAAAACATGTGACTTATTTTACTCTGCCTACCAGACTGGAAATAAGTTATCATTTTTGAGATTCAAGGCAACATTCATTCCTTATTTAAATAAACAAACTAGAAAATGTTCTCATGAGCTTTCTTATTCCTTACATCTATAAAAGCACTCCAATTATAATCACCACTATATTATTCTTCCTTTGGAACATTTGGTGCTCTGCTAAATCAAATAAGACCTGCAGATAAATAAATTTGTGTGCCTTTTAAATATTTTTATAAAATGTGCTTTTCTTTCTTTCTAGGTGCTTTCAACTGTTTTAAAACTCTACAAGTAAGTATTCATTTTTGTCTGTCCAGTAAATGAAGACACTGAACAAGTCTTAACAGTTATCTTGGATGAAAGAGTCTAGATGGTATTTTGGAGAGTTATTACTGGCTTAGGCCTTCTGACTTACATTAGACTTTCATCTCCCTTAAAAGTCCCACAGAACTGACCATCATCTCCTTAAAACTATCGTTTTGATTGTTTTCTATTATACCTACCTCCTTAGATTTTCTGTCTCCAACTCTAGGGGCATTTCTAGCTGAAGATATTTGATTGCTCCTCTCCTTCACATTTCTCTATCTTGTAATTATATTCGAATTCATGGATTTAGGCCAGGTGTGGTGGCTCACACCTGTAATCCCAGCGCTTTGGAAGGTTGAGGATGGAGGATGGCTTGACCCCAGGAGGCTGAGGCTGCAGTTTGTTATGATTGTGCCACTGCACTCCAGCCTGAGCAACAGAGAGAGACCCTGTCTCTTAAAACACACACACACACACACACACACACACAAACACACACTCGTGGATTTAGTTGCCATTTTCAGAATAATTTCCAAATTGGATCCTTTCATCCATTCACTTGGTTCACCAAATCACTGTGCCCCATACTGGCCCCTCCAGGGAGAAGCCTGTCTCCCCTCCCCTGGAACATGGATCAGGGGGAGGCAGGATGGAACCATGGGATCTGTGATCTGAGGGAGGTGAGTTCTGGGTACCATGGGATGCCAGTGGATGGTGTCTAACCCATACTCTGTATGCCTGACCCTTCCTGGGTTGGTAAATACTTAATGAATTTCACCCAACGCTAGAAAAATGGGAAAGGAATTCTAGACAGGAAGAACATCTTGTAGATGGGCACCAGCATGAAATTGTAAGCTGAGATTGTAAATGACAAGTAGAGTTCTCTGTAGATAGCCTGCAAGATGCTGGGTGGTGAGGGCCTTGAGATGAAGTTGGAAAGCCAAATAAGAACCAGACACAAATGGCCTCCTATGCCTGGCAAATAAGGCTTCGGATACTGGCACATTTGCATTGCACAAATATCGTGCTAGCAACAAAGTAGGGTATACACACAAAGAGAATCGATGTCTAATTTATGCTTTTATCTATATATTACTTGCACAGTTATGTTACACACATGGATGTTCAATAGTGATTTGCTGAATGGATGATCTTACATTGAGCTCAAGATGGTTTCACAATGAGACATTTTTCACATATGCAGATAATCTTCAAATTAGGAAGAGATTGTATTCTGGAAGTCAATTTGCAGTCAGTTGTTTGGAAGACGGTTTTTCATATAAGTAATCATACCTGTTTGTTAATGGTCTCCAGCCATAATAAACTGTATACCTGAGCACTGTTTAGGAGAAAGAAAATTCCAAATGGAAATTCCTACTGTAACTCCTACTGTGGCCGAGAAGGGTTGGGTAAGTGAAACTTATTGACTAGATGTCTACTGAAGAAGAGATAGTCATTGTTAAAAAAAGAACAAAAAAAAAATCAATGACCATAGACATAGACACACACACACAAACAAACACACACTCAAACATAAACTCAGAATTTGAATGTAATCTGACAAGTAGGATGAAAGGCTCTAGACTCAGTATCCATTGAATCTCAATCAGATGTAAAGTGGGTGGTGCCCAATAGCATCATGCCCTACACATTTGCCAGGGTGCATACTTGAATGCCTGAAAATGACAAAAATCTAAGAGCTAGGTAACATACTAGATGTTTAAGTTATAAAAACATGAACAAGAAATAGCGCTTGTCCTGGAGATAACTCACATACTGAGTGGGAGAAAGAAATACTGACAGTTACACCCCAGCTGGTGAGGGCTATGACCCGAGGGGCAACTTGTTATCCCTTCCCACAGGCATCAAGGAAGGCCTCACAGAGAAATGTTTTGGCTGAATCCTGAAGGCGAAGTGGCAGTCCTGCAGATGGACAATTAGGTTAAGGGCTTTGCCGAAGTTACAGTATATTCAAAAGTGTTGATGCTTTTGAGGAACTGCAAATAGTTCAGTGGGGCTGCAGCACAGAAAGGGAATGTGGGGACGTGAGGGGTAGAAGAAGGCAGGAATCAGATGAGGAATAGCCTTTATAAATAAACCTTACTGTTTGTTTGATCTTTAGCACTGAGAAAAGAAGAGTATCAGGGATGGAATGAAATCCACAGAACACTGGTACTTCAGGGACAGGCAGAAATATTTAGTAAGGATTTGTTAAATTATACTTAAGCTAGAATTCTGGCTTCAAAAAAGTATGGTTCCAGCTGGGCACAGTGGCTCAGGCCTGTAATCCCAGCACATTGGGAGTCTGAGGCAGGAGGATCATTTGAGCCCAAGAATTCAAGACCAGCCTGGGAAACAGGCTGGTGAGACCCTGTCTCTACAAAAACCAAAAAAAATTAAAAAAAAATTGTAAGGTCCAGTTCCTAAACCTACAGTCAGAAGATTCACTATAACTTGAATTGACAACCATCAGAATAACTCAACAATTTCTTATGATGACAAACATGAAATTAGAAATAAAATCATCAGGCACTCTTACATTTTTCTAAAAGATCTAGGCATATATGTATAAATTTCTGCAAATTCTCCTAACTGGATCTATATATAACTAAGAGCTGGCAAAGTCAGGACATATTTCTGTGGATAAAGGGAGTTACTGGCATTCTGTTGTTTTTGCTTTCCATGTGTTTTTAAATCATGTCAACTACAAATTAACCTTATTACCTATTTAGCAGAAATGAATACATATGTTCAGAAAGGCAGCATATATTTTAGGAACAGACAGTAATGGATAGTTATAGAGACAGGCAACTATTCCAATTTTGTTTTAAAACTTTTTCTACAAGCAATAAGTATATCTAAAAACCTAATGTAGATTATGTTTAATATTATATGAATTTTGAGGAAGCCCAGGATACAAGAGTCTTATCAGCCTATGACTGAAGGCCATATCCAACAGATGCATTCCACTTTGTAATGCACTGAGACCTATTCTGATCTTGGAGACACCAATGATATGACCAGAAAACAGGAGTTCTGCCATATATTCACAGTCAACATCAATATGTAGTGTTCTCTTACATTCACAATACAAATTCAAAAGAATTACAGTAAGACTACAGACATGATCAGAAGCAGCAGCACAAATCATTGAACTTCAAAACTTAAATGTAACAGAACTCTTGGTCAGTAATAAAGAATGTCATAATAATTTTGACAGTGAAAATCATATCTGTTATATGCAACAGAGAAATAGCTTCCTTTTACAGAAGCTCTTAAAACTCCTCAACTAGACAAGTCCTTAAATCACTTACATAATATTTAATTTAGCTCTTCCAACTAATCTCTTTTGATGGAGTCATTGGGCAGGCACTGAATTCTCACGATTTGTGGGATTCAAAGGGTACAGTGTGAGGAAAATTAAAGTGAACTACTGCTACATTTATTAATGCTAATAAATGAAATTAGAATGCACTATAATATTGTTAGTCTATTTATTACTTGTAATCTAGGAAAAAAAATCCTTCTCGGAGACAGTGTGACTAATTCTGATAATATATGATGTATGTCATTTTACAAATGCAGAATCTTAATTGATAGATCTCTTTTTGGTTGATCAAAGCAATTACATTTGTTGTTAATGAAGCCACATTTGCTTTCACACAAGATGAACTTCAGAAACACAAGTATGTTTTAGTGAACTATATAGCTGTATTCCAAGCAATTTGTGGCCTACAGAGATCTAACCATTAGCATGAAATGAAAACTCTTATAGAGAAAACGAGTGTCTCTCTGTACCTCATTAATGAAGTCCCCAATGTCTCCAGGGTGTGGGGCTGCAGATCGGACCGGATACTGGGGCTCGGCGTGGATGGGTCTTTCATCCATTCGTCGGATTCCCACAGGCTTGATGGCATCAGGCTCCACAGTGTCAGGCTGCTGCAGCTGGCTCAAGTCATAGTCCTGCAAAAAGACAAAATCAAAAACCGATGGGAGATGGGCACAAAGATAGAAAATTACAACCTCGCTTTTTAAGCACATACTCAGAACACATAGAAATGAGGAAAATTTAACATAATGGAAAAGTTGCCACTATGAGTTTTTCATGTTATGATTAAATATTTCTTTCACACAGCTCTTTCTTCTGTGCTTTTCATTTCTACAGTCTGTGCTCCATCTGCTTTACAATGTTCCTCATCAGTTTCCAATGAAAAACAGCAGTGTGATGAGGTCTCACTATAAAACAACTAAAAAACCGACTAGACAATATAGTTGTACCATACAAGCAAAGGTGCTAACTTCATGTCTTTAATATTTTTTTAAAACGAGGGTGGTTATTCTTCCTTTTCCCTAAAGGAAGGCATTAGTTCATGAAGGTTTCAAGCCACCCTTCTTCCTTCTCTCTCTCCCTTCTAAACTCTAGAGCAGAGGTCAGAAAACTATGATCTCTGGGCCCAGTGTGACCTATGGCCTATTTTTCTCTAAGATTAGCTTTTACATTTTTAAAAAGTTACTTAAAATACAAACGACAAAGAAAAATGTGCTACAGGGAATATATGTGGCCCACAAAACCTAAATTATTTACTATCTGGCCCTACTGAGGAAAAGTTTGCTGACCTCTGGTTTAGTGGTGGTAGACCAGAGAGAGGGTGGATTTTCTTCCAATGCTGCCCTGTGGGAATGTCCTGGAAAAACAATCTGTCCGCTTTCAGAGAGGCAAAGTACAACTTGTGAAGAAGGATGCTCTGGCCATAGGTTGGGCCCTCAGAACTATTTTTAGCTCAGACATCTGGACAGGAATGTATAAAGAAAGAGACTACAATGTGGAAATAATCCACATTTAAGGTTTGGGCAAATAGTTGGTAGTATTCAAACCTCTGAATTCTGGTGATACAAAATATCATATCCCCAAGCTTACCCAACATTCTTTCAATTCAAAACTGACATTTGCAGCAAGCATAGATGTAGTTATGCTTTTCTTAGTTCAGGCTTCATCTCTCTGTCTGAAACTAGCTTTTAAAACCTTTTGCAGTTATCTCTAGAGTGATTTTGATTTATTCGACAGTTGTTTAACGTTTACCATGTTTTGGCAATGGTCTAGGTGTCTTACATATGTTCACTCATTTGATCCTCTTAGTACATGTGATACTAAGTTTTATTATCCCCACTTAAGAGATGAGAAAACTGAGTTTCAAATAACCCAAGTAAGTCGCATATGGTCCCAGATCTATTAAGAAAAGGATTCTGACTCCAAGTGTATTAGATTCCAAAGCCTGGCTCTCTTCACAATCATCTATGAGTAAATCAAGACTGAGTTACAAGGTTGGATTTAAAGGTAAGGAACTAGATAAACGAGCTTGAGCTTGGAGGGACAGGAATGTGAGGAATGCTTAAAATAACAAGGAGACAAAGGGAAGGAAAAGGTCAGTAACTTCATACTCACTGTGGGTCAGGCACTATACCAGACTCTTGATAAGTGTTTTCTCACTATCAATGGTGCCTAAGAAACCCATGAAAAATGTTTTATCATCATCTCTTTAGGTGGAGAAACAGGTTGAGTAACTTGCCCAAGGTCACACAGCTAGTATATGACTAAAATGAGAATCAAAACCATGAGTGTCTGACTTCATAGCACCTGATTTAAAATTTATGCTAATTGAGATACTCTGATCCTGGCAACACTCTCCCTGAATATTTCCTTATCAAGAACTTCAGCTGGCAGGTGAAGGCACTCACATACATACGCTGATGGAAAAGCTCCTCCTCTTAGGTGTGTGCAATGTGATGCGGAAAGCGAGGTAGGTATAGAGACTTCGAACCCGCCAGAGTGGGATGTACATTTGGTGTATCACAAACTATAAAATGTTCAGGGGGAAATCAGCTTTAGCTCTGAACCATCTATGGGCTGGCGACAAAGCGCCATTTTGGGAGAGTCCACAGCAGGAGCAAAGGCATCAGAATGCTGCTTTCTCTTGTCAAGATGGAGTATTTCAAATCATCCATACAAAACTTGAGAAAAAACACCTTGATCTTGCACAAATGTGCTCCATTTTCAATTTTATAGAATTTGAGTTATTTACGGAATATCTCAGAAAAGGCCCTCAATGATGCAACAGATGTGAAAGTCCTTGAACTGTTAAAATGCTATACACGACAAAAAGAGGGATTTAGTCCCCTGCACTTTGGGAGGCCAAGGCGGGTAGATCATAAGGTCAGGAGTTCAAGACCAGCCTGGCCAATATGGTGAAACCCCATCTCTACTAAAAAATACAAAAATCAGCCGGATGTGGTGGTGGGCGCCTGTAGTCCCAGATATTTATTTGGGAGGCTGAGGCAGGAGAATCGCTTGAACTCGGGAGGTGAAAGTTGCAGTGAGACAAGATCGCATCACTGTACTCCAGCCCGGGCGACAGAAAGACTCTGTCTAAAAGGAAAAAAAAAAAAAAAAAAAAAAAAAAGATTTATTCAGAGAAATTTTAATGCTTTCACACTAAAAAATAAAATATGTTTTTTCCAGGCCATGTTTAATTGTATAACTACCAAGCACAACAGAGTGGGGTGAACTATGAATAAGTATGCATTCTTATTCAATTACCAAAGCTGTCCTTAAAATGGGGGAAAATAGATGGCAAGTATATTGATGACAGTGAATAAATGTTTTTACCCTAAGGGTGAAAAATGTTTTATTAGAAGTCTAAATTACACACAAAAAGGTAATTGAATCTTATGTTTAAGCACTGTCTTTTACCTGGTGACATATTCTTTGATACTCCTGGATATATTACATAATAGCTCAGGGTGACAAATATAAGAATATAGAGGAATTTCGTTCATATAACTGGAGATAAAAGAGGCATGTGGGCTTTGCTCATGCTACTCCCTATCTGGGAAGAGCCATTCTACTCTGACTTCTTCTATAACTCCAACTGTATCCAGAGGCTGCAAATAAAATTGCATTTTGATTGGCTAGCAGACTTTTAAATATATTCAAATAGGTCACCAACATTTAGACATAGGTGTATCTCACCTGAGAATAACAAGATCTGGCAAAAGAGATCTTACATTCTGACAACAATTTGCTACAGCTGAGAGCAGTTGTCCCCTCTGGACAAGGAAAGGATAGCCTCCTAACCTGCTTCATAGATGAATGTGTATATAACATACTTACATAATAGCAAATAATTTACAGTTCTTTATCTTTCTTTTGATAGCTTTTTCCTACTATCTTAAGAACCAGAGAGCAGGAAGAGTCTTAAAACTTCGGTGGTCTTGCTTAGACCTTTGGACCATCAATGTTTCAGGCTTATAGAAAGTTCCCACTAAAAAAAAAGTGTTGAACATAATCTCAGTGATGATACTTATGCCAGATATCAAAGGAGCAGCTAATTCAAGAAATGTGACTTGGATCACATTATACACTATAGTAATAATTTATGATGAGACGGGAGAGAAAGACCTCCTGGTCCCATTGCTGAGAATCATTGCCATGGTGAATCACCCCATAATGATGGAAGCCTGTTAAATTCCTCCACGGTGATGGTGTCCACAAAGAGGCAAAAAATCACTGGTTTACAGGAAGTTAGACACAAGGTTAAAATACATGGCTTAGAGTGTCTCTGTGATGGCTTCTCCTTATCTACTGCAAATATGGGACATAAAAATCTGATGATGGCAGGCAGCGTGTGGAAGTATCCTCCGGCCACAGGGTGGGCTCTTCTGTTGACGTCTATCTGTGTTGTATGGCAAAAGTCCTGAACTGAGAGTCTAATTTTAGACCTTTTGATAAAAAACGCTCCCTAATTATACATCTTTACAATCCCATAATGATGTACATAAACACACAAATGACAACATGTAGGATGAGAATTATAAAGAGAATTACAAAGACCAAAAATCTTCTCAACGTCATTGGGTTCATGGCCTTACTCCTGAAGATTATAAACAATCCAAAAAGACATCTTTATTTGGCTCCTAAAACTCAAAGAGTGGGTCCGAAAATTCTCTTATGATTGCCAACCTTTACAATGTTAACTTCCCAAAGAAATTCAATTTTCAAACAAAGGCCAAGGAAAATCTCTTTTTTACTTCATTTTAATGTTTGGAATATGTGTTAATTGGCAATCATCATTAAAAGTAGGCATGGAATTTGGGTTTTGAGAATATTAACACTGCAAGTAACTTAAATTTTTTTTTGGTCTATGATTTAAAATGTCTTAAGGGCGATATAGTTCTGGGGGAGTTAGTAAGAAGTTAGCATGACTTGCAATGATTTATAATTAGTTTGGAAAATGATACAACGAGTTTAACTCAGAGCATTTGGTTATGCTACAATAAAATAAAATGTTGCATCAGTATAAATTGAAATTCTGGAATCCCAGGCAAATACTTCCAAAAACTACATTGCATGTAGAATCTACAGAATTGTATAGTCAACCCATTTCAGGGAGTAATGCAAACACTCACTCATTTACCATTCCACCAGTATTTATGGAATGTCTACTGGGTGCCAGATGCCATTTTCAGGTCAGAGAGCAAGAAAGCAAGCAAGCAACCTTTATCTGGTGCTCATCATCTGTCAAGAATTACATTAGGTGCTTTCTCATGTGGTATTGCATTAATACAAACAAAAACCCTTCTAAGTGGGTGTTATTGTTCCCACTCTATTGATTACCACAGCTCAGGGAGGTTAATGATTTGACCAAGGTCACAGACTCACTTAAGCACGTCAAAAGATAACACAGAGCCCACCAGGGCAAGCAAAATAAATAATCAAAAAGCTGCATCTTTTTGTCACTTGCCAGTGAAGAAATGCACGAAAGAGTTTACTGAGGGGGAAAACATCTGGGGTTTGAAGTGCTGGAGGGGGGAGTTTAAGATGGTTCCACTAATCAGTCACTGGGCACTAGCACTCTGCATAGAACAAATGAGTTCTTCGGTCTGTGCACAGTTGGTTAAAATAAGACTAACTGTTGTTTAGGCAGGAAGGAATCCTCACTTAGGTCAAATAAGAGTCTGACACATGGAGGAGAGGGGTGGACACTTAAAGTTCACGGGCCTTTATCAGCCTCCACTGGTTAGAACCAGTGATGAAACACAACAGTTTTGCTATCTCTTAGGCATGGGCTGGTTCAAGTGGAACATTTTCCTTTTATAGCTGCAAAGGCAAATGACTTTAAAATCCCCATATAGATAAGGTAAACATTAAAAATGTTTCAAGACTGAGTGACTGAGAGAAATTAAAATACTCACATGGAAGTAAATGGACAAAATTCTGAAGGAAAAAAAATATCTGGAAAAAAGCTGACTGCGGCACAGGCAAGAAACTTCAGACACAAAAAGAAATGGAAGGTGGGAGAGAAGAACACTATTATCTCACCCTCTATAGCTCCCGGCATTAAAATAATTGAATAAAATAGTGATAAGGTGTCAACATATTACCAAACAACTGCTGACAAGTAAGTCAAATATACCCGTGCAAGCTTTATGTAAATTACATTACGACCTGATTTTCTTCCCCAGTGAAATATCGTTATGACGGTAACTATCTTCACAGGTGAAACGATGTGGAAAACTAAGTAGATTCCATGGATTATCACAGCCCCCCCACCAACAAAAAATTTGCTAAAAGCTTTTTCTGGATTGAACCATAAACCTAATACAAATAAAATAACTTGGGGACTTTCAGTATACAGATGAAGGATCTCTGTTCTCTCTCTTCATATACTATACATTTTAATCTTACTGGTAGCCAGTTTTCTACTTCCCACAAGGGAGAGGACTGAGTCCCCACTAAAAGGGAACAGTCATTGTTTCTGCCCCTGTGGCTTACTGTTAATGCTGACATGTCAGTTTCCTTTAACATGCTACCTGTTTTCAGAATTATGAATGAGCTATAGGTTCACTCTTTGATGTAAAATTACACTTCTATTTTAGAAACTGTGACTGTTGAAATCCTATCACAACTTATTTCCCGTTACAAAATTATGGCTTATTCTTTTAGGAAAATGTGGCATATACACACTTCAATTAGACTTGATTCCACAAATTCTTTCATAAGAGGGGTCTCTCTTGGGAAACAGACTCGGTTACTAACAACACTGAGCCTTTACTCTAATGTCTTTTAAAAGGACATATTTTAAAATAATGAAAGTTTGGCCAGGTACGGCAGCTCAGCTTGGCCGGGTGCGGCGGCTCACGCCTGTAATCCCAGCTCTTTGGGAGGCCGAGGCGGGTGGATCACTTGAGGTCAGGAGTTGGAGACCAGCTGGCCAACATGGTGCAACCCTGTCTCTACTAAAAATACAAAAATTAGGTGCCTGTAGTCCCAGCTACTCAGGAGGCTGAGGCAGGAGAATCGCTAGAACCTGGGAGGCAGAGGTTGCAGTGAGCCAAGATCGTGCCATTGCACTCCAGCCTGGGCGACAACAGTGAAATTCTGTCTCAACAAAATAATAATAAAAAAATTAAAATAATGAAAATATAATATTTAAAGTTACAAAAAATACGGAAAGTGAAGATGTCAGAAGCTATGAAGGAAGTACTGTTGGAAGAAGGGAGGATGCAGATATGCAGAGGAACAGGGCTTCAGAAAGATGGAGCACTGGAAATATGAAATAATTTCCCGTTGTTTTGATGCAATCCAGTTACATTCCTATAAAGAGAAACACATTTCTTAACCCTTCCAAGCCACTGTCTGTCTTGGGAGACAAAAGTATAGCCATCTAAATGCATGTTGGGTTCCATGTTTTCACCTCGAGTTCCAATTTCTTCTTGCAAAAAACAAAAAATGTGACCACTTGGATAAAGATCAAAGCCACTCTATCTCAGCATGACCTATTAATTCATCTCAGAGAAAACATAAAAATAGGTAATTTGGTTGAGAATATGGTGGCAGAGCATCAAAATCCTTCCCTAGTTTATGACACATCATTTTGAAATGTCCTAAAGAATATTATTTGTTTTAGGATAAATGTACACATAAAGTAAATACTGCAAAGGGAGCCAAGTATTTGATTTTTTAAAATCCTTGATTCAAATCCTGGCTCCATCATATTTTAACTGTGTGACCTTGAGCAGATTACATAAACTTCCCATGCTAACCTTAATAGTATTCAACTTTTAGACAAAAAAGCCAATGAGAATTCCATTGATTAAATCCGTCTATAACAATGTTCAACAATCTTTTCCTGTAGGGTCTAGATAGTAAATATTAATATGTTTGGATTTGGGGGCCAGATAGTCCATGTCACGATGTTTCAACTCTGCTGTTGCTGCAGCATAAAAGTAGTCATAGATAACACATAAAAAATGGGCATCAATGGGCATGGTGCATGGCCATGCTCCAGTAAACTTTATTTATAAAAATAGGTGGGAGGCTGAGGCAGAAGTCTATGTGTAGGCTGGGCGCGGTGGCTTACGCCTGTAATCCCAGTACTTTGGGAGGCCAAGGAGGATGGATCACGAGGTCAGGAGTTCCAGACCAGCCTGACCAACATGGTGAAACCCCGTCTCTACTAAAAATACAAAAATTAGCTGGGCGTCGTGGCACACGCCTGTAATCCCAGCTACTCAAGAGGCTGAGGCAGGAGAATTGCTTGAACCTGGGAGGCAGAGGTTGCAGTAAGCCAAGATCACACCACTGCACTCCAGCCTGGGCAACAGAGCGAGACTCCATCTCAAAAAAAAAAAGGTAGCTGGTGGATTTGGTAGCTGCTAGAACACTGGCCTATAGCATTTTTGCATGTCAGTTCTTTTTTTTTTTTTTTTTGCATAGTACTAATACATACTTGGTATTCAAATCTTTATCATTGTTATTAGTAGAATATCAATAACTTTCCATTTCCCTAAAACGAAATATAGAAAATTTGTAATCAGCCAGGAAGAATAAATATTAAGATGACTTATCTAAAATACTGTGTCACTTGCATGAAGTGACAGGAATGATGAAGGAAAAGTCATATGCAAATCATATGCACAGTGAAAGTATTTAATAACTGGGAGGGGATGGGCACTGACCAGTTCAGAACACATGCTTTTACAGCCCACTAATGTGTACCCTGGCCACGAGTGTTTTGAGAATAGCATGCAAAAAGGGAATGACAATGTGCTAACCCAATCCCTAGTGAAACTTTCCTTTTGTGAAATCAGAATCTTTCAATAACTAATATATAACAGTGTTTGCAGGTTGGTAAAAATGAATGAATAACTTGGGAACATCATTAACAAAGCATGCTTTAGCCAACAATAAAAGTGTTGAAAGTGGTCTCCACAGTTATGTCCAGATTCAGCCATCTGTTAAGTTTGCTTAAAAGGCAGAATAAATTTATAAAGCGATTATTTCAAGCAATCAAATATACCATAGTTAGATTATACAGCTTCATTCTCTAACACTTAAAGTCCGATAGTTGGGCTTGATTGCCCACATTAGGTCTGGTTCCCGAGACTGGCAGAAGTCCACAGAGATCCCCTGGCTCAAGAAGAGATTTCTTGACTCAGAAAAGTGGCGGGTTTGTTCTCAAGTGGCTTTCTTGTACCTGTGCCCCCATCCTTCTGTCTAGGCATCTTGCCTGGACTTTAGATTTAGCTCCAGACTGTATACTCAGATTTTTTTTTAATAACTTGGCTGCTTAGATTGCTTCTCCAGATTTTAACTTTGTTAATGTCAAAATGGGTCCAATTCTGCAAGCTTAATCAATTGATTACCCTTATGTCTTCTAAAGTCATATTACCAGTGGTCATCTAATAAGCTGTGGCTATGAGCCTAGCCATACTGGTCCAAGCCAGTAACACCTCCTGCCTGCTACAGACCAGTGAGACTAAATAAAATATCTATCATATGACCTCTATCACAGTGCATGAGAGCCTGAACTCTCGAGTCACATAGACCTAGGTTTGAAAACGGACTAACAGCAGTGTCCATTTCATGGAGTCATCAGGAACATTATAAAGGACATGCAAACTAAGAGAGTAGCACAGTGCCTGACACAGAACAAATATGCAACAATGCTAGCATTTATGAATGCTATCATCATTTCCTGAAGACATCAGAGATCTCTAAGGATGACAGTGAAGTTATCGGGAGTATACTGGTTCAATTAAGTCACAGATAGAGTTGCAAACTAAGTTAGAAATTCAGGAAGAGGGCCCACAGCAGTTCAACTAACATTCTATGAGTGTTGCCAGGTGCCAACTGTCCTAGATACTGAAATAAAAAATAAGTATGACAAGTCCTTGCCTTACAGAGCTTAAGGTCAGGACCAAGAGTGGACATAAAAGCTCAAAATAGAGGTAGACTGGGAATGCTGTGGGGGCACAGAGCAGAGAAACTTGATTTAGCCTGGGACTCTAAGACAAGATGTCTTGAGATGAATCTTGATGGCTAAACAGAATTAGGTGAAGAAATGGACTACGTTAAAAAAGTGTGAGAGTGTGGTACAGGTGTGCAAGTATAGGCAGTTCAAAATGCAAAGTGGAGGGGTAATGAGAGAACAAACTGAATTGTCAACCCTTGAAGTTCGCAATCCTAAAAGCCAAACCCCAGGTCATAGGAACTGTGGGTTCTTACCCCATCTCAGGCACTTGGACTTGGCGGAATGTGCTTTCTGTGTCACCAAGACTCTAGGGATCTCATCTACATCAATATTGAAACTAATTTCCACAACTCACATAAAAAAATCAACTTCATTGAAAAAAAGTCAGTGGACACTCATATGGTAATTATATCTAGGTCTTCTGGGTTCTGAAAACCTAGGCCACTAAGAGGCACTTCTATTATAATTCCCTTTATCATGAAATTGTATGTGATTTCTTACATGTGCCAGTGCTGGATCCTGATCTAGAAGACTTTAGTATCACAGAAAGTACTAGAAGCTTTCTTCAGATAAAGGAAAGCTGCTTTCCCTTGTTTTTGGTGAACCTTACATTCCGTTTCTCATGCCTATACAGTGTTGTATTTCATGAGCTGTGCCTACTGTATCTCCTCTGTGCCAAGGGACCTACTTCCCTATGACATACCTGGATTGGTCAGAACAGTGCAACCCATTGTGGGTGAGGTAAAAAGGGTTCTCATACAATCTCCAAAAACATTCTCTAAATTCAAGTACCTAACCTGGGTTTGTTAAGACTTCCAGCTGATCACTTAAACCATTTATTTTTCTTTCTAGACACACTGAAGGTTATTTCCCAGGGAATTAGGAGTGGAAGGGATGTGTGCCACTTCTAGGCCTGGCCCATAAAAATCTCCCAAAAATCATCCTCCATGCCCTGTTGTCATGTAGTGATTGCATGGATTTAAGGGTAGGGTGATCCTAGAAGTCACATGTGAAAGATGGGAGAGTCTTTGGCGCTTAGGTCCCTGAATGACTGTGTAGAGAGAAGCAGACCTCCTTTCTCCATCCCAAATGCCCACGACCTGAAACCCAGTTAATGTTAAGAAACCAATAAATACATTTTCAACTAGACTTAGGTCACTGAAATTTTAGAGTCTGTTACAGCGGCTAGCCTATTTTAACTAATACCTTTGGCTAAACATATTTGTGTGGCTACTTCTCTCTCTCTTTTTTTCTCTCTCATTTAAGCAATATAAAACTGTCTTAGAAAATCACCTCCTCTTTGTACAAACCTGTTTTTGTTAATCTAAGACTTACTTATTACTGTATAATTCAATCAGGGCCTGCAAAATAAGTATCTATGAAGAATGGGCTGATAACATATATCAAGAAAGCTGGTCTGGTACAAAGAATAAAAATACTGGAACATGCTTGTCCTGCTTAAAGAGGGAAAATCTCTGTTTAGTTCCCAACAACTGTCATGTCAGAATGCAGGCCATGTTTCCAGATCTTTCTGCTTTTTGAAAGGATTAGGAAACAAGAATTTTATGTGAATATTTTCCATTTTTAATTCTGCAAGCTCAAGAAAACATAGTCATGGACTACGTGTGAACAGATTCTCAGTTTATAAAATGCTACTTTAAAGTGACACAGAATCCATCTTCCAGACATGTCCCCCAAAACACAGGGGTTGGTATGAGGTATTGCTACGCTCTGAATGTCTGTGTCCCCCACTAAAGTCACATGCTGAACCTGAATTCCCAATACAATAGTATTAAGAAGTGGGGCCTTTACGAAGTGATTAGGTCATGAGGGTGGACACTTCATGAGTGGGATTAGTGCCGTTATAAAGAATACCAAGGGAGGTTGTTTGCTCCTTTCATTGTATGAGGACACAGCAAGAAAGGCGCCTTATATGAAGCACAGAGTAAGCTCTCACCAGACACTGATCTGCTGGTGCCTTGATCTTGGACTTCCCAGGATCTAGAACTGTAAGAAATAAATTTGTCTTGTTTATAAGCTACACAGTTTATGAAATTTTGTTATAGCAGCCTGAACAGACTGAACTACTTTCTTTGTGATTTCAGAACCATCTCAGATCAAACAAAAAACAAAAAACAAAACACCCCAATGAACCAGGTGTCAGTCAGTCTTTAAAACTTAAAAAAACACATTTCAGAATTCAGGCAGAGTGTTCTCAGTCCTGGAATGGGAAACCTATATAGTGTTCTCTGAGCCTAAGGGGTGCTGGGCCTTACCTGGAGAGACTGAGAAGAAAACGGAGCCAATTGTCATGCTCCAGTCAGCAACAGACTTGAGTATGAGAAGAAAGATCTGAGACATGGTGGATCACAAGGGCCAAGAACCCAAGAGTGATCAAGAGAAAACTGATGTGGAATCTTTCCACAGCCACGTAGCCTTACTGTCACAACCTCCTTTGCCCAGCATCAGCTTCAGTCTCTCACAAGTTAACTCTGCCTGACAGAAAAGTCCTCATCCCTTTGATGCAGGACATTTTCTTGACCTCTTTGTGGGACTGGTGACAGGGGTGCCCCATTTACTCAGCCTGCTGAGCCAATTCCTTGTGGGAGGGAGCGCACAGGTGAGTGAGCACGGGAACCAGCCGGCCACTTTGGCACTGGCAGAAGCAAACTCCGTGCAGGCCCTGTGGTGGCGTCTAGGTGGGGTGCCTGCCACCCCAAGGCCCCAGAGGGCGTGTTACAATGCTCTCATAGCTCTGCTGTCCGCAGACAGCAGTGTGTTATCAGCTCAGTGGGCCATTTGCCTTGTTGCATGGGGTGGCTGCCCCCTGCCAGTGTGGGCAAGAGGTCCGTGTGACAGCCTTTTGGGTACCCACACTTGGTGGGTCTTGAATTCTTGTCTGGTACCCAAGAAGAATGAGGTCATGTGGACAAACTGAAGGATGGTGAATGTGGAGAATTTTATTGAGCAATGAAAGCAGCTCTCAGCAGAGAGGGGAGCTGGAAAGGGGATGGGAAGGGCAGGTCGCTCTCCCCTGAAGTCAAGTCACCTCTCTGCCCCTCTCCTCTGCAATCAAATGCCTCTCTCTGACATCCAGCTGCTTCTCTCTTCTACCGGCTGAGTCTGGGGTCCTTATAGGGACAGAATCGGGGGCAGGGCAGGCCATAGGTAGTTTTGGAAAAGGTAACATTTGATTGGTAAAAAGACATTATTCAGAAGGAACCAATCATGAGAGAGCAGGCAAACAGGGACAGAAGTACTCACTTTGGGCCATAGGTTCCAGGCGTTTCAGCTTTAAGGTGGGGCTTTGACAAGGACCCGTCCCTGTCTGCCTAGAGCTTCTCTGCCTCCTGCCTTTATCACCTTGAGGCTGGCATTGCTCCTTGAACCAGAACTCATGGTCTGAAGGGTTCCAGTTTCTATCAATTATCATTTGTGACCCCAGCCAAGATGAATAGCAGTACCTCTTTTCATAGATTATGAGTTCTCACAGCAGCCCAAGGCCTTGGGATGGTTAATGTTTCAAGTCAAATTCTGAAAGCACAGGAAGCTGCTGGATGTTCCAGTTCTGCTTCAAGGATGGGAGAGCCTTCTGACAAATTCGCATGGCATTCCAAAAGGCAGTATTTTAGTTGCCTGGTTGAACATGAGCTTTGTAAAGGATGGTATAAGATATGATAGACACCATTTTCTTTGCACTGAGGCAGACAAAGATTTAATCTTCACTTTGCTACTTTCTAACAATATACGCCTATTTTACTGGACTATTGTGAAGGACAAATGAACTAATGTATATTTCAATAACGAAATAATGTACTTAGTACAGTGCCTAACACAGGGTACACCAAATAACAGCTTTTGCTATTAGTATAGAGAATGAAACTGCATTGTGTCAGGTGATGTAGGGAGAGGTTTAAAGTGAGCACCACTGACTGAGCACCATTTATACACACTTGATAAATGTTTGTAATTAAGTCTAAGCCTTAAAAAGCAGAAGGCTAACAGTTTCTCTTTCCTATCCTGGGGCTGAAAGGGGATGGTCCCAGGGAAAGTGAGATATCGGCTATATTGTACATTCACCCTGATTTTATTAGTGACGCTGATATGGAAAGAACTTGATACAAAGATCATTGAAAGCGATACCGTATCTGCAACCAACCCCATTGGCCAAAAGGGCACTGAAGGACATTTACTAATGAGGGTAATTAAACATGCCTTACTAACCAGCAAAAAAAGCCCTGCTGTTAGCAGTGAAAGAGATAAAGAAAGAACTTCACTCTCTGAAAAGAGACTAGATATACTAAAAGTGTCTGTTCAACCGCTAACAGCCCTGTGTGGAGATAACACTCTCAACAGAACACATCTAATGCTAGTTTCAAATATGGGCCCAACCTAGCCTCCTGACAATCTAAGCCACAGCAGAAGATCCACGAACTCTAATAAATCTCTGTTATACACAAGGTAAGAAAAAAGATATCGGAGTAGTTGTTTCTTTTTTTTTCTTTTTCCCATTTTACCCCCTTAGGCACCTCTTAGTTATTTTGTTAAAGAAATTAGCAACCTGTACCTTGACATAGAACTTATACAGACAGAGACTCCAATCAAAGACAGGTAAGATAAGAACTACCCTTGTAAAAGACTACTTTGCTTTGTTTTCTTTGTAATCAGTTAGCTGCTGGTATGGATACTTTGTCTTGGCAGGAAGAATAGGAATCTCAGCTGAGCCAGTTTCAGGCTAATTTTCTGGAGACTGCTGTACAGACCTGCCTTGCTGTAAACACAGTCATTACCTGGCATCCAGCAAATACTTAAACTGATCTCTGAGATCTACACAACTTTTAAAGCTCAATAAACAACATGTGGTTCAGTTTACAATGGAATACTATTCAGAAACAGCAAAAATTATTCTTTAAGACTGTCCAGCTAAGACATGAAGCAGATCAGACCAGCACCTCGTCATCACCAGCCATTCACACCTGAAGGTACACACAGGCTCCATAAAAAAAAAGCAATGGATAATAAAGATCAATGAAAACTTGTCCAGAACACAGCATGGCACCAGTCCCATTTCCAAGGCCTATTATTGTAGAAAGAGAGTATCTTCATAAAAATTATGAATTAGATTCCATTGCCAAAAATTCTTACTTCACACTACAAAGAAACAGAATTTCTAACAGGCAGCCACATGTAAATTATGGAAAATAGAACCCAGTGTATTTCATACCGCTGAACTTCTCAGGAACTGACCATGATTTTAAGATTTAAAGTAAGAACATCTATTTAGAAAGTGGAGTACTTGTAGTAAGTACACTTAAAAAATAAGATAAATGGTTTATTTTTCTTAAAGAAAAAGTAAAACAGAATCCACCAAAAATCTAAAAACAAACAAACTTTGCAGAATATAGTCAGAAAACTTACCCTATTGGTTTCAAGACACTAGAAAGCTACAGTAATCGAAACAACATGGGATTGACTCAAGAACAGACAGAACAGGTAGTACCGCATAGAACAGCAGGAAGCTAACCCACAAAGCCGCACACACATATCACCTGCTTTATGGCAATGTAGCACCGCAATGCAGTGGTAAACATCATCTTTTTACCAAGGGGTGCTGGATATTCATAAAGAACATGAAGAAGTCCTGACCCATGTCTTAACCAAATGAAAAATCCATTACAGATAAATTATGGACTTAATATGATAGGTAAAACAATATAGCTTCAAGAAAATAATATATGTAGTTGGGGGGGGGGATTCATTACCTTGGGGTAGACATTTTATTTTCTCATTATTATTATTTTTCTGAGTCAGGGTCTCTGTGGCCCAGACTCTGGAGTGCAGTGACATAATCACAGCTCACTGCGGCCTCGACCTCCCAGGCTCAAGCAGTCCTCCTATCTCAGCCTCCCAAGTAGCTGGGACTATAGGTATGAGCTACCATGCCTGGTTAATTAACAATTTTTTTTTTTAAGAGATGTGGTCTTACTATGTTGCCCAGGCTGGTCTTGAACTCCTAGGCTTAAGTAATCCTCCTGCTTTAGCCTCCCAAAGTCCTGGGATTATAGGTATGAACCACTGTGCCCCACTCAAAATTTTTAAATAGAAACATGAGCACTAACCATAATGGAAAAAAAATGATAAACTGGACAACATAAAAAATAATAAAAAAACTTCTGTTCACCTAAAGACCCATTAAGAGAATAAAAAAGCTATAGAATGAGAGAATATATTTACAATATATTTATCTAACAAGGAACACATATCTATAATCTATAAGGACCTCCTACAAGTCAGTAAGAAAAAGACAGGCAACCCAATAGAAAAGTAGACAAACAGGCTAAACAAACGTCATGAAATAACATATCAAAAGGGTAAAACCGTAGGCAGGAATATCCCAATTAAATAATGAGACATACATCATCAATGTGGCCTAAATTTTAAAAGACTGAAAAAAATCCAAGTGCTAATTGAGGAAGAGGATGTGGAGCAATTGGGACTTTCATGTACCACAGTGGGGAAGGGAGGTGTCAATTGTATGATCACTTTGGAAAACGTACAGGACTGTAGTCGAGCTGCACATATGCACACTCTGTGGCTCAGACATTCAACTCCTGTGCACACACCAGAAAATGCACCAGAACATATGCACACAAATGTTCATAACAGTTTTATTCATAATAACCCAACTGGAAAACCTCAAGTGCCCAAGTGAAGTAGGATGGATACATAAAATGTAGTTAATTCTTCCAACAGAATACTATTCAGCAGTGACAAAAATGAACGACTTCTACACATGAATCTCACAGGTACAATGTTGAGTAATAGAAGCCAGATGCACAGAGTGCCGACTGTTTGATATCCATTTACATAAAAGTCAAAAACAGGGGGTGCTAATCTATGGTGACAGAAATAAAAAAGAGTGGTTACTTTGGACAGAGGGCAAACCACCTGTTTGTGGGTATAAGGGAAGCTTCTAGGGTGCTGGAAATGTTCTTTGTTGGTGTGAGTTGTAGTTACACTCTTAACCCTACAGAAAGCATCTGCTTCTGGTTGGGATAAAGTCATGAGACCATTATTCAAACTCTAATGCCAAGAACAAACCAGCTAAGTTCCCAATCAAAGCTTTTTGAAACCATAAGATAGCAGAGAACAAAATAAAGCCTAACTGAATGAAAATATAGAATCAGACAAGCCCTTTCTAGGAGAAGATCCACAGCTGCTTTTATCCCTGAAGGAAGAGTGAGAGGAGGAAGACAGAACTCTGCCTTTAAAAACCGTAAGGATAAATCACCCAAACTTTGAAGGAAACTTAAGTCACCGTGAGTCAACAGGCTGGATGAATTCACATCCTCAGGGAGTCTGCACCCACCACTGACGCTTTCTCATGGGCCTTTACCTAGTGTATGAGGGGGTAAACCAAAGGTTGGGTGCAGCGCTGAAGAGCTGTCATGCTAAGGAAGAAGTTCCAAAAGGTGGATTGGGATGTTAAAGCACAGACAAGACACCGTTTAGGAATCTGTTGTAGGATGGAGGTAAGTGAAGGTAGAGGCCTTGGAAATGAGGATAAGTGAATGGATTTCATGAACCAGTTTAGAGATAGAGGAGAAAGAGCCTTGGTGTGGCACTCCTACATCACATATTTTATTCTGTTATGAGGTTAAAAATTAGATGCATAAAAACCCCATTATATAATTTTGTCACAACTGTCTAGAATGAGAACTGCATGGAGAAATCACGGAAGCTCTTGGTCTAGACTAATATGCTATCAAAGAACCCAGAGGCTACAAAAAGATACCACAGGAAGATTGGTACCAAATTAAAAAAATTAGCCCCAGAGTACGATACAGATAGAATTCCAGAAAAATCTTTGGACTCGTGGGGAAGTAGATATGAAGCACATTTATGTCCAAGAGTTTGGCTGGGGTCAAAAAAAAAAAAAAAAAAACCCCAAAAGCCAAAAGCCAACAAGCTTCAGAGATTAGGTAAAGAGGAAGTTGTAGATTTATGATATTATTTTAACAAATCTTACAATAGATGAGTTTTACCACTTAATCTCAAGCATCAATCTAAGTGGATAAAGTCAACAAATAAAATAAGTCTTTCCTAACATAACTATAACAATACGGCCATATTAAACAATTTATTGGACTGGTGGGGAAAGGAGAGGAAGATTCAGATTAGGTGACATTAAATACCCCACGGTCCAGTCCCTATACGAGAATTTTCTTGGTTCTTGCCTCTGAGCCTCCAATTTTGGGCAGCATCCAGTTACTACCGGTGGTCTTACAGTTATTACTACTTTTACTGAAGCCTAATTGAGCTGGGTTTTAGGTTTATGCCTTTGTAAAGTATGCAAAATTACACAAAAAATAAAATACTGGAAGTAGACGATTTATGAGAGAATGTGATCAATATGTTTGTTGATCTTGAAAATAGCCTAGGAAAGTGAAAGGATAGATTAATTAAAGAATTAAGCCAAACATGAATTTTAATATTCAGAGACATTTATAAGCAAAACACCCTAAGGTATATTTATAGAGCCACTTTAATTAGGCAGTATTCAAAACAGCTTTACACATGAGTCAAGTTTTCAACGTACTTTAAATATGCATCTCTTCTAAATGAGAGAGCTGGGGTATTGTAAACCAAGCATGGAACCTGGAATCAGAACATGAGGCCTTGAGTCCTGGCTCTGTGGGTTACAAACTCTGAAAGTAAATCATGCAACTTTTTTCAAATGTAAAATGGAAAACTCTAAGGGGCTGCCACAAAGTTTATACAATAATGGATGTAAATGTGCTTTGTAAAATGAAAAGTGATATATCATTTCCTCAAAGGAGTGAAGCAAGGGAAAAATATGTTCATGAAAATTTGCTTTTATTCAATTAGCAGGCTTATCAATAATATCTGCATATATACTTAAGAGAGTACATTTTAACTTACTGATACTGATGCAAAACCAAAGAATCCTGGGTTCTCTTTCAGACTGTTATCCCCGACATTTGCATTAGCCAGTAGAAATCAGATAACTATCAAATGTATCTAAGAATTACCTGTCATAGTGATTTCTCATGGATTACATTAATATCGCCCATATAATTTCAAGAGAAACTGTATCAGAATAGTTTAGCCTGTGAATTCAGAGAAACCTGAATGCAAACTCTGCATCTATTACTTCCTAAGTGCATGATTTTGTAGAATCTAACCATCCTTAACTTGGTTTTATACCACAAAAGTGGAGATGTTCACAGTACTAGTATCACAAGTTTCAAGGATTTAAGAGAGAGCAGCACCTAATGTACTTAACAGAATGCCTGACATGTAGTATAGAGCTTACAGATGTTTGCTATGATAACATTGAAAATGTTGCTTCAGAGCAGATGGAGATTTTTGTTTTCCATTTATGGTCATTCTCATCCTTGAAGAGGTATGCAATCCCATACGCACATAGTGATATAGGTTCACATTAGTTAATGGCCAGAAGGAGATTCTGACATCTATTGAATAACCACCTCAAGCCAGGAACTATGACAGACACTATAAATACAAAGATGAACTAGATGTTAACTCTAACTTCAAATATTTCACAAGAATGTAAGACTCTTAAGGATAGATATTTGTTAACTCTGCCCATGGAGGTATCTTCAGGGATTAAAATAGTGCCTGAAATATTGGATTTCCTTGGTAAATACTTGGGGAATAAATAGTCTTAGTGGTTTTTCTACCATACATATAATTATCCAGATCCCAAAGTAGAAGATGCTTTTAATATATTTTGGATATCCAGTGAAGAGAAACTGTAAAGTATATTTATCATTACACAGATATAACTAGAATTGGGTTTAAAGCCTTTGAAACAAGGTGTTTTTTTTTTTTTTACAAAATAAATACAATGACATTTGGTACTTTGAAAAAAAATTTGAGAAATATTCAACACACATAGGAAACAATTTACCAAATGACTGATAACAGGAGGGAAACCTGATACCATTTTCTTACTGATGTATTAACACTTCCCACTATTAAATTTATACGATCATAAAATTTATTTTTAAAGATTTAAAGCACTGCTCACCTGGTCTTCTTCTCCTCCACCTTCTTCATCATATTTTAAAATATTATCTCTTACATCATCTTCTGGATCAATTAAAAGTTGTTTGGCCTGGCGTTCTTTATCCCGGCGTTTCATCCATACCACAAACATCAGCACAAGGACTAGGTAGAAAAATAGTAAAAATACATAATATTGTCATTTTTAAAGCCTGGCCTATTTAGTCACAGTATTCAGTACTAATAATTTATACTTATATGAACTGAAGGCCTGAAATGCGTCTTTCACTCTACTATCTATTTCTGGCCTCACATTAAGAGAGACAAGACAAAGCAAGCTAAAGCACTGGGTTTAGAGTATGAAGGCCTGGGCTCCCATCCCTGGTGCCCTCTGCAAACTCACTTGAGAGGTGATCATCCTTGTTCTCAGTTTTACCATCCATATATGGGGACAGTAACTTTTTCTATCTTCCCTTTGGCTTGCTAGAGGATAGTTGCCCTTCATAGGGCCTTGTAAATTCTAGAGACACAAAACAGCAGTAAGGTGTTACTTGCTGTGTTATTTCGGTTGGTCAGTCATCATTACACTCCGAAATTCACAGAAGAAAACACTTATCCAGGAGGACAAAGCTTGCCCAGATGACCTGGGTAGTAAATTGGAACTAAGTCAGGAATCAGATCTTGAGGTTTTGACTCCCAGAGGCCGGTGCATGTTTCAGCTAAGAAAGCTAGGGGATTCCTTTGAACACTGAAATAATATTAGACTTTCATGTTTTACACTTTGCGCCAGGTCTAGAACCATAAATTTTCCAGTGAGTTGATGTTAAAATCAGCACCAATTCAGTTTCCTTCAAAATGTCAGTTACTTCTTCATTGCCATAATCCATCATGCCTAAGTCTTTCTTGATAACATTGGCATCTATGCCACATTTCAGTTGAAATGGAAACATATCCCTAGGTGCACATCTAGGAACAAATTCTATCTAAAATCTGGGGGTATCAGTTTACATCCTGAAGCAAAAGATTTAATGACTCCTATTGGAGCACATTTTTATTATTGGCCATAAAAGTAAATATCCTCCTTTTAAAGCCAGATAACATGATCTCATTTGCTATTGTTCCAGGGCTAAATCTAGCAAGTGGATTATTAGTATAGCATGCAGGTTTCAAATTATAGCCAAAGTAGTCTCCACACAGGAAGTAAAAAATGCTTAGACTTCTATAGTAATTGCTTAGAATAAAGGGACAGAATTCTAAATTACCAGAACACTTGTAAATGGAGAAAACATAAAAGAAATGGCCAACATTTTCAAGAAAGTGATTGGTGCATAGCATGATCGCACAATAAACTAAGTCCTGCTGCTATTCACAATAAAACACAGGGCCCAGGCAATTTATTCTTTTAACCTGCATGCTTAGAAGTGGTTCCTAAAGTACTTTCCAGTGGTTAATTTTTTGCATTCCATTGAACCAAAGATTGCAAAGTACCTTAAAAAGAAGCAATTCCTTAATCTACACTTACTCTAAAGACAGACAATCTACTGAGCTGTGTAATCATTTCTATTATCAAATGTCCTGTATGTGAAGTACAATCTCTCACTCTTCTACACAGCCCTTCAGAAACAAATACCTTGATCCTCGCATGACTGGAGCACGTTGCTGACTGTGCTTTATATGAAGGAAGGTGAAGGAAAGCAATATACTTATTTTCCTAAATCATCAACTACGTGCCATAAATTCATACTCAAATCATAAGAAAAGTGCTCAAACTTGGGATTGTTTAATGTTTTTCTATGAAAAGCGTTTACTACAGCTCCCTAAGCAATAAGCATGAGAAAGGGTAAGAGGGCAAGGAAGAGGCATGCTGAGGCAGCTTGTTGCAAACATCAAGTGCTTGAAACAATGCTCTGGGGTTTTTTCATTCTAAAGTGGACTTGGTCGACCCATATATGATTGGCGAGGAAATGCTGAAAGGTCAAAGGGTTGTTAGACTACTTTGCCAGGCAATAGCAACACATGACTTTGCTGAACATCCTAGAAGCCAAGAGAACTGAAATCTAAAAGACAATAAAAGTACTCACTAAGCAGGATGATGATGCAGAGCAGGATGGCAATGATGGCACCGGTGCCAAGCCCCGCACCCACAATCCTGTCCACATCTGTGCAGTCCCCGTTGGAGTCACACTGGCAAACCTTCACACGCAGGATGGAAATATTTGATTTGGGAGGATTACCCGAATCTGTGATTATGATGGGAACTTCATAGATACCAGCTTCAAGAAATTTTATCTTTAAATTAAGCTGAGCAAAATCACCTATATGAAAAAGGAAAAACATAGTTTGATAGGTAATACTTAAAGCGATAAAAAAACACATAGCATTGTTCAGGATGTATTTACTACCTAATAGTACACATAAAGCGGATTACAACTATGCTGCATTCTAAATACTTTTTTGGCCGTAAAGGCCTTTAATATCTTACTTAAACTTTAAGTAGCTTTTAAAATATGTATAATGAGAAGATTATGAAGCACATAAAATTAACTTTTCATGCCAGGCTTCAAAATCTCTCAACTGCACATATATTCAAATAATTAACCTGTTCTTACCATTAAGCCGAGTGATGGTCCAATTTCTCTTAATAGTCACTGGAGATAAAGGAAGATCAAAAGCAAATGGTCCAGCATTTGGATCAATGTCATAATCAAGTGCTGTAATATTAATTGAATTGGGGTCTGGAGTTTCGCAAGTCTCTGCCTCTTGAGGTAACACTTGAGGGGCATTGTCATTAATATCAAGTAAATAGATCTGCAGCGTTCCTGTTCCACTCATAGGAGGAATTCCTGAAAAGAGAGAAAAATCACAAATGATGCTGAACAGTTCTCTCCAATGAGCCTCAATTATGGTGAAATTCTCAAAGCTTCTAACCTTCTGGCCCTTTTAACTGTGTAACCTTGGAAAAACATAGTTGCTATGGCATCTGGGCAGACCGTTTCCAGAACAAAGCCCCTTCTTGCTTCCCTGCTAGAATGACCCTGAGCTGCCACTGCTGCTCTGCAGGAGCTGAGCAAGGTGACGAAGAATGCCCCTGTGATGGAATCCCGTACCCTCCCTGCCCCTCCTGCCCATTATTCAGGGCTTGCGTAGACCATGCTCCTCCAGGCACTGTGAGGAGTGTTGGAGATGCAAACACAGGGCTCGTGATCCTGTTGACACTATTCTTTTTATGGAGAACCAAGACATATGCATGAAAGAACATAAGAATGCTTTTAACGCTCTAACACAGCTTTGACTTAACGCAACAGTCTACAGACAAGTGATACAGAACCACAGACCTCAACTCAGGAAGGAACATCATGCAGAAGAGAAATGATATTTACTAACCAACCAACTACCTGCTTGAGATCATATTAGGCTGCTCTATGTACACTCTTTGATTGTAATCCTATGACACAGGTTTACACAGATGAACCTGAGTCTGTAAACTGCTCATGGCCACACACTCTTGTAAGTGGTGGAGTTGCTACTAAATATTGGTCGGCCTGACCTCAAACCCATTCTCATTCCACTATAATAAAATGCTGTCTCCACCACTTTGTGTGATAATTTAATCTGGTGATTTGCTTCTGCTACATTGTAAATATTCACACACACACAAATATATAATATGTTTATGAATATTTTATAAATAATGCTGTACACTGAAGACCAGAGACTTAAGCGACCTGCCAAAGGTCATGCAACTAGGAAGGTGCACATACATACACAATCCTGGGGAGGGAATAAGGAGGAATGTTTACCAACTTCTATGAGGAATATGATGGTTCTAAGAGCAGGGAGAGTTGAACTGGAAGGGTATAGTGGCTGTTACAATATTCCAACACCACCATGACCACTATGATACTCAACAGTTTGAGGGACTTCGAAATTTACTATCACATTTAATATTACTATACTTTTATAACAACTATATAGAATATGTAGGTAGTGAAACAATTTATCAATAATGAAACTAAGGCATACAGAGTATAAGAGCTTGACTAATCATTAACGAACAGAGCTGGGGCTCCAAGTCTAGCCTTGTGGCTTAAAGGAAAGTGCAATTGCAAAGCATCACAGCTACATACATTATAACAGGTCACTTCTCTCTCTTATCAAAAGCCCTTTCAATTAGAAAACAATCCTTCCTGGTGAATGAGAAATCTGGTTGTAACTCACAACCAATATACATACATACATACATACATATAATTTTATGGCTCTTTAGATCTTAACATAATGATTCAAGATGCATTACTTTCAGTACCACTGTAGAAGAAAGCCACGGTTTATGGCAAAAAAGCATAAAACAGGTACTAATGACATGCTTTGATGTACAATGGCAAAAGCTATTCCTACAAAGTTCCAACACTAAATATTTAAACAAGAGGTCCCATATTAAAAAGGATAAGAAATATTTCTTTGGTTGGTCACTACATAGATTTTCTACAGATAGTAATCTCATTAAATCTTAGTATACAGATTTAGAAAGGTTCACTGACATTATTCTTAAAGTATTGATATGTCTTATTTTAGTAATGCAAAATATTTTACAATTTGAAAATTGCAAACACCAACTTCAACCACCAAATTGAAGCCTGCTATTTTTTATTAAGTACCAACATTCATATTCATAGTTTAATACTGAAAATATTTTAAAATATAGTTGTGGTTCAGTTTTGAAAC
The DNA here is from genome assembly GCF_000001405.40 of Homo sapiens. Lineage (NCBI taxonomy): Eukaryota > Metazoa > Chordata > Mammalia > Primates > Hominidae > Homo > Homo sapiens. The sequence goes on from NC_000018.10 coordinate 27,987,644, forward strand.
TATTAATACGCAATAGGAATACTTAGTTGAGTGGTTAGTTCGTGTCAGCCACTGTTTCAAATGCTTCATATATATGTAGAAGTCATTACATTTTAGTTAAAACACTGAGTTAGGTGCTGATACGTATCTATTTAACAAAAAAAGGAAACAGATATATTTAAAACCTCATGGCAATCCCACAGATTCAAAGTGGGAAAGCCGGAGTCTGCACCTGGGGGTCCTGTAGAACTCCAGAGCTTGAAGTCTGAAACACACATCGTACTGAGAGCTAACGAAGCAAAATAAGCCCCTCATCAGGTTTACAAAAGTCCCCTTTATATTACATATCTGAAAAAAGTCCTTATCTATTAATCTTAACCAATGAGAAACCAGCAGAGACTCAGAAAGGAAAAAAAGGTGCTACATATGTATTCTAAAACCCATACCCTGAAGCTCACTACTCACTTATCTCAATTTATGCACAAAATTAAGTTTCCTAGCCCATGGCAGACAGAGGCAGAGAATTATAAAAAGGAAGACTGATAGAGATGCACATATGAAAGGCAACAGAGTGACTAGAAGACATATAAAAAGAGCCACTGAAAAAACCCAGTGTCTAGGGCCACTGAGGATGGACTTAAGGCATCAACATGTGACAGGACAATAAGATAACAAAGGTATGTCTACATGAACGATGGATGGACATCGAGAACAGTCATTGCAAAGACAGTGAAGGATGTTCCAGAACACCTGTCTGAAATGATAAATAAAAGCTGGACCTCGGAATTATAAAAGTCAGTTTTCCAGGCAATTGAGTTTTGTAGAAAACTTTAATTCCTGAGCATGCATGATGAGGATCTACTGTCTTTCATCAACATACAAGAAAAAACAGCGAACATACCATTGTCAGAAGCAAGGAAAGTAGCATTATATATATTGTTTTTCACATTTGGTGATTCTCGGTCCAAAACAGCAATTGTAGTTATTTGTCCATTCACAGGATCTATTTTTAGCCAATTGGCAGGATCAGATAATTTAGTGTATCTACAAAATGAAAGTGAAGTTTAATTTCTTTTTATGAAACTTTAAAAAAACATATTTTACAGGTTTAGTTCCAAATGCAACTGGCTCATTAACTTGCATTTCTGTAGATGATGGCTGGACATACAGCTTTAACAGGAAAAAGTATTTTTGTGACAGTGGTATTGGGAGGCACATAAAGGTTGTGTTTGGTCAGGCATGTAGGAAACATTCTACAGGTGTCTGAGGGACAAGACTAGGTGCACAGTCTCCCTAATGTGGGCTAAAGCAGATTGGAAAGTTATCATTTTAGGTTCTTGTCCACTTCAACAGATATCAATGGTTCAGGTAAAATAGCTTGAATATAGTTTCTAGATAAGCAGTAGTCTCAATGTACAGGAGTTAAGAGAAATTATAATAGAAATTGAATACTGCATCACAGAACACTCCTAAAACATTTTAACACTTTATCATGGCCAACATGAAGCCACACTGGAGAGACCACCATAATCCCATTCCTACTTGAATCTTTCACACTGGGCCAAGCCTCAGATCTATACCTTTGCAAAGAAAGTCCTACAGTCTTGAGTCTGAATTGGCAGATTTATCAGCTTAAATTCCTTTTTAAAATTTGGAGTGGGGATTAACTTTTAAAGATTAGATAACCAGTTGGATTGGAAAAGGTATGCTATGTTTGGAAAGGTACAAGTTGTAGGATTTCAATACATCTATTAACTGGCTATTTATTAATAGTTATCTTGATTTCAGTGAATAGAGAAATGGAGAACATTTAACATTTAATAAAAGATAACAATAGAAAGTTATCTTTTAGCAGCAGTTCTGTAAGAAGTTTAATGAAATATAAGTTCATTTTAAAAATGATCATCACCAGCTTTGGAGAACAGTCGCATGGGGTGTGCTCTGGCAACCATCCACTCCCTCATCAGAAAGGATAAATTACATTTTGCTGAGTTTGGAAATCTTTACAGATAGGTTTCATAAGTCCAATAACTACTGTACAGGTAAGGAATGAAAATAATTAACTCTTAGATCCTGGTTTTGGCATAAGCTTTCTTTCCTTCATGATGCATGGAGGAGAGATAAATGTTATAAGCCTCTGAAAGTTCCCTGCGGAACCTTTTTGTGATGTTTGGCATAAAGGCACAGGCTAAATAATTTTAAAGTATTTTTTAAGTAAAAATGGCAGATACAGAGAAACAAGAACAGCTTTTTCTTCAAATAGTAAATCCATTTTAATATGGATACAGATATCTATTTATATCTAATATAGTCATTGACTTACTGAGAAGAAAATTCAAAGAATTTTAAATTATCTTTTAATAAGTAGTTTTGATTGCAATGAAAATTTCTACTCAAATAGTGAATTAGATAAATTTTATGCACAGCATAGAACATAAGTAAGCTACAAAAACACTACAAACAGCATTTCATACCTAATATTTTGCTGCATATATCGATCTGGGTCCTGAGCAGTGAATGTTGTCAACATGGTACCGGCATGAAGCCCTTCTTCTTGGCGAATGATCTTAGGATTGGGGGCAAAATAAGGGTTTTCATTTACGTCAATAACTGTAACAGACACGGTTGCAGTTGACTGAGGGGGGTGCTGAATTCCCTTGGCTAATGGCACTTGATTTTCTGCAGCAACAGTAAGGACAAACATCCTATTTGTTTCAAAGTCGATTGGCTGGAAAATAAAAGGGAAGCCATATTTTTGCAGGAAATAAGAATGCTTGCATTCTGTAGTTTATTCCTCTATCAACTCCATTTCCAAAAAATTAATTTCTTCATTCACTACATAACAAGGTTCCTCTCAAGTTTCTGGAAAACATGCATTAGCATGGTCACTTATCAAAATATTTATCCCAATTTAACCTAATTATAAATCTTGAGTACTTAAAAGATTTATGTTCACAAAACAGTGCACATGATTACTGCACAGATTTATTTATTTAGGTACATCTAAAAACTTGATTATTCTTAAGAATAGCATTGTTGACTAAAAATACTAAATAATATAAAGTCAAGTGAGAACATGATGGTCTAAATGTATACTCTCAAACATTAGTACAAAGATCACTCCTCACCCAGGAAAGCTTTCACCAGTCTATGATGAATTGAAGAAAACAAACCAAAAATCAGAAAATGTAATTTTTAAATACAGCTAAACTTATTTGATTTAAAAGTACCTTTCATAATTTGAAGTACACATTTTGCAGTACAAACATGTATACATAATCGCACACACACCTTTTAAAAATAATACTGTTGGTAGGTGGAAGATATTTTTCTTTTCCTCTTAGCAAACTAAAACTCTGCTGTCTTCTGGAATATTTCTGGATATTTTATTGGTCTGTAAAACCCCCAAATTTAAGAAAAACACTCTAGATAAATGCAATGCACAAATAACCCTTCATGTAAATACTAACTTCCAAAGTTCACTGAATCTTGCTGTCACTAGAAATATTACCAGGAGTCAAATGACTAGACTGGACATTCACTCTTAATTTTCCTTGTTCACCTGCGAATGGATGTGCAAATAAGCATTACTGTGCAGTAATAACAGGAAAAACAAGAGCATTAAGATCTCTTAGGCTCATAATTGGTAGCCTAAGAATGATCGAGAGGTGACGCTCATAAGAAAGCTTCATTATCAGCAGAAACTGCACCAGTTTCGTACCCTAGACCACCTTTTAAAAATCTTCAAACACATCTTTTTTTCTCTCTAAATCCCCAATTCAACATTCCTTTCTCTAGTATTTTAAGCAAGACAGAAAAAAAGCCAGAAAGTTAAGACTGCAATATTTAGAGTGATTTCACTAGCCACACGAAACCTTCCCCTGATGTAACATTTATGCTAAGGGGTATATGCACAGTTCAAAGTCCTTTAATGTGTATGAAGCTCATTTATCTCTCAGAACACTATGACTAACATACTGTTATCAGCCCCTTTCTGCATAAGAAACCTAGAATTTACAGTGGTTAAATAGTTGGCCATGATCACACAGATATCAGGAGCAGAGCTGGGACTCTAACACAGACAGCAGACTCAAGTTGGTGCTTTTGATCACTATGTTCCTTCTGAGAGTTTCCATTCCCATTCTATTCTACTCCCGCATCTGCATAATTATTGGCAACTGGCACTTTAGCACATCTTTCTATGTAAGGTCAATATTTAGGTTCACTTACAAATCAAGAGTGCTTAAGTGGGAGGCAAAGAAGTAAATCTCTTTACTGGGTGGCTAAAAGGAAGGGATGTTCACTTTAACAGGCTTTTCCATTATAGCTACGCATTTATTATTCTTGAAGAACATCCCCTTGGCTTCTAGCATGCAACTGTTTTGTTTGGTTCCTTTTTGACCATAAGATCAGAAGAATACATTTCTTAACGTCTCGGAAATAGCATTTAAAAACAGCCATGCAAATGCAAGAGCTTTCTAAAATGCAGGCTTTCTTCTTGCCTACTCATTACATTTTTCTTCTATGGCTTTTCTGGTTTGTTCACTATCTGCCAATATTCTAATAGCTGTAGACATGAAAATAGCAGCTGTGAGGCATCATTCTTAATAGCTATCAATGGTGATCAAAATTTCAGAATGTGATATATCATGAATATATCAACTACACTAACAGTTAATGTTGTTCAGGCCAGTCCTATCCTCAGATTGGTAAAAACTGTCCAAACTGATTCAAAAACAATCATCAAAACTCTCACTCAAAACTCTCATTCAAAAACTCTCACAAAACTCTCATCATAAAACTCATTCAAAAACCCTCACATCAGTGATGATGTGAGAGTACTGATGTTGGCCTTAGCCTCAGCATAAATTAAACAGTAAGATATAACCTCCCAAATATATATCAGACCCACATCTGGAGATGTCTGAAAGAAAAACGTCCTAAGTTTCCATTGCAAAACAATGAGTGGGGGACATATATTGGTCCTTGCTGAGCAGCTGTTGGAGAGATCAGTGGCCCGAGGAACACTTACTTTGACCACGGTGACTAACCCGTCGTTGCTGTTTGGGTCGGTCTGGATGGCGAACCGTCCAGTAGGATCTCCGCCACTGATTCTGTACACTGCGTTCCAGGCTGGTGTATGGGGTTGATCCTTATCGGTCACAGTTAGATTAGCTACTATGATGTCTACCCTGTTCTCAGGAACTTCACCATAAAACTGCGAGAAAGACAAACCTCAGTCAGAGGAGGGGCATGGACCACTGAAGGACAACTTGTCTTGATGACCACACCGTCCGATTTTACTGCCCCATTAGATTTTTATTATCTACACTAAATGAGGAGACTGATAATGCAGGTAATCACAGCATTTATGTCTGACTTTAAAAATACTGTAACATTTTTCAGTAGTCCAATTTTTTTCCAAATTACCTTACAGTTTCATTAATATTAAAATCAGCATCCATTTGTGAGTCTCTGGGTGATTATGGTGGGGTGGGGGAAAGAACTTGTCTGTGCAAAATGATTTTACTCCAGATATGGATAATTATATGCTGACAAAGTAGCATAAATCAGTCATGCAGCTCATGCACCTGAAAATATTCATAAGCATTTTGTTGTAACAGCACAGTCTTTTTAGGACGTGTTTTCCAGGCAGCTTATTTTAACAACTTTAACAGTGGACTTGAAGACTACGAAGAAACAAATTACTTGGATGCCTCACGTAAGGCCCTGATGACAGAAATGTCCGAGTTAGCAGCCATGCTACTATTAGGTGAAGCAAGTTCCACCTCTATTTAACACATTTATTATTCATGACCAACCTTCTCAGTAACGAACTACAGACCCAAAGTTGTGTGAGTGACAGGCTGTACTCACCGTCATGGCAGTAAACTCTGGAGGATTGTCATTGACATCTGTCACTGTGATGACGGCCGTGGCTGTGTTTGAAAGGCCATATGTGGGATTGCCTTCCATGTCTGTAGCTTGAATTATTAACGTATACTGTTGCACTTTCTAAAAAGACATAAAGATAAGAACTTAAATGAAACTAATTCCTCAAGAAGACATAACAGTTGTTCTGTAAACGGCTCTTTATAATGCAAGGAGAGCATGGCATCATTCATTCTGATTAACATGACTTGAAATTTCGCAAGTGGAGTTTCCTTTAACTTATGAAGCACAGGTCTGGTCCTTGTCTAGAGAGATTTAACTGTGTATATTCACCTCTACTGGCAGAAAGGAATGCACTGCAGATGTGTGAAATTCACAGCTAAGCTGAAACCTCCATCTGGTTCCAACTTTTGCCTTTCTTCACTTCACGAGATTGTGATCAAGCATTCAAGTCATTTGGTTCGTATTTACTTTCTTCTATGTTAATTTCTACCCAGTTTAGGATACTAAAAACAATGAAGAATCTCAAGACAGGGAGAAGAACACATACATAATTCACAAAGTATATAAGCTTTCCTTTTATATGTTCTTACATATATTCTATTATTACAGGGTAGATGCAATATTTCCCCTTAAATTCTATTGATACATATGATTCAAAACCATATAGAAGAGATATACAGTATTCTTAAACAAAGTCAAAACTTGAAGGGTTTCCGTTTATTTCCATAGTCTTCTAACAGGGCATATATTTGATAACTGCATATTCAATGGATTAGGATTTGGGTATAACACTCATTGTGTCCACTGCTTTAAGCACAGACCTACAATGGATATAAATATTGATACATTTACATGTAGATGATTATTATTAGACAGGCATCCACTACTTTCAAATTCCAGGTTGACTGTTTTAAAAGAGCCAAATTAAGCTATAATATATCTAAGAGAAAATGCTGAGATTGAGAAGTCAGGCATTTGCTGAGTAAGTTTTATATTAGGAAAACCTAACTTTAAACAATATCTAAAATCATTTGGAATCTCTGTGGAAATTTGCAGATAGATCAAAAACAGTGATCATTTTCATAAATGTTAAAACATTCTGAACAACAAAATCCGCTACATACAAAAATAAACTGTCACTGCAAAGTGCAGTTTTCCCTGTTTCTAAATATAGCTAACATTATGAATGGCCATTCTTAAGGGATTTCTGGAGCTTAGATAGAACACACACAAATTGTAGCTTTTGATTTAGTTGTCAGGGGGAGGGGCAAAGAAAAGAAAGGAGTAGGAAGGAAAGCCAAACCGCCCACACTAGATTCTAAGTCTCTGTCTGTCCACCCAAATGCCAATCTCTAGCAGTTATTTATTTCAGTTATTTTTTGTCTTCCAAAAAGAGAAAATGTTACACTATTTTGAATTAAAAAACACACACGCAGTAAGAAATAATGTTGGTTGAGTCATTTAATTTTTTCTTAACCCACAGTACCTCACTATAATGTTAACATAGGCTAAGGGCTAGGTGCGGTGGCTCACGCCTGTAATCTCAGCACTTTGGGAGGTCGAGGCAGGCGGATCATGAGGTCAGGAGTTCAAGACTAGTCTGGCCAACATAGTGAAACCCCGTCTCTATTAAAAATACACAAAAAATTAGCCAGGCGTGGTGGTGGGCGCCTGAAATCCCAGCTACTCGGGAGGCTGAGGCAGGAAAATCACGTGAACCCAGGAGGCGGAGGTTGCAGTGAGCCGAGATCGTGCCACTGTGCTCCAGCCTGGGCGACAGAATGAGACTCCATCTCAAAAAAAAAAAAAAAAAAAAAATGTTAACATAGGCTATAATACTTCTTCAGTTGCTTTCCTTCCCCAATTAGAAGTGTCACTTCAGCTTAATGCTTTCATGGTTAGTGAGAGAATTTCGCAGGACATTCAGTTCAGCCTCCCAGCTGAAAACCATGAAAATAAAAACTTTTATGACTTTTGAAATGTCAGTTTTGTTAGCTGCTATTTGCAGAAACAGATGAACATTCTCAAAAAGAGAGAAAAAAAGGAAGCTTATTTCTTAAGAAGTTAACTCACATAGGTATTACATGAAAGTATAGTTATTTCCTAATGTCTAGTCTACAAAAATCTTTAGAATTATGTAAGCATAATACATCCAATAATTTTCCATTGATCTGCAATATTGGAATTAGTAGCTAATACTTGAAATTTCTTATTGCTGCAAGCTAGTCTGGAAATTTTAAATTACAAAAGGACACTTGTTATTTCCAAAGTACAATATCTCTTCAAATAAAAAAAAAATTCCACTTGGTAAATAGTAAATAATGTCATCTCCATTTTCAAATGCCAGATTGCTAAAACATTCTTATATTTAGTAAGGAAGGCTTGATAGCCTGTGTTTTAGACAACTGAACTGCTTAGAGCTTCTTGCCTAATTTGGTCATTGGGCATCTGGCTGTGAATGACTGACATTTAGATTCCGTTAAGTGTTCGACTTCCCACTCTCATAGTACCTCAGCTGATCAAGGGGATTCTGCTTGAAAACTTCTCCTCCCTTCCTGCTCTATATGGAATAAAATCCAAAATCATCTGCTTGCTGTCAATCCTTCCCTCTCCGAAACTCGCCTATTTTACAAAAGTGATTCCTCCCATTCGCTTACCCCACACCTGGAGCTGTTTTGCATTTATCTTCAAATGCCCTGTCATGATCCTGTGTCATTCCATTTGGCATTCTCCTCTGCCTAGACAAGTGGATGTTACACAGAGTGAACATTTTGGGTTGTTACAACTAAGCACTCCTTAGTTGTGACAACCAAACTCAGTACCGACATCTAATGGGTAGAGGCCAAGGATGCTGCTAAACAGCCTATGATGCACAAGACAGGCCTCATAACCAAGTAAAAATGTCATAGTGTCCTGGCTGAGAAACCCTTGCCTAGAATACCATTCCCTTCATTCCAAGCCTGGCTAACATGCAGCTTACAAGTCACTTTGGAGACGACTTCTGAAAGTTCTTGAGGAAGAGCTGTTTGTGTCCTCAGGACAGAGCCCTTACAACACACCCCATCACTGTTTATAGTTTATATGGCTGTTATCAGTCGTATGTCTGTATCTGCCTCACTGTGCATGTGTGTGCATACAGAGACACAGACACACACACACGTGTCCCAAGGGCCCTTGCTTTGTTGATGCTTGTGCCACTGGCATATATGGCACAGTGCCTGACTCAGAGTAAGAATTCCACAAATGCTTCTGACTTGGTGGATGGATGGGTGAATGCATAAGAAACCTTGGGTTTTGCATGATCTTATCTCAGGTAAAGAAAAAGCCATCTTCTATTCACATGGATAGCTATAATTTACTTCTTAAAACCCATACTGGGAGCATAAACTAGCTCACCTTTTCCCAAAACCACAGTGATTCATGCACAGTAGTCCCAATTCTAACATTTCCTCATACTATGAGTCACTTCCTATTTATATTGACATTAATTTCCCTTTTTAAAGCTTAATTTATTGTAAAAGTCCCATAAATGGAAAGCTAGCATCAGTTATCATAAATATGACAGTAAAAAATAAACATGATGAAATTCTTGGATTCTGGCAGTCTCTACTTGATGAAGTAGCACGTGAAAGGCTGTGTCCGCTTGCTGTCCTAGAGGCTTCTCAGCATTTACCAATTAAAATCTTATGCACGTGCAGCACAATTTTGAAACACTGAGTGACATCAGTGAATGAGGAGGTGAGAACATTCAGTCATTCATACAGCAGACATTTAATGAAATGTCTTCAAAATGCCAGGCAATGGAGTATTTACTTGGGTAAAACAGTGACCAAAACGAGATACAGCCTTGCTTTCACTAAGTGATGGAGGCAGAGAGTAAAGGATCACAGGACCATATAGAGCCACCAAATGCATGAGTGCAAGTCTAGAAATGGTAGGAAGAAGTAATATGAAGAACCTTCAATAGTGCATACCAACTATCAGGTTGGTGCAAAAGTAACTGCAGTTTTTGCCATTACTTTTAATGTCATTACTTTGAGTAAAAAGAGAAGAACTTGATGACTAAACAGATTGCAGGTAGAGGGACAGCAGGGCATGGGAAAGGCAATTAAACGATGACCTTGGGAGACTGAGGAGAAGGTCCTGGTCACGTGAAATAGGAAATTCATCATAAATCACGGGTTTCAGGAGATGACAGATTTGCCTCTAGATAAATTGGGTTGGGGACAGAGAGTTGAATAACAATGTCACCGAAACTTAGGAGGGAAGTATAGATTTGTGACTCTGTTCAAATTCTTTTTTTTTTTGAGACTGAGTCTCACTCTGTCGCCCAGGCTGGAGTGCAGTGGCACAATCTCGGCTCACTGCAAGCTCTGCCTCCCGGGTTCACGCCATTCTCCTGCCTCAGCCTCCCGAGTAGCTGGGACTACAGGCGCCCGCAACCACGCCTGGCTAATTTTTTGTATTTTTAGTAGGGATGGGGTTTCACCGTGTTAGCCAGGATGGTCTCCATCTCCTGACCTCGTGATCCGCCCACCTTGGCCTCCCAAAGTGCTGGGATTACAGGTGTGAGCCACCACTCCTGGCCAACTCTGTTCAAATTCTTAACTGCTAAGCCCCACTTCCCTCATCTGTGAAATGGGACTAAAAGTACCATCTACCTTATAAATGTGGTCTTTCTTTTGTATACATATTACATGCTGGCACTGTTCCAAGGGCCTTGATTTAAAAACAAAAAACAACTTTTATTGAGTTTGAGCACTATGTGCCCAGCACAGTGCTATGCACTATGCATTATTTCAGTTAGTCCTCACAATAATCCTATGAGGCAGGTGGGGTTTTGAAACCCCATTTTACAGATGAGGAAATGGGCTTAGGAAGGTAAAGGAGCTTGCCATGGACACCCAGCCATAAGAGGCAGATAATAGACTTGAACTCAGGTATGGTCAAGAATCTGTACCGTTAACCAATCCACTACGTGAGTGCCCTCTAAGATGGTAAGAGTACTGCACACATGCAGCATGTGCACAGGTCAAGCGGGGGAAGCAGGTGGAAAGCCGGACTTCAAGTGGACAAGGAAGGAGTGGAAGTATTTTTTGCTTGTTTGTTCTTGAGACAGGGTCTCATTCTGTCACACAGGCTGGACTGCAGTGGCACGATTATGGCTCACTGCAGCCTTGACCACCCAGACTCAGGTGACAGGTGATCCTCTTACCTTAGCCTCCTGAATAGCTGGGATTACAGGCATGCACCACCACGCCTGGCTAATTTTTTGTATTTTTAGTAGAGACAGGGTTTCGCCATGTGGCCCAGGCTGGTCTCAAACTCCTAGGCTCAACTGATCTGCCTGCCTTGAGTGCTGGGTGCCCCTTGGAGAAGACTGGTGTGGAACTCAGGTAAAGTATAGTAACTTAAACATTTCTTTACAATTCATGTTCAGGGTAATGAGACAAGGAATATCTGCCCCACTGGATGTTGAGAATGGGAATCCAGATATACTTTCTGTGTAACACAGTCTATATAGAGGTATGCAGAGACTACTGTGGGTGATCAGAGAAGGGATTGAGAACTGGCTCTCAGAGGGTAAGGATTAGCCTGTTATGTAGGAGAACAATATTTAGGCAGAGGAAACGGGAACAGAAGAATAGAAAACTTCCTATTTGCACAAGGACTGTGTGTGGTTCAATGAGTGGTTGGGCATCATTTGTATGTGAAAGGCAAGTAATTCTGGGGGGTTAGGTTAAGGAGGGTTTTGGGGCCAAGGTCACAGAGGGTCTGGAATGCACTATTAAAAAGCTCTAACTTCATCCTATAGGGCATGGAGAGCTATGCTACCACAGTGGAGACCCAGCAGGTTTGTAGATTATGAAGCAACCTGTAGAGGAAGGAAGATTGAAGACAACAGAAAACAGGAGAACACCCCTTCAGGATGGAACTAGGAGTTGAAGGCACAAACAGAAAGATTATTAGGTTTGGAAAACAGGAAGTATTTCTTTCATCTTATGAAGAGGAGTAAAGGTGATAGATAGTGCTCAACCAGGAGATGCTGCTGTTGCTATTCATGATGGCAGTGGGGAAAACAATAGCTCAGATTTATTAGGCACTGTGCTGAATGCCTTTTAAAACGCTTTTAAATTTATATATATATACATATATACATATATATATGTGTGTGTGTGTATATATATGTATATATGTGTGTGTGTTTGTGTATATATATATACATTTTTTTTGAGACAGGGTGATATGGTTTGGCTCTGTGTCCCCACCCAAATCTCACCTTGAATTGTAATCCTCATAATACCCATGTGTCAAGGGCGGAACCGGGTGGAGGTAACTGAATCATGGGGGCAGTTTCCCCCATACTGTTCTCATGATAATGCATGAGTCTCACAAGATCTGATGGTTTTATAAGCGTCTGGCATTTCCCCTGCTTGCACTCTTCATTTCTCTCCTTCCGCCCTGTGAAGAGGTGCCTTCTGCCATGATTGTAGGCTTCCTGAGGCCTCCCCAGCCATGCGGAACTGTGAGCCAATTAAACCTCTTTTCTTTATAAATTATCCAGTCTCAGGTATTTCTTTATAGCAGTGTGAGAACAGACTAATACAGAGGGTCTCACTCTGCCACTCAGGCTGCAGTGCAGTGGTGCAATCACGGCTCACTGCAGCCTTGACCTCCCAGGCTCAGGTGATTCTCCCGCTCAGCCTCCCAAGTGGCTGGGACTACAGGTGCACACCACCATGCCAGCTAATTTTTGTATTTTTTGTAGAGATGGGGTTTCGCCATGTTGTCCAGGCAGGTCTTGAACTTCTGGGCTCAAGCCATCCACCCACCTCAACCTCCCAAAATGCTGTGATTACAGGTATGAGCCACCGTGCCTGGCCTGAATGCTTTATGTGTCATGTTACATAATTCTTAAAACTGTCCCATGAGGTAGGTAATACTATTATCCCCATTTATGGATGCAGGAGCTGAGGTTTCAGGTTAATACACTGAAAGTCAAACAGCCCATACTAAGCAGAGCCAGAGTTCAAACCTGGGGGGAGCAGGGGTGAGTCTTTGACAGTCCTGCACAAAAAGGGCAGAAAATGGACATGAAATGGAAAGGCCAGGAATACTACCAGCAAGTAATGTCACAAGAGGACAGATGGGAACAAATGCTGAAGACTGGGTAATGTGGCAAATACACCTTTAGGTCTGGAGAAGCTGAAGAATTAAAACTAAATTTTTAAAACCTGAAGATTAAACAAAAATAAAAAGCTGAATCTCACTAAGCATTTCAATGATTAGGAGTTCAATCACTTAAAGGTGTCATACATCCTGAGAGCACGAGAACACACATTACTTTTGACAGAAAGGAAACTGTGAATTCTAATAGAAATAAAAGAATTTCAAGTCTGCACGAGGCCTGAAAAAGTCAAAGTAATTTATCCCTGGCCTCAGGAAGAATTATCATAAACCATCCGAGATAGATGCATTTTTTCTATGTTAAATGACTTTCAGAAAAGGAAGGTTTTCCATAATTTTCCCTAGTAACTCATTGTTGTGTTTAATAATTTCACTGTCAAGAAGCTATTTCTCATACTGTATCTAACCCATAATTCTATAGTTTCAAATCCATTTCCACATTAGTTTAATCAAGGGGTAGTGAACAGCTTCTCTATCCACTGGAAGATAAACTTAATGACAATTATGGCCTCACGTCAGGCTTTCATCCTCTAAACGAAATACAGTCTGATTTTTAAACATGGTTGGTCTGTTTTAGTAAAAAGTATCTTTAATTTTCCATGCCTCTTTCTTTCCATAAAACATCCAGTCTAAATGAGATAGGAATATTACCATATGAAAACAGGATGAAGTCTCATTTCTGTATCTCACAATGACAATGTGAATGAAAGAGAAATATTAGGATTATGAAATGAACTAAATCTACTTGGTATATGAGCAACCTGGCACTGAAGAAAGAATACTGAAAATTACCCCATATTCTCTAATAAATTATGGCATTCATGCTGAGTTTATCGGCATATAAAAATAGTATTTCATATAGCAATGAAGAGGTGAAAATATACACATGTTACTGAACTAAAAGTACTACTTAAGAAACTAAACTGAGTCCAACAATCTCTGATGCAAATCATTTCTAGAAAAAGAACTGTTGATGCCTACAAGTCAATAGGTACAATGTCATAGGCATACACTAACTCCTAAGTAAGGCTCTCAGCTCAGAATAAACTAATCTTTATTGGCTCATATTACTTTATTGTAGTGCCTCTAGCACTATTTTGTGTGAACAATTGCAATAGTAATGTTTTCTTCTATTCAATTCAAATGAATGCTTCTATAGCAAATAAAGTGTCAAAAAACACGAACTTCTAAAATCCTTGTCAATGATATTTTATTGCAGTGGGTATAATGTCTCCTTTTGACATACATAATCTAAGTCTCATTACAGTAAAAGCTGGCTCAGCCAGAAATCTACAAAGCACAGATCTCCCTATGAGTTGGCGCTTTGATATTTCACTCAAACAATGATTACATGTGGTCAAAATAATGACCTTGAGAGTCTGTAAGAAAATAGTCAGGACAGAATCGAGAAAGGATGAAAAAGTTTCACCAGGAGTGGGGTTTTCAGGAAAGAATATGAGCAGTGCTTGAATCAGAACCGGAAGAACTAGAAGATCCAAGATCAAGATAAAGGTGCAAGGCATGCCTGGCCAAGGGGATCACATGTACAAAAACACAGGGGTATGTAGGAGCACAGTGGGTCGAGGCCTGTAACACTGAGATGGCCCACTGGGAATTAAAAGAAGTACCCATTCCATCTCAGACTGTGATACTGCATAGTATTTCAATGCCTTCAACATTGCATACATTTTCAACTAAATGTTATTTCAGAAATGTGTTTCTTTGTATTTCTAACTTTAAATACTTGTGGGTAGAATTAATGCAGTTACTACTGCTTAAATCTTTTAAGTAAATTAATCATAGAGTTAAGGGGCTAGTTCTAATAAAGAAGATAATCTACTATATACTATGTCAGACTATTCACAAGGGCTACAAAAAACCAAATCACATACATGTTATTTGCAGCCTTTTAATAACACAAGCATTAACAATTATCCTAAGTTTGTGTGCAAATTATTTGGCTGTGATTTTTAATTCCTCACAAAAACCTTTGACTATAAAGGAAAATGAGGAAATGTTAAAAATTTTAAAAATTAGATACCAGAGAATATTGCTTAGTCAGTGTCACATTAAAAACTACATAGGCTAGCATTGATTTATCCAGTATATATACATCATTTAACCAATTTGAAGCTCTGCAGAAAAATATACAACAGATTACTTAATGAAAACGATTAGCATTTGAATAACACTGTGAGTATATTGTGATGTGGAGATAAAATGTATGTGATATGATATTGTGCACCTTTAAGATTAAAAACAAACACAAATAGAGTTTTTGGTTGGCTTACTTCTCGATCAAGTCCAGCTGCCACTGTGATGATGTCACCAGTCTCATTGTTGATTGTAAACATGTTGGGTGAAGGGGTGCTTGGAGCCTGAGACACGATTCTGTACCTCAACATCCCATTGAGGGCATTGGGATCGTCAGCATCAATTGCTGTTACGGTCATCACATATGTTCCTAGAGACAGTGTACATGGAAAATGAATGGTTACCCTTCATTCCAGGGACCCCAAAATAGAAGGTATATTTATTGTTTTGATATGTCTTATTTTCACTTTTTAAAAACAAATATTTAAAGTCATTTAGACTTGATTAAAAATGCTACTCATAAGAACAGTACTTATTTCAAAAAAGATAAAACCTGGTCTGGATCTTTGAATGAAAAATTATACAACATACATATTTATAAAAACTCAATTTTTCCATAACTTAGAAGATAAATTCACTTTATGATTCCAAAAAGGTTCATTTTAGACCTTAATTTATATAAAATGCAAATAATGGGTAATACAGATACCATTAGAAAAGTAATTTATTGCCGCTGATTCTTCCCTCTGTCATCTTTTCTTCCGTTATGCAATGATGTCTAAAATAACATGCTGAGTATGATTCTCCCCAGTGCCTGAGTCACTTTCCGAATGTAGGCTGTGTGCAGAAAGCAGCACACTCCATTTCCTCAGGTCATAAGGAACCATTTCATGCACTGCTGTTTTGGTACATTGCATAGAGATTTGGCATCGTGGTTCATTATTTCCTCAGTGATTAAAAGAACATTGGAACCAACTTAGAGACTTCAATTTATTAGATATTTTGGAAAAGAAATCTTCAAAGCCTTTGTATCGAATTAGTTCAAACTAGCTAGACACTCTGTAATTTAGAAGTAGAGTGAGAAGTAGTTACTGTTTAGAGTGGTTTGTTCTGTGGGATCCATTTAAGGACTGAATTATGAAATGTTTATCTCCAGTCTACCTTCCTTTTGAATACTCAAGTTCAGTTCTACCTTACAGCCTGTTTACATTGGGTATTCTCTCTCCATGGTATACCTTGGGTTCTGAACTAACTGTGCTTTGGTAATATTATTCAAATCTCATTTCAGAACTTGTCCCTTTAAACGATTTACCTATTTTGATTATGTGTCATCCCTACACCCTTATTTTTTCAAAACCTTCAGTGTGTACTTCCTTGTTTGCATGTTTTTTATTTCTCTCCCCTACTACAATTTAAGCTCCAACAGGGCAGGAACTAGCTTGTCACCACTGTATCCACAGTGTCAGAACAAGGCTTACCACACAGCATATGCTTTATAAACATTTGCTGAATGAATGAATAAATCATCAGAATAAAAAGGTATCTTTCAGAAGTGTGAGCCAAAATATAGATCACAACGCAGTTTAGCTCAAAATTCATCACAAATCTTGCCTAGAAGGATGTTTTCAAACTTATAGAAGAACCACAAGAAATATACTCACAATATGTCTACTTCTAGCAATAGCTGACAGTCTTTTATTTATGGGTGGCTCATATGGAAATTCATGGTAAAATGCATCATAAATATAGCTTTAGTGGCACATTTTAAACAATTTTTGTGAAACTATTCTTGTAAAGTTGGAAATAATAGAGAAAAAAAAGAAAATAATATAAAAAAATTTCCACAGTCCCAAAAGCCCAATGTTTGTTTTCTTTGGAAGATTTGTCTAAGACTTGTGTTTTAGTAAGGAAATGCTGAATTTGCTTTAATTTTACTGTATTTTAAAATACTGAAGAAAGCTACTCTGACGATGTGACTTAGAAGGAGTCACAGATGGCTGAACTTCCTGCACAGCCCCTGGTCTCCCTCCAGCTGCCCCCACCCTACCCCTACATCTTTTCTGAAGAGGCAGAGATATGCACTTGGACCAAGAAAATGTATGTGTTTGAGGCATAGTTGGTTATATCTATAAACTGACTTATGCATAAGGGAGTTGCATAAACTGGTGTCAATGACAAAGGTATTATGCAGCACAATTTTAAATGCTGAGGCTTTTAAAAATACAAAACAAAAATACAATAGCTAATTAAATCTCTCTGAACACCACGCCATCTCAGGAAGCCTGGTCAAACACTTACTTTTACCATCCCTATACCAACTGATTGTCTTGTCCACTGGTTTTCTAGCGGCCTGGCTTTTCTACTGTGACTGAAGTGTGTCATATTTTTAATACGAGAATCTAAAATCTTAGTCAAATACCACTTTACAATCATGAGTGGCTTTCCACAAGTGCTATTTCTAGGCCAGGGCATTTTCCATTTTGCTGGTTGAAGGGATAGAACTGCAGGGGACACGCTGGCCACCCTGAAAATAACTGTCCTGTGGAGCTAGAGGGCAGCAATCACAGATGTTACTAAGCCCCTTCCATGCTTTCGCTATGACTTCGCCACCTAGTCCCAGGAACGTCAAGTATCTTTAAGGCTTTCTCACTGTGTTAAATTGCTGCTACGTCTCATACAGTCACATCTGTACTTGATAAACAGAAAGCCTCTCGTCTTCTGGGGCTCACTTTCAAGATGCATTGGCTGTATCAACTAAAGCAGAACGAAAGGATCCTATGTATTCCACAGGACAGAATCAAATACTGTAGTGCATATTTTTTCAAAGGTGGGAAAAATCAGTATGAGTAATAAGAAGGATTTTTTTTTTGTTTTTCTCTCTTCAATTGGTTTTTCCCTAAGTTACCTTCCTTCTTTCCCAAAAGCATTATGAATGAAAGAAAAGGATCCAAAAAGCCTCATATGATTTCTCCATTTCTTGCTCATATAACAGGGCTGGTTACACCATACTTTCCTCAAGTCATCTTCAAATTATTATCTTTAAACTTACCAGGCTTTGATCCCTCAGGAACTGTCCCATTCCAAACCTGGTGTAAGAACTCAGGTCTGTTGTCATTCATGTCAATAACATTGATGACAATGTCAATGGGGTTCTCCACTTGATTTCCATTAATATCTACTGCATGTGCCCTCAACTGCAAAAGTAATTAGAAAACAACTATTTAACAGATTTATGTCTGTGAGAAGATAAATACATCATCATAAGGCTACAAAAATAGCAAGAATAAACTCACAGCTGAAAAACAAAAGCGGTTCTTCCCATCAAAATTTAAGTTACACCAAGTCCATATAATTAGGATAGATATAGTAGCAAAAAGCCATCATTTACTATATGCTAGGCATTGTTCTCAGAGCACAATGGATTTTAACTCCTTTAATTCACGTACAAAAGAGTGAGGCAGAAATTTTCAGCATTTGAAGATGAAATTGAGCCTCAGAAAGACTAGGAAATTTATGAAGGTCACTGCTGTCTCTGCTGACAGGACTTAGATCCAAAACCAGTTGTGTCCAGCTCCAAAATCCCTTCCCTAAACCAGTAGAGAAGACAGACTTAAGGTAATTAAAAATGTGAAAGTAGGCCAGGCACGGTGGCTCACGCCTGTAATCCCAGCACATTGGGAGGCCAAGGAGGGCGGATCACCTGAGGTCAGGAGTTTGAGACCAGCCTGGCCAACATGGCGAAACCCCGTCTCTACTAAAAATACAAAAAAAAAAAAATTAGCTGGGCCTGGTGGCATATGTCTGTAAGCCCAGCTACTTGGGAGGCTGAGGCAAGAGAATCACTTGAACCCGAGGTTGCAGTGAGCCGAGATTGTGCCAGTGCACTCCAGCCTGGGTGACAGAGTGGGACTCTGTCTCAAAAAAAAAAAAAAAAAAAAGAAGTGGAAGTAGCACAAAGTAGTGATAGAGATCAAGGCAACAGAAAATAATCTAGAAAGAAGTGTACATAGGAAATTTTGACACTAGTTTTTTTCTTTTCCTTAATTGTAAAAGTCATTCACAAACATTAAAAATATACTAGTATATGGCTGGGCACAGTGAGTAGCTCATGCCTGTAATCTCAGAACTTTGGGAGGCTGAAGCAGGTGAATCACTTGAGGTCAGGAGTTCGAGATCAGCCTGGCCAACATGGTGAAAACCTGTCTCTACTAAAAATACAAAAAATTAGCTGGGTGCCTGTAATCCCAGCTACTCAGAGGCTGAGGCAGGAGAATTGCTTGAACCTGGGAGGCGGCAGCTGCGGTGAGCTGAGATCATGCCACTGCACTCCAGCCTGGGCAACAGAGTGAGACTCCATAAAAAAAAAATATATATATATATATATATATATATATACGAGTATATACGATAGCTGTTCCTCTCCCCAGCCCAGTTCTCAGTTTTATAGGTATTCTTCTAGAAACTTTATCTTATTTTTCTTTTTAAACAAAAATATTCATTTGGCTACACTTGGCAGAATATCAAAATCCTTTCCTCTAGAATAGATTCATTTCATTCTTTCCAATGGCTGTTTAGTGCTCCTTTAATTGTTTCTTTTGGACTGGAATGCTTCTAGTTTTCATGTTAAGTCTGATGCTTGCCATTGGTTGCTGCTGGATACACTCTATCAAATTAAAAAAAGCTTCAACATATCCTTTTTTAAATTCAGAGGTTATTTAAACACATAAAAACAATGTAAATTTTAATACTGCCATTCAATACCTATAGAGATAATTCTTTTTTTTCCCTTGGCTTATTTAATATCTTACATTACATTAATAGATTCTTAATACTAAAACAATTATACTTATATATTGAATCTGAATACTGAACCTTAATACTTTCAATTTTACAATTAATTCTGTTCTGTTATGGGTTTTTTTGTTTTTGTTTTTTTTGTGAGATGCAGTCTTGCTCTGTCACCCAGGCTGGAGGGTAAGAGTGCATTGGCACGATCTCGGCTTAACTGCAACCTCTGCCTCCCAGGTTCAAGTGATTCTCCCACCTCAGCCTCTTGAGTAGCTGGGATTACAGGCGTGCACCACTGCAGGCAGATAATTTTATTTTTTATTTTTAGTATAGACAGGGTTTCACCATGTTGGCCAGGCTGGTCTGGAACTCCTGACCTCAAGTGAGCCACCAGCCTTGGCCTCCCAAATTGCTAGGATTCCGGGCGTGAGCCACCACACCCGACTGGTATTGCTCTTTTAATGTGCAAGTAGCAAGCACTTAGCAATAATTTACCCCAAAATTGACCTGAATATACTCATTTCCTGAGTTTTAACCACAGGAATTCAGAAAGCGAGAATTCCTATAAGAAGAGATCCTTAAGAATTTTAAATTGATCTTATTTATATTCATAAATTAGAAATTAGTCTAAGTAGAGGCAGGTATATTGTGTGCTATCTAAAAATAAGTTTCCTTATTAATGCTATGTTGTCTTTGTGAGACGTTTGGAAGTTTTACTTCTTTTCCTATGTTTCAGAACTATATGGAAAGCATTAGAATAACCTATTCCTCCAATGATATTAAAAAATGGAATGATGAAGAAATCAAGGTCTTTGGGAAGAGAAAGTATAGAGCAATACTCAGTGCATAAGACATTTTAAATTTCTCATATGCTTATTTGTCTGTTAGATCTAGGTGAATCTATTGAAGTTTAAAAACTTCAATAATTGTTCTCATTCATAGGTGGGAACTGAACAATGAGAACACTTAGACACAGGGTGGAGAACATCACACACTGGGGCCTGTCGTGGGGTGGGATGAGGGGGGAAGGATAGCATTAGGAGAAATACCTAATGTAAATGATGAGTTGATGGGTGCAGCACACCAACATGGCACATGTATACATGTGACAAACCTGCACGTTGTGCACATGTACCCTAGAACTTAAAGTATAATATAAAAAAAAAAAAGAAAAAACTTCAGTAATTTTAAAAGTTGGTAAAAGTACAAGAATTCAACAAATGTATCAGTGGGCAAAATAAGAGTCTGGAAACACATCCATGCACATGTGGGATGAAAGTTTTAGTGATTAAGTGTAGATGATGGATCAATGGGGAAACTAATTCAATATATGCTGTTGGGACAAGTAGCTAGTCATAAAGGAAAAACAAAGTGGGTCTCTCCTTTTATTAAAATAACTCTGCAGAGGTTAAAAATTCAAATGTAAAAAGTAAATACAACAAAAATTTGGGGAACTGGGGAGATTGGTATCCTGGAGTAAAACTGGGGAGACTGGCATCCTGGAGTAGGGAAGGCCTTTATCAACATCTCTGGAAAGACAGAATGTATGATAAAATTTTTAAAAATGAATTTTGCAGTGTAAAAACGATGTTATACTATGGGAAAATTATTGACAATGTTAGAAATAAACAAAAGGAGAAAATGTAGGACAAACCAAGCACTAACATTCCTAATTAGACAAAAGGTTCTTAGCAATAAGAAATCCCAAAGAAAATTCAAAATAAGAAAGGAATAGGGGATTCACTTTGATTAGAATACTATGCATTCATTAACAATGCTGTGACCTCTATATATTTTACATGTAACAGATTTGACTCCATTCATATAAATTTGTTCTTACAGATTCTTAACCACATATCTGAAAGCAAGTATCAATATGTAAAGAGTAATGAGATTTTAGGCAATTTCACTTCCTTCTTTCTTTGTTGTGGGCACTATTTGTTTTTCTATGAGGGCATTTATCAATTCTATAAAAACAATAACATTATTAAAATAAACCAAAAGACTACAGATACAATTCTTAAAACTCTCAGTATTGAGGCTTTCAGACTGATATAAGAGGCAATGGTAAACTCTGCAGACATTTAGAACTGTTAATACACAGAATTATCAGCTGGTTGGAATCTTACATGAAACCGGGCTATCTGCTCGCGATCCAGGGGCTTTGTCACCGACAGCTGACCCGAGATGGGGTTGATAATGAAGATACCAGTTGGAGGCTGGTCAGCTCCTGGCCCAGTTACACTGTACCGCAGTGAAAGGTTTTTATCTCTATCAGACCTGATCTGAGGATCAAGAAAACAATGACATTAAGTGAGAGACTAAATGAGCTCATTATCAGAGATGGGGCACATCACACTTCATGCCCTTTTTCAGCTACAAACTTATACCATCTCTCCCCAGAAAATCACTGAAACTCTCCTAGTGCCTGTTCTTCCTCTGCTTCTCAGTGACAGGCTTCAAAAGAGATGTCATCTATCACCAGAAAGACTGGAGGCAACATTAACATCTAAAAGAAAACTCACTAGGAGCAGTGCAAAAGTTCCAAATCTACAAGTGAGAGTTTTTAAACAATCAAACTCTGTCCTGGGAGTTTCTAGGTTAGACGATTTAACATAGTAAGAGCTGTCCAATTTCATTAAAATAAACATTATTTACCTTTTTGCATCAGTAACAACAAGAATTAATTGTCTATCCATAGTGTGAAATATACTCAAATGGAACTCTAATACAGTTATGGTTGACCCTGAATGTCAGACTTCTGTACTTGCATTGTACTAACACTGTTCATTGCGCACCAAAGCTTTCCGTATCATTTTAAGTGACACCTGAAATTTTCATTAATAATAAAGCACAAAAGAAAGCATTTTAAAATATATTTTTATGCTCGCAAACATTATATCATTATAGGCTCACTGCCTTCTCCAAATACAACTACTCTCAAGAAAATTAAGTCAATGTATGAGCAGTCACAGGAGACAGAACAGGCTATGGAAGGGGACGAAGGGAGGCAGGTACAGAGAAAAATAAGAGATCCTTATGTATTAGGTACTTATACTTAATCCATCAATAAAATCTAGGTTTTTTTTTTTTGCGGGGGGGGAAGGAGTCTCACTCTGTCGTCCAGGCTGGAGTGCAGTAGCATGATCTCGGCTCACTGCAAGCTCCACCTCCCGGGTTCATGCCATTCTCCTGCCTCAGCCTCCCGAGTAGCACCACGCCCAGCTATTTTTTTCTGTATTTTAGTACAGACGGGGTTTCATCGTGTTAGTCAGGATGGTCTTGATCTCCTGACCTCGTGATCTGCCCACCTCAGCCTTCCAAAGTGCTGGGATTACAGGTGCCCTGCCTGTTTTTTTTTTTTTTAAGTTAAAGCAAAATTCCCTTTTCTCTCAAACTTCATTAAAGTAGAAAAAGAGACAGTATCTTAATTTAGAGTTACATTCTTTGTTAAAGTGAATTATAATGTACATTAGGACAGAATATACAACATATTTTAAAGCGGCTTATTTTAAAAAAAAGGCTTTCAGTAAGTATGTGTTAGAATGCTAAAATAATCATATACAGAAACATTTACATTTTAATAAGTGGGAATACAGCAGCCTTGTCTTACTATACTTTTGTAATAAATAATGGGTTAAGTTTATTAAAATGCAAAAATATCTGCATTTTTTTTCTGTAGCTGATGGTATGTATCTAGAGTAAATAACTAAAAAAAAAAAACTTACTCCTCAGATTTGAAAGCCTATGATTTTACACTGCCCTGGGGATTCTGTTAATGGTATCAGAGGTCATTCTTTTCTTTAAAAAACTCTCAAATGCATTTGGTGCTGGCATTTTTAACAATGATTGCCCTTTATTTTTTCTGTGGCCCAAAAACCATCTGTAGAGGGCAAAGATCATCACAGAGAGCCCAGCTTTCAGACAGGGAAGTTTAGGGGTGTGTGTGTTATGAGAGTGGAAATGGTATGGTTGGGAATATGTGTTGGCTTTAGGGCTTGTGTAGTCACAAACTGAACAAGCTTTCTAATCCACAGTGTGCAGGACCTACAAGTGAGCTCTACTTATAAATAATCCAAAAGGTAACAAAGAAAATGAGAAGAGGCTTTCTACAACACTACAGAAATTCTATCTTTATAGAAAAACACTTTTAGTATATA
Organism: Homo sapiens; assembly: GCF_000001405.40. NCBI lineage: Eukaryota > Metazoa > Chordata > Mammalia > Primates > Hominidae > Homo > Homo sapiens. Next base: position 28,011,748 of record NC_000018.10, read on the forward strand.
CATGTCATAAATTCTACTTTGTAAAAAAAATAGACAGAAATATTTTTAACATACATTTGTCTTGTGGTATGAAAACAGTTAAAATTGTGCCACCTTACCCTGACAAGCTCTTGAGGAAAAGGTCCCCTGGAGTTTTCTGGCAAGTTGATTGGAGGGATGACCCAGTCTCTCTTCTGCCTTTGTAGGTGGCCACTGTGCTTACTGAATTGTCTTGGGAACACTATTTCTTCAACTTCTGCTGACTCCTTTACATTAAAATAGAAGACATTCCTGAGTACTAGGAAACACATTTTCTGAAAGTACATCAATATTATTGAATACCTGAAAGCATAGGAATCACAGTTTATTATGAACAAAAAATAAGTCTGGAGGCCCTTTTCCCTGGCCCCCTATTAAAATAACAGAAAAATACCATAAAATTTTTGGGTTATACTGTGTATCTGAAAAATTGAATTCTAAACAATTTATTATATGGCACAGCTGTGTAAACTATTTGCAGTTTCTATAAACCTTTTTAGATAGCAGTTAATATTGAGCAAAATTTAATAGTACCCTTTTATATATTTCTCATTAGTTTAAACCACAGTTCAGGTAATGTGCTACTGTACATTAAATTTAGATCTTGATGTGCTAAAATATAATTTGAATTCCAAGAGAAGTTTAATACATACTGCTAAGGAATGTCTCAAATATTTATGACCCTATTATATCCCACAGAATTAATGCTGTAATTATTCTAAACCTATGTCAGCCATGATGGATGCTGCAGATGACCCACTTTGCACATTAGGTATTAATCTCTGCTGGATGTCAACATTTTCTTCTGTTTCTTCCTCTATCTGTAGACATTTTAGCCATTAGCCCTTGCTGCTTCAGTGCAAATATCCAAGCTAGTTTGCTGGAACACAGCAAATCAACAACAAAAGCATCTTTTCACTCCATTAGTTACTGGGTTTTCACTTTATATTACCCAATGACATGACTTCCCTCAACAGTTAATAGATTAACAAATTAAATTTCACATAATAAAACCACAACACTGAAATAAGAGAAAAATGATATATTTTCCTCTGATATATTATTCATGTTTGATTGTGGGTATGTATATCACATTTACAATTAAATACCAGAAATGAATGTGTCTGTTTTTACCTCTCACAGTAAAATAAGCATAAAAAAAGTAGTAGTCATAGTTCCATAGTTCATGGACTTCAGAATATATGGGTGTGTCCCATCATATTTGTTTTGAATTAACTCAAAAAACTAAAATATTCAGAAAATATTATCATAACGTTACTGAAGTTACTGTATTTTATTTAAAATTCCGAACAATGACTTATACAAATTAAGTGCTCAATAAATATTTGTTGAATTGAACTGAATGGCACTCTGTTGGAAATGTACCTCATTTATTTTATCTTGGCTCACAGCAGCTTCCACCAGAGGGAGTATATCATTCCTAAAAAGTCATGTTGGTAGTATAAATAATTCATACCCCCCAACTGGATTATTAAGGGACAAGACAAAAACCCAATACTCATTGCCAGAAATGTTTTCCTGTTACTACTTTAAATCTGTACTTCTCATCTAATAAATCTGACTGATGACATCTTGTAAAGAATTGTTTATTTTGTGGTTTTATTTAACAGCTTGTAAAACTTCTAAGAAATTTAAAACAAACTGCTTCTAACTTAAATTATAAATCTCAAAGTATAAACAAATCTTTAAAATACAATTTCTAGTTGCTTAAAATATATTTAGTCTACGTATCTTAAGAGATTACAAACACAACAAAATATTATTAAAATGACCAAAGTTGATACAAATGCAAATAGTGGCCATCCATTAATGTGGTCTGAAGCAAAGCATATATTTAGTTCAAACTGTATAAAGCTGATTTTTAACCAGCCCTAAAGCCATATTCGGATACTATACCTTCACTGACTCCTCAGTTAAGGTTGGCTTCAGGCTCAATTTTACTGCCACTTGCCACTTTTCCTGGGTCTCTTTGTCTTGGGCATATATCAGGAACTTGGCATGCTCAGAAGAGAGTGGAAAGCTTCTCACGGCATACACCATGCCATCTTCATCCACCTTAAAATCTGCAGGCTCACTGCTCTCATATTGTACTTTTCTTTTTCCATTGCAGTTGCTAAACTTCACTGTAAAAGATAAGAAATAGGTCAGTTATTATAATTATACCAAAAAGGCAAAAAAAAACCCCTAATACTTAAACCTATATCCTGCTTAGGTTAAAGGATAAAAATACAGTAGCATGAAACACAGAAGTTTTATTTTTATTTTATTATATCAAAAGCATTTTCATACTATGAAATGCCAGATGGTAGTTCTGAGCTGTGCCCTAGCATTTCCTTCTTCCAAAGCTTTCCCCTTCTTTTCATACTTCCTGGACACTGGGTCCTCAGGTGCACCTGCTTTTCACCCTGACACCTTTCACTGGTATTTCCTCCCACCCTATTACAAACTTCCACTCACTCTTCAGTCCCAGGTCTAAAGTCACTCAAAGCAGAACAAACCCCCTTTTTCTCAGTCTTCATGTAGTGATCTGAGCTCTGCTACCTCAGTTTCTTAGTCATGTCTGACACTGCTTGGAAGAGGCAGTTTGGGGCAAATGTTCTTAGTTATCCTGCATACCCTGCATACTTTCTGGCACACAGTCTTAATACATAATTTCGGAACAAATGCTTACAGGAAGAAAGCAATGCATTTATTAATGTTGAATGTTTACTATGCTCTAGAATTGTAAGACCTTATGGTAATTAACAGGTAAATAATTTACAAATTTCTATTCCTCTTAGTGCTTACAGTACTTCCATTAAGCAGTAACATATTTAAAAAATTTTAAACAAATAAAAATAAAGGTGTATCCCAAAAGAAATTTTAAATTAAAAAAATGATGACAAGAGTAGAAGAATTCAAAAATGTGTCTTATCTCTATCATACATGCAATGACTTCACACTTAAAAAAAAAACAACTACTGCTGTCTTAAATGCTATGACAGCTTGTCTCAACAGGTAATAAAACAAAAATTAAACCATGAACTTGTGTAGAACTAGACAAATTCAAGATGTAATAAAATAATAAAAACAAAAATATTCTCTAAGGAAGATTATTCCTTTAAAGTCCTTAATTGTTCTTTCTGAAGAAAAATTCTATGGGAATAGCAAGTAAAGGGATCAAATAAAAAATGATTTTTTTATTTCTGTAAACGTCTGATGTTATGTTCTGGCTATAATTACATAGGATACTCTTTGGAGTGTAATTAATAGCGACATATTACAAAATATAATCAAATACACCTTGTGCATTTCTCAAGGATCTAAGTAAAGTGTTTATGAACCCTCCCACTGCACATATAAGCTGCTGACAGTTCTTCTGCTGTCATTAGAATAAATTCACTGAGACGTGCACACAGCCACATCTAAATAACAGGCATGCTTATTTCCCTTAGTAACCATAAAATCCTTGATAGAAGTCATAAAATACTTTAACTACTGAATATATTATTTTCCACATAATGCCATCTATATTATCTTTCATATTTCAATCATTTCAAAGTGAAAATAAAAGTATATCTCAAACTAAATGATGTTAAGTCAAAATGTTTGTCTTTGGAGTAGAAGTATCCCAAAAGATATTTAATTACTCCATCTTCCATGCCCCATGATTTAAAAGTGAAAAATGGGAATCTTTTCTACAGAACAATGCCATCTACTGCTCATCTTTCATTAAAGACAAAAAATGAAATGTAAAATTGTTTTTTGGATCCCTGCTGATAAATCAAAACGAGACTTTTGCCATATTTTTGTATAAAAAGTACTTTTTTATATTACAAGAGGGATTCATGGTCCTTAAAAACATAATCTGGAATAGAAAAATTACATACTCTTCTGCACACTTTTTTGTTAACTGTGATCACTCTAGTATTATTAATTGTCATCCATAAACACCTGGACTGTTACATAAGCCTCCTGGGTAGTCTTCCCAGTTCCTGGTCATGGCATGCCCACTGCTAGACTAGACACCTGCTGTGATTTTCTCCTCCCTGCTTAAAATCTGTAACATTATATGTCAGATCTTTAACCTAGAGTACAATGCTCTCTTAATTCTTGGGTCACCTGGTCTCTTCAGTTTTACTTACACCACTTTCTAAAACATATACTGCCTGGCGAGAGAGGCTGCAGTCATCCCCTACCTCGTGCTGCTCCACCCCACAGGCTCAAATTCTTATCTGGGACACTCCCATTTTCCATACCAAAGCCCTAGGGCCAGGTCATCACTTTGGGGGAAGAGTCGACCATGATGCCTTTCACAAGATTTCGGCCTATGCCCTCATTTGGAACTGCTCTAAATTTTTTATTTTTATTTGTATTTCCTGTCCACTGAAACACACTGATACTTTATGTTTATAATAATAATAGTTATAATGATGGTTATTAATAATTTCATATGAGTGGATCTTCTCTCCCTAAGCAGACTATAAACTCACTTTGGCTTCATGAGAGTTAAGTATTGCTTCTTTTGTTTCTTAGGACACTTGATGGTCACAGGAACAGTATAAGTGCTCATTAAATATCCACTAATATCTTACAACTTTTTCAAAAAGTAGGAAACAGATGGGAACCTTAGAAGTACACACAGCCTACTATAGTAACATCTAGCAACACAAACAAATGAACAAACAAAACCCAGGGACTTCAAAAAATTCTACTTTTTATTAGGTTGTTGGTAGTAGAAGAAAATGAATTAATACTTATGGAATGCCAGGCACTGAAAAAGACACTTCAGATTATGTCACATGTTAACCTTAAAAATGACTCCTGAGGTGGGAATCATTGTTTCTGTTCTGCAGATGAGGATGAAAACTTCAAGTCATCTATGCACATGGCTGTTTGATTTCCAGCGGTTTACTCCCATACAAAAGTGCAAAAGAATCTAAACTCATTACATAAGTCACTCATATCTAAAGCTTTAATATAAAACAATAAAATTAACAAAAAGATCTGAAAAATGCATACGAAGAGAATAATGCCAAATTTAGACCTCTGAGAGTACCACAGTAAATAGCGCATTAAAAAGAAATCTTTTTCTGTGTCTATTGAGATGATCATGTTATTTTTTGTTTTTAATTCTGTTTATATGGTGTATCACATTTATTGACTTGCAGATGTTAAACCATTCCTGCATTCCTGATATGAAACCCACTTGATCATGGTGGATTATCTTTTTGCTATGCTATTGTATTCTGTTATAGCTAGTATTTTATTGATGATTTTTGCATCTATGTTCATCATTGCTCTGTTGTAGTTTTTTGTTGTTGTTCTTATGTCCCTTCCTGGTTAGGGTGATACCGGCTTCACAGAATGATTTAGGAGGAATTCTCTGTTTCTCTATCTTGTGGAATAGTGTCAATAGGGTTGGTACCAATTCTTTGAATGTTTGATAAAATTCAACTGTGAATCTGTCTGGTCCTTGAATTTTTTTTCTTGGCAACTTTTAAATTACTACTTCAATCTTGCTGTTTGTTATTGGTCTGTTCAGAGTTTCTATTTCTTCCTGGTTTAATCTAGGAGGGTTGTATACTTCCAGGAATTTATCCGTCTCCTGTATATTTCATTGTTTAAGCATGTAAAGGTGTTCATAGTAGTCTTGAATGATCTTTTGTACTTCTGTGGTATTGGTTGTAGTATCTCCCGTTTCGTTTCTAATTGAGCTTATTTGGATATTCTCTCTTCTTTTCTTGGTTAATCTCGTTAACGGTCTACTAGTTTTACTTATCTTTCAAATAACCAGCTTTTTGTTTCATTTATCTTTTGTATCTTTTTTGGTTTCAACTGCATATAGTTGTGCTCTGACCTTGGTTATTTCTTTTCTTCTGCTGGGTTTGTGTTTGGTTTGTTCTTGTTTCTCTAGTTCCTTAAGGTGTGACCTTAAAAATCTGGCATCCCTTTATGATTAAAACCCTCAGCAAAATTGGCATAGAAGGGACATACCTTAAGGTAATAAAAGCCATCTATGACAAACCCACAGCTAACATTATATTGAATGGGGAAAAGTTGAAAGCATTCCCCCTGAACACTGGAACAAGACAAGGATGCTCACTTTCACCACTTCTATTCAACACAGTACTGGAAGTCCTAGCCGGAGCAATCAGACAAGAGAAAGAAATAAAGCCCATCCAAATTGATAAAGAGGAAGTCAAACTGTCGCTGTTTGCTGAAGACATGATTGTACCTAGAAAACTCTAACTCATCCCAAAAGCTCCTAGAACTAGTAAATTCAGCAATGTTTCAGGATACAAAATTAATGTACACAAATCAGTAGTTCTGTTATACACCAACAGTGACCAAGCTGAGAATCAAATCAAGAACTCACCCCCTTTTACAATAGCTACAAAAAAAAAAAAAAGGAGGCAACAGACTGCTGTAAGGAAAACTACAAAACACTGCTGAAAAAAATCACAGATGACACAAACAAATGGAAACACATACCATGCTCATGGATGGGTGGAATCGATATCGTGAAAATGACCAATGACCATACTGCTAAAAGCAATCTACAAATTCAATGCAATTCCCATCAAAATGCCACCATTATTCTTCACAGAACTGGAAAAACCAATACTAAAATTCACATGGGACCAAAAAAGAGCCTACATAGCCAAAGCAAGACTAAGCAAAATGAACAAATCTGGAGGTATTACATTACTTGACCTCAAACTATACTATAAGTCCACAGTCACCAAAAAAGCATGACTGGTATTAAAATAGGCATATAGACCAATGGAACAGAAATGTATGAAAAAATGCTCAACATCACTAATTATCAGGGAAAGGTAAGTCAAAACCACAATGTAATACCACCTCACTCTGTAAGAATGGCCATAATAAAAAAAATAATAGATGTTGGCATGGATGTGGTGAAAAGGGAACACTTTTACACTGCTGGTAGGAATGGAAACTAGTATAATGACTATGAAAAGGAGTGTGGTAATTCCTTAAAAAACTAAAAGTAGATCTACTATGTGATCCAGCAAATCCACTTCTGAGTATCTACCCAGAGGAAAAGAAGTCATTATATGAAAAAGATACTTGCACACACGTTTATATATATATATATATATGTACATATATATGTGTGTGTATATATATATTTATTTATATATTTATATGCACACCACGGGATACTACTCAGCCATAAAAAGGAACAAACTAATGACATCTGCAGCAACCTGGGTGGAACTGGAGACCATTATTCAAAGTGATGTAACTTCAGGAATGGAAAACTAAACCCTATGTTCTCGCTCATAAGTGGGAGCTAAGCTGTGAGAATGCAAAGGTGTAAATGATGCAATGGACTTTGGAGACTCAGGGAAAGGGTGGGAGCAGGGTGAGGAATGAAAGACTACACACTGGGTACATTGTACACTGCTCGGGTGATGGGTGCATCCAAATCTCAGAAATCACCACTAAAAAACTTATTCATGGAACCAAACACCACCTGTTCCCCCAAAAACCTATTGTAATTTTTTGAAAAGAAAGAAAACAAGAAATGAAGAAAGAAGAAAGGAAGGAAGGAGGGAAGGCAGGAAGGAAGGAAAGAAAGAGAAAAGAAAAAAGAAAAGAAAAAGAGAAACAAAGGTAGGATAAGGGTTTGACAGACAGAAGCGGGGATTTCATAGTCACTGGCACTTATTCTATTAATGTTGTACTGTTACTTATTTGGATTCAGGTGTCACAGTGCTTGAGGGAGGAAAGAAGGAGGACTTTGCAAAAAACGCATTTGCAAAAAGTCACTTACTGCACATCCTATGAATGAGAAGAGGTTGACCTAAGAGAGTCTGACACTAGAGAAAACACTTTAGAAGAAATTGTATAAAGGTCAGTCATTTAAAGTCAATTGGTTTTTCTATCACCTCTGCCCCTAACCTATGACCAATATGAATTGGTTTAATATATCTGTTATTACGATTTTCAGAGTTTTAAAAACAGGTGCTAATTCTCATTTGCTCAAATATTAAAATACACAAAATCTTTTGGCATTATTCAGGCTCTATGGAATGTGGTGTATTACACAATTCCCTTTGTATATTTAATCAGTTGGGTCAATATCTTAGATAAAACTAAGTCAACTGAAAAAGTTCTCCTTGATGAAATATTAGTCCTGACTTGATCCTGTGGTTTTGGAGCAATCCATGTATGGTACCTGGCTCATGATTATATGCTTCTTCCATGTGAATCATATTTTATTATTTGCAAGTCACACAAATTAAAAAGCTTTCAAATTTCAATGGATAACATGTGAATTCCATTTATCATCCACTGGTCAAGGTTTATTGCCTGTTGTCTGGTTCACCTATGACTTAGATGCAGCTAGGAATATCTTCTTGAATTTGACAAGATTCACCTCTGCTCTAGGAACAAACACTAAAACTTACTCAAGTTGTTTATTTTACACAAACTTAAAAGTTAATAGGAAAAAAGTGGAAAACTGTTAAGTTACAGAATCTTAGGTATACCAGTAATATATACTTAATTTATAAGTTATATATTTTTTAGTTCATAGCCTTTCAAAAAGACTTTAAGGCTTAAAAATAAAAATAGTACATAGAAACGATGTGAAAGGGAGAAGATATACATGGGACGTGCTTTATTTAAATTAGCTTCAAAAATTAAACTTTGATGATGAAAATAAGGCTAATATCATGGACATTTGACTGCTGTAAGGAGAAATACATAGTCCACTGGAGCCAACCTATTTCTGTTATTAAAACATTTTCCTTATGAATGGCAGGTACAGAACTCTGAGTACCATAATGAACAAGATTTTCAACTTTTATTTTTCAAAATATGAAGCAGTTTTATTATTTTTAATATATGGGCTTTCAAGAAGAGATGATGACAAATTTATCTTAAAATACACGTTTAGGAGTGAAACTATTCTGTATGATGCTATGATGGTAGATACATAACACCATGTTTTTGGCAAAATCCATAGAGCTGTGTAACACAAAGAATGAACCGTATTGCAAACTAGAAACTTTAGTTAATAATAATGCATTGTTATTTATTTGTCAATTGTAACAAATATACCACACTAATGCAGGATGTTACCAACAGAGAAACCAAGTACTGGGAGAGATATATGAAACTCTGTATTTCTGCTAATATAAAACTGGTCCAAGAAGTAAAGTTTATTAAGTTGAAAAAGTATAACATTTCTTAGAGATGATGGTTAAACATGCTAATTATCAGATATAACTTAAAGGAATGGATGGTTGTCTCGTTGTCAATATCCCCAATCTCTCACAAACATGACTTCCATTGAATTGCCTCAAGCTGGTATTAGTCAGAGTTGGATAATATAATCGAATCAATACCTTTATGTAATTATCCTAAGTATGAATATACTGAGTTGATATTTAATGAAAGTTATGCTATTTTAACAGACACATATAAACAGTTAAAATTTCATTTCAAAAACGATTTTAAAATTTGGCTTGAACATCTTTTCCTGAGAGAACAACCTTCCTTCCATCAACATTAAATTTTCTTATGCTCAGATAATCTCAAGTAGAAACTCCAGAATATCATAACATGGGAAAAAAGAAAATACGCTTCCTTAGACAACTGAAAGAACAGGCTTGATCCTCTGGATTAATTAAGTCTATACACGATTAAATGATTATGGCAAAAAAAATCATACTATTAAACAACAAATTTATTATTAGAGATATTGCATAGTTTACATATATCAGATGTAGTTATTGTGTTCTAGCCCACATAAAACTGTGTGAACATGATGAACATAAAATTAATCACCAGGGAAATAATTATTTTAAAGAAATTTTTTGCTCTGAAGGTAATACCTCAAAATGATGTTAACCATAAAACCATAATATCCTTATAAAATATTAACAAGAAACCACAGATCTTATATATTAAATGTATTAGCATTTAACAGCACTACATAAACCAAATGAATGAAAATGTGGAAATACTCACATATGGTTTCTAATTTTTGCTCAAGTAAACATTATACCATATTTAGAAACAATTATATGAGAACACTCAAATATTTTCATGTCTAAGTATCTTTGACTTTTTATTTTTTTCCATACTAATTGCTATTTTCAAAGGCATTGAGAAAATAGAAATAGTTTCACAGTGTTAACAAAAGTTTCTTTTCCACAGCCACAGAGCAGTATTTATTAATGAATGAGATTTCAATTAATGAAGGCATTAGGAGGGAGGAAGGTAGGGAGAAACTGCCACAACAGTAAGTGTTTCACAGTGTTTTTACATATATATTCCAATGGAGAATGGTCACCACATAACGAATTTGCTCATAAATCTGAAAAAAAATCTGCTTAGGTAACATTTTGCCACAATAGTTCCTTTCTAAATTTCATACAGGAATGATTTTTTTTTTCTAGAATAATTTAGTTGCCATGTCAGGGCTTACCAATCCTTTCCACACATGTACAACAGGACAGTTTTACAGACAGGTTGAGAATGTCTATACAGAGCTTGGTGAAAAAAGTCATTCCATTTTCTTTATAGCATATAATTATGATAAGAAAACAAATACAGAGTATTAGGGAATATATAAACTAATATGCATAAAATTTCCAACTGAAATATTTTTTAAATCTTTAATGATAAATTTGACCTTGTGTTCACAAAATACCTTTGTATGTCTCCTGATTGAAATATCAAATTCTTAATTACTATCAACGAAAACTTTATTAACAAGAGTTAGTGGGAGTAAAGGGCAGTAGAGTATTTACCACTTTTTCTCCAAATAATAGAAAGTTCTTTCTTGTCATGAGCCATGAGGGCTAAATTTATTAAAGTTCATGGTCCTTCCTTTACTTACAAAGACAAATGTAATGTGGAAAGTCCTTTGGAAATGCAAATGTTTTTCAAAATTTTTCCTATTAAGTACTTCAAAATAATGAGTTTCAAACATTCACAGGGATTGCTCTAATAGTTTTAATACTTTTTTTAGGTTTTCAATATAACACCAATAACACAAGTGAATCATTTTTATCCTTTTTTGAAAGTTTAACTTTTGCTTTATATCTATAAACTCTGTGTGTGTAATATTTTTATATGGCCTTTGCAATTTTCAATTAAGTTCATTCAGGTGCTCCAAAATGTCTGGTAAGCAAGCTATCTTTTTTCAAGTGAATAACTCTCCTTCAACAAATCTAAAGAGAGTAATATTTAAACACACAATGTATTTTTTTAATTAACTCTTGAAAAAAGGTATCTTTTTAGACAGCTTGTGTACACATTGGCAAATATCAGTAAATGTGATAATCTAATCCCTTATCTTTGAATAAAGCTCTAGCGATTTATTTAGATTCATATTTTCATATATGACCTTATATGGAATCACGATTTATAAGCAAACTTTTATGTACAAGAGCTGCTATGTGAGTAAAACTCATCTCAGATGAAACTCTTGATGTTTACACCTTCATATCATCTATAGCCTTTATAGCTTCATGCCACTAGGGCCAGAGCACCAGCCTCATGTATGAATATGAATTATTTTATTTCATTTTGAGACAGAGTCTTGCTTTGTCACCCAGGCTGGAATGCAGTGGGGTGATGTTGGCTCACTGCAACCTTTGCCTGCCAGGCTCAAGTGATTCTCTTGCTTCAGCCTCCCAAGTAGCTGGGAGTACAGGCGTGCACCACCATGCCCAGCTAATTTTTGTTATTTTTTAGTAGGACAGGGTTTTACCATGTTGGCCAGGGTGGTCTCAAACTCCTGGGATCAAGTGATCCACCTGCCTTGGCCTCCCAAAGTGTTGGGATTACAGACCAACTGCACCTGGCCAATATGAATATTTTAAAACATGAAATATGAATATTTATTTGCCTCCCTGCATACATAATCTACAGAAGTTTGTTTTGATTTGCTCAGAATAAATAATGATCTTCAAGGATTCTAAAAAGTCTATTAGCAATTATACTAATGTCTTAACGTCATCAATATACAATAACTTTTTAAATTTAATAATCTATTTGATTAACGTTGTCACTACGATGTGTGACATGCCCTCACTGCCTGTTCTGATAGCATTATGCTAACACGGCTCCTTTTCTATTTCTTCTGCTTCATTTGTTTCCAGTCTACTACTGATAGTGAACATATAGGCTGGTAAAATAAGAAATTCCATATAACAGGGAAGCACTTTGGCTTAGTATTATATGTGAAACCTTGTAAAAGATGGCTTTTAAAACTTGATCATATAGTGCTGTATATAATCTCATAAAGAAGGATTCTTACTTTTTGTGTAAGAGAATTCAAAACTACTTACGTCTAAGATGGCTGTTTTGGGGTAGACTGCCACAAAAATGTGTCATGCAAGTAGCTTCACTTCATCACTTTTGCATGCAAATGAAATGTTTACTCCATGTGTGAGAATAATTATAATGGCACATGAATTCCAATTTAAGAGAATCATCATTATATTGCCCAATTATCTTAATAATTTGAGGGGTGGATTCTAGTGATGCTCAGAGGTTTTCAGCATTTATTCTCAAAATATCCTTTGTGTTGGGAAAATAAACATATGTAGAAATGAAATCTTAAGACAAAACAGATTGTAGGCATGTACAAATCTAGAAAATCTATTTGTTAATAATATAAAGTATATATATAAATAATATAAAGTAAGTATATGTATTTAAAATATATAGTTAAGACTATCTGCATTTTAAATGCTTTAAAATAAAGCGAATAAAAAGCTTCAAAATTAAACATACAGCAATCTAAATTAGAATTTAATTTAGTAATTAAAAGTTAAAAATATATACAATATAATCATTTTCTACATTCCTAGATAACCAAAATATATTTTGAAAACCATCAGTTTCTGGAACTTACTGTTCTCTTTAGTAATTTAGTGTCCAGAGAAATCAACTAATTTAATTGAAAGGAGTTTTTTTCTAAAAATGTGTATCTTAAACATAATATAAACACTTTAATTCTAAAACACACAAAATTAATTATTGATTTCCATCAATAATAAGACTTTTGACTAATTGTTAACCTTGAAATCCAATCAGAAAGAAAAAAGAAATGAAAGCAAAGAAAGAGTAAAAAGAAAAAGGGAGGGAAGACAGAATAAGCAATTAAGAAAATTTACAAAATTAATAATTTTCTGATACCACACTAAAACAGTAAATGATAAAATTTATATAACTTCTATTTTAGAATAGTGAAAAACAAATACTTGCATAAAATCTTCACTGAGGATAAACACATTGGTATTAAAATTGTGATGAGATTAACTGAAGAATTTTGGTGGGAAAGTTGGGAAATTTTGTGGTGGTTGCTCCATGAGTGAGGTCTTGGTCAGGGAGATGATCTGGGGAAGTGTTATGCAGGAGACCTCTCTTGCAATGGGTCTACACAAGTCTTATTCAGAAAAATAACAGAAAATAATAGGCTGGGCGCAGTGGCTCACGCCTTTAATCCTAGCACTTTGGCAGGCTGAGGCAGGAGGGTTGCCTAAACTCAGGAGTTCGAGACCAGCCTGGGCAATATGGTGAAACCCAGTTTCTACTAAAATACAAAAAATTAGCCAGGCGTGGCGGTGTACACCTGTAGTCCCAGCTACTCAGGAGGCTGAGGCAGGAGAATTGCTTGAATCTGGGAGGTGGAGGTTGCAGTGAGCCGAGATCACACCACTGAACTCCAACCTGGGTGACAGAGCGAGACTGTCTCCAGAAAAAAAATAATAATAATAATAAAAATAATAAGCGTTTGCAATTGCAGTAAGTTTTCAGAGCAAGCCATAAGAGTAAATATTATTATTTTTATTAATTTTAATTGACACATAATTATACATACTTATAGGGTACAGTGTGGTGTTTTGATACATGTACATGTACTACAGTGATCAAATCAGGGTAATTACCATAGCCATCACTTTAAATATTTATGAGTTAGGAAGAATGAGTTTCGTGGTTCTATTATAACATAGGGTAGCTATGGCAAATAACAATGTAGTATATATTTAGTAGTGCATATACGATTTTGAATATTATCCCTTCAAATATTATTTTAACTGTTGTGAATTAATTTTTATATATTTTATTGTAAAAAGTCTTCACATTTTTAACACTATAAAAAAGCCCAAGGGCACATGAATTCTAATTTGATGGGATCATTATTATATTACCTAATTAATATCTTAATCATTCATGGGGGGCATGGATTCTAGTGGCTATGAAGTCACCAATAAGTATTGTGGGCCAGTCAATGCTTTATGAAAAGCTAGAAACCAGAATTTGTCTGTGAAACTTTAAATCATAGAGAAGAAGCCAAATTCATGTAGCCCTGGTCTAGTCTTCAGCCATGCTTTGTTTGTGCCATGTAGCATTTCAACAAAATAATGTCATTTTCTTTTGATTCTTCTACTTCCCCCTGGGAGGCCAGGTGATAAAACTAAGGCACTGATTTGCCCATCAAATGAGACCACTGAAGTTCTAGCCAAAATCTTTTCCCACTATTGTCCTTTTACTCTCCATTACCAAACTTTCCTTCTAGTCTATCAATAATGTAAAGGCTATTTGGATCAAAACATGATGGTGGCTTGAACAGGCTGAGAAATCTTGGTTAATGTCTTTTGAACATGGTAGCAGACGTGGGGAGTAGGTATAATTATAGACAGCCTTCCAGGGATCACACCAGAATGACAGAGGTATCAAGGGTAGGCAGGCCAAGTCCTTGCTAGAACAACCATAGCCTGACATCACCACCACTCTCCTAGAGATCATTCTCTTGATACCTGGAAATTATTCTTCCTCAGCCCAAGGAGCTACCTGCTGATGGCCTGGAGGGCAAATGCTGTCCAACAGAAAAACAATGTCAGCCATGTATGTTATTTCATCAATTCTAGCAGCCACATTAAAAACTAAAAAACAGTTGCAGTGAGTATCTGTAGCATACCTGTATTCCATTCATGGCATTCTAGCTCAGACACATGGATCTACTTGCCATGCTGCTAAATATTAAGACAAATGTAAGCATTAGTGATGCTCAGAAATATCTTCAGTTTTTCTCCCCTTCCTAGATATTCAGAAAGATTACACTTCTCATCTCCCTTGACATTAAGCATGACGACATGTTCAACAGAATCAGCAGGTAGAAGGGACACATATCACTTTACAGCAGAAGCATTTAAAAGTTGATGCCCTCCTCCCCTGCAGTGGTCATTCTTTCTGGTAATTATGAAAGAACGGGCCAGCTGGAGGTAATACAAGATCAAGCCCACAGGATGAGTGAACCACCCCCATGGAGAACTGCCCTGAGAGTCATCCATATCTACAATGGACTTAGCATGAATATCGGTTTTTGTGTTAAACACAGAAAACTGGTGGTAACTGTTAGTGTGGCACATCCTAGCCCATCGTGTCTAATAAGGCCTCAGCTTGAGTGACCTACAACAAGACAGTAAAATTAGGACAAAAGGTCTATAAAAATGAAATAAATCAGAATCAAACTTGTTGTAGGTTAAGTTCAAAAAAAAAAATTTTCAAATTACTACAAGTATTGATATTTCCCTACCAAAAAGTTTTTATTATAATGTTCCCCAAAATATTACAAAGTCTATTAGGAGCTGCTATTTCATTTCCTTTCCAGGAAAAGTCATGTCATATTTAACTAACATATACAAGTTGCCACAAATAAAAGAAAGAAATAACGTGCTATGTTATTCTTCTTTAATACAAAACTGAAAAAAAATCAAAACAGCAGTAGGGATGATATAGAAAAATAATTATGGTATCAAAAATATAAAATTTAGCTTTCAGTAGTCTAGTAATGCTATGCATACAATTTTATATATTAAACTACTGGGAAAGCAGCAAGATTATTGTGTTCTCCCTTGTATACATTCTAATAACTCAAAAGTTTTTAAGCTGTTCTTCACTTCATTGATATTCTTCCTCCAGGCATCTCTATGCTACGAAATATTTCAATGAAAACTCTTTCTTTTGACAGAATCCAGCTAAAAATATATAAAATTATCAGTGCTTAGGCAGTTTTGTTTTGTTTTTTTTTTTTGCAGAATGTACCCATTAACAAATTACACTGAAATATCACTACCTCTAATTAAATTAGTCTTTCAGAGTACAGGTGGCGTAGAAGCTCCCTTTTCCCAACTGTATCATTATTAGTCTCTGAAATTTGATGTAATTTAGTTAGCTCCATATTTCTGGTTACTTATGTCAACAAAGAAAGAAATCTAATTCCTAATTTTTAAAACAGGTTTTTGTTAACTTTGAAAGAAAAAGAAGAGTTTCAACATGAATTTTACTCATAACAGACATTTTGCTAATTGGCATTTTCAAAGATAACACTCTAAAAGAAAAAAAAACCTAAACTAAATTAAACCTGTTTCTCAATGAATTTCCACAATGTGGCCTCAAAATGTGCTACAGAAACCATTGAGAACAAATGTGTCCCCTGAGTAACCAACTTACTAAGATACAGGTAGCCCAAAGAACAAAAGTACGTTACTGTTTTGTGAAACTTGAATTTAAAAAAAGAGGTTCATAGAACATGATGTGCATTAAGCACACTAGCCCCACTGGTATGATGTGATACCACACTAACTAAAATTAAAGTCCACTGGGCTATTAAACTACTAAACCCCAAATCATTTGCTGACAGTAAAGTTACAGAACAAACAAAAGGATAAGATTTCATCCTAAATACTTAATACAATTTAAGAAGTGCTTATTCTTTAGGAGAAAAAGGTCAGGATCATACATGAAGAAATAATATATATAAAAAACAGGTCTTGAAAATTTACCATCATAATACATAACTGATAGTTTAAAATGTGAATTCCCAATATTTACTGCAAATTGAACAAAAAGATCACTAGCTGCTGGAAAGAACTTTGTAAGCTGAAAAGCTGTACTATTCAAGTAAACTATAAGAATTTAACAAAAGAAATATCCAAACCCCATTATTTCTAAAGGCTACTTACATTTTCTGAACATTGGCAACCTGATGTGTATTAAGTATTTAACATATACAGAATTCCATGAAAATTTCAGCAATAATCCTATGCTTTCACAAAGGCAATGAAGATATTCAAAGCAATGACATGAAATCTTTAAGCTGCCAATAGAATTTAAGTACTAAAAACAATCAATAAATTCTAATATAAGTTCACTGATGCCTTATTATTTGTGAAATATTATCATGTAACCAGGAAAAAATCATGGCTTCCCAATGCATCTTTTTATGATTATCTCAGTTCACTACTTTCCAACTTTTCAAAGAATTATTGCATAAACCCTAGAAAGCTGCTCTAGTAGGGAAGATATTCTTCCAACAATCTAAAGGGATAGGTAGTATTTCTCAGACTCAGTTCAACTCACTCAGGTCTAACATACAGAGCCACAAAGAAAACAAGCACAAGTAGTATATGGCACATAATAAGAAATGGATTCCACTTTTAATGTAGTAACATAACAATAATAAAAGGCAATTTAAAGGTTACTTAATTTTATATACATGTAAAAATGTCTGACTTTGGGTAAGACTCTTAAAATGCCAGTTATTTTTATTTAGAAATTACATTTTATGCTTACTAAATTTTTATTAGTGTCCACAACTGCAGTCATGTCAAAATGCCATCATTGGTTTTTTTTTTAATCCTCTTGAAAAATGTTCCCTCTCTTTGTTATACCCTGAAATGAACACTTACCTATGTGAACACACCAACTCAGCAATCTGAATAGTTACTGCTTCAACTGACAATAATAATCCTTATTCTCATTAATGGGCTGACATTTCCTCTTGCAGAAATGATTACACTTCTATTTCACCATTCTCATTAATTACACCAAAGTGAACAGGATTAATTGCCATACACTGTAACAGGATGGCCATCTCAGGTATGCTCCAGCTCCACATCACGTGTTTTATCTGGAAAACATCTTAGGTGCACGGCTGCTCTAGGGTTCTGCCTAGGAGAATTCCACACAGACCCCTCCCAAATGCTGCTACACACTCTTAGTCCAGCTGTTAGGTGTACTTGTAAAGGGTCAAGGTATTTTAAATTTTTCAGAGGTAAAGAATTTTCACATTTAATTCTCCCTGTGTAAATATATAAACATGTATTAAAGGATTTCCATTACATTAACTAAGATGATGTCCAGGCAAGCATCCTGTGCACGTATTATTTGCTCCCCATTTACATTTCTCAATCTGTATGTATTAGCTAAAACAAATCGAGTTAGGCTAAAATAATATTCTTATAATGTCCTGATAAATAGATGCAATAAGCAGACTAGTCTGAATTACATCCTTTGCCTAAAAGCCCTGGCATTATTAATGTTTCAAGATAATATGTTAAAAATCCTATTTTTTTTGGAAAACTAACTTACAGTAGACATTTGACTTCCATAAGCATAAAAGTGAAGAAAAACAACAGATGTGGATAATTGGGACAATGACAGAAAAAAACACGCACCTAAACAGGAATAATGAAAAAGTATTAAGTGTAAATTTTTTGTCTAAAAAAAGGACTTTTTTAAAAAAATGTAGGGATATAAAACCAAGGACATATAGAAATGAGGTATGAAGACTTCTGGAGAGCATGGCATGGCACAATAGGTCCACACTGCAGAACTATCACCTTGTTCAAATACACAGCAATAATAATCAGATGTAAAAGTAAAAACAAACAAACAACAACAACAAAAGAAAAAACCTGGCCAGGATCAAAAACAAGATAGTGGACCATAAATGAACCAGTATAAATTGCTGCCTGGATAGGGAACAAGTGGAGGACAAGTGGAAGTTCAGCCTTTGCAGGGTAAAGGAACATGAAGGTGACAGGAAGCTGGTACAGCAGCTAGGATGCCACTTGACTCCAAAGAATGGGGCTCGGGCTGGGGCTGAGGCTGGGCTTGAGCAAAGGCAGAATGAAAGAGAGATGAAAACAAAAATCTTATTCATAGTGAGCCTGAAATTCCCAAATTATTACACATAAAAAAATCTAGTGCTTAAGAAAGCCAACAAAAAAATCAATAACCAGAACCTAACACACTGCAAAGGAAATTAATTCCCTTGGGTACTCTTCTGGTTTCCCCCATCCCATTGATGACTCCCTCTCCATCTCCTTCAGTGCCTTAAGGCTTAGCTCATGACCTTCCCTGATCCATATTTTCATGCTAGGTAATTTTAACCAATCTTAAGGTTTTAAAAACCACCTGTACCAAGATGAATCTTGAATATATATGTCTAAACCGTGACCACTCCACTGAGATCTAGTATCCTACATCTAACTGCCTGCTTGCCATCTCCACTTGGAAATCTAATAAGCAACTCAAACTACAGAGATGTGAAAGCCAACTCTGGGTTCACCCTCCTCCTGTACAACCAACTCCATTGTAGTTTCACCCTCCACCCAAATGCTCAGGCTACAAGTCTAGGAGTTGAGCTTAACTCTTGTCTTACCTAAATGTAATCTATTTGCAAGTTCTAACAGCTCCACTTCCAAAATATATCATCAAGACGACCAATTCTCATCACCTCCACAGCTAACATCTTACCATCAGTCATTATCCAGCATAAGTCATAGATAGAAGACTCTAACTGATCTCCTACTTCCACTCTTCACAACATCTACGGTGGCCTTTGAAAAACAAACTGGATCATGTTCAAAAGGTTCCTACTACACACAGAACAAAATCCTTAACAAAGCCCCTGGCCCTTTAACCTCATCCTTCTTTCCTCTTCTCCTAGCTCACTGGGTCTCTACAGTTACATATGTTTTCTTGTGATTCCTCCAACAAGCTAAATTGGGTCCTGCTTCAGGGCCTTGTTTGTATATTTGAAATACTGAACAATGGACGAGAAGGAAGAGGAAAGAACAGAGGAAAAGGGGAATCACGAGAACTTGGAAAGCCAGGCAGGAGACGAAATCCATGTTAAAAATAAGAGATTAGGCTCATTTTTGTCTTTTATAGATTTCATAGCTAAAGCTATTTTTCCTTAGTTTTTCTAACTTTCTTCCTTTTTCTTTAAGTGACACTGCTGTTCAATGGGTGATCAGAGCCGACTTGTCCAGTCAAATCAGATAATGAATAAAAGGAACATGAGACCTTGTTTTATTTTTCAGCTGGTTTTACTAGAAATGAGTGATGTGAATCACAAACTGCCTAGGGGAGGGGTGTAGTATAGTACTCTCTTCAATAAAATCTAAAAAAGTGGAGAAGTGGCAGATAAAAGTGTTTTGATGTTGCAGTGTAGTTATTGGTCTACTAACCATAACATGTAGCTATGGCCAAGATGCCCCAGATCACCTACAGTCTGAGCTCTGACTATGTATCACACTCCCTCTCAAACAGCGCTGGAATTTCTTGCACAAAGAATGAACAAATTCCAACTAGCTTCTCAGTAATAATATACAAAACCAACAACAACAGTCTGGTGTTGAGCCACGGTTCATTCATATATGTATTACATCCTCTCAAAACTGGGGACTAGGCACAAAGAAATTTGTGGGCTCAGCATCTGAACCATCAATTATAACCCTGCTTCAACGAGAATGTGTGTTGAATGATTCATAACATAAGAAAACAAAGACAAAGGTAAAGATTGCACCCACTTCCTCATATCCAACAGCACTGGGAACAATATTACATTAACATGTTTTTTACATATGTGTGAATTCATCTATGTAAATATAAAAGTGTAGCATACAGTGCTATACTCTGAACAGGATAAGTAATCAAATATTACTCTCATTACTACTGTTTCTAAGTCATGAGTTCAGAATGTTTGTGATAAAATATCTCATTTGGATATCATCTATAATGATTCAAATCCTTTAAGTACTTTTAAAAAATTTATTTGCTGTTTAGACAATGGCTTCCCACCTTTACAAGTAGCAAAACAAAAGGTCACAGAGTGTAAGTTTCCTGGTCACATTGAAAGTGGTGGGTGGTACTGATGCCCAAAGCTCTTTGGGGCGTCCTGGGAAGCACCCATTCCATTTTAGCACCAAGGGAAATTTCCATTTCTTGTTGAACTGCCCCACACTCAACGAAAATGAACTACATGATTCCTAATCTACCATTTACAGTGAGTATAGAGATAGACATGGCAAGGTCCCTGATCTCTAAGAGTTTAAATTTAGGGGGAAAGGGCTTAAAAATAAGTAACATAATGGGCAAAACTAAAGTGCTTAATAATTACATTTCAAGGGAGAAAGGGAAATAACTGAAGATTCAATGGAAATGGCAGGTGGCTTGTGATCTGAGCACCAAAGAATAAACATAATCCCAGTAGGGTATAGACAAAAGATGGCAGCTTCGGAATAAACAGGGGCATGGACGCCAGGCAGTGATGGTACATTCACAGAGATATCAATATGTAGAGAAAGGGTGGTGTCTGGATCAGCACAGCAGTTCTTCCCTCAATGCCTTTGTCAATGATTAGTATTTGGGAAGTATTTTTTCAAGGGCAAATTTGTTCGGCAAGGTTTTAGGATGTATTATTTTTGTAGGGAGGGATTTTTATGGACTAATGTCTTTTATTGAGAAAAACAGTCTCTAGGTAGACTGAAATCCATTAGTCTGAAGGGAGAAATGTCAACAGAGGCACAAACTAAAGATCTAATTACTGATGCACACGAATTGGTTCACTGAATTTAGGTGCTCTGTGTGTGTGTGTATGTGTATGTATGTGTGTGTGTAACAGATGTATCTGACAGCAGGATTAAGTGTTAAAATTTAAATTCCATTGTAGGTTTTGTACAAAGGCTTAGAATTTCCCCATTTTCTGATCCCATTGGTTTGACATATTAATATGAGGAAGACCATTAGTGGCACTTTTGAAACACAGGCATCATTCAAAAATACACAATATAATATACAAGATGTGATTATAAAGAAATAGGATTCATTCCACAAGTCACACAGAAAAATCAGATTCATTCTATTACAGTCATGCCTTGTATAAATTATAGTCCAGCCAACAGGGGCACTAAATATGCACTTTAATTTGGAGTACAGTACAGAAGTAACCTCACTATCTAATGAGATGAATTATTAATAAATGCTAAAAGATACTAAAAAAATGCTTGTATTAAAAAGGCCAATGGTAGTCTTATGTATTTTACAAGCAATCTTCAATAAGCCACTATCATTTTATACTCAATTGAGCCATACTCTCGATTAGTCTGATATACTATACTTTTCTTTAAATTGGAAGAAATTACATTGATAATCATTTTTTTATCAATTCTTTCTGGTTTGGTGAAAAAAAATAAAAAGAGCAATGAACTAAAAGCCAGTAAACCGAGTTATGGTCGTGGTTGCGCTGATAATAATCTCTCAACAGCTTTGGATCTTCATTTCTTCAGCTGTAATATGAGGGACTCTCACTAGATGACTACTCTGCTAATATCTCATACGGCACTAAAACCATGCATACGCTATAGTCTCAGATTTGATATCTTAACAAGTACCCGAGTGAATATCACCAGTGAAAGCTCTGCTCAAGTTCTGTTTGCTTTTGTTCATGCTGAGCAGTCATTATGAAAAATACAATGGTTTTTCTAAGAAAAAAAGCAAAGGCGAAAACCTACAGGGATAAAATTGTTTTAAATATATTTTTTTTCTGGTTTTTAAACAGTTATATATCCCAAAGCAAAGTTAAAATCCAAATATCACATTCCAGGAACTACAGATGAAAGAGCAGCAATTGCTGCAGATAAAAATCATAGCAATTATTCAGTTGTCATTTTTCCTTCCAATACGTTAAAAAATTACATAGGCCTTAATGAATTTTAATTTATAATCTAGGTGTTTTTCTTTTGCTAAAGTTCGTATGTCATCACAAAAAGAAAACAACAACCACAATAAAAAAAAACAAAAACAAAAACAAAACTCAAGCTTTTGAAACACGAAACACAACTCCCTAGAATAGACCAGTCACCTTTTTTTGCATGAAACAGATTTCAGTCATTTCAAAACTACGGTGTTACAATGAGTATAAATCCTTGAAGTTCAAACAATACTACCCGTACTTCAAGTTCCAAATTCTATATCTCATCCCCTCTAAAAGTAATGGATGTCAAATGGTAATGGGAAAACTCTTTAGAGCACAATTCTTTAAAATAGTTTTTTGGAACTACCTAATAAGGAATACAAAACAGGTGTAACTCTGGAAAAGAAAATTAAGCTTTCAAGACAACTAAGGACGCAATCCATTATTTCTCTCGAGTTTATCATTTTGGTAGGATAAATGCTCCTCAGGAAAGATTAACTGAAGACCTACAAAGTTCCTTAGGAGATATGTGGCAAGAAAACCAGAAAAGGCTCTTCTTTAACTTTACATGACATACTTTCTTTTTGAAAGTTTCTAATAAAATAAACTCATTCTTTATTCAGTTTTCTTATCATAATGGCCATACACAGACATTCCACTCCAAGTTTTGGTTTCTAATGAGCAGCATTCCTTCTCTCAGGTTCAGAGTCATTTGCTTTAATAGCCTATTTTACATGCACATACTACCTTTTGATAATTCTTTTCAGGGACTACAGTTTAGAATTTAAAACAAGCAACTTTGCTGAATATCTTATTGTTTCTCTTGGTGTTTTCAAACCCCTTGATGTTTGGCGAATTTTTACAAAATTAATGAGGTTAACCTTCATTTTTCAGACTTTCAAAGTTACTTTATGTTAACAGAGACCTCTCATTTAAGGATGACTCATATTCATCTTGTTTAACTTTATTTTTAGGAAAATTTACTAAGCTCTGCGTAGATACAAAAAAGGAGACGTATGTAACACAAATGACATTTATTAGACAACTAAATACAGGTTAATTCCACTTATAATAAATGAGAGACTTATGAAAATAAAAACCTCTGCATTAAAATTTAAAGAGCTATTAATAATGTTTTTCATTGTATAAAGTTCTTTGTCATAGCTGCATGAGAGTCTCTTGTCTTTGTCCATTCCATGCCTGAATATGTATGTCTCATTACAAGGCAGGCACTGTGAGCGAGTTGAAAATATAAAAGTGAATTGGGCATGTATTTCACCAGCAAGGAAGACACACCTGTATCTAAGAATTTCTCTAGTAAATTATATGAATTAAGATGAAGATCTACTTAGTGGGGATTAGGGAAATTAGGTTAAGAAATTTAAAAGCTGAAGTTGACATTTATATAACATAATTAAATAGAGTATCACAGAAAGTATAAACTTTACCACAAAAAATATTTGGCTTGTAAATGTTAATTTGCCTGCAGTTTGCAGAAGAATGTCTGCTATAATAAAAGGTGCAAATACAGTTTGTTGTTAAGTATTATCAGCTAGATTTGAAAATGTATCTCTTGTTTTGAAATACAGATGTACAACTCTCTAAGCCTACAACTCTAGAGAAGACAAGAGTGAAATACAGCTTTTGTAACATTCATTTTTTTAAATCATCACCATCCCACCCCCATAAAATACATTTGCAGTTTTCTGTGATTATGTTTTAGTTTGATTTTAGGTTAACAGAAATTCACATAAGCATTAAATTCCTTGTTTAAAATATAAAATGTACTTTGTACATAAGTCTTCTCATTTTATGTTACTTTGTTTTCCAAGTTAACTAAATCACCATGTTATGGAATGAATAAGGCAATTTTTGTTACCTGAAAGGAAAACATACAATTCTGCTTGGTTCTTTAATTTCTCAGTGAAGATACACACATAACGCCTTAATAAAAACATGCCATCAAGTTTCCATTTCCCATAATTCCTTCTGCTTAGTGAACAAAGTCATAATAGGTATGTCAGAATGAAAGCAGGGATAAAGTTCTTTTGAGCTGACGGAAATGCCGATGCAGCTTTTTATAACTGGAATACTGACCGTCAGCAAAACAGAGATTGGGTGGCTCAAACAGAGCCCTTATTACATCTGATTCACTGATCCCTTTCAAATTCTTGCCCCCAACCTTGGGCACAACACAAAACCTTCCTGAGCTCTACTGGTCCTTTTGTCTGTTTGCAAAACAAAATACAACGTAAGAATAAACTTTAAGGGGGTAAAACAGCACTTCTGTTTGGAAAAATCTTTCCCTTTTGGTTGTCTTAGATGCATTTTCTATCTAGTGTTTTCAGCTAGTAACAATCCATCACTTGTCATTTAGCAATCTGTTCAGTAAAAACATCTATAGCTGTCCCAGCTTTCTCTAAAGAAGGAACTTGGGTGAAAAGTCAATAATATATATGCTTTGCATACTCAGTAGCACTCAAAGTGCTTACAACATAATTAAGATTTGTAAGGAGTTGGTTTCATATCCTAAATTGGGTATGAATCCAAGATTAAATGTCAAAAAAAGTGTTATCTGGGAGTACTTGTTAAAATACAAAATCTCATAAATAAAGAAATGCATTTTATGTAAAATGAAAGATGCTCTAAGTGCAAACCATGCCTATACATAATTTTGCTAATGGGTAGATACAAGATTCCCAAAGAGTGCTTCTTCTCCCAGATTTTTACACACCATGAAACTTTCTGAGGATTCAGATAGGTTGCCAGCATGAAGGCAGAGCTACTTTTAACAATGGATTGTCAGATGTCTTGTTTTTAAACATCCCCCTTTTAACAATCAACTTTCTAGTTCACACCATATGCTAAGGTGTTTGATACAGCATAAGAATATTGTGGGAAGCAGCGAGAAAACTTACAGAAATACTTTGAGACAATGCTGAACCTTAGGATTCTGAGAGGTGAGACTGGGAAGAAGCGAGTTCCAGTAAGTTGCAGAAATAACCCAGAGCAGAAGAAAGGAGGCAATGACACCTCCAAGGGAAAGCAAAGCTAACCACTGCTTAAAATAAGGAATTCATACAAGAAAAAAAATCTGTAAATTGGATATGGGCAAACTTACAAAAACTTGGTAGACAAGTGTCAAACATTTTTGAGAGGGGGAAGTAATGTTTTGGGACAAACGACTCAACTTAAATATACAGGCTGAAATTACAAATGAAAACCTAAAGGCTAGCAAAGCTCTCAAGAGGTTATTGTTTGAACATGAACTAGAGATCTAGCCAGAGTAATGGGAACAGGAATCTCAAAAGAAGAAACATATAAAAAAAGATGATGAAGAAAGAATCCACAGGAATGGGTAGCTAATAGTATGTGGGCATAGAAAACGGTAATTGAAGGGAAGTAAGGAGTCAAAAAAGGATGCCAATGTTTTGAATCTTGTTGACTTGGGAAAAGAATAGAAACAGGTTAAACCTCAAGGAGGAAACAGTTTTATGAAAGACTGTTTTTCAGAACTGCTGATTTAATTTAGCATTAAAAATATATATGAGGGCTGGGTGCAGTGGCTCAGACCTATAGTCCCAGCAATTTGGGAGGCCAAAGCAGGCAATTACTTGAGCCCAGGAGTTCGAGACCAGCCTGGGCAATATGGCAAAACTCCGTATCTACCAAAAATACAAAAATTAGCCAGGCATGGTGGCGCACACCTGTATTCCCAGCTACTCAGGAGGCTGAAGTGGGAGGATTCCTTTAGCCTGGGAGGTGGAGGCTACAGTGAGCTGTGATTGCATCACTGCACTCCAGCCTGGGTGACAGTGAGACCTTGTCTCAAGTGTGTGTGTGTGTGTGTGTGTGTGTGTGTGTGTGTGTGTCTATGTGTGTGTATGAAATGTGCCTGTTCTGAGTGCTATAAAGGACTCATAAACTACCCCAAAGGCCTTACTCTGCAGGAGCTTCCCCAGTTCAATTATAGGAACCAATGCATGCATTTTTTGTGCAGTTGAAGTCCCAGGAATCAAGTGAAATCTCTCAGGTAGAAAGTCATAGATTATCTTGTTTACTTGTCTTATTGACAGAAAACATCTGATAGCCATCTTGTATGCAGACATCTCTTCAAAAAGGTATTTTACAAAATGTACTGATGTCAGCCTTGTTTCGTGTTTTCTCCTTATTGAATTTATTAGTTTCTTTACTCATGGATCTTTGATAATTTGTGTGTTTCCTCTGCACCACATTCTAATTTGCTACCACCTTTTTCAAACGTAAAACTCACAAAACTAAATTTTTTAAGAGCACGACTGCTGGTGCAAATTACTGTCATCACAACAACATTTGAGTACCTACTGAATGCAAAATACTTTACAGCTTCTGGAACTCCTGTGAAGATTTGGCAATTTCTTGTGGACTTAAAAATCTTTGAATGTATTAATGATAATTGAAGGATCCACATCTCATCTCTGGGATTGTACACAGGATAGTGAACTTTATGTGTCTTCCTTCATACTCTTAGTTCCTTGTTTAATGCCCTGCCACCTGACTGGGTCTAATGTCATGCAAAGTCCCTTCATTTCTCTCCTTTCCACAGCTATTGGAAGCTAGCAAGTCCATAACCTACTGCTTAGCTCCTTGCATGAATCCACATTTCTGACGTCTCAGGATTGCGCGGCATAGGGAAGGGCAAGGATACATGACTCACAGGACGTCCTGTGTTTGAGGTCAGGGCAGGGTGCTACACAGGAACTCTGATTGGCTGGCTGCATTCCTTCCATGCTAGTTCCAGTCTTCTCTTGGACTTGGGAGACTGGTATTGATATTTCACTGATTTCGCATACAGGATCATATCTGATCCTTGGAACTCCAGGCTGAGTAGGCAGCAACTCACATTTCCATTTTATAAATGAATTAATTATGGCTCAGGGAGATTAAGCAACTTGCCCCTAGGTCCCACAACTGTCAGACAGAATAAACTGCCATTATTAGGGACCAAATGAACTATAAATAATGATAGGTTTCTAGCTCACACTTACTTTATGGGTTGTTATAATTACCTATTTTCTGCTCTATCAGTGCCAAGTCAGGATTTCACAGTCTGTATCGTGTGTTTTTTTTGTCAAATTCTCCTTACCACTAATTTGTAAGGATACTTTTCCTCCAATTTTAAAAGTTGTAGGGTTAGGCAATTCCACACAATTTGGAGTTCTGTGTGGTTTATAAAACAGATCTTGATATTTTACAGTGATTAGTATAAACACAAGAAAGCAAAGGTTGGTCAACATTTATGGCTCAAGAAAAAGAGAGTATTACATAACCAACCAACAGTTATTTCCTTTTAACTATATGCTGATGACAATGCATGCTTTAATATTGGCAACAACTGACCGGCAATGCCAAAATCAGAAGCACATCTCATTTTGACTAACTGAACACAAATAAAATTTGCAAATAGTTTGTATTATGATCGTATCTTAAAATGGTGCTACTGACGAATGAATAACTATTTGTTTAGTTAGAGGCAATGACACTTACTGAAAGTTGATTGAGCATTTGTGCACAGGGCCTCAGAGCGAATCCAAACAAGTGTGTGGCATGCTGGGGTCCTAACCACTCACTTTACAGCCAAAATACTACTCTTATTAAAGAGAACCACCCCAGAATTCTTGTATGATCAAGATAGTAATAGTACTCCTAACTTATAGCTATGAAGCACGTTAAATGATGCAAAACTGCCTTCATATAAGCAGAAGGCCAATTATAATTCCTGACATGGCAGTACTCCAAAAACTGTATGCCAGTGGAGCGAGTTCCATCACATCAGCAAAGTAATTAAGTCACTTCCAAGTAGGTAAAATTCCATGAACAGACAATGTTAATTTTCTTAGGTCAGCATCCTGATAAAAATTATGTTCCAACAATCTGCAGTCAACACAAAAACCTTTAGGTTTACCTCCTGTTAACAGAAATGTTCAGAGCAAAATTAACCACAGGCAGCAAAAATGGCAACTGCTGGAAAAATAACAGATGCAGAGAGCAGAGCAAACAATATAAAGTAGATGCTGAAAAAACACATTCCAGCCAAGCTTCAATGTAGAATTCTACAAACCCTTATATAGCAAATATTGCCCTACTAAGTGCAACAAAAATATTATACACAGAATACCAAATGGGTGACTCCCATCCCAGCTTACTGGAGACTCACAGTGTAGTGAGAGCACAACAAATACCAAGTATTCTAGTTTATTATTCTCACATGGAAAGATCTTTGATTCACTGACTGGATGTTTATGCCAGACACACTCCACAGATAATCTCATTTTATCCTAAGAACTCTAAAAGGTAGATGTTACTTTAGAAATAAAAAAATTCCTGAGTCATAAGGAGATAAAGTACCAGACCCAGGATGACACAGTGGTGGAACTAAGAATGTTTGAACATCACTCTGTGATTCCAAATCCTGGTATGGTTCTTCAAAAAATCACACTGGCTTTCAGTTACTGGGGAGGGGTCCACAATGAGTATACATTGAGAGAAAAACATAAACCATGAATTAGTAACTTTATGAAAAAAATGTATTTTCCTTAGGAGCAGCACTAGATTATAAATTTAGAAAATAATGAAATCTTTATCATTTGATACATTCTTCAAACAATCACTTTTAATTGGCATGTTTACAAAACTGGTTTTCTGAAGTGAAAAACATTTTACTTAGAAATAAGGTATACATGGGGACCAGGGCTACATAAATGTTTTTGGCTTTGCTGAAAACAAGCACAAAACAAACAGAATTCAATTATTTTCTCATTGTAATCACATACGGCATTTTATATAAAATAAAAAGAATGGATTTCTACTGAATACTTTCTACTTTAATCAAAGCCCGAAATCACACTCAAGCCTCACCAGGCAATGTGCAAAGATGAACAGTCAGCAGGCAACTGTGTTTTTAACGGATAAGTGTCCATGACAACAGGAAAAAATGCCACAGCAGTGCACGCAACACTGTTAGCAGACTCAAAGAGATTAGGGTAGAATTAGCCTAGTGATTCCTTCCTTCTTTCAGACGAATCATTCTTAACAGAATTAAGAAGCAGTGCAGGCAGTATGGGCCTGCCTCAACATTGTTTTTATACCTATTCCTGAATTCTTAGAGGACTTATGTTCTACCTAAGTGCTGCCACTATTCAACATTCCTACAGTATCAATATTTTCTTGTACCTTATAAACAACTTTACAGTCTACAATAACATAAACATGTAAAAGTATACCATTACAATAAATAATTCCAATTACCTAAGAATTTTACCCTGATTTCATTTAAATATAATTTATTTATTAAAGAAACAAATTAATGCCCAGCCCCTTAAATAGCAGTCCTTAATTTTTACTATGCCCACTGTAGACACCACTGAGAAACAGTCATATATTAAGAGGGTAATCATCACCATAAAAACAGCAAGTATGAAAGTTGTAATTGGTACATCTGAAATGCCGAACTGCTAATAAGCACTTTTCATTTACACTATGTATTTTTTCTATTTTACTAGTACATTCTAGTCTTAATTTTAATATAAATGTAAGAAACTTAAAATTGTTAGTATTATTATATAACTAGAACCATTTATTTTGCTTATTCATAGACAAGTTTTTCTACTTTTAAAATACCCAATAAGATAGCATTGGAATTAGGGAAATAACGTTTTATTACTTTAGTAGCATTCCAGTTTAAAAGTTCTTTGGTAATTGCGTTATCAATCTGACTCAGATGACATTTAAGGTGATCTGTCTGATGTTTAAATCCACTCTTTACAGAATGGTATTATGGCTGGTGTATATACAGTGATGGTCTTGGTATTATACTCCCAAAATATTTACAAATCTTGAAGTTTGATAAATTCTGTTCTAATTTTCATGTTGAAAACAAGGAGACAAGTTGTCTCACTTTAACATACCTTATAAAATTATTCATTCATTCAACAAGCACTTACTGGGTACCTATTATGTTCCAGGCACTGTTAGGGGCCCTAGGGATACTGCAGTGAACAAAAGAGAAACCATAAAAATATACACACACACAAGTTTATGAAAAATTAAAGCAAGATTTGCATCGATAAGAACAAGTTACTACAGGAAATTAAGGATTTAAAAGTACAATGTTAGCATTCCTTCTGTTTGAAGTCTATAAATTTAGGATCTCGTCTTTTCCAGCAAAGAAAAAGAATAATAAAAATCAGAGTAAATGCTTCTAGCTGGAAACTAGGCCTCATACAGGGATGGAAGGAATAACAAAGCTCCTTCCTACTAAGGAAACATAATGTTGATATTTGAAAATCGAAGATATGGATCATAATAAAAACTATTTGCAAATTTTATTTGTATTCAATCAGTCAAGAAGAGATTTGCTTCTGTTTCTGGCACTGCCAGTCAGTTGTTGCCAATATTAAAGCAAGAATTATCATCAGCATATAGTTAAAAAGAAATCAACTATTTGTTGGCTGTGATATATATATACACCATGGAATACTACTCAGTCATAAAACGGAACAAAATAATGGCCTTTGCAGCAACTTGGATGGAGCTGGAGGCCATTATTCTAAGTGAGGTAACTCAGGAATAGAAAACCAAATATCATATGTTCTCACTTATAAGCGGGAGCTAAGCTATGAGGATACAAAGGCATAAGAATAATATTAATATAATGGACTTTGGGGACTCACGGGGAAGGGTGGGAGGCGGGTGAAGGATAAAAGGTTACACACTGGGTACAGTGTACACTGCTTGGGTGACAGGTACACCAAAATCTCAGAAATCACTACTAAAGAACTTATCCATATAACCAAAAACCACCTGTACCCTAAAAATTACTGATATAAATAAATATATATATATATATATATATATATATATATAAATATATATATATATATATATAAACAGGTTTGATTTGAAGTAGTTGATGGGGACTTATGAGCTTTAAGGACACTTAAACTAGACCCCTAGTGGCTGATGGCACTGAGTTTTCTTCCATTACATCTAATTTCACTCCAAACTTTATGGTTTTTCCTCTTGAAATAAATTCCCCACCAGCACTATTCTTATTATCATCCTCTTTGAAAAGTCTCATTCTGAGTTAACAAGTAAAGAAAGAAGAAAATGATTTTCTAAGGTCAAGAGTTGAACAAAAGACCTAAAGGAGCTGGAGATGTTGTGTTACAAGTGAATGATCACAGCAGACTGCTTTAGCTGTGAGTGGCCATCCTCAGGCTGGGCCACTCATCTCAGTCTCATCTTTCTCAGAATCTCGGATTTTTTTTTTTTTTTTTTTTTTTTTTTTTTTTTGGAGACAGAGTACTTCTCTTGCTCTGTCACTCAGGCTACAGTGCAGTGGCATGATCTCAGCTCACTGCAACCTCTGCCTCCCGGGTTCAAGCGATTCTCCTGCCTCAGCCTCCTGAGTAGCTGGGATTACAGGCACCTGCCACCACGCCCAGCTGATTTTTATATTTTTAGTAGAGATAGGTTTTCACCATGTTGGCCAGGCTGGTCTTTAACTCCTGATCTCAAGTGATCCACCCGCCTCAGCCTCCCAGAGTGTCAGGATTACAGGCATGGGCCACCACGCCCTGCTAGCCTCTTGGACATTTGAACAGAGGTAAATAAAGACAAGAACCAGTTGGCAGCTGCGCTAATTTGCTGGCTGTACCCTGGAGGTGGAATTCTAGAAACTGTTCACATTTTGCCTGTTAACCCCTTACATTGTTTCTCCAAGGTTTTCCTGGTATATTCTTCCAGTAAACAATTCCTTTTGCTTAAACTGGGTTCTGTTACTTCCATCCAAAAGAATACTATCACACCCCCTCCCACTGATCCATTCCCCTTTTCTATTCATCTTGCTAAAAACTTTCAATGCTTCCTACTGTCAATAAGATAAAATTAAGACTATAAATATTCCAATATTCTCTGTTATGACACTTCTATAGGCTTTCAAATCCAGGCCTATCTACTCAATGACATGCGAAGTGCATACATGCCTTGCTTCCCATTCTAAAACACTATTAAAAATAATAATGGAAAACACAGTGAACATTATTTTAACAGTATGTTTGGGTTCAATGGTTCAATGATGGGCCTGCTAATTATTAGATGTGGAAGCTTGCACATGTTTTCAACTTCTCTAAGCCTTAGTTACTTGTCAAAAAAAAAATGAAGATAATATCTTGTTCCTAGAATTATACTGAAGATTTTAAAAAGATAATATATAACATCGTGTGTGTGTGTGTGTGTGTGTGTGTGTGTAAACAGGTCCTGGCACATAGAATGTTTTCTATAAATGAGATTCATTATATTTCATTATGACTTAAATTCATTATCTCTATCCCAGAACTTTCTTGCTATTCAGAGCAATAGATCTAAGTAGCTACATGAAATTTTCAGGTAGATAGACCTCAAATTCCAAATTCAAAAAGAAAAATTAACACCCACATTCCTCTGAGCCTGGGTTCTCCTACACCGCTCACCATCTACCAGTACCTCAGCCGTTAAGTATGATAATCTTATAGTTCTTCCTCATCCAACTGGTCTTCAAGCCCTCTAGACTTTACCTCTAAGGATAAAGGTTATATCCTCTCCACTTCTCCCAGGCACATAGATTCTCTAAACCTCTTATGAGGCCTCTAGTAATAGCTTCCTAACTGAGCTAGTTTGTCCTTGTTGTACTCACCAAATTTACCCTCCCAACAGCTGATGAATAAGTCTTTGTAAAACCCAAAGCTTATCAGGTTTAAACTTATAAATAGCTCTCCATTGATTAGAAAAGAAAGACCTACTCCTTTGAGTGTTACACATGTCCTTCAACAATGTGGCCACAGCCTAAAAGTCAATTCTCTCATCATGGTCTTGTAAATGAACTTCATTTCCATTGTATTCAATTGCTTACAGTTTCTGGAACACATCCAACTGTTTCAGGCTTCTGCCTTGCTCATGCTAGCCTATCTGAGTGGAACACTCTTACTTAAGCACCTGGGCCAGTGGCTACTCATCTTTTAAGGGTCATTTCCTTTATGACGTCCCAGCAGACAAAGCCCTCCCCCACATGTGTGCTTCAACTGTACTCTTTAAATGCTTCCATCACAGCACTCAAAGCTGAATTTCACATGCCTGTTTACATATTTTCCCAAACCGAAGCTTCCTTTAGAAGCTCTGGTGCTCAGCTCAGAGCCCGGCACAAAACAGGCTCTTGAGATCTGCCTGCTGAATGAATAAAGGTAGAAAGCAGAAAAAGACAACTGAGAGAACTGAATAATTAACAGTAAAGTTCAGGTTATTTTCTGGAGTCTGTAGACATTCAGCTCAGTGACTATCACTGGACCGACAATGATACTGAATACAGTAACTGTTCATCTTTATGATTTCTGCTCATTAAGAAAACACTCCATCAGAGTTGTGCAGGATGCCTTATTTAAGGTAGTCAAGTATGTGATAAAGCTGATGCATCATTCCAAAGGGGGCTGAGTCAAGCATTCCTTTCTATAAGATGGCGTTTGACCCTTAAATGACAATTTGAGAAACAGAAAGGCTTCACAGTCTAAATAATTTAAATACGGTGCATTACAGAGCAGCACCAGAAAAAAAGCTATTGTTATCTAGTACTTTGTGATCTTCTCCTTTATTATTAGGAAATGTAGGCACTTCAATACATTTACACATAACTTCCTTAGTAGGTAACTAAACTTTTAGAAAAAATCTGGAGGATAAGAATATATTGGAAGAATATTTTAACAAGCTCATTAAAACAGAGAATTATTTCTTTAAAAATGTTGATAGTTATGCTATAATAAAAACTTGAGAATAAATGCAAAGATGTGGTCAGAAACCCAAAAAGTAAGAATTTTTTGGCATAAAGTGATGCTTTGGGTGGGAAAGAATATAAACAAAAGTCATAATTTAGAGAAAAATCATATATTACTGAATCAAATTAAGTTACAAGACTCAGTGCTGAGAAAAATGCTCTGCAAATTTATAGAATGCATCCTGTGTAACAAGTCTTCTATGAAATTTTGTCACAGACCTGAATAAAATCTATGTAAGTTGTCAAGATTTAGCCTAGTCAATTAAATAAGTAAATGGAATCAGTGACCATTTTATAGACATTTAGATGTGCTACTTATTTTAACTTTTATAAATAGTCCTTTAAAAAATGTGGGGGACTTTCTAATGAACTTTGCTCTGAGCAAAAACATAATTTTGCTTTTCAGATTTCACTGATGTTCAATTGGAGTAATGGATAAAAGTGACAGAAGCCATGACTGATTAACTGGAAGTAAATTTCTTCCTCTAAAGCAGCCTTAAGGCAGGTATGCAATATTACCTTTGTGAAATCTAGTGGAGAGTTGGAAAATAGAGATTCTATGAATTTCAAGAATTATACATTACTGGAATGTGCTGAAAACCAAATGGATGTATTTGATGTGATTCCTAGAGGGATTCCTTTACACTTCAGATCTTCTACAGCTTTGTAATCTGCCAGGCTCCAGGCAGTTCACAAACAAATTACCGTCACTTCCATAGGAAGCAGATTTTTAGCTGTAGAGAAGCAACTAAGTTACAAAAAAGCACCAAGAGATTTAAATACCTAGAAGCTTGCTAGAAGCCAAAAAGAAATGAGATACTGATTAAAATTAGATATCTATCATAGTCTTGGCCCTCAATATTCAAGGCTAAGCAAGAAAAAATATCAAAATACTCTTCATTTTACATCTGAAGATATCTTAAGGACAGAGGTTATGTTTCGCCTGTCAAGCACTCAGCCAACAGACGGCCATACTTAACGATTTTATCCTTTTAAAACAAAGGAAGCAACCTGCCCTATAAAGCTGTGCTAGATTTCACTTCAGTAGGTATCAGAACAGGAAAAAGCAGAGTGTTCATTTGATCTTTCAAGTTCTGATCTCGTAAGATTTGAGACTGACATAAAGAGATTGCTTCCATATAAAGAATGAAACTGGCCGGGCGCGGTGGCTCACGCCTGTAATCCCGGCACTTTGGGAGGCCGAGGTGGGTGGATCACGAGGTCAGGAGATCGAGACCATCCTGGCTAACACGGTGAAACCCCTTCTCTACTAAACATAAAAAAAAATTAGCCGGGCGTGGTGGCGGGTGCCTGTAGTCCCAGCTACTCGGGAGGCTGAGGCAGGAGAATGGCGTGAACCCGGAAGGCGGAGCTTGCAGTGAGCCGAGATCGGGCCACTGCACTCCAGCCTGAACAACAGAGGGAGACTCCATCTCAAAAAAAAAAAAAAAAAAAAAAAAGAATGAAACCTTGGTAAGTTTGAATTGTGATATGTTTTTGCCTCTATTTAATGTTTTAATATTTAATGCTAAATATTAAAAGGGAGGGGAGCTACAGTAAACTTCTTCATTACAGTTTTGCTTTATCTATCTGCTTTTCATTTGAAATTATGGGCAGAGATCTTATTAGCAGGGATCTGCTGCCATTTAATAAATACAATGTCTCAGGCACTAGAGCAGTCACTTTCTATTCGATTCTTAAAACAATTCCTGTAATATAAATATTATCCTCCTTTCCTGATGAGGAAATTAAGCCTCACAGAGGTTAAGCAATTTATCAGATCCCACAGCTAATGGGCTGCAGTTCTAGGTTTCAAGATAAGTTCTAGGTTTATTGGTAAGTTTGAATTGTGGTATGTTTTTACCTCCATTTAGTGTTTAATGCTAAATATTAAAAGGGAGGGGAGCTACAGTAAACTTTTCCATTACAGTTTTGCTTCAACTATCTGCTTTTCATTTGAAATTATAGGCAGAGATCTTACTATATTAAATGTGTATACAGAAACAACTCTGCAAAAATGTACCTCACAAGGGCGATAAATAATGATTCTGGTTGTTATAAAGAATAACTGTATTCGATACGTTTTTGATATGGGTCAAATGCTCCCAAAGCATACAAAGTGGGCACGGAGAGACTGGCATTAAAGTTTTGGCATTTCGTCAGGACTACAATGCTATTCAAAATGCTATTCCCCAGCTTTCATGAAGGTGTTTCTTTTCAATAAATCTGAAGCACCATAACCATGACACAAATTTGAATGTAAACAAAGAATGCTGATCCCGTAACTAAATGCAGCAGTGCCTTTACTTCAGAACAGGCAAACACTGCCAGCAAAAACAACAAACAAAATTTCTGTTGAAACAGAAACAGCAGAGCGTGAAATAGCAGCCTGCCATCAGACATTGGGAGTTTGATTTTCATCAATGGCAGCTGAAACAGCCCTCTCCACCCACTTCTGCATGAAAAAAGAAAAGAAAAGAAAACTGATAATACCATCTGCATGCAAGCAGGAGGACAAACCTTGTGGGTCTATTTGCTGCACTCCAGCATGAACCTAGAGCAGCCACAAACTCCTCTTTAGGCTCTATTTCATTCCGTGAACCTAACTGATACTCCCAGTTATTGTACATTTGGAGGAATACACAGTGATTTTATTTTTTAAAGATTCTGGCGGTGTCACGACATCTATTGGAAAACTTTTCAAGCAGAGGGCTTCTGATTGATTTGCTTGGGGTCATGTGGAGGTAAAAGAAAAAGTTTAAAAAAATAAGCACTTACAAGTGGCAAATGGCAAATCCAAC
Organism: Homo sapiens; assembly: GCF_000001405.40. Lineage (NCBI taxonomy): Eukaryota > Metazoa > Chordata > Mammalia > Primates > Hominidae > Homo > Homo sapiens. The sequence continues at coordinate 28,049,234 of NC_000018.10, forward strand.
CAGCAAAGGTGAGTGCATTTCAAAAGCTTCCTCTGTGATGACTACACAGAAACGTGCTATGGGCATGTACTATGTGCGCCAAAATAACTGCCGATGGTTGCGATATGGCTATTTCCAATTCATGTGTTACAATGCTAAACACGCTCCTGAAACACTACCTTCTGCGAGAGAGGAAACTTTCACACAGAGACGAAATGAACAGGACAAATATACACTGTGGTAGTACTAAAAGGAAATTTAGACCGAATAAAGCAGATTGATAACACGGGTGGAAAACATCCTCGGCTAGACTAGATTATTAATGATACCAGAGAAGCAACAATGTGCTTTATAATTCTTATATGTATTTGTACATCATGAACGGCATATTGATCATAAGGAAACAAAGCAAATGGATTAACTCACCACTGAATAGTATCTATGGCAAGGCCACATGCACATTACATGTCAAAAGACAACCAACCTCCACAACAACAATCTCAGCCACATCCTGCAGACCTAGTCACTGCTGTTAGAAATGTTTGGTGCAATTTAACCCGTATGCAACTAATAATTATTATGATGATAATCATTTAAATAGTTTAGATTACTGCATAGCAAATAGTCACTACCCTCTTACTGCCACTATTGGCAGAATATACTTTCCCATTTCATTGATGTTTAGTGTGGTGAGATGTCTTGCTTTGGCCACTGGGATGTTGGTGGATATAACATCAGTAAATGCTTGAAATGTGCCTGCCTTCTTGGAGTATGCTACCACCATGCAAAAGAACATGTTCTGCCTACCCACCAAATTAAGGATGAAGGCATGTGGAGCAGATCTAGACCAAATCTGCAGCGTGGATCTAAGCCCAGCCTGGATAAGCTGAGCCCCACTTGGCTCACAAATGCAGGAGCAAGAAGAGTGATTGTCGTTTTAAGCCACTGAGTTCCGAGGTGGTTTGTTATGCAGCATCACTGTGGCAAATGCTAACTGAGAACAATATCAACAACACATCATCACAAATAGAGCCCATTTTTAATTAAATGGTATAGGGTAAAATTAAAATACAGACATTGCAGTATTGCTGATAGCATATAGTTATAAGCCTTAGTATTATACAATTGGACCTTCTTTTAGTTTTACCCCCTTCTGACTCTTCTACACCCACATAAGTAGCTGCTGCCATTTAATAAATACTATGTCTCAGGCACTAGAGCAGTCACTTTCTATTCATTTCATTCTTAAAAAAAATTCCTGTAATGTAAATATTATCCTCCTTTCCTGATGAGGAAATTAAGACTCACAGAGTTTAGGCAGTTTATCAGATCCCACAGCTAATGGGCTGCAGTTCTAGGTTTCAAGAAGGTGCTTCTTTAATACTTACCATATTTCAGAGTAAGATTTTTTTCTATTTAAAAATGTTTAAAGGGGAAACCAGCAGGCTGCATAGAGGAGATATAATGCCTTTTTCACTTTTGTTGCTCTGCAGGGACTCATCTAGCACTGAAATAGCTCTCCCATTCCCACCCCCAGATGGTCCACTTGACAAGGAGAGGCCTCTGGGGATGCCTGAAAGCTCTCTTCTTGCACAGGAGAAGTACAGCCTAGAAAATTCCTAAGATAGTCATAAGTTTTAGCTCAAGAAGATTCTTTTTAAAAAGCTTATTTCTTTTAATCCATGATCATTAAGATAATTCAGTCTTGATAAGGACTATACAAAGGAAAAATCAGACTTTTATTTTTAAAAATATGTATTTCCTTAACCAGGCATATTCCTAACTAATCCATGTTACCAACTGAAAAGAAAATATTTAATTCTCTCAAACAATTTTTCCTTCTCAATTCTAATCCATATGCATATTGTAAAAAATAGGTAACTATGAACATTTTCCTTGAGGTAGCTTTTAGAAGATACTGATGAAGAGATTAAATCCTTCCAGGTATTATATTATTGTTAATATTTCTGTTACACTTTTATCAGATATATTTCCTAGTACCTCAGGGTAGTCGGGATTTCTCTATTTTATAGTAGTGAAAACTAAAGTATAGCTAACATGATACTAGGCAAAAATCATTCAAAACCTGAAGATAGTGTAATACCACAAAATAGATACAATGATTAGAAGTAACAATGACCTTGGGAAAATACTAAATAGATTTCAAACTAATCCCTGCATAATTAATAGGATGGTGTTATCTCTACAGTCTGTAATACTAGACTTGCAACTAAAAATGTCTGCTTGTCCTGGGAAATGCAGTGTATAAGGTAAGAGAAAGTGATTTCCATGTAAGATGACAGACTCCTTGTCAGAATCATTCTTATTTCTATCAGGAGTGCTGAACTTTTTAAAATTAAGATATTAAATGTCAAACATTTTTATTAAAGATAATAGAACCTTTTCTGTAAATTAACCTTACTCAAAATATGTCTCTTACCAACTATAGAACTGTCTTGCCCTGGAGTGTTTATGAGTAGTTTTCCAACCTACATCCTATAAGGACAGCTAAGAATGCCTCTAAATCTATAGGGAAACTACATGAATCAAACTCCTGAATGTGCTAAAGTGTACTGTTATATCTTTTACTACGAAATCACTACGTAATAATGATAATTATGTCATAGCACTAATTTTTACTGGGAATGATTGCAAAATACACAAAAAGAGAGAAAAGTACAAAAAACTCATACCAATCATCCAGGTTGGATAGCTATCAGAATTCTGCCACGCATGTTTTATATATCCATTTTATTGCAGTTGCATAAGTACTTTACAGCAAATACCAGATCCCATTTGTATGCATCTCTACAAATGCAGACACTTTTGTAAAACAACAACGATGTCATTATAGCCCAAACGTAATGAATAACTGTTATGAGATATCCGATATATGAAGTTAAAGCAAGCTTGTATATTTTACAAAGACAATTCTTTGTATTTCCCAGCTCTAGAGTACATTTCCTCCAAAAAATTAAGAAATGAAAAATAATTAGAAGAGTCATAATTTCAATTTTCAACTTATTCCACATGGGAAGTAATTTGTGTAAGGGAAGTATAACTGAAAGAAGACATGGTATCAATATCTGTATCAAACTTATAATTAAATAGATGAAGAAAAAGGAATTATTACTTGAATTTTAGTTTATATTTAAGCCGTAGTAACAGCAAATGAAAAAATAAATTTTAACTTCTCAGTGTCCTTTGTCATTGAAGAGTATACAGAAGAAAACTCTGAAATGAAAAGCTACTATATTTTATGGTTCACCTCTCTATAAGGTCTTATGTGTATTTGTTTGGAAAGGGAGAGAGAAATTTCAAAGACGGCAAAGAAGTATTTGAAAATCATTAAATAGTACTTTAACTTCAGTGTTACATGGGTACGTGCATCACAAGTATCAATATTGGGGAAAATTAAAAGGAAAACAGTATTGGAACAAAATACAAACCACCGAAGGACTGGAAGTGAAAATGTAGGCCATGACGAAGTGGCCAGACATTCTCAGGTGTGCCTACCTGCTCAATATCACGAAACAGTTCATTGAAACAAGATGCCTTGTTTTATACAGTTTAAAAATTAATCTCTCCCTCTTCAAATCACTAGAAAATTATATTCTGTGGGTAATGGGCTGAATGTGTCCCCTTAAAATTCATGCATTAAAATCTTAACTCCTCAGTACCTTAGAATCTGACTATATTTGGAGATAAGTCATTTAAAGAGGTAATTAAGGTAAAATGAGGTCGTATGGGGGGGTCCTAATCCAATATGCCTGGTGTCCATATAAAAAGACGAATTTTGGACACAGACATGCATGTGCACAGAGGGAGGACCATGTGAGGACACAGCTAGAAGGCTATCGGGGAGAAGAAGCCTTCAAAGAAACTAAACCTGCTGGCACCTTGATCTCAGACTTCCAGCCTTTAGAACTATGAGAAATAAATTTCTGTTGTTTAAGCCATGCAGCCTGTGGTATTGTGTTATGTCAGCTCAAGCAAGCCATTCCACCATGTAATTGTAGAGTTTGAAAATCGTCAAACTCTGCAAATTATTCACTGACTTCTTAGATAACCAGGCAAGTTAGTAAAACCTTAATTTTTTAATAAGTATTAGACATTTTTAAAGATATCTTTTAAAGATTATAAAACCTATTATGCTTAAGAAGATAACTATAATTCATTAAGATTATCAAACATCCAGTGAGTAATTTACCTGTCACATGTTAAATAAAATTTGTAGGGCCCAACAGACCAAACCAAGATGGGGTTATTCATGCTAAATGAAAGTAATGAACTTAGGAGTACACTCATGTAACAACTCGCTGAGTTTTGGTTAGTTACAGCAGCTGAGCTTTAGCTAGTCACTGGAAGCAGCCAACTGATTCAAATAACCAATTAAGTCCTATACCTCACTTCTGTTTTCTTTCTGTAAATACTGTCTGAACAGGCTGCAGCCCCAGAGTTCGTTCTGGTTCTGAGGGCTGCCCGTTTCAAGATTCATAAATATAAACGAATTAACATCTTTATACTAAATTTGTTTTTTAAGACTATTGGTCTTTTGTCTTTTAAGACTATTGGTGCCCAGTGTGGCACTGGAAGGACATTGATGGTGAATCCAAACATCCCTTGAGGAATGCAGGAGAGGTACCACTGAATCTTTTTTGAAGTCCTCTATCTTTCTTACGGGCTCCCGAGAATTTTAAGTTCCTCTTGGGTTGGACTCTGCTCTTTTTGCATCGAGCCCCTAACCTTTTAGGTTTCTGAATCCAGGGTTAGTTTGTGCCATGGGAGGCTGCATAACCTGGGGTCAGGTACCAAGGGTGAGTCTGTGCTGTGAGAGAGCACACAAACTTTGAAAGTCTTGACAAAAACAGGACTGGATCCTGTAGGGAGGAGTCAGGTGTCTGAGTCAGATTAAAAGTGGACTGGCTTCCATAGGTAGGTAAGGTTACTAGAATACAAGGAATCCTGGGATCATCTGGATCCAAGGAGTCTAGAACTCCAGCCAATTTCATGCATAAGAACCATGGACTCAGAAGCTGTGCCTTTTTTATTTTTAAGCAAAATGGGTAAACCTTACCAAAAATAGTTAGACTGGCCACAGTGAAGTTCTAACCTAGATAAAATTGTTCACTTGTAGGGCTCCTTAGGAAAGAAAAGATCAGAACCCCACAGGAACAATGACATGCATTTTTGTTTGGAACACAGAGGCTAAAAGATTAAACAAATCAAAAACTGCCTCCTTACCAAAGGCAAACGGGCATGTCTTGACAGCTACAACACTTACAGAAATCAAAAGAACTTCCTTGCACACATTTTAAACCAAAACCATGATGTTCCAAACTAAAAAACTCTGTGCCCAAGATGTCTGCCTTTATTGTAAACAGCCAGGCCATTAGAAAGGATATTGTCCACTTTTACACCAGCCACTTGATGAATGTATTCTCTATGACCTGGACTGTTTCCCTACTAATGGAAGCCCCGAAAGACTTTACTTCCAGGATAATAATCATCAAATTAGCACTCTGTTTGTTTTTTCCTGTTTGATCCTGTAAAATGGGAAACTTTCAGCTGACTGAAATCCCTCCTCTCAAACCTTTGTTGCCATTTCTTTCTTGTCATAATCTTTGCTATACTCCTAAATTTTTTCTTGGTGAAGAAAATGCATTTATGGCATAAGGATTATTTTCAGCTGGTTATTTCAAGACCCTTCTGTAAGAAAAATTTATATCTATAAAGAAATCTCAATTTGTAAGTGTGTCTCCCTCTCTATACTGAGAAGACAGAGAGAGCTAAGTCACTAGAAACTTTTACAATGGAGAAGCCAAACGCTTAAATTTATATAACATGCCTCACTTAGGACCATTTTATTTACTGGACTCACAGTTCCACTTGGCTGAGGAGGCCTCAAAATCATGGTGAAAGGCAAAAGACATGTCTTAAATGGGGGCAGACAAGAATGAGAGCCAAGCAAAAGGGGTTTCCCCTTACAAAACCATCAGATCTCACGAGACTTACTAACCACCATGAGAACAGTGTGGGGAAACTGCCTCCATAATTCAATTATCTCCCACCAGGTCCCTCCCACAACATGCGGGAATTATGGGAGCTACAATTCAAGATGAGATTTGGGTGGGGACACAGCCAATCCATATCACTAGGCTTATTATGCCTTTGTCTCAGAAAATAATGGTATTTAGGCTTGAAATTTGACTACAGTGAGCAACCTAGCTAACAACTGCTTAGGGCAATGAAACAGGTAATTGAAAGAGTGATAGTGTAAAGGGTGAAGAAGAGTTATTTGGAGACTGGCAAATGAAAAATCTTAATGATATTTCTAGGATACGTTTCTGTCTGTATGGCTGTGTATATCTATATATGTCTGTATGTTATATATGCGTGATATTTTTCTAAAATTTATAAAGAGCTTTAATTGGCTTTAAAAAGTAATTTAAACATTTAAATCTATGTTAATTAGTATTTATGAAATGTCTGAGTAATTTTAAGTATGTTTAAACACTGAAACTAACTGCTATATATATACTTCGGCATCCTGTTTTTGTATGGTGCAAAGAAGCTACATATATTATATTTGGGTCTATTAGTTGAAAAAATATTTTTCTATGGGGAAGCCCCATATGTTGTTAGAAACTCTGAAATGTGTATACAGAAAGTGTTACTATATGACAGAAAGTTCAAAACTGCTTTACTTTACTTCCTAGGTTTTTAGTAGAAATTAAGATTACTAAGAGTTAAATATTCTAATGACTATATGGTAACTGAAACTGGAAATAGTAGGGCAAATGACTCCATATTCGGGGAAAGTAAACACGTTTTTGGTAAGTGAAGCTATGAGGTATAAAAGATTTTTTTTTTTTTAAGAGAAAAAGAGTAATTTTTGTCCTAAAAGGACTGGTTGTTTCAAAATGAGAAAGAAGTATAAGGCCAATGATGAAAAGGATATTAGAAGGTTGTGGAGGATTTGTAGAACATGGATTTTGTGAAGGGAATTTTAGGTATGACCAAGCTGGCTAAAATTAGAATGGAATTATTTGTAAGGCTTTCTAAAAATTGAACTTTACTATCAAAACTACACTGATGCAAAACTAGAACTTGGTCCTTTCTGTCAAAACAAATAGGTTTTCTTGAAGTATTTATTTGCTCTTAACAGGAAATGGTAAAAGGCTTTTATCTTTTAGGTAATTGGCCTAGGAAACAAAGATTCTATGTTTTATCACGATGAATCCTTGCGCTTCATTTTGTCTTTCTTAGGTCTTTGATTATGTAAGAAAACTGGGTCCTCTCTATTAAAAATAAGACTTTTCCTACAATTATGTAACTTTCTTTATTTGTCTTTGAAGTCTTTAATGATCACTCTGGCTAAATAAACGACTATTATTTCACAGTGACCTGTGATCCCATTTTGATCAAGTGTTTTAAACCTTTGATCAAACTTCCCAAAAGGAAATTCTAACAAACTTCCCAAAAGGAAATTCTAAATTAAGACTTTTTGCCTTAGAATTAACTCTGGAATTTTCCTATTGAGTCCCTGAAACCCTCCAAAAATGTGTCTCTCCTCTTGTAAAAGAGATATACTCAACTAATTAAGGTTATTTGATATATTAAGTTATATGGGAAGCACTGTCAAATAAAAGTGATTCTAAACCTTGAATTATATTTGCATGGATATGTTATTGGTATGTTCCAGAAACTGTATAAAATTCTTAGAAATCCGATGTTAGCCATAATTTTGGTTATTGTGTTGAATTATTGTATGACACAGAAATAACCAAATTTCCTTGTCAACGGCATCATTATTTTAAGGAGCTCTAATCAGATCTTTAACCAGGACCATTTGAAGTCTTGTCATTCACAGATGGTTATGTACTCTGGTACATTCCTGAGCAAGTATAAATATTTCATCTTCAAGGAGGTTCATGGAAAGAACTCTGACAAGTACAAGTTTCTGATAATTTTAAGAACCTATCATTGGACTGGGTAAGAATTCTCAGAAATCTAATGAAGAAACTGATTTGTTTTATAAAACTGCTAAATGAACATCAAGCAGAACAAGAATTATTTAAATACCAAGGAAATGCTTTGGCAGACTTTCATGCTAAAATTACTGAAATTTCATGCTAAAAGTACTGAAATTGCTAAGAAATGAAATTTGAGGCCAGGCAAGGTGGCTCACGCCTGTAATCCCAACACTTCAGGAGGCTGAGGTGGGCGGATCACTCAGGGTCAGAAGTTTGAGACCAGCCTGGTCAATGTGGTGAAATCCTGTCTCTACTAAAGCAATACAAAAATCAGCTGGGCATGGTGGTGTGCACCTGTAATCCCAGCTACTGGGTAGTCGAGGCAGGAGAATTGCTTGAACCCGGGAGGCGGCAGTTGCAGTGAGCCAAGATCATGCTGCCGCACTGCAGCCTGGGTGACAGGGCAAGACTCTGTCTCAAAAAAAAAAAAAAGAAATTTGAATAAACTGTTAGATTGATCAAGGTCAAATTACCTATGATAACTTATTTATTAATAGTAAGCAGTCGAATGCACCTGAATTGGACAATCGAAGTTGGTATTTAAGAGGATATAAATCCAGTATTAAGTGTAGGCTCATGAAGAACCTGAACAGTTGCCTGGTCTTGAGTTCTTAAAGTTTCCATTATTAAAAGTTCTATACTTCATCACTCATCATGGAGTAGAAAAAATAATACAAGTCATGGAAAAAATATTGGTTTGGTGATTGTTCTAGAATTGCTAAGGTGGTTTGTGACCCCTGTTTGGTTTTTCAAACCCATCATCTTGGGAAGATAATCAAAACTTCAAGTCATATAATTCTGCTATCTGATGGACCATTTACACATGTATTTCATTCAGTTACCATTTCAATGGGATGTAAATATGTTCTTGTAACAGTGTTCTCTGGTTGGATCAAAGCAGTACATGCAGGAAAGCCAATACAATAACAGTAAAACCTCATGTATCACCCATTCTTATAAACTTTGATACCAAGGCATATTTTTATAGCTAAAACAAGCCTTTCATAATCCATTGATGACAATCTGACCTTTGGTGATCTGGAACCCAAAGACTGGATCTTTTGGACAAGACATGACAGAGAGAGACAGAGAGAGAGACTGCTCTTGAATCCCAGTGGGAGGGACCATAGAGTTCTTCTCCCCGTATATTGCAGTAAAGCTTAGGACCTTGCCTTGGTTCAAGGTTAAAATGGCCCCTCCAGGCTCACGCAACTGTATACCTATTGAAGACTTTAAGGTAAAGCTGATTAGGGAAAAGTTTCCCTAGGAACAGATGACATTTTAGCCTGGATGGTGTTTTCTAAGAAATCAGAACAAAACTCTTCATCAAAATGTGACTTTTATCCCTCTTAATTTTTCCTTGTTTATGCCTACTTTTTTCACTTGGAACTTAGAACTTTATAACCAGTATGAAATGTCGGATCTGTTATGATCTCAGAGATTCCTTAGTATACTTAGTGTTAATATTAGCAACATCCCTAATCCGACTGTTTATTTAAATTTTCTTAGTGTTCTGTTTTATAGATTTGGACTTCTAGACCCACTTATTTTCACTTCCTGCTTTGATTTGGCCCAGTCATGGAACGCTAGATTGCTTATTGGCTAAGTAGGAGTCTGTGCAGTTGCTAGTATTTTTTGTTGTGCATAAATATCTTAAGTATTGTAGACACTTGGTTACAAAACAATTAAAAGAAACAGGCTATTTGGTTAAAACAGGTGAACTCCTCATGTAGCTTATCTATTTGATTTTAGTTGGTTTGATTTTAGTTGGTTTGATTTATGGGGGCCCTTGCTAAGGCACTAACTCCAAACTCTTGGTATTATCCTCCTGAGAGTCATAATGGCAATCTCCCTGGGTATGCTGTACTTTCTCAAAAGTTTTAAATGTTTGCCTATAACCAACCATCAAACACCAAATGGTCTCTTTGGTTGGAATGACAAAAACCCAAGGAAATGCATGAACATGATGACACTGTAACTTATGAATAACAGGTTAAGACTGGAAATGTAAAATGATAAGAATTGAGAGTAGCACTGATGACCTAAGTTGTGGTCATACTCTCACCTAAGTGACAGCCTGACCAAAAAGGGGGAAATACCATTGATTTGGACTAGGCTCCTGTACTTAGTCCAACAGACCAAACTAATATGGAGTCATTCATGCTAAAGGAAACTAATTAACTTAGGAGTATACTCATGAGACAAGTAGCTGGGTTTCAGATAGTTAACAGCCCCTGAGCTTTAGTTAATCATAGGCAGCCAACTAATTCAAATAAGATTATAACCAATTAAACTCTATAACTAACTTCCATTTTCTATCCATAAATACTGTCTGACCAAGTTGCAGCCCCAGAGTTCTCCGAACCTGTTCTGGTTCTGAGGGCTGCCCAACTCTAGAATTGTGAATAAAAGCCAGTTAAGATCTTTGAATAAAATTTGTTGTGATTTTATCTTTTGACACATACACATAGGTATGCAGATATGCAAGCATATTTATGTATGTTTCATATATGTGTAAATGTATGTATATTATATATCTGAACACACACATACACATTTGTTTGAATCAGATTCCAATGAGATTGGTTGATAGGTCTCTTCTTTAATCTATGTATTCTTCATCCTCTTTTTCCTTTCAAACTTTTTTGTGGAAGAAACTGGATCATTTGTCCTACATTTTCCCCTGCGATCTAGATTTTGCAGATTCAAATTCTCTAATTTCATGTAATATGATCCTCTGCACTCTGTATTACTTAGAAGCTGGCACATCTAGAAGTTTGATCAGACCCTGGTTTTTTTTTTGGCAAACAAGTTCCTATCAGGAGTACATAACAACGCATAACAGATAGTCTTCCTTTTAGTCACTGATGATCATCACTTAGATCCACTATTTCAATAAGAGATGCAAATTTCTATAATTCCTCCTTTACTTATCATCATCATTATTATTATTTTTGAGACAGAGTCTCACTCTTTTGCCCAATCTGGAGTGTAGTGGCACAATCTCGGTTCACTGCACTCTCTGCCTCCCAGGTTCAAGCAATTCTCCTGCCTCAGCTTCCGTGTAGCTGGGACTACAGGCGCGTGCTACCATACCCAGCTAATTTTTCATATTTTTAGTAGAGACGAGGTTTCACCATGTTGGTCAGGCTGGTCTCGAGCTCCTGAACTCAAATGATCTGCCTGGCTCAGCCTCCCAAAGTCCTGAGATTACAGGCATGAGCCACTGCGCCTAGCCCCTTCTTTACTTATTAACTGCAGTATTTCTTTACAGAAGAACCTGCCTATCTAATATAGTTACCCTAAAGTACAGTCATTCTAGAAAAAGCAAAACAAGCACTTGATTCTTTCTCTTTATCTTTTTCAAAACCATAAACAAAATGGGATAGGTTTTGTTCCTCATCTTCAATTAGTAACCTTGTTAGTAACTAAGTTGGCTTAGTTTTGGGAGACCATTTGGTAAGACTAGTAATCTTGTAAGATAACATGATATTCCAGGTCATCTCATATACTTCCTGCCTTGGACATGGAACCAGCCATTTCTTTAAAGAACCCTGGCTCCTTCTGGTGAACCTCAGTATGGACCCTCAGGGTATTCACTGCTATTGGATACTCATTGTTTTCGGGCATTTCCAAAGGATAAATCAACAAAATCAGCATTTTAAAAAAATAAATCATTTTGCTACTTCTCATGCAAATTCATTTTTTTACTTAATCATACCAATCTTACACCTCTGTGTTTCTTCCAAAACTAGCACTAACACTAAAAATGACTGTGAGACAAGTTAAACTTTCTTTTGCCTTTTTTTGAACTTCAATGTATATCCCACTAAGGTTGTACTATATAGTTAAAATTTCTGTGACATAACATCATTTAAAATGGTTCTTCTCAGTGTGGCCATGTATACCAGCAACATGATTTACATTGGGACTTATATATTGTACTTTTACTAGTTGTCTTCATTATCTTGGTTTTGTTTTAAACTTAAAGCAAAATTTGTACACATTTCCACAGTCAAGTCCACAAAACACCCTCCTTTCCACAAACAGGAAGCATTGTTTATTAAGTGTACTTCCCTCTTCTGTGCTGTTTTCACTTAAAACTTTATCCTAGGCTGGGCATGGTGGCTCATGCCTGAAATCAAGCACTTTGGGAGGCCGAGACAGATAGACAACTTGAGGTCAGGAGTTTGAGACCAGCCTAGCCAACACGATGAAACCCCATCTTTACTAAAGAAATACAAAAATCAGCCGAGCGTGGTGGCATGTGCCTATAACCTCAGCTACTTGGGAGTGGTTGCAGTGAGCCAAGATTGTGCCACTGCACTCCAGTCTGGGACACAGAGCACGACTCCGTCTCAAAAAACCCAAAAGCAAACAAATACTTTATCCTAGCACATGAGTCTGTTCTCACACTGCTAATAAAAACATACTCAAAATTGGATAATGTCTAAAGGGAAGAGGTTTAATTGACTCACAGTTCAACATGGCTGGGGAGGACTCACAATCATGGCAGAAGGCGAAGGAATGTCTTACATGGCGGCAGGCAAGATAGCATGTGCAGGGGAACTCCCCTTTATAAAACCATCAGATCTCATGAGACTTACTATCATGAGAATATCAAGGGAAAAACCTGCCCCATGATTCAATTACCTCCCACCTGGTCCCTCCCATGACACATGGGGGTTATGGGAACTACAATTCAAGATGAGATTTGGGCAGGGACACGGCCAAACCGTATCACCTAGAGATCTCTCCACAGCAATTTGTACACAGCCCTCATTCCTTTTGACAGCCACATAGTACTTCCTTAGATGGATGTACCACATATACCATAATCTATTCAAGCAATTCCTGGTTCAAAATCATTTGGTTTGCTCCAGTCTTTAAGTTTTACAAACAGATACAATGAACAGCCTTATTTTTTGCAATAAATTTTTGAGGTATTTAATATTTTTCTAGCCATTTATCTCTTTTTAAAAATTGAAAAGTGGCTAAAATTATTTCAAAAGAAAGAGAATATAATGCAATAGGAAAGACTACTGGTAAATATTTATTAATTTGTCCAATAAATGAAACAATCTGTCAATTTTCCAACAGAAAACATATAACTTCTTCAACTAATTAAGTAGAATTTATAATCCAATATATTCAGCTGGAGTCAATAATAGAGTTTTGCCTGTCCTGTCTTCATTATTTTTATAGCATACTATAGATGAAAACTGTTATTTCCAAGTGTTTTTAAAACAATAAAACTATTTTTATAACAGCCCTTATTCTGTGAGTCAAGTAATCCATGCTGTGCAACTGAGTTCATGATGCAAATATTCACCACACTAACATAAAATCAGGCAACTGCATATATTAAAACTTTCCAAATTTTAATGATGCAACATTAAGAAAAATGGAATGAACTATCACCAGTTGAGAAATACACCGTCCAGGCTAGGCGTGGTGGCTCATGCCTGTAATCCCAGCACTTTAGAAGTCCAAGGCGAGCGGATGACTTGAGGTCAGGAGTTTGAGACCAGCCTGCCAACATGGTGAAACCCCTTCTCTACCAAAACTACAAAAATTAGCTGGGAGTGGTGGCACATGCTTGGAGTCCCAGCTACTCCGGAGGCTGAGGCAGGAGAATTGCTTGCACCTGGGAGGAGGAGGTTGCAGAGAGCCGAGATCACGCCACTGCACTCCAGCCTGGGTGACAGATCATGACTCTGTCTCAGAAACACACATTTCATAAAAGCCTAATATGCTCCCAAACTGTTAAAACTATGTTATAATAGCATTTTTAAAAAGCAGTAATTTAAACGTAGCTACTTAAACATTAGATATAAGTAGCACTGTATGTCCTCATAAGTCTTTGTTATGGTGATTTTTTTATAATAAAAGTATATAGCTTTGTAAAATCCTATTTGTTGCATTAAAAACTATTTGGGAAAAAAAATTATTATGGGACAAAAGAAATGCTTATACTGCTTTTCTTGTATCTTGAAGCTTAACCATTTTACTGAACATTTCACATTACTACTGGAACATATTCACCAATTGGTGTTTAAAAACAAAACAAAGTGGGTAGAGGAGTCAACAACCAACAATGCAGGAAGTAGATTAACTAAAGGCAGAAGAATAACACACTGTTTCAGGGAATGAGAAGAGACGGTTCCTTTGAGGAATTGTTCTGTGAAGGCTATGGAAGTCTTTCTCAGCTGGAGCAAAGAAAAATAGGGAATTCTGGCAGGTTATTTATAGTGGCACACACCCACAACTTCAGCCCATCTCTGTCAGCCATTGTGTAGAGCACTAAAGCATCATTAACACATCCTAATAAAAACTTTTCACAGGGGCTCCCTTTCTCATCAACATGCAAAACTAAATGTCAGCAGGAGGCCCATAGCTTCAGGAAGCCATAAAGTGAAGTTTGAACCCGGTAATGATCTACAGCAGGGTGTCTGCAGAGACAAATTTTCTTGGTTAGGACAGATGTGACAGCATAACTGTGTATGTAAAACTTCATACCATTTAAACTACATATCCTGGGATTTGTAGACAAAAGTATCCTCTTTCATGCTTCAGAAAGTTATGAACAGGCTTTTCTATATTTTCTTCTTCAAGCCACTTCAAAATATTATTGGCTACTGTCTATATTCTGTAATCTTCAAAAATCACCAGCAGCACAGTATATTGCAAATAATAACCAGCCCCAATTTATTCTACCTTTAAGATCGACTTAGACACAGGAAAAGGTAATAGAATATTTATTGCCTGCCTGCAAGGCGTTAACAACCAAAACAAGTTAAAATATATGCTGTCCTTCATTTATTTCTCCAGACATGTCTGGATGAGAAACATCTGGAAATCTCTTAAAACTATGAATTCCTCAAAAGAGGGGGGGGTAGGTGGGGATGGAAAGAGATTTTTCTCTCTTCTGTCTCAAAATGACTCCCATCTCTAAACATGGTATCTGTATGGAGGCAATCCCTGGGGAGTGGGAAATTTTTCTCATCTCTTTTTAAAAATTTTATTAACAGTTTATTTTTTTAAGAGATAGGGTCTCACTCTGTCACCCAGGCTAGATGCCCAGGCAGTCTCTCACCCTGAAACTCCTGGGCTCAAGCAATCCCCTCTTGCCTCACCCTCCCAAGCAGCTAGGACTACAGGTGTGTACCACCACACCTGGCATCCTCTTTTCTTTCACTGGCTTCCTGAACTTCATTTTTCCATGAGGCATCAGCCAAAGCCTATGGGGTCATACCAGCCAGTGGGGAGAAAGGAAATACAAGAGTGGCAAAATAAGAAAAAATAAAAAATAAAATAGGTATAGAGACTAAAACAGAATGATGGGGATGAATGGAACTGGCCACCTACCCCCAGTTCTGAGGTGGTTTAAAGAAATGCGAACAAAAAAGCCCCAATTAAAAAAAAAAAACAACTGGAGCCCTATTTAACAAAAGTATGAACTATAAAGTGAACAGTCACTTAAAATGAGAAAATAAATCACCAATGTTACTGGAGCCTTGAGAGAATCAGGTCCCCTTCTTCGGAGATCTCTTGAGAAAATTTACCAGAAATGTTTTCAAATTGCAACCTTGCTTCTACTCTCCTCCTAGGACACTTAACATAATTTCCAGCAAACCCCATTACTCAGGGCCTGAAAGTGAGGGTCCTGAACCTTGAACTTCCCTAGCTTCATGATAAGCCTGCCTCTCTCAGCTTGTCCTTTCCAAGGACCATAAATTTTCCCTTTCCTTCCCCAAAGCTGCTTACCATCATAAGATTTCTCATGCCCAAGGAAGTCACAAATGAAGCTGTGGTACAAGTCAAGTGCCATGCTCAGTGGCTACTAAAAAACTCTAGATTCACAGTAACTATCCCAGTTTGTAGCTCACTGTAATACTCTTCAGTCCTTCTGATAAAGGGCAACTCTTGGGAACTGAGCCAGAAACTCATTCACCAAGGGTTTTTATCCCCTGTTGACATTTCATTGTTAAGAGATGTGACAAGATCTAAGCCAAGATCTAAGCTAGGGTCCCAACTCTATCAGGCATCACAGCTGATAACCTATACAACATAACACTCGTATATCAGGATACAAGTGGTAGGGTGATGGACGAGTATCCAAAACAGAATTTTAATTACCAAAGAAGTAATTAACAAAAACGGCACTTGGTTCACTACATGTTAACAAGAATCCCTTCTATAGCAACTGTAATAAAAAGATTTTTCAAAAGGACTGCTTTTTCAACAATATATGCTTCCATCTCCTAATATGGAAGAGGGATTACTCCTCTACATTCCCAGACACTAACTCAAGTGCCAGGAATGCTACACTGATAATCCAGTCATTGTCAACCTTCAAGGAAATCCATGGTAACTAGCCGTAGAATTGGTTTCTTGTTTGCCCAGAGTCCTGACTTTGTAAGAAATGTTACATCATCCCTTTTTTCCTCTCTCATTGTCATCTTTATCATCATTATCATCCTGTCTAATTCTCCAATATTAAATTCTGCAGGAGAACATAACCAATGATATCTGAGAAGTATACGAAGATCTCAGTAGTCCCTTAGGTATGAGGTGATACAGCACCCTTTATTTCTTATTGGCAACACCAAACTTAAATGCTAGGGGTTCTAAGAAGACCACAACATTAAATTGCACTCTCCCTGGGCTTTGAGGATTATCCACCCAGATATGTACCAATTCTGACAAAGAAAGCATCCTGGAGCTTTCTAGTGGAGGTGGAGCTAGGGGGATGACAGGTTTCTGGCTGCATTCTGTCATTCTCCCTATTTGTGCATCAAATATTCAAGAGCTGGCCACATTCTACGACTTGCGTGTTCATTTGTGTCACAATGCTCTCTGATAATAACCATTTGAAAAGTTGTTGGTAAGTACAAAACATGCATCTGAAATTACAATGGACTGAACTAAACAATAATAAACAATATTTCAATTGCACACAGGAAGAAGAAAAAAACTAGCCAAAGCAGACACTTACTAAATATAAAATAATTGTACCTTCAAAATTAATTACATATAAACTTCAAAATGCAAATATTTCATAAAGAGAAACACTGATTTTACATTATTAAAGTAAAACTTGGGTGTCTAATCAGAGTATTTTTAGATTTTAAGGTTGCCACCTTTAGCACAAGAGTTCGAACAAAGGCTCTTATGTTTAATGCATTAAGAATTAATTTTCAGAATAATTCTTGATAGGAATGCATGGAATTGTATTGACAACCCCCTTCTCCAAATAGACCCCTTTTCACTTTTCAAAGGCAAAACTCTCCTTTTCTTACTGCCTATCAAGCAGACAAGCATGTAATTAAAACCATTTTACTAATTCTCTTTTTAGATTAGGTGCCACTGAAAAGCTGCTACAACTCTACTGTTGGAATAATGATTTCTATTATAGTCAAGCTGAATCTGAATTGTACAAAGGGTAAGTTTTACCACTGGATTAGATGGAAAAAAGTTAATCTGTAAATTACAAAAAAAAAAAGGTTATTGTCACAATTTGAAATCCACAATATGAGCACATTTAGTACTTACTAGACTCAACTCTTGCATCATTTATGTATATACTCCTCCAATGTGAAAGAATTGGCAAAACTCACAAAAGATAAAAACCGAAAGTAAATTTTAAGTAAAACTCAAAATAAAACCCTAAAATAAGAACATATAGAAATTTAGTTTTCTATTTGGGTCTTTCTCCTCACAAACAAACCTATAAAAACAAAACTTCATAACGTACAGGGGAAAACAAACTCTATAAATGTACTAACAAATAGACTGCAGGGATTTATATACTTCCTGGTAATTAGCAGCTTATAAAAAAACCTTCACAAAATCTGAAAGTAAATATCTGCATGCTCATATAGATTATGAAATATATATTTTTGTGTTTTGGGTTTTGTTTACTTTTGGTTTATTTTCTAGTGTTACTGACTAACAGCTTTATTCAGATAATTCACATATACAATTCACTCATTTAAAGTATATAATTCAATGGCTTTTAGTATATTCACAGCTGTACATCTATTACCACAACCAATTTTAGAATGTTTTCTTTGCCCGAAAAGAAACTCTGCCCCTCACAGCCGTCATCTCCCATTCCACTCACCCCTCTCCCCAATCCCAATCCCCTACCACCCAACCTTAGGCAACTACTAATCTACCTTCTGTCTCTATAAGATTTACCTAAACATTTCATACAAATGGAATCATACAATATGTGGTCCTTTGTGATTAGCTTCTTTCACTTAGCACAGTGTTTTCAAGTTTCATCCATGTAGTAGATGTATCAGTACTTCATTCCTGTTCATGACTAAGTAATATTCCATTAGATGGATATACTGCATTTTATGTATCCATTCATTAGCTGATGGGCATTTGGGTTGTTTCCAATTGATTCATTTTTTTAAACAGTATCTCTTATTTTGTTTTACTTTGTTGACTAAAAATATTCATCCAATCAAGGCATATAAAGCACCATCTCCTCAAAGTAAAATAATTTACTTTGTGTTCAAGACCATGGTCAAAAGTATTGAATGTCCCTTAGGGTCAAGTTTTAATATTCTTAAGTAAGGTATATCATCTTATGTGGGCCTCAAATTTTCTCATTTCTATAATGATAAATTATCTAGTTATAATGAGACAAGACTATTTCTGAGTGTAAAGTTTTAACTATTTAGAAACTGATGTTTATAATGCAATGTAAGAATTATCAAAATAAAGCTGAATAAAACTCCAAATGTAGTACAGTGACACCAGTGTAAAACCACTCCATAGGGAGAAAAACAGAATAATAAATATCCTGATCCTCCCCTCTTCCCTCCCTCCAATTCTGCCAAGGCTCTCACTGGCAAATCCTTCCGAAACACAAGGGAGGATCCCACCGCTGAGTCCATACAAATCAGCCTCCTGAAGCAAGGAGTAGATGCGAAAGAGCAAAGAGAAGATCCCCGATCCCCAAACCATTTCAAACAGCTTTTCAGACTTGGAAAGTGAACAGTAAAAGAAGAAATAAAAATGTCAGAGCTGCTAGTTATAAGGTCTCAACATTATTAGCATGAACAATGGCTATCTATAAATATAAATACAAAGGTGCCAAACAGTCTAAATCTAAGAACTTGTCAGTACGCACTGCTGAAGCTCAAAGGTTAAGTTAACAAACACACACACAAACACTCATGTCACTATCAACACTACTTTGAACATTCTGAGATGGAATACATGAATAAATGTTCCTAGCTAGTACAAAACATCAACAAATTAAAAATAAACTGAATTTACTCATACAGCTTATAATGCAGATATTCTGTATTAAAAGTGGAAGATGTATTAACAGTATGACCAAAAGAGCTTCACTGAGCCTTGTTCGAGACTATTGACACTTGATGTTCACATATAAAAATAATAACATTAGCAACCATCACGCAGTGCTAGCAGATTTAAGAGTACACTTGGTTTTAAGAAGGTTGACATGAAATCCCTTCTTGCTGAAGAAGATATACAGAGTCAAGAACTAACTCATTAAGGTGAATTAGATCCCATGCTATTTTAGATACAACCCGATAGGGAGTGTGCATTTGAAAAGCTATTCAATCTTCAATCTATTTAATAACATAAAAACCTTAGATTACATAGAGGACAAGTCTCTACCACATAATAAACCATCTTTATTCTTTCTCTTTTGCTATTTTTGGAAAACAGAAAAACACAATGTTGTCACATATTATACAGGGGCCATATTCCTGGAGTTCCCCCTTAATTCCAGACTAAACATAACAAGGAATGAAAGGTATTTCTGTTTACTCTATGAAGTGGAATATGAAAATTAATTCATCTCAACCACTTTGAAAATTATAGTAAACTTGACAAAGTAAAGATGCACATTATTTCACAACTTGTGCACAAAGTTTTACACCTATCTTTATATGACAGTATTTTCAGTTTTGGAAATGTGATCACACTAATGCCAACCTTTCCTTGGTTTGTTTATGTAGAATTTGACATGGTTCTTCAAAATTTGTTTGAGGCAACAATCTAAAAAGGTCTATATGATTATTCTGTAAGTGGAAAAAATAATCAATTTTATTCTGAACTTGCCATTATCACTCTGGCTCAAAGGATGACAAATTTCTATCTTCCAGAGGAACTACCCTCCTCATTTTGAAGTCTTTCTATAATAGTAATCCCATGTTTTGTTTCATTCCAACTTTCAAGTACCCAGAACCAACAGACTTGGTGACAACCAATTCACATTAACATTGCTTTCCAGGGTACCTTAGCCTTTTTCAGGTGGATTACCTTAAACATTCCTCCCTCAGATCTTAAAAATAAAAGAGAACATTTACTATCTCATCTATATATTATCAGGATGCAGTCCTTGGGCTCTCCCAGACTTGTTTGATACCTGTGTTATAAGCACACACTGAGAGAATTAGCTGCCCCACCAGAATGCGGGACACATTAAGGCATCTACCATATTTTATGTGGGAGATGGAGTCACCACCATAATGACCCTGAGCTGCATTCAGAGCTGACATTGCAACTTTTCTGGAGGCATCTTGGGAACTGGTTGTTTAAACTTCCACCCCATCAGAAACTCCCCTCAAGGTACCATTTCCCTGAGAATGCCATAAAAATGTAATGCAAGTAGGCTCCTCCCAACCCTCAACCAAAATAACGTGATAAAGTTAAAGTCCACTTTAAGGCCTCCAGTGTATCGACCTCCATAAGAAGCCTAGTAGGCAGAGGCGAATCAATAGACTAGGAAACACGGCAACTAACCAGACAGTTAATCCAATCTTCACAGAATCATAGATAGGGTGAAAATTGGGATGTGATTTGGGAACACGGCTTAGAAGAGAGCTGGAATTCTGTAGGTCAAGAAAACATATGGTAAACTGATAGTTATACCACCCTGTCTACATAAGGAAGTTTGCCAAGAGTAAAAAGTTGCATAGAAAGTATAGTATTTTCAACTACTGTTATTCCACCTTACAAGTTCAACTACAACTACCACCTTTATAATTTGTAAAGTGCTTTCACAGTTATTATCTCATCTGAACCATATTACAACCCTATGAGATAGGTATAATTATCCCTGTTTTAGCTGCTAAAGCTTGAGAAAGTAGTTGCTAAGGAGCAGAGGTGGGATTTGCACTGGTATGTCACTGATTCCAAATCAGATGCTCTCATTCCATGGCACCAGGTTGTCTCCTGTAGCATGAGACTATAATCGACCAACACAAAAAGGAGACAGGGAGAGGATGCCGACCAAACTGCCAAGCTAATGCATCTGAGAAGGGAATACATACAACTAGCCTGTCCTCCATTCCTGGGCTGGACGCTTCACTAAACCAGACGACAAAGCCTTCTGGAATACCTGCTGTGAGTTGGGCACTGTGAAGGCAGTATGCCCACTCCCAGCCCTCACAGAGCTCATGGTGTAACTGGGGACAACAAAGTGTAAACAAGTAGTTAAATGTCACAAGATAAATGTAGGGGAGACAAAGAGGTAGTAAGGCAGCATGTCAGGAAATGGTAAACAACACATCATGTCACACCACGAATCATGAGCAATCCATCAGTGGTAGGATTCGAATTAAATTACAATTCGATTTTACTTATTTATTATTTAGGAGACATTCTGTTTTTCAATTTTTTTTCTTCTCCACATCAGCCCACCCATTTTAAAGCCCCAAGCATTGATATGATTTCATACCAATAATTTGGAGATAATGATTTGTGTCTCGGTTCTGCCTGCATGGATCTCCTTCTGATAATTTGGGGAAAGAATGATGTGTATCTCCCCTCTTTTCAGAGAGTGGCCTTGGGGATTTTATTCTTTGTTGGGGCAGGGTCTTAGCTTTTCTGACAGATTTAGGAAACAGGAAGACAGACATCCAGAACTGAAAAATCTGTCAAACTCATTTTCTTTCACGGTTTTCTGCCAATTTTTGCTCCCTCCCTTTCTCTCTCTCTTTTTCCCCTTCTTTTGAGTAAGAGGAAGAGTTGGGAAAATACGTATGTGCCGGTTCCTAAAGGGACAGACTAATAAGTGCTGCTGAGCAAAAATGCAGGTGCGTACTAGTCAGAAGGTCACTCTCTGCTCCTTGGAGATGAAGCAGGAAGTCAAGCAGGAAAAGGGTAAGTGAATGCAGGCAGTAGAGAAGGCTAGTGGGAGGGACATTCTGTCCGTAACTGTCACACCATCATCAGAGCACTGAGGACAGAAGGCTGATTTTTGCCTTCCCAGGACTGCACAAGTCAGACCTTTTCCCCCTTCCTCCATTTCTCATCTCCCCATTAGCCAGAAAGCAGGAAAGAATTAAACCTATTTTATTGCTAAATAATTAACAAACCACTGGCATTCTGACAAGTTGGCATGCATTTTCTTAATCAGCAACCCAGTAATTTTGTTTCTAAGCTACTTAAGATAAATACTGTCACTTAAGTATTCTAGATGAGCCTATGTCCACTATCCATTTCCTTGCAGTAGCTTGAGTAATGCTTTCTCTCCCTTCGAGCTTCCTTCTAACCCAAGTTTGGTTTCTTTTCACACTTAGGGATTACACTATTAACCCTAAAGGTAGCAATAATATGCCTAGGATAGTTCCATCAGAAAAAAATGACGAGGTTTATGCGACTTTTAATGATACAATTACTCTTCGAAGATCCTAGGAACTCAAGTTACAATAGAGATAATGACATTGCTCTTGATAAGGTCACCAATGACAGCTTAAGCCTAATTACTAAAGTCAATGATTCTATAGAATTCTTGTCAAAACATAGCAATGTTTGACAGAGAATCACTTATTCTCTCTGCCTTGAAACTCCCTCTCCCCATGCACCTTGTCCCCAACTATCAGGTTCTCATTCTCTCCTTCTCCTCTCCCATTTTCGTGCGTTTTCCTTATCAGTCTCTTCTACCTCTCTCTTGGGTATGGGTGTGTTCCTAGGCACCCTGGATGAATTTTCTTTATATGCCATAAAAAGCCCTTTCCTAATCACCTACCTGTCCACAACACTAGCCTTATGTGACCGCCATACCACATGCCTTCCAGCTTCTAAGCAGTGCTGTGCTTGTCCTGCACTGGAGCGCCTGTATTCATGTGGCTCTGTCTTTCCTCTTCAGTGCCTCCTATCCCCTTCGACAGGCCTACTCAACCCGGAAGATCCCACCTGGCATAGTTGTTCTCTGTCCTTTTCCTTACCACCATCTGTAATCATGCACTTGTTAACTATCTGTCCCACTAGTTCCTTCAGGTCATGGACTCTGTTAAACACTTGTATCCTCTACAATGCAGCAAGTAACCAATTAAGAGTTCTGAATAATAAAGTAGGTTAGAACATCATGTCCAAATAATAGAGACTAAAAACCAACTAAAAATTTTCCATACAACTTTTACATAAAACACAGGAAGGCTTTCTGAGCTTTATGATGTACTTCCTATTCCAATGCTTTATTTTTCAAACAAAAGTAATCAACAAAATAACCTTAGTTGTTTATACACAAAGCAATAATTTCTGCTTTACGCAAAGAGTAGTATTTGAACATGAAAGCGACAACATATGTTCAAAATAAAAATCTATCAATGTTCAAAAGTATATAAACCCTAGTTGGAGTCATGGGTTACACACACACCTTTATTGTATGTGTAGATCTATATACACACATATATACTCACACATACATACTCATCTAGCATCCCTATTACTGTCTTAGCTGTCAGAATACCAACTGTCAATAATGTCACATAAATTACATAGACGGTGGCACAGAATTTTTTTTTTCAAAATATAATCATTTTATAGATGCACATAATACAGAGGATACTGCAAGAATACCAATGAGAATCATCATGCCAGTAATTTGGATTACATTTCCTTCAGTTCTCTAGTGTAAACAAATCTTCTTCCAAATAGCCCTATTAGTAAATGAAATATTTACTACATCGATAAATTTGCCAAAAAATTTACTGGCCCAACATGTTTTCAATGTAGAGAAGTTCATTTCACAAGGTATTTATTTCATATCCATTGTCAAGGTTCCCATACAATGAGGGCCTTTAAAAAGCTTAAACGGGTTCAAGTTCTAATGACATTTTTTGAGTTTCTATTTTTAAAAAATCAATATAAAGATAGGATCTCTTAGTTGATTGTTTTTTCCTTGCAAATTGTAAATCAAACCTTGAAGATATAGAAAATAAAGATACTATTTTAAATTCTGCTTTTAAAACTGTCCCTTACAATGAGTCTTTACATTTTTACATCTCTTAAGGTGGGGGGATAGTGTTACTAAAAGGGTGACCTTGAGCCCTCTTAGCTTACTAAAGGCAGATGATAGAATCTACTCTGCTGAGATTATTGTAAAGATGATGATGTATGAGAAGCATTTGGACTGGTACCTGGTAAACAGATATGTTAAACACATTTATTGAACTGACAAAGTAATCAAGCTACTAGTGGGGGTGTTACAGGCTCTGGAGTGAGAATATCTGTGTTCAAAATCAGTTTGATATTCTACTAGCCATGTGACCTTGGGAGGCATTTACTTAATATGCCCGAGGTCCACTAGCCTTATCTGCAAAAAAGTGTTAACCAGACAACCTTGCTCCTGGGGTTGCTGCAAGATTCGATGAGATAATGCATACAAAGGGCTCAGCACAGTGTTTAGCCATTCACTATCTTGTTATTTACATTGTATTAATATCATTAGCACGTCAGAGGTGGTGGGAAGCAGGAAGATTTGCCCAAAAAATTCTGAGAGACTACAAATTCTCTGCAAGAATTTTTAAAATTAATTTTTGGTTTTTATTCATATAATAATTTTTGAAGTTAACAAAAATACTTAATGACAACTTGTATTTACATGAACAAAGAGGTACAAAGTAGTCATGTAAAGGTGAACTTAATATGTGGATGACACTCACTTCTCAAGCAAAGATCAAATGAGGCCATTCCTTGCTGTATGAAGGCCTCAGCTAGTTTGAATAAGGAAAGCAGTGAGGAACTCAGCTGTCATGACACATGCATACATGAGAATGCTGAAGCCACCAGCATAACTGTGCAATGTTATTTTTAATAAAACATTACTATCCACGACATTAAATTAACTCTCTAATTCCAGTTTTAATGGGTCTTTAGTTTTTGTTTTGTATTTTTAGTAGAGATGGGTTTCACCATGTTGGTCAGGCTGGTTTTCAACTCCTGACCTCAAGTGATCCACCCGCATCAGCCTCCCAAAGTGCTAGGATTACAGGCATGAGCCACCACGCCCGGACGGGTCTTTAGTTTTTTTGGGTGTGTTTAAAATTATTTTGCTTTTAAAACTTATGAGCCATATATTATAGTAAAGGCTTAACTAGTTTTATATTTTACATGTTTATAATTATCATAATATAATTTAACTCCTAACTAAAGGAGGCCCTTTTTTTTTTTTAACTATTTAAATCTTTTTATTCATCTTTGTTGAACAGCTTTCTCCATCTGGTTTCGAGAATTCTTGGCTAAAAATTATGGGGTTCAGCCTAATCATTAAAAAAAAATCTTGTCAAATTCTGCCATATTTCAGAATTGAGAAACTTGTGAAGTAAAAATAAGAGTATAAATTAGAACAATTTAACTGACCTCACTGTTAACACACTGAGTTAACAGTGTGTCAAAAAATGAGTATTGGAAAGGGAATCATATATTTGAGATTCTGGACATTCTTTGACTCAAATTAGCCACTGTGGGGCAATTCACATCTTCTTTGGGCTTCAATTTCCTCATCTGTTAACAGAGTATCCTATTAATAGAGTTTATTCACTCATTCTATAGTTTTGTTATTTTCTTTCAGCACCTTTATTCTAGTGACTATACTGAGTTCTACAGATACAACATGAAGTAAGACACAAATAGTTCTCTGAAGCAGCCCACATTCTATGGGAAGAAAGCACATAAAGTAAAAAGTGCTGTGATAGAGGTATGTCCAGAGTCCATATGGGATCACATACATCTCAAGGGATGCATACAATATGAGTGCACAGAGTGCTAGATAGCAGGAGTGTGGGAGGTGTGTCCCACCCGTGTCTGAGCTCCTAATAGAGCTTCAGTTTCTCTGGTCCAGTTCTGTGCCCTAGCAAGACTCATCCTTCTATTTCCAGGGCCACACACCCGATTCCAGAGGCTTAAGAGTGCTCTGAACTATTGAAAATGGGTGGAAAAGGTCTCCATGGGATGAACAAACAGGGAACTGACATGTTGCTGGGCAATGGGCAATGATCTAGATATTGTCAGCAGGTCATCCTCATCAGGCTACAGTGAGAAGGGTCATCTAATTTTCCAAGCGATGCACAGTGCTTTCTCAAACAGAAAAGGCTGGTATCCCAGAAAGCCCTTCCGTGGCTTTGTGCTGCTCCCTGGCACTAGCAGCTGCAGGACATTTGCTCCCAATGAGTCAGCATTCTCCCTTTGTAGACTCTATCTCTGCCTATCTGCTTTACTGTGGAACCTTCAGATAGTCAAGGGAAGGACCAGATCTCTTGCTCTTAACACCTTGACCACAGATCTTTAAATTGAACAACAAAGAATTTCTCATACGGTACTCTGGTTCTGATCTAAAAACTTGCTTTGGGATGAGGAATACAGAAAGAATGGTAATTCTTCTTATTTACCCTACCAAGGGAGATAGGGTAAGTAAGAATTGAACACAGTGGTCAATTCCAAATATCATTTCATCATACGAGCTGTTGTTATTTGTGATATTACTAGCAGCCAGATCACACCATCTTCTTTAGCAATCCATTCTGCCCCTAGCATCAAAGCTTTAAAATGGAATGAGGTACCTTTCATAGACTCACAAAAATCCAGCCTTCTTTATGTAGCAAGTTTAGATAAGTGATATGATTTGTTCAGATTCATACAGCAGAACCAAGGGTAGATGTCACTTTCAAGTTCAGGCTTCCTCCCAGACCAATTACTATTTTATTTTATTTTTCTAGACTAACATTTTGTTACCTGCTGATGTCTTGTTTGTTGCACAATCTTTAAAGTCAGATTGTTTTCTTATCCCGGCCTTACTATTTGCTAGCTGGATGTACTTGAGCAAGGCACTTTACTTCACTGAGACTTATATTCTAATCTGTTAGATAGAGACTCACATCTGGGGGAAATAATATATGCCCCTTATAATCACTGTGATGATTATATGATTTAATTCATATAAAGGTTTTAGCACAGTGACTTGCATATGATAATTGCTCAATAATTTTTTAACATTTTAGATACAGTTTTTTTTCCTTTTTTTAAATTATACTTTAAGTTCTAGGGTACATGTGCAAAATGTGCAGGTTTGTTACATATGTATACATGTGCCATTTTCATGTGCTGCACCCATTAACTCATCATTTACATTAGGTATATCTCCTAATGCTTTCCCTCCCCCCTCCCCCCACCCGACGACAGGCCCCGGTGTGTGATGTTCCCCTTCCTGTGTCCAAGTGTTCTCACTGTTCAATTGAACAATGAGGAGGCCCTTTTCATTTATCAAGCTTGAGAAACATTGTTTTCAGGAAATGTGTGGATTAATTTATCAGATCTCTCACAAAATTATAACCAAATAAAATAACTCTGCAAATCTGATAGATGGAAAAGCAAAAGAGTATGAAAATTAAATGCTATAATGCATAGGAAATACTCTATATAGTAGCTGTCACTTGCCTTGATAAAAATTTGCCTTTATCATTAGCATAATTATCTTAATCATTAGTCATCATCAACTATGGAAGCACCTATTCATCTTCTACTTTAGTACCAGGGAAGGAAAAGTGGGTACTAAACAATTTTCATCAAACAGCCAAATTGGTAATAAATGTTAATTTTGCCTTTCCTATTTTAAATAGTTACTGTTGTCTGGAACACTGGCCACACTGCTTGCTGTTTTAAGCCTACTAAAACTGGTAAAAGCCAACTACTGAGTAATGGCATAGTATTCTGCTTGTTTACAATCAGAAGGTTGTAAGCAGAAATCATAATCTTTGGAGTTAACAGTCAAATAATGAAGTACATCAAAGATTCACAGAATCTCCTAAACGAACAACATGAAAATTTACAAAGGAAGATGTTACCGGATCAGAAATTAAAATAAGACTGAATGAAATCCTTTAATAAGAAAAATAATCAGTGCAAGAACATTCAACATTCCTGCATATGTTAGACCAAGGCATCTGTCAGTGTGGTCTGAAATCCCAGAAATGTCATCATTTTTTAACTCTAAAAGTCCTCCAAAATAGAGGACTAAGCAGAAAAAATGAAAACAAACTGCAAAACACGTATCCTATTCCCAAAGAAAAAGAAATAGTGAGGGCCAGGCACAGTGGCTCACGCCTGTAATCCCACCAGTTTGGGAGGCTGAGGCAGGCGGAACACTTGAGGTCAGGATTTTGAGACCAGCCTGGCCAACATGGTGAAACCCCGTCTCTGCCAAAAATACAAAAATTAGGCGGGTGTGGCAGCGTGTGCCTACATTCCCAGCTACTCAGGAGGCTGAGGCAGGAGAATTGCTTGAACCCGGGAGTTGGAGGTTGCACTGAGCTGAGATTGCGTCACTGCACTCCAGCCTGGGCAACAGAGTGAGACCCTGTCTCAAAAAAAAAAAAAAAAAAAAAAAAAAAGGAAAGAAAAGGAAAAGTGAACATCATTAACATTTAAGCTTTGCAAAATCTGGATACCAAATCGAATCTGTGGCTATTGCAAGGACGTGTTTTTACCACAGCTTTATCAACATCAAAGTTGGACATAAACTTTGTATCAAAAGATATCCCTCCCACAGAATATATTCTGACTATTTGTAAAATGTCCTTCATGCAGGACAGATTACATTCCTTTTGCATTTCTGCTTGTCATGAAAATGAAGTTCAAAGTTAAAATTTTAGAGTATGCTTCTCAAGATACATTCTGTGCCTCAGAACTCTCTAGGTTAACTGACAGGATCCTCCAGCGCTGAGAGAACCCCAATCAGCTGTTGACCTCCTGGAACTGTGCAAACACTATATGATTTAATATATATAAGCAAAGTAGTGATGTACACATATAAACGAAAATGGAGATTCATTAACCTCAATGTCTTGATAAAAATAATAGGGTATCTGAACTTCAGCAATGGGAAAGGTAGAGTGTTGGGGAGGAACTTAACTAAAGATAGATTAAGACAGCAGAGACCATAGTTGGTGACTCATTAGGATACTGAGGCGATGGAGGGCAATGACGCTATTTCTGACTTCAGGACAAAGTACCAACTCCTAACAGTGGCAGTGTCGGCTCTTCCTGACCTTGCCTGCCTGCCTCAACTCCCTCATATTTGATATTCCAGCTATACTAAATTCTCCCTTCCAATACAGTGCTCCTCCAAGCACCCAGGCATTTGTACATTGATTTTTTTTTTTTTTGCATGAAATACCCTTCTCTAGCTGAAAAACTTCTACTTACCTTTTAAGACCCTAACATGTCCACACAATAACAGTTTTCTATACTCCTCGCCCCAGCAGTTTAATCCCAGTCATTTATGCAGACAAAGTGTGCTGCTCACTCTTCCACTGTGAGCATGCTTATTTCACATTTGGTTGAACAATCAAATTCGTGCTAACTTAGAAAGGGATTTTTCCTCTGGACATTAATAATAACCTCATTCCTCCACACACTAATCAGAGTAGAGCCTACTTTCAACTGTCATTATCTGCTTATCTTGTTTTACTAATGGGCTGTTGGTTCCTTAAGTCTTCAGGAATGTTTCTCATTTAACTCTGTACCTAGCAACTTAGTAAATCCTCAGCAAATATTTGCTCAATAAGATAGTAAAATCGTCTAACATTTAGCCATCTAAATTGTCTACAATTCCAACCTATGCTTATCATCATTTCTCAAGATAAAGCTGTGGTAAAACATAATTCCCCCTCATCATCATCCATGAATGGGATAAGTGTTTTTTCTCATCCTCCCTTCAGATTACAAAAACCCTTGCTCTCTAAACATTTTTTCTATTGCTTTCTTTAATTTCTCTATTAATTTTTAGGATGTAATACATGCAGAAGGTAATATTTTACAATAGAGCACAGTGTAAAGTTTACATGACTTTCAATCCTGTGTGGGTCTTAGTCCTGTCTATAAAGAATCAGAATACATATGCAGCTGTATTTGGGTCTCTCCAATTATTTGTTATTCTATAGCTAAGTGTCTTCCCTTGATGCAAATTATTCTGCTTTTTAAGAGATCACAGTTTTGTTTCATAATCCCACTGAATGAAATTTTTTTCCTTTGCAGGATAAATTTATTTTAAAACAAAACCAAGGCAAAACAAAAATTGATGTTACGGTTAATGGTTTAAGGGGTAAAGATTCTCAATTCCAGTTCTGCTATCAAATCAGAGGCAAGCCAACAAGCCCCTGAGAAGGGGAGAGCCCTGTTAAGCAGGACACTGTCCTAAAACCACGGAACTGCATCATCACGGTAATGCCCTATGGTGGACACTTTGTTCTAGCATGTGTAGTGGGTCACTGCTTTTTAAAGGTAAATTCCACCCCCCCTCAGAAAACGTGTCATGTGACCATAGGGACTTAACTGATTTTTTTAGAAATGGCCCATTATTTTATGAGCAATTTTTTAAAGCAGCAAAATATAATTTTAGCAAGTGGAAACATGAGGCCAGAAAAACACCTTCTTAACATTTAACACATGAATTGAAATTCTCCAGAACAGCATTACTAGAGTATGATCCAGAGACCCTGAGGAGCTTTCAGTGACTAATGAGAGGTTCCTCAGGAAGAAGACACAGTGCTGATATTCAAAAGAGAAACAGGAATGTGCTGGTAATTAATTTACCTGAAGGTGGAGGAAAGACAAGACCCTGAGGGCAAAGCAAAAACTAAAATGACACTGGCTTTAAGGGCAAAGAGAGAATTAGCAATAAAGAGGAAGGTCACTACCTGTGAAATCCAACACAAGCCCGAAGCCTCACAGCAATGATCTGAAAACCACGAATAACACCAGAATTCAGAAATCTATGTTTTCACTTCCTATTTAATAAGGCAATTTGAAAGAACCTCTATTCCCATTCAAAAAGAAATTAAAATTCCACAGAAATTATGTTAAAACACAAGTTTACAGTTCCAATGGGTTTCTGCCATAAAGCTGCCTCGCCTTCTAAATTTTGAGGTTGTGAGATGACAGCACCCAAATTTAATAACTAGGTCTTTCAAAAATTAACAAAGCATAAGACAACAGAAAAAGAAATACTTAAAAAAACCTGGAAACCTTTGATTATCAAAAAATGCTGAAATAAATTACCATAAATCTTAACAGAGTTTAAATTTATTTTGTTTGTATAATGCTTACAGCTTATTTGTGAAATCATGCTCATGCTAAGATTTAAACAAAAGACCAAACTAAGAATTATACAGTAAATTGGGAAAGATGCAATACTCCTTCACTCAATCAGCTAATATTACTGAGCACCGTGGATCCTCAGTAACATTCCACCTTCACATACAATCTTGTGAACGGCTTGTAATACAAAGAAAAATATTTAACAAAATTGAAAAAGGCCCATGCCTCTGCTTACACCAGATTTCCTGTGATATACAGATTTCCTATAAACTTAGCACCTATTAACTACTGGAAAGCATAGTTGTGCCTGAGTCAGCACCTTTCCTTCCATCTTGAAAGTCTTCTCTGCCCAGAAGCAAGCAGCCCACTGAGCCCCTAGCTATGGGATCAAGAGTAAATGATTAAACTCTCGGTCTTGGCTTCCTCATCTGAGAAGAGGCACCTGTGAGGCTCAACCATATGCAAAGGACCTTGCCTGACTTCCTGTACACCACAGGAATTAGTTACACAGAGTCTCATCATTCAAGATCCAGCCCAAGATGTGATGCATTCATCTAGGTCAGGATAAGCTCTCCTTTTCTGGATTCCTTTAACTCTTAAGAGTTTAGCTTATCACTGCTTTTTGAAATTGTTTACTTATGTTAGTGATTCTCCCTAGCTGTACTTCATACCATTTAGGGCAGATCCCATCATATACACTGAAGCACTTCCTAAAGCACTAGTCAAAATAACTGACCATTAATTCATTTATCCTTGAAAGCCTGAGAAAATCCATTTTTAAAAAAACAGACTGATAGCTAGACAGTAAGAGCAACTTTTAGAAAATGTTTTAAAATTATAAGAAATTCCCCTACAAACAGGCTAATTTAAAAGTCTTTTATAAACTAGCTGTAATATTTTATCTGAAAATATTTAGCAAGTCATGATATTATAAATCTATTTCTTGGACATCCAACAAAAGTAAATTTTTGCCATATATAAATCAAATACATAATTACTTGTATTATTCCACTTATGTGTAACAATGCTTGATGGATAAAATACCATCTGGCTTCAGGACTGTCCATAAGACTTCCCTGAATAATGATGATGTTGCATTTATAAAACTGACCCTTTCTTATGCTGCAGCATTATCATAAGTTGACAATGGTTTAACGGTTAGCCCAGAGGCTGCTGAACTTCATATATAAGTTAGCATTAAGGTAATAAAATATATGTGAATAATGCTTATCAAAGGTTACACATTTTAGAACAGGGTATTTCATCTGATCAAATTATATAACATAAGCCGGCAAGGAAGGAAGGAGTATAGCATTTTCCTCGTCATCTTTTGAATACCATCTTTTTCAGTGTCAGCTCTTCAAGTCACATAATAAGTCCAAGCTTAAGTTCATAGCCTTGTAAAATCTTGCTATAAACTACTGAGAATCTTTTTGTGAAAAAATGACTGATCTAATATTTTCTTGTTGTAAGGATCACAGTCAATTTAGGATTTCTAAAAAGTGTTTAAATTGACATCAGCCTGTACTCCCACCATTCTGGGAAGCAGAGGCAGGAGGACTGCTTGAGCCCAGGAGTTAGAGACCGGCCTGGGAAATATATGGAGACTCTTGTCTCTAAAAAAAAAAATTAAACGATTAGCTGAGTGTAGTGGCTCACACTTACATTCCCAGTTACTCTGGAGGCTGAGGTGGGAGGATCACTTGAGCCCCGGAGACTGAGGCTGCAGTGAGCTATGATCACACAACTGTACTTCAGCCTGGCCAACACAGCAAGACTCTAAATAAATAAATAATAGGGAACATAATACTTATAGGCATGGATACATTCCTTCACTAGAGACATCATAACAAAGATTGGCCAGCCTAACAAAAATAGGTCAAGTTCTTGAGTATTTTTGCCAATCAGAGATTTTAATAGGTACCCCCCATTCAAAAATTAATTTACATTTTTTTCCTACAAACTGCTCAAAGATACACAAAGCAATTCTTATCATTTCATTAATCCTATTTTATATTAGATCATAAAATGGTGCATTATACATGTTGTTTTATGACCACACAGCTGTTCCTTAAATAGTTGCTGCCTTAATTGAACTTGAGATGTGGTTTCTTGAATATAATGAAAATATACTTTCAAAAAATGCCTTATTTGGGAGACATGGAAAAAGAAAAGGAAAATGCTGTCAATACCCACAGACAAGAGTTAATATCATCTCTTAAGAAAAGTATTTCAGCACTGGTGGAAGGCTGGATTGTACCAACTAGAAGGTTCTTTCCCACCCTCCTGTGACAACAGGGTTAGGGTTTGCTGTTCTTCACAGTCAACGAAAGTAGCAGAGTTTAAAAATACCTTTTGATTACCCTAAAAGCAAGTAACAGTTGATGCCAACTGAGCAAAAAAGAATGTTGATATTCAATTTCCTGCCTATGGACTTCCTAGGGGAGAGACTTGGTAAAACATGCTTGTTGCTGTTGATCTGGTTGCAGAGCTATTCTTTCAATTAGCTACTGGAGACACAGATAGTATAATTAAATAACTAAAGATAATACCCCCCAAGAAACTCATTTTCAGCACCAGACCAAGATTGCAGTAGTGCCTTGCCTGAATTTTGTATTTTATTGTCCCAGTCCACCCTATGCTGAAGATACTAATAGACAAATAGCCAAAAATCACTTGGAAAACAGAACTAAGAAGAAAATGAAAGGCTTTGATCCAATAGAAACATGGATAGCTAGACTGATCATAGCACTGTTGTGCCAGGAAAAACCTGGACCACACTGGACTGAATAGAAAACATCAAGAAAGAAATTGTTTTAAAAATCTTTGAAGTACAATTTAATTAATTATTAAAATTTGAAAAAGACCTTAGAGATCATTTTATGATTAAGGAAACTAACATCCCAGAGGTACGTGACTTTTCTAAGGTCACAAAGCTAGTTTGCTTTGTGAATAAGAACTTGCTGAATAAGAACTAGCCTACAGATTTTTCTTATTTATATTCAGGCCAAGATTTAGTACACTAGTTCCCTATACCTTACTTAAGTTTGATGTGAATATGCTCTTTCGATCATAAAAGGTATGATGGATTTTAAGGTCGATTGAAAATATAAATATACACCCTATAGTTGACTGAATTCATGTTTTTCTGCTGAGGCAAATGGACATAAGACTAGTTAGCCCCAGGCCAGGGCTGACAATCACTGTTCTAATCCAGTATTTTGAGAAAACACTATGGTGGCTTGTGAGCAACTCCTCACATTCACATTTTCACATGAGGGTGGGAGGGTAAGTATTTTGGTTTAATGAGTTCTACCTCTCTCTGAGCTCAGTGGACAGCAATTTTGCCGCATTTAGAGAGCTGTGTCTAACTTGGTTCACATATAATCTGAAGTCTGTCCTGGGTAGCCAGTAAGCAAATCAGCCATGAAGACTTTTGTCTGACAAATTCAAATGAACAAACAACAACAATACAACACTTGGTGACAGGAGCTGGCATACATGAATCTGATTTATTTAATTCTCCGTATACCTATTAGCCTCTGAGCTTTTAGAAATAATCACTCAGGCAGTGCGTATCACTTTTATTTTGCCTGAGAACTCGCAAGCAATACTGAGGAAAAATCCAACAGGGCAGAGCCTCTAAAAATGTCACTGAACTCTAACACAGCAGGGAAGGGATTTCCTTATTTCATGTTATTGTTTCTTTGCTATTTTGTTTTTATGAGAATATACAACAGTACAAAATAGTACAAAATAACAAAAATAGTTAAGAGTCACCACCATTTCAGGAGTTGCTTATTTGTCTTCATCTGTGGTCAAGCTTCTGAAAAATGGCCAGAGAATCTTCCTCTTTACCTGGTTTCTCCAAGTCACATAGCAGAAGAAAGCCAATTTTAACACTGTTTCAAAGAAAGGGAATAGTACTTGGAAGTAACATGCAGTGCAAAATAAAAAAAAAAGGATACACACACACACACACAGCATAAAATATCAAAAGTACCAGACTGCTCTTACCAGCTTATGGGCCAGCTAAACAACTGTTTCTTCCACTTTGACCTGTTCCTTCAACCTCATCCACCCAGCAAAATCCTAAACTTGGGATCAATACAGCAAAGCACGATCTCTCATTCAGATGCAGGAAGCTGAAAACTTCTGGGGGAAAATTGTGCTGTGCTTCTCCTCCAATCCATGACTTAAATCCTAATCTGGTAACCAGTAACAATGAACTTTTTTAGCTATCCTTGGTACAGCTCTTTCTCAATTCCCTCAGAGACTATTCTAGATCATCACTAGGCTCTGGACCAACTCACAGGTGATTTATCTCCTGCTCTCCTGAAAAGATGAAGGCCACCAGCCCTGGTCAAAGCTGAATTCCCCACTCTACTCTTCTATCTAAAATATATTATACGTATAGACAGCCACACCCATCCCTAACTCTGAACTCCTCCTCCTGTTGGAGACTTACTTCCCAATTGAGTTCTTGACCCTGACTTCCTCTAGAGAGACAGATTATCCTCAGTCCTTTCCTTTTTTCAATTTTTCTCTTTAAGCTTTCCTTGTACACAGCCATAAACTTAAAAAATGGGTCATTCCTCCCGCCACCGGCCTTATCTTAGTGTTCGCAGCTCTACTTAGCAGTCTCTTTCTCCGTCTCTTTTCTCTTACACTTCCACAAACACACACTCTCTCTATCTCCTCCAACTCAAATATATTGAGAAAAGACACTTCCCTAGCTAGCAAGCACAGGACCGCAAGCACTGCATTCTACTTGTTCACCTGCTCCTCTGCACACGCGTGATTTTCCACCTCAGTATCCTCATTTCCATCCTGCCCCTCAAATCTTAACTGTCCAAGGCATCATTCCCATATCATGGCTCTTCTCATTCACCTTGTATGGTTGCAACCACTACCACATAGTATCAACAAACAACTCCCCACTGTTGACTGCTACATCTGCACCTTCTAGCCAAGATTCAACCTCCATCTTCAGAAAATCATGTTTAAATACCTACTTTGTACTGACTGACATTGTCATGTCCATAAGCATCTCAAAGTCACACATCGGATGGAAATCTTCAACTTTGTTCTCAATCTGGTCCCATACTCTATATTCCTATTCTCAACCCTAGAGTCACGGTAATCCTTGAATCCCTAGTGCAAAACACTGTGTTTGGGACTTAGTAAGTACTTAATGTGCTGAATGAATGAAATGATTAATTACTTTCAATATTATAATTTCCTACAAAATTAGTATTTAGGTCATGTGAACTAATCACATGATAACGCCACAGGACACAGGTTATTAACTACCACTGTACCCATCTTCTCTAAAGGAGAATAAAAATATTATCCATCTGGAATCATGCTCACCACTGTATTATAAACTTGTTTTTAAAAGGAATGACATTTAGTGACCAGAATACAAGACCTTTGAGACCATGTTAATTTTCGCCTAACACAAGGGAGAACGTCAACCTTCTAGCAAGCAGCAACAGTACAGCTAAATTCACTCTGGAACAACCTAGTTTGCAATTGAGAAGTTGATACAATTAAGAAAATGTGTTTATACTGTTCTAAAGAAGGGATTAACAGGATTATTATACTATTTTATTATCCTAAAGAAGTGGCTTTCCAGTGTTATAACTACCCTATAGTCCTTTCCAACATTAGAACTCTATAGTTATTCAGTTATTGTTATGCTTAAACATTTCCTCTACTACTGTATAGTTCCGTAAATCTCTCGGTCAAACTTTGCTAATTTCCTTTATTTATTAAGCCTTCATTGTTTTTAAGTAAAAGGTCCATTTATTTATCATTCAATCACACTACGGTCTCCCACTGAGAAAGACTGTGTACCTAACAAAAATCTTCAGAGTGTACTCGGGAAAAGAGACTATTTCCTTCTGTGTGGGTCAGCATCATATCCTGTCAAAAATCAGGACCCTATGAGCTCTCTGGGGACACTGACCATGGTTCTAAATAATATATGAATCTGGACAATTACAAATGTATGTTTTTGCTTTTTGCTCACACACAAGACACACTAGGGGCTTGCCTCTAGTTGAATGGCTTCTTGTTTTCACTCAGTTTCAGCCTATGCTCTCATCTCATTAGAATTTCAGTATCCTCTGGTCTTGCAGAGTTCCCTTTACCTTCTTTTGTATCAGACAAAAGATGGTAATTTACGTCTAATTAACGGAACTGAGTCATAATGAGTTCTTTTCTCTTAGACAG
Organism: Homo sapiens; assembly: GCF_000001405.40. Taxonomy (NCBI): domain Eukaryota; kingdom Metazoa; phylum Chordata; class Mammalia; order Primates; family Hominidae; genus Homo; species Homo sapiens. The sequence goes on from NC_000018.10 coordinate 28,086,862, forward strand.
CATTTGAATGTCCAAAATAACCAGAGAGATTGGGCTTTTTAAGTCTTGCTCCAGTTTAAGGTTTTATAACACAATGCTCTCATTCAGGCCTCCTACTTTGCATACAGTCAGAGGGCTGGAGGTTATCCACATTGTGAAATTCTTTGGCTAGTTATGCCCAGAGTGACTGAATGGCAGGCAGGCTGAATTTAATATTTTCTGCTAAGCAGCTCTGTTGAGACAGCCAAGCTTACGACTGCATCCTTTTCATGTCTCTTACTTATACTTTGAAATGCTATCTTTTGCCTGTTGATGAATTTGATAGCATTCTTTATGAGATCAATTTCCTTGAGAAAGATACAAAAGGCAGGATGAAAGACAAGTTTGATGCAAAACACACAAAGGGCTGTGCATCTGTGTGAAGAGAAGCATGATAAAGCATAAAGCGGTTCTCCCCACACCATGATGAGGGACAAAGATGTAAACACAATAAGCCCGCCTAAAGAAAGCAAAAGCACATGTTCTAACGGGAGCAGTAACCAGGTTAAAATACTTGAAGCATCTTCTTCCTCTCTTATGCCAGAGCATTTTAAAATGCCCTCTATACATGACGGCATGCCAACACAAACAAACTGCAGAGGCTGAACTCCACTGGCATCGTGCCGTCCTGAAATGACACCAGTTAGATAAACTGGGTTTTTACTCCTGGGACAGTCTTCAACCAAGCTTTTTATTACATTGGGTTAAGAAGAAAAAAAAATAACCCTTGTCTCCACACTTCAAAATCCAAATGTGTATTCCTTTGATAGGATATTGTTATATTAAAAATACTGTGGCAATATCACTTGTCATCATGTTCTACTGACACACATATTCACCAATGCTCCAAATTTCAGAGGCTCAGCCACTCAAAAGAAAAACAAAACAAAACAAAAAAAGAATGAATGAAAATAAAAAACAAAACAAAACAAAACAAAACAAAACAAAAAATAAGGCTGACCAAACTTTCATGATGGGAGCCCTGGGACCAAGAAATTATAGCTGTATTATAAAGGACAGGCAAACCACACTACAGATACTCGGTTTTTTACTCTCTCCCGCCTCATTTTTTTCCTCCCCCTCAAAGAGGGAGTGAATGTGAAATTTACACAGACAAGCTCCTCAATAGATACACTTGATTTGTCAAATGGAAAGATGACCCTTCAGTAACTAGGCTGCTTGGTGAAAATATTAAACCAGACAGTAAGTCAGAGAAAATTAAATACTACCTTGATTAATCAGGCTTAATGGGTGAGAAGCAACTAATTTATAACACTACATTGACAAAAACAGGGTAAAGAAAAAGGAGGCTGTTTCACATCAGATTAAAGTATAATTTCTTTTTCTACTTTTCTTGGGGAAGGAATATATTGATACTCATAAAGTCAACTACATTTTTGAAGATATAAACAAAAATCACTGTAGACATAGTCTTTGCCCCTTGATACTCAAAATCTAATGTGAGAAATAAAACATACGTAAGCCCTGAACACGCAAATGAGTTTTAATGTTAATTTATCAATCTGACACTTGAACCATAATTTTTTTCATTCGAATTAAATTGAAAATCATTTGGATGTCTCCAAGTTAGCTCAGATACCCTTTCTAAATTAGAGCAGAGTGAATTAACAGCACAAGGAATCTTGCAATCTTGCCTTTCAGCCTCATGTGCTTGAAGGCTTTCAGACCCTGAAGGTGATGGGGAGGAAATGTCCTGGGGCCTATGTAAGTCTGTCCGAGAGGCATCTGGTGAGCTAGGCACCTCCCAAAGGAGGTGGACAGAGGAAGAGGGTTTCTAGCACAGCACCTGCAGGGGTTTTAAAGGGTTCCTAAGGGGGCGGGCATGTTCCCTGACAGCCACCTTCCCAGCAAGTCAAGTGTTGCTAAACTGGGGGCCTTCTATGCATAGCAAAAGATAGACACCATACAAAGAAGCCAAAGTGTGAAATGAGTGGAGGCAGATATTGCATATCAGGAGAGAAAATACAAATTCTACGCTGGGTGTCACAAAAAGACTACAGTGCCAATTCAAGGGGAAACAAATCTGACTTGAAAAAATATTAATATCTAGATTATTACACTTTAGTATAATTTACAAAATAGCCACTCTTAAAGAGCTTTGGAAACAAAAGCCTACACACTGTGATTTAGTTTCATTCATTTGCTCTTTCTCATAACTGAATAGAAGTATAACAGAAAAGAGAGGAGGAACAGAGCTCATCAAGAGTACGTCTCCTTTACATGTCATTCAACTCTAGCACACTGGAAAAGCCTGCTTATAATAAAGAACCAATATACAGAAACTTCAGAAAAACCTAAATGCCAAACCTAGATCTTTGACTCTCTACCAGATGAGGACACCATCAAATGATAATTTTCTAGAAAAAAGATTTTAGGACCTCAAATAAAAGAGTGATAAATACAATGAAATTCCTTCTATATAATAACTACAACAGAAAAATCAAACAACAATATTCAGTCACAACTTATAATAACCAATCACATATATTTCTTCACATTATAATTATAAAATCTTCACATTTTAATCATTACAGTCAGTAGTGTTTCCTAGAAGGAAATTTTTAAAGGGTTATTATGCCTTACTATACATACGGGTTATCTAGTTTCCATAATCATTTTTTTAACAAAAAATTGCATATAAATTGATAGTCTGTAAATAGAGTTACATTTTAAGTGTCCTTGAATTATTTAAGTAATTTAAAGCAATTTCAATTGCAATTTTGTTCAAGTCCAATAATCTTTTCTAAAGCAAATGGTTATATCTAATTTATGCATTTCCTAATTGGTCCAACCTGTAACTGGTTTTCTTAAAACAAGATTAAAGAAAGTAAGGTTAGCCAAATTCATAATTAGTACTCTTTACCAGGTCTTATTCCAAGAGATGCATTTAGCAATAAATATTTAATGGACACCTGCTACCCTGGGTATGTGAACAGTGCCAGGAATACAGAGGTAAACAGGACAGAGCCCGATTCCTGTCCTGATAGAGCTCTCCACACTTCAGATCCATATTCACCTGACAGAATCTTCCATATCCACGTGAATTATGCTCTTATAAACTGTTTTATTACATCCTTAGTAAATCTATGAGGTTTCACTGATGAGAAACTAAAGTGTAGTTAGCATAACTACAAAAAATTATTGGATGCCACAGATGTCAAAGAACTTGGAGATCAATTAGTCTGGTGGTTCCTTTCCTTTCTGAATATAAGTATCAATTTTTAATTTATAAACAAAACAGAATTATACACAAACACAGAGCTATGTGGACCCCACATATTAGTAATTGTTCTTTTTTGCATCTGTTGACTAAGACAATGCCTATAAACTACTTTGAATTCACTACGCTTTTAAATACATGTCTATTACAGTAATCTCAATAACATCTAAATTAATTTGTCTCACAGTGACAAATGTGTGGCATTGGCTGACGTATGGATTTGTGTATTGGACAATAATTCCAAGGGCCTTTAAAAGGCAATAAAGGCAAAAATCTCACCCATCTCCTTCATGTCCTCATTGCAGCACAAATGAGGGCCAGAAATGACTGCACTATCTTCCAAGGTCATACCACTGGCTAGCGAGAACACTGAGGACTACAGCTTCTTCCCCCCAGGCAGCGTCCACAAGCATCTGCTCAGGTGTTACCCATACCCTTCCCTCCACAGATGACAATTCTCCTTTAGCTACAAAATTCAGAAGTCATCTCTGTGTATGTTTATTAGAGTAGCTTGTACTGTATTCCAGCAAACTGGTGGCAATGCTATAAATGCTCTCCCTTTCCAACCTTATGGTAGATAAGAACTCAATGAAAGCTAAAATATAACTTCAGGGCAAAAGACAAATTTTCTTTTATTGTACTGAAGAATGTTGTATCCATCATAGCCTACAAATACCCAGAAGCCAGTATAATATTTCTAATACAACATGTATCTTACTGGTTTGGGGAAGAAAAAATAATCCTTTTATTCCTTTTCACTCTGCCTACAAGTAGAACATTGAGATAATAGAGATTAAGCCTTAAATTTCTATATCCAATAGTGGTTGAATCACAAGAGGACTGAAAAAGCATTTGTCTCTACAAGATAATACCTAATATGCTAGTCCTCCGGGCAGTTTACATTGATTTTGCATTTAATTGCATAGGCTGATTTTCTCATATTTTCCAGGACAAAGTTGTCAAAATGAAAGGATCTAGATGTACTCTGCTATGAAGCCAAAAGAAGAAAGTAAACTTAAGAGCACTGGTTTCTGTAATAACTATATGATTGCAAAAAGTTTTGTTTTGTTTTTTTCCTACTAGAAATTGACACTGGGGATCACAAACCAACTTGAGAGCAAAGGTGATAAAACTGTACTTTCTCCTCAATCCCTCATTTCCCCCCTCTGTTCTTAAATTACTTTCAGAAATGGGAAGAAAATGAAAACACCCCCTGACACTTAAATACCTTTCACCTACTCTGTAACGAATTGGATTTAATTCCCTTTAGTTCAGTTAGCTAGTGGACTTTGTCCTTCAGTCTGTCTGGTAAATATTTCACAATTCTCTCTGTATGTTTTTGTAAAGTAGTGGGAAAAAAAAACCTTATTCATTTCTCTTACCATCAAAGAAGACAAAGACAATATTTTGATGGGAATAAAGCAGTTAATTCTAAATGATTAACTCAAATTATTTTTTAGAGTATACGTTTCCTGAAGCTTCACAGAAAATGATACTTTAAAGACAACTTACTGATTTACTATTTGAAGAAGCTACCACTGGAAAATTAATTAAAATACCAATGGCTTTGGGACGTTCTCATAGGAGTTATTTGAAAATGACATTAATACAAATTTTGTTTCCAAAGAAAATGGTAAACTTATCTTTTCATTTGATTAACTGAGCTATTTTAATCACTGTTTAAGGAACATCCCCCCACCCCACCACCGCCATTAGTTTGCTAGGGCTGCCATTACAGACTGCCTGGCTTAAACAATAGAAATGTGTATTCTCACAATTCTAGAAACTACAAGTCTGAGATTAAGGTGTTAACAGAGTTGGCTTCTTCGCAGGCCTTTCTGCTTGGCTTGTAGACAATCTTCTCCCTGTCTCTTTACGTGGTCTTTCCTCTGGGTATGCCTGTGTCCTAAGAACACCAATGATACTGGAGTAGGGCCCACCTGATGAAGATCCTCTCTCCAAATACCATCACATACTGGGGTTTAGGATTTCGACATATGAATTTTAAGGGAACACAATTCAGCCTGTAACACACCTACGAACCAAAAATTAACTCTTCATTTCCAAGTGGCTCTATAATGTCTCCTTCTCTCAGTCTAACATGTAATGACAGTCTTGCTTCTTAAAGGCCAAGAAAGGCAGACCTTCAGAAGGCAGAGAAATTACTGACCATGATGCCAAATCAACAATAGTCAGTACTAATACAGGTCTCACCTTAGCCTTTACTAAAGAAATGATTACCTTCATGTATAAATATAAAATGCTTATTTATGAAATGAAACAAATAAGTCAGAGGAAAAGTAGCACACATAATTTTGTTTGTCACCCTCAGAAGACTATTGTAATAAATTGCTCAATCCAATTATCAAAATTCCTTCTGCTACCCTATTTCAAGGAATAGGAATGAAATACTGATTAGAAGAGAGAAAAAAAAAACAAAAGGATGAAAAGAATCTAAAATTGTAAAAGCCCCATAAAAACTCTGCAGTTGAAAATATTAACATATACTATTATTTTAAATAATATTATTTTGTACGGCAAAATCTTTGAAGAAACCACAGCAAGAAAAAGTCCCTAATTCAGAGGTGGTATCAAATGACATTACTATATTTCTAATTTTATTTACCTTTCTTAAAATAAATGAGATTATAGGAAAACAACAGAATTGTAGAAGTCTTCACATCTGTCCCCCTATTTTAACAGTGAGGGATGAGGTCCATTAAGAAATTACTTTCTTAACAACCAAATGGAATCCACCAATATTCCAGCCTATGCCACCCCCTACATTTACATTTTGTGCTCTTTCAAAGGCAAACAATGATTTTGAATATTTTTCTATTATTGAGCAAATCACAAATGTAGGTAACACCGAGTTGTCACATCTGTCCCTCCGAAGGACTTATTAAAAAGGATAGTGGCAACAGAGCGGTTGGACATTTCATAAGTCATCACGATCTAGTAGGTACTGCATAAAAGATTGAAACAATGCTACTACTCATATTTTTGCTCAAAGAACACCTTTTAAAATACAATTGATGACTATGTGAAGCTTTTCTCCAAGAAAAAAATCATATATAGCTATACAGATAGATGGATATATACACACACAAAATCTGGCATTTCAGAGAGTTGAAAATATCCCCCAATAAGTATTATAATATTTAAACCTCTGAATCAGATAAATAAAAACAAAGCCCAAGTTAGAAGATACTGGGTAAAGTCTCTTCTTCCTGATCCCTCATCTCAACTAAAAGACTGTTTCCATGTAATAAAGGAATAAGATGGGAGTCCTAACTTGTTTTTAAAATTCTGGGAATCAATAATATAGATTTTCAAAGGTTTCTTTCTACTCTTTACACCATTCGACTCCCATATGGAAGATACTATTTAGCTTTGTCTGGTATGATTAAGATATGAATGTCTTTATCTTTTAAAGTCTAAGCAAAGTTAAAAAAAAAAAGAAAACAAAACAAAACACATTAGGATGTTCTCAAAACCAACAAAAAATTTAGCTATAAGGTTCAGATAAAACATTGCGAAAAATCACCATCACTGCCAGCCAGTTAAATGATTAATACATTTTCCTCGACATATTCTATTTCATTCTTTTATACATTATACTGAAAAACTAAAACTTGAAACCTAGTAGTAACTTGTACATGTCTTTGTCACAAAGAGAATCATAACTAAACCTCAAAAGTAAATTTCACTTTTACTTTTTAAAAAGTGAAGAGCATACACATATAATATCACAGTTCTCAGCTCCCTGAGGCATGTTTGGAGGTCTACACAGAATGAAGGGAAACAGCGGGGTGCCTGAGCAGAGGTGGTCCTCAAATTCGACTGGACACGTCCCATAGCCCACACACCAATGAATCTAAATTATTCTTGGAGCACATTAAAAACTTAGACTCAAATGAGCAAATATGTGAATAAACTTCCTCATCACATTTAGGAGAAAATATATCCTTCTACAATTTTGAAATAATCTCCCTTTAAAAGAAACCCCAGTTAGCCTAGTGGATGTTGCAACTGTTTTGGAGTTCCTCAACTATAAAAATGAGGAGTTAAAAGAGATGATTGTGGCCAGGTGTAGTGGCTCACACCTGTAATCTCAAAACTTTGGGAGGCTAAGGTGGGCGGATCACTTGAAGCCAGGAGTTCGAGACCAGCCTGGCCATCATGGTGAAACTCTGTTTCTACAAAAAAATACAAAAATTAGCCAGGCATGGTGGTGCAAGTCTGTAGTCCCAGCTACTACAGAGGCTGAGGCACGAGAATTACTTGAACTTGGGAGGCAGAGTTTGTAGAAAGCCAAGTTCACACCACTGCACTACAGCCTGGGAGACAGAGTTAGACTCTGTCCTTAAAAAAACAAAACAAAACAAAAAAAGCCAGGTGCGGTGGCTCACGCCTGTAATCCCAGCACTTTAGGAGGCTGAGGCGGGCGGATCACAAGGTCAGGAGATCGAGACCATCCTGGCTAACATGGTGAAACCCTGTCTCTACTAAAAACACAAAAAATTAGACAGGTGTGGTGGCGGGCGCCTGTAGTCCCAGCTACTCAGGAGGCTGAGGCAGGAGAATGGCGTGAACCCGGGAAGCGGAGCTTGCAGTGAGCCGAGATCGCACCACTGCACTCCAGCCTGGGCGACAGAGTGAGACTCTGTCTAAAAAAAAAAAAAAAAAAAAAAATTACTGCTATAGTTCCTCCCCACTCTAAATGCTACCTTTCAGAGACTTCACATTTTTAAAAAATGAAAGCAAGGATTCAATGGGCCAGGCCAATTTAACTCAAAACCTATAAATTGGGGGGAAATAAATGTTAAAGAATTTATAACATGTTATATGACATGTTATAACATATGTTTTCCAACAATTTCTGTTCATTGCTGCTTTAATAAGGTGTCTTGACTCATATTTTTTAGTGCCTTAAGATCCTTCTAAGCTCTAAAATCAGTTTTCACACTCTGTCAGTTAACTAGGGACTCAAGTTTTTCCTCCTTGTAAATGGCCAGGCTTCAGGTACCAGGGCTTTTTCATATGTATATGCTCCATGTCCAATAAAGCTTCGGAGAGTATTCAGACATCTAATAAATGCTTGCTAGATGAACGAACAAGCCAAGGAGTGACTGCACTGCTGTGAGTTAGGCATGTGGAATTTAAAAGAAAAAAAAGGGTCGGGTGCAATGGCTCATGCCTATGATCCCAGAACTTTAGAAGGACAAGGTGGGAGAATTGCTTGAGGTCAGATGTTCAAGACAAGCCTGGGCAACATAGTGAGATCCCATCTCTATAAAATAAAAATAAAAAATAAATAAAAAGTTGAAAAAAAAAGAATCTAACTACAGGGTTCCACTGCTCAGGATGCATCCAGAAAAGGGGACACAGGCAGGTAAAAAATAATTAATTACAGGCTGGGTGTGGTGGCTCATGCCTGTAATCCCAGCACTTTGGGAGGCCAAGGCGGGCAGATCACCTGAGGTCAGGAGTTCGAAATCAGCCTTGGCAACACGGTAAAACCCCATCGCCACTAAAAATTAGCTGTGCATGATGGCACACGCTAGTGGTCCCAGCTGCTCTGGAGGCTGAGGCAGGAGAATCACTTGAACACATTAGGTGGAGATTGCAGTGAGCTGAGATCATGTGACTGTACTCCAGCCTGGGCAATAGGATGCAACTCCATCAAAAAAAAAAAAAAAAAAGAAAGAAAAGAGAATTACCACATACTAATGACTAAGTTCCTCAATGGAAATGGAGAATACATACAAGGTACAATAGCAACACAGAAAGGGCCTGAAAAAACTGGAGAGAGGCATAAAGGTTACAGCACGAATTATGGTGCATCCTAACATCAGAAAACAAACTATTTGGGAATTATGCAGTTTAAACTAGTTCTGTTTCCTTTATAGGTCACTGTGAGGGTGATTCAGACATGCTTTTATGCCTTAACGTGTCTGGATCCAAGTGGAAACCCAACAGTATGAGGTGCTATTCCCTCAATACCACTGGGTATGTAAAAGTACATATTACAGACTTTAAATTTTACAAACATAAAAACATATATAACTTGGAATGATTCCTGAAAGAATGGAATGACCTTTACTGTGACAAAGGAAAGGCTTTACCAGGCAAGTATTTGGGCAAAAATTATGAACAATTTTACACAAGTCAAAATTCCAATAGTAAATAATATTAGAAAAAGATTGGTCCATGCTAGTAATCAAAGATGTATAAATTAAAGCAACCTTGAGATGCCATTTTATGGCTGCCAAGGAGGCAAGTTCTTTTTTTTTTTTTTTAACATAACACACAATGATGAAGTAACTATGGTAGAGAATACTATTAATTAGTAACACATTTCTGGAACGCAATATGAAAATACATAACAACAAAAAAAGTAGTTTCATATAATTCCACTCTTAAGAACACATTCTCCAAAAATACACCACAAGAAATAAAAAAGCTATAAGCATTAAGTTGTTTATTTGGCATTATCTGTAAAAATCAAAAAGTGAAGCAAAATCCAAAATTATCAAATCAGGGAAGAATGTTAACAAACTAAAGTGTATTGACACAATCTAATATCATGTACTCAATAGTTTATGATCGTGAAGGCACTGCATAAACAAAACAAAAATTTGTTATGAGGATATGTAAAAAATGTGAAATGCCACGTGCACTTTGTAAATAAGACTTAAATAGCATAAATCAACATTTGCTCTTCTGTAGCAGCAATGCTTAAAATAATGACAAGCTAAGCATGCTCCGTACTTGAGCAAGATCAAAATTAAAAATCTGCCAATGTAGTGAAAATATGCAAATTTTTAGCAGTAGATAATTTCTCCCATGATAATTTTAAGCCATCTTTCAATGTCTAGCACACATGCCACCTCATTCAGCCATCCAATTCTCACAGCCGCAAGTAATATTTTCTCCTACCTCTGTATTTCCAGTACACTCTGCTTAGAGTCCCCCTGAGGCATTATCAGGGTCTCCCTTGTAGCTGACGGTGTACCCGCTCTGATGTGCAGGATAAAAGAAAGTAGTATCCTTTCTTCACTTCTGCATCTGTGTCTACAAGGAATCAATGTGTATTTGTGTTTCTTAAATTTAGATACCTGTGTTTCAAAGCTAGAAAAAAGAGACCAAAAAGGGATTGAAAATGGAGATGCACAGTCTGAGTCCTCCTACACACATATGGTTACAATATTCCAAAGGAAATACAGCTATGGAGTTTTGTTCCTTTTTTTAAAAAAAAAAAAAAAAATGGAACTCACAGCCGGGTGCAGTGGCTAATGTCTATTATCCCAGCATTTTGTTCTTGCAAGTGCATTCATATCTAATCTGCATTTCTGTCCATTTCTAAAGTACAGTTGACCCACAGTACCCATGGATTCTGCATCCACAGATTCAACCAACTGCTAACAAAAAATATTTGAAAAAAATGAAAACAATATTGCAAAAAGTACAGTATTTACATAGTGTGTATTATAAGTAATCTAGAGATAACTTAAAGTATACAGGAGGATGCACATAGCTTATATACAAATACTATGCCATTTTTTATCAGAGATTTGAGCATCTGCAGATTTTGGTATCCAAAGGGGTTCCTGGAACCAATCCTCTGAGAATACCGAGGGACATCTGTACTATGCATTGCTACTTAAATGCATTATTTAAAAATGTACTATAAATGGCCATTGAAATAAGAGCTAAAAATAAGTTTTATAATTTTTTCATGTTCCTAAAAAGATTTTCAATTTTTGATAAAATGGAGTTTTTTTGTTAATTTCCTTTTGTTCAGAAAAAGAAACAGCATATTTGAAAGACTATAGAGGACTCTTGCAAATAGCAAAAGTTTCAATTTGTATATCCTGTGTCCCAAAATTTCATTGCAGAAAATTTATCCTAAGGAAATAATCATAGATCTGATAAAGATTAAGTGCCAAGGATGTTTATTCCAGAATTTTATATAATAGCAAAATGTTGGGGAATGGGAAGTTGTAAATGGTCTATAAAAGAGCTTTTAGTAAATATACTAATAGCACATCTGTATGCTGTATTGCTACACAGATATGACAATTACATTGAAGAAGATCTAGTGATCAGGAAAAATAACTTAAAATATATCATTTAGGAAAAATGCATTAAAGAGGAAACTCAATTTTTGAAAAAATAAAATAACTGGAGTTATTCTTATCATTTGCAGTAGTTATGATCCATAAAGTTGCCAAAAAACACTGAATTTGTAAAGGCTGAACCACTGCTCCTAGAAGAAATGCAAAGTTAGGTTCCTATGAGCCTCTGGTCACAAGATTTTCATCAACTGATCAATACCTTGTTTTATGTGCATTTCTGTTTAAAGACACCTTATTTAACATTGGCTGTTGATTTGTTAATATTGACCACATGGCCGATAGCACTATAACTCATGCCTGAACAAAACTTATTGACTACACGTATTTTCTCGGTGAGGCACATCCAGCCTTCCTGTGCTTAGGAACACTAGACAGCACTTCAGTCCTACACATGGGGGCCATTTTAAACAGTGAAATCACCAACAAAAAGCACACAAATGAGGAAACATGATATTAAGTAGGCTGCAAACAGGACATTTGTTTAGAGTCTGAGGACTGAAATAGTAAGGCAGAGAATCTACTTGTTCATTCTCAGGTGGGAAAGTGTGTGCTGGCTGACTCAAATTTTTTGCTACTCTTCATGTGTCTGCCAATGACCAAGACAGTGCTATGTACATTAATTGGGGGTTACAAATAAGTCTCAAGGAATAGGTGAATTTTCAGATATGGACTTCACAAATAAGGAAGAGTGACTGTATATATACATAGGGGAAAAACTGGATGGATTTAAGTAATCTATAAACAGAAGTCTCTCCATGGAGTAACTAAGTAAGTGTGTTACAGGTAATACTTATTTTCTTTTTGCTCATCTGCTGTTTCAAGGTAAATTTATCATGCATCAATTACTTATAAAAATGACATATCTGATTACCTATTCTAATTATCTACTGCAAATATTTACTAACTTTTGAATTATAGGAAGAAAACTAACACTAACAAAATCCTTTACAATTTTGGTGTTTACATTATATTTTAAGAACTATCTTACACTGTTAAATAGTTTGTGATACTGAGAGTTATTTGCCATTAACCATTTACCTTAACCATTGGCAGTATCTAATTTTAAGGAGTTAAAAAGAATGCAGGTCAAGAGGACTTTAACTTTCTGTGGTGATAATACTACATGAAGAGAAAATGGACTCAAGTTATTTATAGCTGATACAATTCATTTCCAAAACAATGATGTCATATCTTACATTTTATGTTTGTAGTCACACTAATATGGCTGCTAACCAGTTGCAAGACTTCACTGAACACTTCCACATCAATTAAAATATAAAATGTTATAACTACACAGTAAAAATGACAATTGGCAAGAAACCACTAGAAAGAAGTTTAGTAAGGGCAAAACCAACCAAACCCAAAAGGAGTTAGGGAGAAGAGCAGGTAACCACTACATATAAAGATAAAAAATTAAATATAAATATTAAATACACCTTGATAAGAAAACAAGGCCATGGAAGTATAAGAAAAATTGAGAGACAGTGTGATATTAGAGAAAGCAAATAGCAAGTGAAAGCATGTGCAATTTCAGATAGAAAAATATTTGATCTCTTTTGAAAATCTTACTTTCAAAGGTAGGTATCACCTTTAGAGTGGCCTAAATATTAAATACGATGATCAAATATTACTATATTTCAGACAAACATCTGTGAAGTTATACATTTTTAACCAGCAAAAACAGAAGTTTTTTTTTATCTATGATATGAAAACTTAAGTTTGTTTAATTTCTATGATGAGCATTCATCCATCCATCCACCCATCCATCCAATATTTACTGAGTACTGATGTTTACAAAGTACTGTTTGGGGCACTGGATAAACACCACATGTGACGGTTAATTTTATGGGTCAATGTGGCTGTGCCATGGGGTGCCTGGGTATTTGGCCAAACTTTATTCTAGGTGTTTCTGTGAGTGTGTTTTGGGATGAAATTAACAGTTAAATCAGTAGACTGAATAAAACAGATTGCTCTCTTTAATGTGGGTGAGGTTCATCCAATCAGCTGAAGACCAGTTGAACCAATCAGTTGAACAAAAGCAGACCCTATTCTGAGTAAGAGAGAACTCCTACCTGACTGCCTTTGAACTCGAACATCAGCTTTTTTCTGCCATCAGACTCAAACTGAAACAATGGCTCTTGCCAAGTGTCAAGCCAGCCACCCTTCAGATTGGACTACACCATCAGCTCTCTTGGGTCTCCAGCTTGCTGACTCAACCTGCAGATCTTGGATCTTGTCAGATTCCATAATCCCATGAGCTAATTCCTTAGAAAGAAAATCCTATGGCTCGGTTTCTCTGGAGAACCTTGGCTAGTATACCATGCTGGGCTACCAGGATACATGAGCATGTCAGAGGAGTCCTGAGTTTCTCCAAACCTGGTGTATGGCACAGTTTACCTGTGGTCTTCAGTCTAGCTTCGCAGATTTTTCAACCATGAAAATCCTATGTTATTCACATACACATTGCATTCCCAAAGTTGGAAGGAATTTCTAATGAAACCTAAGAACTTTTTGTTGGAACTTAAAGAAACGAATTAATAGAATCTTCACAGTTATTAGTGTAAATATATAAAACCAACTCACTATGGGCCACATCAATGCAATGTGCACACTGCCCAACTCACTAGCTGAAACATTACATCTTCCTATCCCACTGAATAGCTAATACCATAAAAAAGAGTGAGTTAGAATTCACTCTGACATATGCTTTTAAAATGTGAAGTTCTGCAAAACTTTTAAACAATTATCAGTATTATATAACTTGTGACCCTTCATATTTGTTCTCAACACACACTTTCTTGAACACCCCAGTGGAGAACTGACCATCCAGTATACACGATGATTTAAACACGTAAAACATAAAATTTTACCTTTAACACAGATACTGCTAATGACTAGAATTGATGTTAATGGCTTAAATAACTTTCTAGTTGCATTGGCTCTAGAACACCTTAGCAGTTTGCTTCCCACTTAGTATTTTATGTATCTTAACTTTTGTTCAAGAGTATAGTATTTCAGACCTTCCCATGCCCTCAAATGTTAAAGTATACACAAAAACTCTACCTCCCTAGCAGTATCAGTCATACGACCCCTGTAGCTATTTATATGACTCTCCTGACTAAACACAACTTAATTTTCATCTGCCATAATGAAGTTAGTGGTGAATTCTCCTGCCTTTCAAAGTCATCTGCACCTGTATTCATTTATTTAACAGCACCTTATTGACTTATATTTCTCCAAAAGCCACCTGGGGACTTGACTGTAACTACACTTGTGATTTATAAACAAATACATCGTCACACATTTCAGAATTTAATCTCACCAAGCTTATTTCATACCTATGTGCAATTTAATTTGAGCAAAATGCTATGTTTGCTGAAATAGCTGTTCTTGTGGATCAGTTTTAAAAAAGAAAAAGGATTGATTGAAGTACAAGCATAAACTTTTCTGCCATCCAGGAAACTAAGTTGCATAGTTTGAGGTACACAATAGATTAAAAAGAATCTACCCTAAGCATGAAAGGGCTTCTAATTTCCTTGATTGCTTAAGAATTCCAAATATAAGAAAGAAAAAAACCACTTCACCCTACAAACACACCCCACTTTGGTCACAGTGAATATCCTACCAAAGGCAAAATTAACCACTTGCGCACCTGTTTCAGTTTTTCTCTGCCCTCTCCATCTCTGCCTACATCTCTTCCTATTTCTCAAATTGCTCAAGAGAAAAAAAACGAGGAATGTGCTGGTTGAGAAGTTAAAGCATGTTCCTATTTCCCACAGCCACCCATAAAGAAATGCCCAAGTCGTATCCACTCACCTTAATCATGGAGCAGAAACTTTGTCTCCTAGAAATTTGCCTGTGTCCTACTTTTCCAGTTAGAAGACAGAGCAAAAATAACTGTTTCCTCCCTCTCTTTGGGACAAAGTATTACATTCTCCGTAAACCCAAAAATCATGAGTTAATTTTAGTAGAAAAAATCTTATTTTTTTTCATTATATTAAATGGAGAAATGAAATCCCAAGTGTTTGGAATTGATTGACTACAAACTGCCTAAAGAATTGTTAATAAGAAATGAAAATTTCAAGCACAGTGAGGGTATTCTGACCCATCTCTGCAGAATCATTTCTTGAAATGTTCTGGTGTTTTTTAACTGGAAACACAGAAGGCAATCCTTATCCATATCCTTGCTTTCTGATTCTATATATCCAGCCCTGTGAGCAAAGCTATGGACTACGTGCAAGAAAAGAGGTTTCTTTTCACACTGACTATCCAGTAGTGACTGACAGTAGTTGGTGCCTTGGGAAAGAGCAATTGCAGAGCAGATTATTTATTTTATAATGAATATGCAAATTATTCCCTTGCCTTTTTAAGTCAAGAGTTTAGCCACTTAATGTAAATTAAATATACAAAATCCTAAAACTTATCTTGTGGCTTGGAGCAAATTATTGCTATTGAGAGGCCTTATTTACTTGACTTATTTGTGGGAGGAAAGGTGGCAAGGGGTGGGCAGTAGTGGTTCAAAGTACTTATCTGAGAAACTGAAATGGAAATTGGAAGAAAATATAAAGCATAAAAATAGGCTACAGTTTATGGTGAGCAATGCTAAATATCTAGGAATCCCTAACACTGCAATTAAAACTGGTTTCAGATTATGAAAAAAAAAATTAGGGGGTAAATTTGAAGTCAGGTGAAGTACTTCTTACGTATATCTGTGCTGATTTAAATAATCAAAGCCTATTATTTGCCTATAAAAAATACTCTGTTTTCACTAGTTACTTAACACTAGGTACTCAGAGTAGGCTGATACTCAGTAAACTGTCAGTGAAGAAACAAATGAAGTAATGTAAATAAAACACTTATGCCCAATTAATAAACTCCTTATATATATATATAAACTCCTTTATATATATATAAAGTATATATATAAAAACTCCTTTATATATATATAAAGTACATATATAAAAACTCCTTTATATATATATAAAGTATATATATAAAAACTCCTTTATATATATAAAGTATATATATAAAAACTCCTTTATATATATATAAAGTATATATATAAAAACTCCTTTATATATATAAAGTATATATATAAAATACATATAAAGGATGTATATATATAAAGTACATATATATAAAGTATGTATATATATAAAGTATACATATATGAAGTATGTTTATATATATATATATACACATAAAGTATGTATATATATACACACACACACACACACATATATACACACACACACATATACTTTAAGTTCTGGGATACACTGCAGAACGTGCAGGTTTGTTACATAGGTATACACATGCCATGGTGGTTTGCTGCACCCATCAACCCGTCATCTACATTAGGTATTTCTCCTAATGCTATCCATCCCCCTAGCCCCCATCCCCTGAGAGGCCCCAGTGTGTGATGTTCCCCTCCCTGCATACATGTGTTCTCATTATTCAATTCCCACTTATGAGTGAGAACATGCGGTAGCTAGTTTTCTGTTCATGTGTTAGTTTGCTCAGAATGATGGTTTCCAGCTTCATCCATGTCCCTGCAAAGGACATGAACTCATACTTTTATATGGCTGCATAGTATTCCATGGTGTATTATATATTTATATACACATAAAAAAAATCACCAGAAATTTTAAATACTATTAATTTTTTTTGGTTCTACAATAGAAAAATGGGTGACACAGTATGAATACCACTGGCCCAGGAGAAGTTGGGGCACCACTTTTTCTGGCAAAGTCTGCCAGCTGTGGCCAGTGGCATTGAGCTCTTGCAGTAATTCCTGATGCCAGCTGGCTATGACTTTTTCCTGTCTGCCTATCCAAGAAAACAATCAGTGTTAATTCCAGCAGGTTGTGTTATTGATTTTTGTTACTAAAACAGACTTATGATGAAGAACTACTATAAACACTCTTATCAAAAATTTCTTTAGGTTCTCTAACATATATTATGACCATAAAAGTATTTACCATATATTCATTAAAAGAACCCTAAAGTCTTTTCTTCTGAAGAAACTGACTAAATCAAAATGATTTAAAAGTGCACAGGTATTTGTTCTTTATCATAAAATTTGATAACAGGAAAATGGAGATTGTTGTAACTGTTGATATCTTGAAATCAAGGATAACAAACAGATATTTAATTTTTCTCCTTCTTCAAATATTTTTTAAAAACCATGAAGCAATCCAAGAATTCAAACTAACTGTTTTACATAGAATTCTTATGCTTTTCCATTATTTTATGGAGCTATTCTTATTAAGGAGTAATAGTCCTAAAAATGGGTGAGAAGTGTAAGTAAAATTATCTTTATCCAAGATAATCATCTTCATTCTCATGATTAATTCACAAACAGAATTAAATGTAATTCAATAGACAAAAAAACATTTGATTACCTAAACATACATATAGATGCAAATACATATCTATCTATCTATCTATCTATCTATCTATCTATCTGTAATATATATCTATCTTCTATCTAGATAGATATATGTTCCATCTATATGTATGTTTAGGTAATCAAATGCTTTTTCGCCTACTGAATTATGCTTAATTCTGTTTGTGAATTAATTATGTGAATGAAGATGATTATCTTGGATGATAATTTTACTTGTAGATAGATAGATACTCACCATAATGAAATACATGTAAAATATATGTAAAAGTTCACTCCTGTCTAGCTTGATACCATGATTTTTTTTTAGAAATGTTATATCATGTTTATTGAAGAAAATTTTCAATGGTAAAACACTTGATCTAGAGCCAGATTTCTTGGGTCACAACCCTTCTTATACTATTCTAGCTGTGTGTCCTTGGGCAAGTCATTTAATCTTTCCGGAACTCATTTCCTTCAACTGTAAATTGAGAAGGTTGTGGTTGAAAAGCTCTAAAGTTCCATCCTGTTCTAAAAATCTATGAATCTGTGAGAGAGAAAGTTCATAAATATTCCATAATCTTCCTTTTACCAAAATGTTACTTCCAAATATAGATAACCTTCCATGACACAAAGCAAATGTTGTGACAAGGTACCTTTCAATTAATGCAAATTTTAAAGTTACTATTTAAAACAATTCAGAAATAGAGCAAACTCTATCAAGATGTTGTGATTTCAGATAATTCAGAACACAACATAGGGATCACATGCCAATCAAAATAAATCTGAATGAAACAAATTATTAACTATGAATTTTACAGAGTTCTGGAATACTTCCAAATTCCTGCTATCATTTTCAAAATAAGCTTTTCATGAGAAAAAAAATACAGTCTCAATTAAACAGAACATATCAATTATACATAAATTAAAAAATTATTATTATTTTTTCTCCAAACCTAGAAGGAAAGTTCAAACTGACAACAAATTTATATCAGTCATTCAGTAAACCTTTCTCACACACCTCTAATTTCTGGGTCATGGACCTTAAACTCAAAAATAAAAATTCAAATTCAGAAAAATATCCACCCACATCAATGTATAGTTCTTAATTTAAAATATAATTACATTCATTAATAGAATCTTAATAACCAAAGTATCCTAATACGTCTTACAAAGATGTTTGAAATTAAAGCTTCACATTAAAATGGGTTTCTGGTAAACTACATGACTTAATTTACCAGACAAAAACCTCTCTACTATGCAGATTAGTTAATTGAGGATTTATTGTAAAAGCAATAACCAGAAGTTGTAATAGATACGAATTGAGTAGAATTCATTCTCTTTAATATCCTCAAGATGTTACTTAACTCACAGTGCTTATTCACAAGTTCTCTGCTCAGGCAGTTAATGTGAGATTCTTGAAAATTTTAATATCCTGCCAGTAGTCAGTCACCATTAGCAAATGTGGGATAAGAAAGTGTTATATCTGGCCGGGTGCAGTGGCTTACACCTATAATCCCAGCACTTGGGGAGCCCAAGGCTGGTGGATCATCTGAGGTCAGGAGTTCAAGACCAGCCTGGCCAACATGGCAAAAACCTGTCTTTCCTAAAAATACAAAAATTAGCAGGGCATGGTGGTGTGCACCTGTAGTCCCAGCTACTCAGGAGGCTGAGGCAGGAGAATCGCTTGAACCTGGGAGGCGGCGGTTGCAGTGAGCCGAGATGGCGCTACTGCACTCCAGTCTGGGTGCCAGAGTGAGATTGCATTTCAAGAAAGAAAAAAAAAAAAAGTGTTATATCTATGTTATGGACATCAACTTACCAGAGTTTTTTTTTTTGTTTCTTCCCAGATGGATGGTTTGTCTTTATCATCAAAGAAGACAAACATTATCCAGTACAGTTAAAAATTTCTAGGTATGATTTAAAAATATGATGTCACATGTAACCACTGAACAGTGAGGAAGACCACAAGATGAGCTACTTTTCTGTTTGTAAATTTCAGCACTTCTGTCCCATTTAATAGACCTTGTTTCTGTCTTAACTATTCTTTAAAACCTTTTTACTATATGATGGTAAATACGTATGAGCATTTAAAAGAAATCAAATTCAAGTCTTTAAAATAATGTATAATTTATAATTTCAGTTTAGCATCTCTAATTGTATTATTTATGTCACAGATATCATGAGATAATTATTTTACAGTTTACCTAGTTACACAAATGTTTAGTGAAAATTATTATAGATATAAGCAAGGAAAGTCAAAATTATATACAAAGGGACAACCTAATCTGGCACTGATTAAATACATACTCACACACACAACTGGGCATTCATTACCAATTCCATGAATATTTTGTGAGATGATGAGAAACTTGAAAACAGTGAAGCTGAAAAACTCCACAAGTTTGACAATTAAAATCAGGCAAAACTAAAATATACTACTATAGTCCATTTACTGCAGCAATATTTCTGGAAATTCTCGCACCATTTCAGACTACAAAATCAACGTTAATCATTTCAAAGATCTAATAAATTTCTTTTCCTTTATGAAACAATATACATATAATATAAATAATATATTATTGTTATGTAAAGAAAGAAGACACCTACAGCTTTAAAGTGAAGTCTGTAGTACTGTAGTGAAACTAAAATACTCCAAACTCAAAACCTACCAATACTGTGTTTAAAATGTTGAAAAAATTAGTTGGTGTGACCACAGAATATGGAGTGTATGACGGTATGCATATTAAAATGGAAACTGTTGAATCCGTGATATATTGTAATATAGAAAACTGTATACCTGAGGACACTTAAAATGATGCAAAACTAAATAATAAAAAGTCCAATGTAGAAAATACGAGAACCAAATAAATGACTTAATAGGAGTATAATATGTATGCCATAACACTGATAAATACTGGTACATACCTTACATTTACAAGTAGGACTTATTCTCCTAATATTTAAAAGTTACAAATAAGCATATTAGAGCTCTTCTCAACTGTATAAAGAAGCAGTCAATAAAACACAGAGCATACCAGGAAAGAGTGCAGCAGGTCAAAAAAGGCAGATGTCAAAAATAGTATGTTTTCCTTTGGGGACAAAAAAGTGGAAGGTTTTATGCATTTTAATTAGCCATTTAAAAAAAAAGGAATCAGGTGAAGACTACCAATTATCACCTTCTAGCCCCGCTAACACTTTGTAGTCTAGCGGAAAAGAAAAGGAAAAAAGAAAAAAGAAAAACACCCTCCCATTCTAGGCCATTAAAAAACATTCACAGTTTCCTCCAGTATCCTTCCAACAGCTACTGATGAGATTTATCTTCAAAGAACTTTCTTGTTTACAATACAAATCTTCCCCTCTGTTACAAATTAAACCCAATTATCTGGCGAACAGTTTCCATAATAAAACCTGGTAGACAGAGGAAACAGTAACCTTCCCATTTTTTTTTCCTCTCTATTTGATAGCCTGCAGGTTTCAAGAAGTAAAAACTACCCTTACTTATCCCATTAACAGATAGGTGTTGAGAGGGCATGGAAACCCCTGGGAAGATAAATGGCCTCATTTGCTTTGGATCAGGATTTGGAGACAACTTCCAAAGATCTGAAAAAGTGTGGAAAACTCTCAGTTGCTTATTGGATCTATAAATGTTTAAACTACTATGAGAAACATTCTACAGAAAAGCATCATTAACTCTTTCTGGTCACTGGAATCTACAGTCATTGGTATATCTAGTCATTGCTGAAGGACAAACTACAAATACTCAAGGAAAAGATCCATTTGTTGAGATAGCAAATAGATGAAATGCAATCACATACACTTGAGTCCTGGCCAAGTCTAACTCACCCTGACACACTGGGGCTCAGCTTTTAATCAAGCAGCTGCTCAAAGACACATTTGTGTCCCTGTAACAGAACCCATCCAATTTATGAGGAATTTCATAAAATCAAGTTTATTCTAAGTCTCCAAAATGCATTTGCGCATGCTCAATATATGTAAATTTCAATTACAAAATTACAAATTCAAGTTTATTCTGTGATACTATTTTGCATTAAGCAGAGCTTTATCAGGTGTTACTAGCCATTTCCTAAAGATGTAAACTGTGCTTTGCAAAAAACATAGATGTACCTAAAAAAAAAAAAAAGACAGAAACAGCTTTCCCCAAATTTTCTTAACCTCACGTAGAAGCAAGGGTGTCTAAATAAATAAAAAAACTTCCCCTCTCTTCCCTCCTACTCTGCAGAATTCCATTTACCTGGCAAATCATGAAAGGCAGAATCATAAAACTCAAGTTTAGTCATACCTCAACAGGCTGTGTTCCTGTTGAACATTAAATACTTTGACAACACAACAGCGCCTTCTCCAGTGCTAAAAGCAGCATGATTAATCTTATTAAACCAGCATCTGAACCACAGCCACCATGCCATGGGAGAATAATTAGGCTGCTAATGACCTAAATACTGTATCTACAAACTCCTATTACTGGAGCTAGTAAGAAATAAGAGAGAATATTCACGCTTAAAATGGCCAATCAAATTAAGAATATTTTCCATAGAAACAAGGTATCTATGCTGCAAAATAAATGTATTTTAGTAGACTGGCCTGTGACCACAAGTAAGCTTTTTCTGTTTAAAACAAATGTTTAACACTGTTATGTCAGAAAATGTTTTACTAATTTGCAAAGAAGTGGCAAAACATGAAATGCCCTCCAATTTTAAGTGGAGGAATTCCTACATCCCTACACTGTTGGAAGTAAACAGTAAAGTTTTTCTCCTCCTTACACAGTTCATGCGGTAGTTAAAGAGGAAGATTCACTGAACATAATGAAAACTTACAGCTGAATTCTTTGGCCACACCTCTGTTACATTATTATAGTAATACATAGAAACAAGACAATAGGAGGAGCTGGATAGGGAATAACCATACAAATAAGAAACTCTGCACTGTTATTCTCAAAAACTGGAGAATTATTTATTATTGCAAATTTCAGTATCATTCAAGACAAAACCAAGTCTTAGCTTCCAGGTGAATTCACAAATAACTGGTGTCAAAAATCTCTTGACACTTTTCTCTAACACTTAAGTATATGAAACTCTTTTTTAAAAATTCCACGTCCAGGTAATCTGAAGATCAAGAAGAAAGCTTTTCTTACAGTTTATGAAATTATAGATTCTTACAATAACAAAAAGCACATAGTGTCAGCATGTATAAAGTGTTATTGATTCCTCTTTCATATGCCAAAATAGTACTTTCAAAAATGCGGGTTAACAAAGGCTATTCCTTTCCTTTTTTGAATGACTGCCCAAGAATGTACATACCATACTTTTGGAGAAAATCACTTTTGACAGAAGGAATTGTCATGGCAAGAGCATACAAATACAAGGCCATATGGTGTCCTTTTCTGAGGTAAGAGGCAATAACCCAACACACTTAGGAGTTTATTCCCTTTCTGAATTAAGAACTTGGTGTTGCCCATGTAAACACATGAAATGAGAACACACTCATGCTGTACTAATTACATACAGGGACCTCTGCTGTTATCTCCGCTGTTTAGCATTATCCCGTAGTTAATTCTGCTTTGCTTTAGTTGCAGCCAAAGACTAACATAACAAAACAGTGTCTCCCTACATGGGACCCTCTGTCAGCCACATGCTTTCACTGCATAAATTATTTCTTGAGAATGAACCTGAGCCCTTTGTGAGATGCTGAGTTAAGGCCAGGAGTAAGAGACTGCTGCAGCCACTTCAGCCAGGAATTCAGTCAGAATCAAATTTAGGAAAAAGGGAGTAATGCAGACAGACCAAGAAAAGAAGTCAGTTGACTGCGGCCAAATGCACACAGCAATGGCCAATTCTCATTGCAAAAGCCTTTGCTTTTGTTCCTCATGCCTGAAATAACGACTCTGTTCTGCAAGCTACTGGGCCAATCTACCTAAGCAATAGCAGGAGTCATGAGAAGTGGGATCATGAATATAGATGCTTTTGGGAAACTAAAAGTAGACTGAGGATTTCTTTTTGCCACTAAAAGAAAGAAATTAATGATCGTGAAATCAATGCATACTGTAATTGCTAAAGTGAATATGTTATTTACTGCAACAAGAATTCAAATGAAAAAGACACCTATATCTATATAGGCTGCAATGGAGGCCAAAGAGAGGTGGTAAGATGTGGCCAAAGGTATCCAGCTGCACAGGACAAAGATGGCTATAGAACCCAAACCACTATTCTCTAAATTGTTGGTTCTCTTCGCCAAGCCACGCTCTCTCCGGGGTCCACTTCTAGATCAAGCAGGACTCGGAGTACATCAAGCTAAATGAGGTTAGCATGAGAAAGGAAAGAGGCTGAAAAAGAAAGAAAATGCCCATCCAGCCATCGGTCTGTGCAGAGTCATGGAAGATGGGCCTTCTTGCTCAGTGTTGCAAAAAGAGAGTTCTTATCAGCTCTCCTATCGACTCCCAAGCCCAGTCTGCAGTGGCGCCCCTGGCCTACTTACAGGCATTGGAAAGAGGCAAATCAAATGCTGCCAGGGAAGAAAACAACAGAGGAGGACTTCTATTATCAAACCTCAAAGCCTCCGCAGCTTAGCCTCAGCCTTCTCCTCTGTCCCGGAGCCCACTTGCTGACCTAGACAGAGATATTTCGAGGCATGGGTGTAGCACGTGCATACGTGACCCCAATCCCAAACCCCCAAGCAATGAAATTTCATCTGGATTTTCAATATTAGTTAGCATAACTTTGGAACAGAAGTGGCTTTTTAAAAGACTGAAAACATGTATTCGAGGTAAGAATGTTGTCCACATCAAAGAAAAAGAAGGAAAGCACTCCGTCCTATAATTTGTGGGAGCAAAACGATAATCTTAGAAACGATCTATCCAAGACCTAGCATTTTATAAATGAACTGAGAATCAGAGAGGCAGGTGCCGGCTCTCTGAAATTCAAAACACTGAGTTCCCAGATGTCTTGATCAACCTGAAACTTTTGAGTGAAGTCAAACCCTGGCAGAAAGAACACTCAACCTCAATGTCAGAGTGCCAAATTTTGCGTTAACCCATGCTATCAATTAGCATAAAGATTGAAAATGTCATTCACCTGTTTAAACCCAGTATACTAATATGCAACAGGGAAAGATTAAGAGCTTGAAACACATGATCTTTCAAGTTTTTTTTCTCAGATGTAAAGTTCTATGATTCTGTTCTGAACTGAATAAGAATAAATAACAAGAAAAAAATGTAAACAGTTTAAACTGCAGTTAAAATAATTACTTTCAAAATTTTAAACTAACAAACTTTTACAAGTATACCCTCATTTTTTATAGATTTTCTTCCCTGGCCTCTGCCACACATATTCTTCTATCTACAAAACTAGAAGGACAGTCTGACCTTAGCATTTAAGGGTAACAGACAATGAGCCCGACAGACAATTAGCTGTTAACAGTTAGATATATTTAGCATTTAAGAAATGTACTATCAGTACACTGAAAGTATTTGGAAAGTTTAGTCATCAGCAGATAGAGCATGAATCACGTCCATGTCACCAGCAGACCACTTATCTAATCACCCCCACTATAAATGCAAGACTCTGTGTCTCCAGAGCTGGTTTGTTTCATATTTTAGCTCCACGGTCACAGGCAAATTCACTGAACCAAAATAAAACCTTCTGACTTGCTGTTTTCACTGTCCTAAAATGGGTTAGTGATGTCTTGCCCACAGAATTCCACACCATGATCTGAATGAGTGGAAAAAGATTCTGTCTGGCTCACAGCAGAGATGATACCAAATGGCCAGTAAAGAGGCCGACTCAAATTCCTTTGAAGGAGGCACCGAGGTGGTGGATTCAGCAAAAGGCTGTGAAGTTTATGTAAAATTTCACTCATAACTTCAAACGCACTTAAAATAAGTTAACAGGCAGGTTTTCTAAAAGAAAGTTTCTTAAAACTACATTATAGTTCTCATGATCATCTTTTTAATAAGCCAATAACCTTTACTACCATGAAGTATGTAGGCTCTTATAAATATCTTCTAATTAGTCATTCAAACCTTGTTTTACAGGAAAAGAGAAAAACAACAACAACAACAACAACAATTTCCCGAGGATCCCTGCCCACATTCAGAGTAGCAGATTTACCTACTTCAAAGTGGAGATCAAAGCCACACTCTAAGGCTCCTTATTTCCACAGGCTGGCAAGCAAACAAGGCATACAGGCTTTGCAAGAGTGTATCCTAATTCTCTTACTGAAGAAAAGTCAACAGCAGAGACAACACAGAAAAAGGAATCAAAGAGGCCAAATCTGTGGACTCAAAACAATAAGAAAAAATAAATCAACTTTGCTAAAATTTAAGAATGCCAGGGGGGTAGGTAAATGCACTGGGAAGTATGTGTGGACTATGATGATAATAAATCTCCTTTCAATACAACTGATATTTATCAGACCTTGAATAAAACACTGAATGTGGATACTATAGTGCAAAGCATCTATATAGGAATTAGGACAGTGGAAGTATGAGGTAAGCTGCAAGTGTAATTTGAAAGTTTCCAGCAGCCAGATTAAAAAGGTAAAAAGAAACAGGTGAATGGATTTTAATAGCATATTTTATTTAACCCAATATATCCAAAATATTATCATTTCAATATATAATCAATATTTTAAAAGGAGACATTTTATATTCTTTTTTTGGTACTTGGTCTTCAAAATCCAAGGCAACCACATTAAAAATGATCAATAGTTACATATGGCTACTGGCTACCATATTGAACAGAACATTTAAATACCTACATAGTTAATCATCTGGAATGCAGAAGTGTCAATATACTGAGGTAAGCCAGCAAAAGGAAAAAAAAAAAAAAGATGATGAAAAAAAGAAATATGTTTACCAAAGACGTGGCACAAATATTCTCCACTGCCTAAGAAGGGAAGGCGAGGTAGATTTAGCATAACTAAAATAAGAATGATTTGGATTTAGATAGCTTCATAGCTGATGAGATGGGACCAAAACATTTCTACTACTATGGGCATTTTTACAGAATCCTCTTCCTTGGAATACTGTATAAAATACACATAGTTTAAAAAAATAACAGAATTAGCTCTGAAAAAAAGACAGGGAATATTCAATACTGCTATAAATTCCTTTGAGCTTTTAAAGATGACTCTTAATGTATATAAAGTTACACTCCATAAAAGGCTGAGTAATTTATAAAAGACTGAGTAATTTATACAAACTCCCAAGAGGCACAATGAAAATATGCATTTTCCTTTTAAAAATCGTGAAGGAAAAATGACAGTATCTGGAGAAAGAAAAAGGAAAAAGACTATCTAAAACAAGAGCAGTCATTTGGAATGAAATCAGATTTCATAGTATTTAGTAGTGGCATCCTCCAACAAGTAAGATGTTAGGTGGGAGAGGATACTAGAGGCTGGGGAGGGAGGGATAGAGAGAGATTTGTTAAAGGATACAAAATTACGACTATATAGGAGGAATAAATTCTAGTGTTCTATAGCACTGTAGGATGACACTAACAATATTTCATAGTTTCAAATAGCTAGAAGGAAGACACTGAACATTCCCAACAAAACAAATGACAAATGTTTGTGCGTGCTAATGAATATGCTAATTACTTTGATCTGATCAATATACATTATATGTATAGAAATATCTCTATGTAGCCCATGAATATGTACAACCATTATTGGTCAAAGAAAAAAGATGTTAGATGGGGCAAGAGAACTGGATCTTAGAGTACTTCCAATTGATTCCAAGCCTCTATGCACACAGTACACTATTTTTTCTATTGGTCCTCATATAAACAGTATATAAACAGAAACATATATCCAATCGGAAAAAAAAGTGATTCAATATTTTATATCTGGATTAAACTTATACTTGAATTTTTCCTAAATTGGCCTGACAATTGATGAGCAATAAAATGGGCTTTAGTTTCATTTAAATTATGTTCTTCTCCTTTAAATTCCTTTGCCATGGAGCAGTCAAAGGTGGTTTTTAATAATGACTCACATATCAAGCTGTAGTTCAAAGTTGACGTTGTCTGGACCCGGTGTCAGTAAAATACTTAAGTTACTAAGTCATGAGAGATTTTAGTTATAGGGCTTCTAAATTTTCACATCCAGAATCTGTTATTAATATGCCATGACCTTAGGCACACTACAACCTTAGACTCAACCTGTCCATCTTCTTAAAAAAAAATGAATGTATTCTTCTCCATCTAAATTGTAGGCTGCCTACAGAATGCAAAAAAAAAAATTATAAAAAAAAGTCTTACAATGAATAGCTTTAAGGTTTAAATTCAGTTTGTCAAAAATTGTTAGGCTCCTTGTTGTTCTCAACCGTTTTCTTGCCCAGTCCAGCTAAGTGTAACAGGGGTTCCTAAGTCATGTT
This sequence comes from Homo sapiens, assembly GCF_000001405.40. NCBI lineage: Eukaryota > Metazoa > Chordata > Mammalia > Primates > Hominidae > Homo > Homo sapiens. The sequence continues at coordinate 28,115,037 of NC_000018.10, forward strand.
CCAGTGATCTCCAAGAGGGAGGAGAACGTTTCTTGCCTACAGAAATTCAGTGGGCTGAGAACCTTGGAGTGGCAGGAGTCTTCAACCTGTCCTTAAAGCCTGGGAAACAAACTGATATCCAGAAAGACCTGGCGTTACTCAGAGCGCTAGCTCCTGGGGTAGGTGTTGAGGCTGCAGCTTTTTATGAAAGAGATTCCTGACAAAGATTCCTCTGCCCACAGGGGATTGCCCATAGCAACTACTTCCACAAAAAATGCCTTGTGGGAAGTGGGGCATGAGTCATACTGTTTTAGTTACTCCCCTGTTCTCCAGACCCTCCAAACTGGAAGATGCAGGAATATCCCAGTGTGAATCACTGTGCTGTCCTGGTGCTGACCACCACAACATCCACCAGTGACTTAGCAGAAGTGAAACCAGTCAACCCTAAGGATTATCAAACATGGGCCAGGGCAACTGTCTCCTACTGGCTGGTGACAAAGCTTCCACTGGTTCCTGGTATCTTGCTCAGAGAAATTCCTGATACCAGGGCCCCCAGCTACACAATCCTGAGGATAGACAGAAGATGGCTGCGGCCCTCATCCAGAACCACACAGGAACCACCACAACCAATTTATTATGGGCCAGCTTTCCAATTTTCCAAGATTATTCCAAAGTCAGGAAACTGAATTAAAATGATGACTTCCATTTATACAAACATGTCTATGTGAATTTTACGACACTTTTTTTTAAGTGACAGAACACGTGGAATATCCGCACTCTACTTCATCTCATGCTGTTCTGAATTTTTCAAACAGCTATCAAGAAAACAAGCAAATTCAGTAAATCTCATGAAGTTTTTACACTGCATTTTTATTAGGTCACCTGAAGTTTGCCACGTTATTCTTTCTTGGAAAAGCATTCATTCAAACATTTTTCTATGTTAAACAGTGATAATAATCATTTGTTTATTTAATGAAGTGGTTCTCAACCAGGGGTGATTTTGGCTTCTGGTAAAATCTGGCAATCTTTGGAGAAACTTCGGTTGTCACACCTGTGAATTCTAATGGGTAGAGGTCAGGAATGCTGCTAAACAATCTATAATTCACAGAACGACGACCCTATACATCAAAGAATTATCTGGTTCAAAATGCCAACAGTGCTGAGGTTGAAAAACCCTGGCTTAATGTCTTCGGTAGGTGTATTTTTTTTGAAATTTTACTTTTCAATCCATATGGCCTGGCATATAAAAAAGGCAACTTGTTAGGGAGAGGCCACTAGGCAAGATAGTTTAATAATCAAACAGTTTCTGGGCTTTGAAGCCCAAGCATCTGTAACAACGAAAATAATAATGTGACATTTTTGAATCATGTTTTAAATTTTACTGTTTTAGCACATTTTCTCCTCAGACTCTAGGTATTATTTTGAGTGTCCTTTTATAAACTATGTTGAGTCAAGCCACATGAATTTTAGCTTAGAACAAAGCAAAGTTTCTTGAGGAAATCACTATTTCAATAGGAAGTCAGTTATCACTGCAAGATTTTCAGTGGAGAGTGAATGACCATGGATGTGCCTATTTTAGAAACAACTCCCAAAAGGGTAGACTAAGCCAGATGATACCAAAGGTCACTGACATTCAAGGTTTTTATACAAAACCAGCTAATGATTGTCATTTCCCTGTTTGTCTTTGATCTTGAGCACAGAATCAGTGTAATACAATGAATGCTCAAGGTCTGAGTGCCTCAAAGTGTGAACTCCTGACTTAGAGAACTGACCCAGCTTTACTAAAGATACCGGTGCTACCTGAAAGAATTAACACTGGCATACTCTAAAGGAATAGCTGCTTGTTTTATATAATAAGTACCTGTCTCAGTAATGAAGGGAGAAGAATCAGTATTTTATCTTTTAAAAAACTAGATTACTCAAATTTTGTAGGCGGAGTAGGGTTCACTAAGCAGCCTCATCTCCTACAGATGTGCCCACGATCTGATTTTTGTACTCTTCCTCCCTCACAAATTACAATGTATTTGAGATAAATCTTCTAATTTTTGAAGTTTGAGAAGTGGCTTGCTTTATCTTACTGATTTTTATGCTGCTATTTAATATTCTCTTTAAATTAAAATTGCTGCCACAAAAAGGGGATGCCATGGCACACAAAAAGGCATCCACTCACATACTTGTAAAAAAACAAATTGCTCTAAATAAGATTAACTGAGACTGGATATACCAATCTCAAATTAAATAAACTAAATCCATATGGCCAGACATGTGATTGCAGGGGAATATGGCTAAAGGAAAAATATATGACTTGGATAAATGTTCACAACTAGCAGGACATAGATATCCCTTCCAGGCTGGCCACCTGGCCCACGCTGTGGCATATACACTAGGGTTAGGGCTGCTTACACCAAGCACACACCAACAGCTTCACTTGTGAGCTGGTTCAGAGATTTTAAGTGCTCCTACAATACAGTAGAAAGAGGCTCCATGCTGTACCACAGACACCAGAGCCTAGGATCACTAGGTCACAAAATAGATTCACAAAGAGTTTAAACTATCAAGAAAAGTTCATAGCCTCAAAGGAAGATGAATTATACAGATGTGTGCACAAATCCCACTTTGCAGAAGGTGGCTCTTGAAAAATGCTCATTTTTTGTTTTACTTTATATTGGTTTTAAGACAAAAGTGGCCAGTAAAATGATAATCACAGATCTAAGAGTAATTTCAGTAACCACGTAGTGCAAAGCCTGCAATTTACAGACGAGAAAATGGCACCCAGAGGTCGTACACACCAGGTAAGTTTATAATGAAGTTAGCAGCTGAGCCAAACCCCAATCCCAAGTTGCCTGACTCCTAGACTATTACTCTTTCTAGTATGTTAGGCCACCTGTCATCTAAATGACATGCACCACCCTGGGAAAAATATTAAGAGTTTTCATATATCAGAACTTAAGGGCTTCATCTGACTTAATTTATTAAAAATAAAAGCAAAGAGCAGTGATGTTCCATCTGCATCCTTATTTAAATATTATCTACCCTCCCATCAAGTTTAGGGCAACACACACTTTCCTTTTTTTCTGCTGAGTTCTGTTTTTTTTTTTAAATATATCCCCAATGATGTTCTATCCATACAATAAAACCGAATCCTTCAAAAGTTATCTCTATGATAATTAATATTCACATACACCTGTGTTAAAGAACCGAGAGCAGTTTGAGATGGAAAGAAGAGTAAGAAGTGAGGGGACAGAAATGCAACAGGAAAAAAGGAATTAGGAACAAATGCTGATTTTGCCACAAATGCACTGCTGCACATTTACAGCCAAAGTGCTCCATCTTCTATTATGTATGACTTTTAGTAACATCAATATTGATCCTCACTATTTTAATGCAATTAAATAATCAAAGAAAATAATCAACCTATTTTCAAAGAATATTGTTAAAAAGAACAAATTCCACAGTTCTCATTAAAAAGAATGACACAAAGCAAGACAAAACTGGGTGAGCCAAGTGTTCTTTGTTGTTGTTGTTGTTTTATAATGCATTTACAGTTTAATTAGTCTGTTTTTAAATTTAGTTCAGTGTGTGTGTGTGTGTGTGTGTGCGCTGACTTTAGGTTGTGAGCAGTATGGGAATCATAGCAAAATTTACTGTTTTGGATTTTAAGAATAAAAACAAAATAGTGCACCTAAGGAAGGAAGACTTAGGCCGTATACCTTAGTAGTTATTGACATATTCCACTAATTTTATATCAAAACCAGCCTTTTATTAAGATTGTTCATTCTAAAAAGTCCCCAAATTACAGTCTAATTAAATGGGAAAATATGAACTCTGAACTGCTTATGAAAGGAAACAACATATATAATTACTAGCTAAAAGTATACTTTGTTATGTTAAAAAATAACTTTCCAAATCCTGAAAAATCTCTAATTAAATAGACATAAATAAAGTTATTTTCCTTGCTCCCTGACATGTCCTATATACCACAGAAAAGGTTACTATACAATCCATTGGAAAGTTCAAAACCAAAAGAACAATCCAGGGAACATAAAGAACTTGAGTCTTCAAAAAATGCTCCCCACAGCAGCAACCAAGTCCAAAGTGGGTTATGTTCAGGGAAAATGGTGCAAAGAAGACTCTTGAACAAGGAGGAAGAATCCTTTGGGAAACTTTTCCTGTGACTCGGACCAGGTACAGCCACTACTGTCAGGACTGCTTTTCATAGGCATGTAAACATAACTGTAAATGCCTTAATGCTAGGGCCTGTGTCCCATTCAGGTATATCCCATGCACAGCCTGGCAAAGGACCACCATATGGGGAGCTTAATAAAGAGCCAAAACGAATGTGTGAATAGAATAATGTTCAAGAAGCAATCAGACACAGACCACCACAACCTGCTAGAAAACAAACAGATCTCCATCAGTAATTGTCATCTACATACAATCAGATCCTTAAAGATTAAAATTCTAGAATTTGAGATCATCAGGTTTTGCAAATTTAGATGTTTTATGCATAATTTATAAAGCATTCAATAATGCCTTAATATTGAGCAATATTGAGTGGACATTCTACAACTGATCAATTATAATGCAAATATAGAAAATATATGTCTGCTATTTATATATACCACCTCTATTGTGCCCTAGGACTGAAACTGTAACCCAATATTCATTCTCGTCTTCTCCCACAGTAATAGATGTTTTAGCTGGGCATACTGCCACTCACAATAAAAAGTGCATTTCTCTGTCTCCCATGAGGTTGCTGTGCCTTTTAAGAAACCTCTGACCAATGGGATACATGGGTAAGTGATATGTGTACCTTCCAGGTCATGCGTTTAAAAAGAAGAGGGCATTCTCTGCCTGCCTGCTGCTTGGACAGTGAACTTGACTGTTGGCCATCTCAGACTGCAAATGAGGGCAATACTATACGAGGACCAAATGACAATGAAGGAATCGGGATCCCTGGATGACTTCATGGAACAAAGTCATCGTATCTTTCCTGGAATGCCAGCTTCCAAATGGTTACATGTGAGAGAAATAAACGTCTTCCTTGTTTAAGTTATTGTTTTTTCTATTTCCTGTTTCACACAGCCAAAACTGCATTTTGCCTAACTCATAATAAACCAAGTGAACAAAAACCACTATGTCTAAATTATCCCTAAGTACTCTGACTAAATTCTGTCATACACACATACACACATCATGATTGAAACTACACACACAGGCACATTCATATGGGTCATAATGTGTGTCATATATATATATTTTGTATGTATGCATATAGGCCCCATTTTCAGATGGCATATCATTTCATCATGCTGATAGGTCCAAGATACTTCCTCAACTTCCTCTCAAGTCATTCAACCAGATGTTTTAAAATATGACCAACTGAGAACTTGACTAAAGAAATCACAGGATGTTCAATAATATATCCATATATTTTGATATATAAAATATATACATCACTTAGTTTTCTCCAAAAACTTTGCTATTACATAGTCATAGATATAAAACAAATATATGTCTATTCATGACCAGAATTGATATTTCCTGTAATGGTACATGGCCGAACACGCTGTATGTATTTAGAAGATATGTCAAACCTATAATAAAGAAGACAGATGAACAGTACTATAAAACACACAGATATAAAAGGGAGGCATGATTTATGCCCAAGTCAGAGAGAAAACCTATGGAACTTCATCGACCCCATCTATCCTATTCTACATTGTAAACCTATGAATGAAAGAACAGTATTGAAGAAACACTCAGTCACAACACACATGGGTCACCCCTAGACACAGATATCACCCACACTATTAAGTTGTTTGTTGTTGTTTTTATTTCCTTTGAAAATGATCTTAAACTCTTAGGTAAGGGTTTCAGCCCTACTCAAGAGAAAGCCCCTTTGGCCACAGGTGTTAAGATTTTACTTAGGGAATCTGACTCTACTCACAGGCACTGTAAAAGCTGATATTTGATAGGCTCCTTCCAAGTCAAGGACAAATACAGAAATCCATGGAAACCACAGTGAAACACTAATGTTATTCTGTGCGGTTTCACATTAAGTATCCAGTGCTTAGAATATGTTTTACCCAGTAACCAGCTTTCAATCAACTAAAAATGACCGCAAGAAATCCTTAGCCTTCTGGTTACCCAGGGGTTTAGGGTCAATAGAAAACACCTAAATAAACTAAATTGTCCAAGAGATCATTACAAATGACATGAGAAAACATGTGATTGTTTTCTTAAAGGAACATGCATTTTCATCACAACCACTCTATTTAAACTACTCTCAAAGGGCCTCAAAACTGCCCATTCACTGAATGCAACCTTTTCATTATGTCTCATTTTTCTTGGCCTCCCTGCAGTATTCTAACTCCTTGGTCATTCCTTAATTCTTGGAATTTTCTTTGTCTTTAGCTTGTGTGGTACTGACTTCTCCCCTAACCTCTACATTTGGGTCCCACAATTCAGGCCTCAGCTTTCTTTACTCTTCTCTATATTCTGCACCAACTCTCATGCATTAGATTCCCTAACTTCTTCCACAAAGCTAGACCCAATCTCCAGCTCTGGATGTCCTCCCTGTAGCTACCTTTCCAACAATTCAAATTCTTTATCACTTTCATCAATTCAACACTCATCTACTAAGTATTGACTGTGTGCTGGGGATTAGGGTTACCAAAAAAAACAGACACTGTAGTCCCATAAACTAAAACCACACTCACATTGGTGCGATAGATGATAAAAGTCTGAACCAGTAGCATAGAAGCACCTGTCTCAGTGGCTGTGCACAAAGCTGTGATACTTTGCCTGGGTTTTGTAAAAACCCCAAGCAGCGAAGTGAGCAGGGCAGAATGGGACGGTGGAGGTGAGATGAGTAAGTGATTCATACAAAGCTGTACAGCCCAGAGAGTTTGGGAACTGCAATGATTTCCTTCGGTAGAGAAAGAACTAAAGGTGATAGAAAATGAGGGTGGTCTTCCCTTCTCCCTCTTGACACATGGTGTTGGTGCCTCTGGATTTCATTTGGTGGTACTCGCATTCTTCTAATTACTTATATTCAAAACCTTGAAAGTTTTAGGCTCCTTTCTCTTCCTGGTACCATATGCCCAAAAAATGTCAAGCAAAACATCTCAATTGGCTTCATCTAATTTATACCTATGTTTTAAGGCTTAGCTCAGATGCCATGTCTCCAGGAAACCTTTTTCAACCTCCACCACAGCAAAAAGTAATCAGTCTTTCAAGGATCTACTAATATTGTCTGTATTTGTATCAAACAACCCCCCTTTTTAATGAAAAGCTTATGGAAAGCAAGACTATTTCTATTCAGTGTTGTACTATGGTATTTGTGCACAGCAGGTGCTGCCTTTTTTCTCCTAGGAGTTTTCTTTTTGTTTTCCCTACTCATTATTACATACTGGCTTTTGTAATCTTCGGTATTTCAAAAATCACATTTTACGCTATTAGCAAAGTCAACATAAATTAAGTTAGCTAAGTTGGGTTTTTCATTTTATTAATTATTGGACTCCATGGTAAAGAGTGGGGTGGTGCTATGTAATCTGAAAAATTCCTTCCAAGTCTAGAATTCTATTAGTCTTTGATCATACAAAATATGGTTAACGGAAAAACAAGTTAGCACGAAGATTTCTAATTATAAAACACTAAGAAATAAACTCTTTAAATCACGACCTTATAAGGTGATTCCATCAAACTTTCTTAAACACAACTCTTTTAGCAGACTAGAGGTGCTTCACTCTTAATGCCTACGAATATAAACACTTATTGCCTATGAGTATAAACATTTTCTTAAAACACTTAGTAACTAAAAGAAATTCTCCAGTGGGCCTCATATGAATTATTTAACAGTCATGTATTAAAAATGAGTAATTTCTAATTAATAGGACAACCTTTATCAAGATAGATGTTTCTAGTAAAAAACAATCTCGAGACAATTTTAGATCATGATGAAAGTTTGTGAAAAATGTTAAGATATGGTAGCCAACAAGGTGACAAATTGTGTTTTAACACTTTTTATATAAGAGATCAATTTTCAGGCCTCAGTTCTGCCTATCTTGATACAAGTGTTAGAAAGCTGATATCCCAAATAGTCTAAAATACTACTCCAAATATATAAATATTTTTAAAGATAAAAACTGCTTAAAAGTCTCACTAAAAGCAAATCCTGAACTAAGCATAACAATTCAGAAAGAAAGTACAATATATTCCAAAGTGTTTTATTCATGCTGCATACAAATGTATCTGTAGTAAAATAAGAGTTGACAGATCACCTCTCAGATGCTATGATGATCCATGTATTTTTGATAAGCATGCTGCTAACCTGCAGGCGTAGTTTCATAAAATGAAGAATTTTATTCAAAATCATTTAGCAGCAATCATCTTATGTGATTAAGTCACAGATATTAACTGAAGCATTATTTTGCTAATACTCAATTTTCCTTTCTTGAATCAAATGATTTCTGTTCACTCATTCTTCATTACTAGAGAGAGGATAGGTTTTTGGATGAACCCAGGAGCAAGCTCTTTTCAGGCTTGTTTGGAGGGGGTTCAAATGCATTGCTCCATCCTGGCTCATAAGAAAAAACCTCAAACATAATTTTGATCGTGCTTTAGAAAGAAAAACAGACACCTTCCTACCCTGGCAGTGATGCTTGGAAGGGAATTGAAGCACAGGCTTCATTCCACTGTATCGATCTCACTAAATAAAGGGTTCTGAATTTATTGATCAGCTCAGACTAAACCCCTAACTGTTTGCAAGACCATGCATGATGTGAAGCCCTGGTTCACTGAAGAAGGAAGAACTGAAAGCACTTTTGTTCTCAGGCAGCCACAGAGCAGCAATTTACACTAAGTAGTAGATGAACATGATTAAAATAATAGACAGCATTCAGTTACAGGATGGCGGGAGGTGGGGGAGATAAAACTTATGTTAAATTCAAAGATTTCTCAATTTTAAGAATGATGTAGTAACAAGTGAAAGGTAAAACTATCTTTAAAAGAGGAATATTTTATTTGCATGTTTCTAAGCAGAAAAGCAACTCAGTCTCTAACACAGTTGTTTCCTTCAAACCCCGAAAATATGCCTGTAGTGATTTTTTTTTTAAGGCTACACAGCAGTTTCTTCCCCACCCTCATCACTTTCACTGACTGCTAAATGATGCATACAGGGAGGGGTAAATCCAAGATTAATTTTAAGGTTCATTTTGTACATCTGCTCATTTTCATTTTCATTTGGAAGGACATTATTTTCTTTAGTCAAACTCAATTCTCATTCAAAATAAGCCTGAATGTGCTGCGAATTGATCTTATTATAATAAAATATTGCTGCCAAAATTTACAGCAGGCTTTTATCTCAGAAAAAGGAAAACCACACCCCTTTATCCTGGTTTTCAGAACACAGGCCAAGCATGTGTTTCCCAATTTCTGTTAGCACCCATTTTTACACATTCAAAGCGTTCTCAATTTTAAAACAAACAAAAAGAAAGCCTAGTTGTTTTTTCTAAATATTGGCCACTGGAACATCTCCCAAAAGGCTTTCCACCTAGTCTTTCACATTCAAGGACTTAAGTACTCTGATCTACTACTTCGATATCTTGGTATTTAAAAGAGAAGAAAACAATGATTTTGTATTCAACCACTGCATTAATTTTTCTATTTCTTAACTCTTTTCAACTTAAAACAAATAAAGTAATTGTTTCCAGTCAAGAGGGAGAAAACTCTAGCCCAGGAACTGAATTCAAGCTTGAATGCAATCCAAATATGGGTTTGGCCACTAAATAGCTGTACAGTGTGGTATCTTCAGCAAGTTGCTATGCCTCTCAGTTTCAAGATATGGAGTACATGCTGCCTGTTCACTGGGTTGGTTCTCACATTTTACGATAATTATTTGAAAACAGCATTAGACACAAATATGAGTTATTTTTTAAACTGTGTGGGATTTAAATGCTAACATCTTTATGTCCACTTTATCAGAGAAGACTACAGCTGTCACAAAGACCTTACGTACTTTTTAGTTGGGCAGGGAAAGGGGACAGACTTCTACTTTACAATTTACGTTCCAGTACGTGAGACATTAGAAAACTTCTAAGTTCCTTCCTCTAAAGGTCAAGAAGACAGAAACTCATGACAGATGGTCCTCAACTTCTGGTGGGAATACATTCCAATGAAACTCACTGTAAAGTCAAGAACTGTAAATTGAACCATTGTAAGCCGGGACTGCCTGTACATTATTACACAGTCATTAAATAACTTACCCAATATTTACAAAGTACCTAGGATGAATAATACATTAAGCAATGTTGCTGCTTAATACAGCAATACCTAATGTAAAAACTAATATCTGCTGGCAGTGATTCCAAAGGCAGATAGGAGATGGAATGGAGTAAAAAAAAATTTTTTTTTCAAAATTCACTTTCTTTTAAAAAAGGAAGCCAGGATGAAGTGGAAATGTATTGGGGAGGGAAAAAATGGCAAACCTAATCCAAAAAATGTGTTCTATGAGAATGGACTTATCCACCCTAACATATTCATGTTTTACATGTAAACATTAAGCGTAAATTCACTTGATTTAAGAAAATGCTTCATTTTGAAAAAATTGGGTTAAAAACCCCTAAATCATCATAATGAGCATTTACTGAGCATTTACTATGTGCTGAGCTTGTTCTAAGCACTTTATAATATTAACTCATGTATGCACCCTAACAGGCACGTAAGACAGTCAGCATTAGTACCCTCAGTTTTCAATAAAGAAACTGAAGGGGTTAATCTCAGGTTTCATTTACAATCCAGAGATCAGTACTCCTGATTACAAAATGCGTTAAGTTTACATTTAAGAAATATTTTAGGGTGTAGAAAATACACAAGGTGGTTTCATCATTTTCCTTAATTTTGAACTGAAAATAGTATAAAAATTTAGAAATATGAAAGCTTACCTCAAGTATAGTATTTTTACAGGAAAAGAGTCTATGGTCAATTGCATTATCTAATACTTTGAACTGCTGGACAAGGGTTCACATTTAAAGAAAAACATGATATTTAATAAAAATGAGATTGTTAAAAGTTTATAGATTATTTATTCTATAGGAAATATCCAGATGTATATGCTTTAAAATCAAATGTTATTTTGAAGACTGCTATCATTATGAGAAAAATGAACTACAGATATGCATGACTGTTCGCTATATATTATTACCAAATAGATATATGGAATAACACTTAAATAGATTAATGGGGCAGGGTGGGGGACAGTTAATATGGCTACATCATAAAACTTCCAAAAATCAAAGTGAACTATTTATTTAAAACATAGCACATAACATAACCTAGCTTAAGAAAGATGGCATATGGCCTTTGAAAAAATACATCATCTTCTATTTACTCATTGGGTGCTTGTGCAAACTCCCTAGCTTTTCTCAATCTGTTTACTGAATCCCTTTAAAATATACATAAAATCCACTCCAACTGGCTGTGATGCTAATTAAGCTAAGTAATACATCTAAAACCCCGAGACATTATCTGGAATTCATGCAAATTTGATATACTTACATAAGTATAATAAAATAAGGTCAGGGGGCTTCTAATCTCTCATCTACAAATAATTAACTTTGAAAAAAATAATTGGGGTAAATTGCTCCAATTTTCTATTAAATAAAGAGAGTGAGTGCCTGCTATCCATTTTTTGTTTCAAACATTCATTGAGGGTGCTGTGCTTGACACAGAAGATAGAGATGTGACTGAGACATAGGCCATCCTGGCAGAACTATCGGTCTGGTGGGGAAAAGTGACTTCCTAAAATTGAAAGGTGGACAGAGGGGACAAGTAGTCTCCAGAGAAACAGACCAGAACATGAAAAGATATGACAATGTGATCACATGGTGCAGCCGGGACGCATCAATAAGGAAGCGTTCCATGTGACCCTAGAATGTCCAGAGGGATGATGAGGCAGAGATGCTGGAGGGGTGCTCCAGAGCCAGACCCAAAGGTCCCACTTGGCCAGGCAGGTGGACTTCCTCCTCAAGGCACTGTGGACCCACGCATGAGTTCTTAAGCAGGAGAAAGACATGCTACCTGCTGTGTATAAAGAAACCAAATGGAAGACAGCTTGGAGAAAAACTGTATTAATTTTTAAAAATGATGAGTATTGTGTTATTTATGAAATCACTTTCTTTTGTAGAAAAAAAAACTAATTGTCAAATCATCCTATCCACCAACCTGATTTAGGGGAAATAATACTAAAATCTACCTGGCTTTTCTCCTAGTTCCCACAGGAGCAGTTACGGATTCAGTGGATGGATTCAACTTCTGAGTGGCTTGGGAATTTATAAGCTTCCCCCTAATAATAGCAAATTTTCCAATTCTGTTAGCCATAGTGACAGGCTGTTCCAGCCCTATCTGAAATTGGGACGCAGCCATAAGCGCAAGGCCCTGCGGCAAAGGGAAAATACTTTCCTTATCGTGGCGCAATGGTCAAGCCAATTTTCCTAGGCAAAAATACATTTAAGATTTTATTTAATGTTCCTAAAATAATGCTCATTTCACTTTTTAACAAGAAAATCTATTAACTGAGCACCAAGGCTGATTACAATATAGCAATTTAAGCCATGACCAAAAAAAAACCTGCAAATACTTATGAATACAACTACATCAGAAAAAAACAGAGTTTATTACAGCTAGAGGTAGGGGTGCCTACAAGTCCTTCAAGGCTATTTCAAGACGAATTCAAATAGAAAACTCTTTCATAAAGGGACACAAATGTGTGACATTTCTTGCATTTTATATACACACATAAACTCAGCTAATTGTATGGTTAACATATTGTGAAGCTTTATGTGCACAGGTATCAAAGCACATGGGTAATACTGGCCAAGAATGGCAGTGGTCAAATATTTTGCAAAGCTAACCTATCAAATATTAACCAGAAATCCTAAAAGAATGCTCAGTGGCAAACAGTTTAGATAACAATAAAAAGATAAACAGATGATCCATTGATCATGACAGGTTGGCTGTCATCCTGGGACACCTCCCACATTCCCAGGATATTTGATTAAAGGAAGTGGTTAAAATATGGTTAGTATACCACTAACAACAAAATGGAGTCTATGGTAACTCATGATCACACTTTTTAAAAGTGTATCATAAAATTCCCTGTCAGTTTTTCAAGTGTATAGTAAAAGTGAAATAGGTCACATCAGAATACAGAATTATGTTCTGAAAAACTTGTTCAATTTGGCTAAGTCTCATAATCTCATCACTTACATAAAGTCACAGATTCTGCATCAATAACTCTAGGTGTACAATATAATATTGTCTGTGCACCTAAAATATCAGATATACGTGTATTTATTTCTAATGATGTGGCTACTGTTCAAAAACTAGTGACTGCTGACAGGGCACGGTGACTCACACCTTAATCCCAGCACTTGGGAAGCCTCAGCAGGCGGATCTCAGAAGTTCAAGACCAATCTGCACAACATGGCGAAACCCTGTCTCTACAAAAAAACAAATAACAAACAAACAATTAGCTGGGCATGCCTGTAGTCCCAGCTACTTGGGAGGCTGAGATAGAAGAGCTGATTGAGCTCAGAAGGTCAAGGCTGCAGACAGCCGTGATCATGCCATTGCACTCCAGCCTGGGAAACAGGGCACGACCCCGTCTCAAAAAAAAAAAAAAAGTCTGACTATTCAACTGTAATACCTAAAGTTTTGTTTCAATGTGCTTCAGTGGCATTCATGAATTAAGGAGCTAAGTGAATGCTGGGTTTAGCATTAACCCCATGATTAATGAGGCTACCTTCCACAGGACACAAAAAACACAAACAGGATGCACTCGGCCACACAGGCAACAGGCATCCTATTTATTTTTTTCTGGTAGATATGCCAGTGGTACAAACCAAAGGCCTATTTGAATTGCTCTTTTGCTTACATTTGAAAGTCAATATGTAAACTACTTTCAGATGCAACCAACAACAGGCCACACCCATAAGATCTAAGTACATCAAACCTTCCTATATAGTTTTCAGATATATCCCAGTCCACTCAAAAGCATTAGGCATCGTATGTTAAGTAATTTTTACCCCTGATATATGCAAACAGGCCTTAGAATTGCTTTGTGTGATCTTCTGGTTAATAGCTACTCCACTGAAAATTATAATCTGTCTTTCAAAATACCATTGAGTCAAAAGGTGATGCATTGCTAATGCTAAATTATTTTTCTCTGAAAAAATTTACTTCCATCATTCTGGTATTTTTAAATCACAGCTGTAAAATTTTAAACTCACAAAACATAACCACCTGCATATAAAAACCTATCTATAATATAAGCCATCACACTTTAATTGTGCTGTCAAAAAATATTTGAAAGGAGTTTGCATTGATATATTAGGTAAACATGAACCAAAATATCAAAACTTTATTTTCCTTAATGAAAGCCCAGCTTACGATTTCCAAAACAGATGAATATCAGTTAGACTCTAGGCCTAGCTACAACTTGGAAAATACAAATAAATAACTTATAAAAATTGGGTCTGTGTGGCTCACACTGGTAATCCAAGAACTCTGGCAGGCCAAGGTGGGAGGATTGCTCCAGGCCAGGAGTTTGAGAACAGCCTGGACAACATAGTGAGCTTCTGTCTCTACAAAAAATTAAAAAATTAGTTGGGTGTGGTGGTTGCATGTCTGTAGTCTCAGCTACTCAGGAGGCTGAGGCAGGAAGATCACTTGAGCTCAGGAGGCTGCAGCTGCAGTGAGCTGGGATCGTACATTTATCTCCAAAAATCAATTAATTAATTAATTAAATTTTAAAAAACTAAATGACTCTACTGTCTATGTCCCAGTAAACATAATTTATAGATCTTTCTTATTATTCATTTTTAGGACATCTAGAACTACATAAGAAAAGCGTTATTAGGCCACCAAAGCAGAACTGTTGCAATAATGTGACATTAAGCACAGTGTCCCTGCTCTGCTGCTTCCTTAGCAGAATAATGAACCTCTCTTGTCTTCCGTTTCCATTTGTAAAACAGATACACAATCACCATGCCTGTACCTCACAGATGATTGTAGAGCATAAAGAAACTAATTCACGTAAAACATTTTCATGTCTAGGATACAGGTTTCAATAAATATTAGTCAGAAGCATCGTGATCATTTTGTAGTTGGCTCAGGACTAACTGAAGGACTGTGGGCATGAGCAAGTCCTGGCTGGTCATCAGAGGTCCACACTGCTGCAGGAAAGACAGAAACACTTCTGAGAGACTCAGGGGCTAAGTACTCCCTCCACCCAAGAAAGCAAGGAGGAGGAAATGCTTTTCAAAGTGCAGACAGCAACGCATTATTGCTATAATTTAGAAAGGAATGGAATGGAAAATGGAGTATATCACAGTCAAAAGTAAGTCTCACATCTTGTGAAATACACATGTAAGTGCAGTATCGTGATGTAAAATGTATTTCCGACATAACATTCTGACAACTACTGCTCTGAAAGACATAGGTATATATCCACTCCAAATCAGAGACACCTGTGAAACCATGGCACCAAGCCTAGCTGAGATGCAGAAGACAGAATTCACTGGCACAAGTCCTGAGAAAATGGAGCGCATCCAGATGTGCGCATGGCTGCTGAGCAGGCCTCTTCCAGGGAGCCCTGCGGGAGAGGATTTGGGCTCTGTCCCCAGTGACTGAAGTTGAAAATTCTGTTACCTCCTTAGGGGCACAGAGGGCTGTAATGCTGCCAAGACTTTCTGAAGTGGAATTAGACTGTCAGAGCAATAACCCCTCTTTCAAAGTGGTCTAGAGTAGTAAAATGACTAAATTTCCATAGGAGGGTGAGACTTATTAAGTTTTGGCAATCCCAAGTTTTGATGAGGTACCCTTGAAAAAGCAAAAGTTAATTAAAAATTTAGAATCAGACACCACATGCATGGACACGCACGCTAATCCATTCAATGGAATCTTTATTTTTATTAATAAAAACAGCTCCTTACACCATTTCCTCGGCTAACCAGACATAACCAATAAACAGTTCCAAAAATCCAAGAGAGCAAATGCCATGTAGGACCAATAAATACCACATAATTTGTTCGTAAAATAACTTACACCAAAAAGGACAAAAAAGATATTTTAAGTTCTTCAGTATTTGAAAGTTATAATTCCCTTAGAAGTTTCATCTGGTCTATTCACAAATTTAGAATTATATCATCTTGATTTTTTTTCAAAAATACTAAAACATACAACTGCTAGGAACTAAAAAAAAATTATCAGATAGTAAATATTCTGTCAGTTTTCAATAATCTAACACTCTGAGTAATTGTTATACCCCAACTTTGTGGGAAAAAGAGGCCACAGGAGTAAAGAGGTAGCGAGATCTCAGTGCAAGCTCATCATGGGTTTTAATTGACACCACCTTCCCTCACATCTGGGCAAGTTACAGAACATTTGACAGAATCTTCACACAGAACATCAATCACTGCAGTGGTGATTTTATATTAAGATCTGACCTAGAAAAAGCCCTTGATTTTTTTCCTGTACTCTCCATCTTATGTTTTTATGAGAAAACCAAAATATTATGGAAGACATTTAGAAGAAAATTGGTCCATTTTGAGAGAGGGAGAAAATTAAGGATAAAAGAGAGAAGATACTGTTCAAAAAGCATTTGTGGTGTGTGTGTGTGTGTGTGTGTGTGGCCTGAAATAGTGTGATCCTACAGCTCAGTTAAAATTTCATCTTACCTACTATTTTCCACTAATTTGCAAGCTAGCATCCCATTTCCATCTTTCTAAATTACTTAACGATGTCATTAAAAATATTTCCATACTATTCTCTGCAATAGATATTACTCCCCTTCACCTTATTTTCTTATTTCTCAATAAACATCCAAACTTGTGTTCACACTCATTTAATCTATCAATGAGTATCAAAAGGCCAGGACTCGTCAGGCATTGTGCTAGGCATTGGGAATACCGGGCAAATGTGACAAGGTCCCTGCCTTACAAAGGTGACCTCCTCTCAGGCTCATTGAAAAAGCACAGCAGTATGGACCCCTTGTTCAAAAAGAAACACCTTTTATTTCTCTCTAAGGTGATACTTCCCCTTTCTGGCCTTCGCCATGTACACCAGCCTCTCATTCCCCCAAAGTTATGCAGTCTGCGCTCACATCCTTGCTGAGACCTTCAGTGAAACCCACTATCAGTTAGGATGCAACTCACTGCACGGAACAGAAACTCATCTCACGCTGCCTTACACAATCAATGGTGCTTATCAGCTAACGTGACTGGAGGCCCAGGGATAGGAAAAGCTTCTGGATTATATTAATTCAGCAGCTCAATGATTTCATTAAGGGCCAGTTTCTTTCCTTCTCTCCACTCTGCCTGGAAGTGGATGATTGACAAGGATTCTTGAGATTACTGGCTTCCCTTTCTCCAGTCAAGGAGTGAGAGAACCACTGAGGGAAAGGGAAGGAGGTGAGGAGAGAAGGACGGAAGGGGGCAAAAGACAGAGGCAACGGGTGGGAGGGAGCAACAATTCCCTAAATGTGATCTCACTGATCCAAAGGGGTTCCACTGCAGTCAGAGGAACAGGACTTTGATGCTTCATCCCTAGAACCAGAGGTGGACTTAGCCCCTCCTAAAGCTATGGATGGCACAGGAGCAGCAGGGAGCAGATACCCAAACACTAATTTAAAAAATGAATCTCAGGGGAGGCCACCATAGTGTCCCCTATGCAACTGATTTCACACAAAATGTTATTCACAGACTGCTTATGGCCTTTACAGTCAGCTTCATCCTTATCATCCTCTCCCAAATCCATAACTGCTTAATTCTCCTGCATAGGTCTAGATGACTCGCACCCTATCAGCCAATTCTAATTCTCCCTCTGGCACTCAACTCAAGCATCCTCAAGACTTAGTCTCACCAAATAGTTCAGATTTGGGGGGAGTATTCTCCAATTAAAATCTTCCTCCCATGTCAAACCAATCTCACACACATTCTCCTTATCTATATCTCTTCCTTATCCATTCAAACTGCCCTTCTTGAAATCAGCAATACCTGTCTGATCTGGTTCCTCACTTACTTTGACTTTTCAGGCAAATCCTATGGAGATAGCATGGTATGTCACAAAAAGAACACGAGAGGAAATCCCACAGGCCATTTGCTAATGATATGCTTTCAGTAAATCACTTTAAAACTGTTTACATCTGAATTTCCATATCTGTAACACAGGATTACCACTTTTGCAGGGCTAAAAACTAAAGAAAATTTATAATAAGAACTTGGCCGGCCGGGCGTGATGGCTCATGCCTGTAATCCGAGCACTCTGGGAGGCCGAGGCGGGTGGATCGTGAGGTCAGGAGATCGAGACCATCCTGGCTAACACAGTGAAACTCCGTCTCTACTAAAAATACAAAAAATTAGCCGGGTGTGGTGTGGGTGCCTGCGGTCCCAGCTACTCAGGAGGCTGAGGCAGGAGAATCGCTTGAACCTGGGAGGCGGAGGTTGCAGTGAGCCGAGATTGCGCCACTGCACTCCAGCCTAGGTGACAGAGCGAGACTCTGTCTCAAAAAAAAAAAAAAAAAAAAAAAGAACTTGGCATATATAAGTTGCTTAATAAATAAAATCTATTGTCATTATAGAGCCATGAATTCTCTTGTTTGCGTGCAGTTTTTGTTGCTTTCTAGTGCTTTCATATGCTAGCTCTTAACAACAAGTATTCTGGGGCAAACAAGAAGATTTATATTTTTATATCTGTATTTGTGCCTAATCAACTGCTGGCCACTGTAAACTGCAAAACCGTGATGCTGCTTCATGATGGCTACATTTGTCTTCTATCACCATGCATAGGAATGTATTTCTGGGCCAGGCACAGTGGTTCACGTCTGTAATCCCAACACTCTGGGAGGCCGAAGCAGGAGGATGGCTGGGGCCCAGCAGTTTGAGACCAGCCTGGGCAACATAGCAAGACCTCATCTCTAAAACAAAAATTTAAAAATTAGCGAGGCATGGTGAGTCACGCCTATAGTCCCAGCTACTCAGGCGGCTAAAGTAAAAGAATTCCTTCAGCTTGAGGCTGCCATGAACAATAATGGTGTTACTACAGTTCTGACTAAATTTACAAAAAAAAAAAAAAAAAAAAAAGACTTGGGAGGCTGAGGCGGAAGAATCACTTGAACCCAGGAGGCAGAGGTTTCAGTGAGCCAAGACTGTGCCACTGCACTCCAGCAGTGACAGATCAGAAAAAAGAAAAAAAGAATTTATATTTCTTAAATAGAAGACATTCGTGGCTTAAAGTATGCTGGGAAGATGGCTGATGATACCAACTACCTGTCCCCTTCCCCCAGCCTTTCCCCCACAAAAAAGAACTAAAAATTGCTCAGAACCCGTCAGGGTTAAAAAAAAATGTTGAGCAGCTAGACTAGTTGTCTCACACCTGTAATCCCCGCACTTGGGGAGGCCAAGGTGGGAAGATTGCTCAGCTCAGGAGTTCAAGACCAATCTGGGCAACATGGCATAAACCCTGTCTCTACAAAAAATTAAAAAATTAGCTGGGCATGGTGGTGCATGCCTGTAGTCCCAGCAAACTTGGGAGGCTGAGATGAGAGAACGGAATGAGCCCAAGAGGTTCAGGTTGCAGTAAGCCATGATCGTACCACTGCACTGCAGCTTGGGGAACAGAGCAAAATCTTGTCTCAAAAAAACAAACAAACAAAATGTTCAGCAGCACAACCAAAACTTGAGAAGAATCCTGTGTGCACTTACTGACACCTCAGAGAAACCAAGCAAAGTTGTGTGATCATTCTTGAAAAGAGGATGGGAAAATTGATGTGTACCCTGACTAGCAACATGGACTTTAAAAACCCAGATAAGCAAGTGAGTACTGGCATGTAGGGGATGGGAAAGCGGAAGGTGCCCAAAAGGCTCGATCAGAAGCAGCCGTTCTGAGAAGCACTGACATCATGGGCTGGAGGGAAAGGGCCCTCCACAGTGGACAGAAGTGCGAACACAATAATCCAGACTGCGTACAGATACGTATTCATCTCATGATTCTAAGTGAATTACTTCAGCTCCGTGGACTCAGCATTATGTGAAAATAGAAATGCCCCCTGTTCTACCTGACTCATAGGGTGTGGGACAGCTAAATAGAATTTATGAAATTGCTCAAGAAGTAAAAAATGCTATGCAAATGTAATACATTTATAAATAACCAATCTAAATGGCAAAGGTAAAGTGTCTCTTACAAATATCAATGTATCATTGCTGAAATGTCCACATGTGACCAGACAGATGATCTACCAATAGGCAGCCAAATGAAGAATGGATCTTTTCTTCATTTCCTATTTTTTAATTATTGCTTAGGAAATAATAAATTATAATTGTTGTTTGAGATGGGTTAAACCCTTAGGACATTTAAATATAAAACTACTAAAACTTGGACAATGGGGTACCAATATGATTGAGAATTCACACTCTCTACTAATCTGTTAATCATTAGTGGAGTGAAAATACCATACCTTAGGTTTATCAGTTTGAGTAGTTAGTGTGAGATTATCCCATAAGGGACAATTTTCCTACAATATAAATGCAAAGAGATGCTTTAATAAATTTGTCTTCTGCATCAATAGAATATAGATGACAAGTCAACAAAGATGCCATACCAGATCTCAGTGACTGAACTGAAGGAATAATTGCATATATGCATAAGGTGAAAATCTGAAAGATTTAATCTCACAAAGAAATTAGGAGGACAAATATTCATCTGTGTTGAGATTTTTCTCTGGTCATTTCATTAAGGTGGTCCATTATTTTTTAAGCCTTGAAAACCATGCAGAAATTCTACAAAGAGACATTTAAATTTAAATGATTGCCACAAATTATGCATATTTTTCCACTACCACAACTAGTAATTGTTAGCTGGGCACTGGCATTTTCCAAGGAAATACATAGTTACTTCCTTACACAAAACATAAAACAAGTATCTGTTGAATGAATGTACAGAATATAAAGACTTCCCAGAACCTGAGAATTTCCTTATCAACATTTTCTCAAATGCACAATACATGCCAAATCTGAGAATACTTAATTTAAAGTTAACTTCTGAAATGAAAGACAAAGTAATAATGAACTGGCCCTGACTTATAGGGTTTCAAAATATAACCCAACAAGTTGCTAACTAAAGTCAAGAACATCAGGAAGGCCAGCTGATGTCAGAAGAAAATCAAAGGCAGTATTATCAGGTGTTTCCTCTTTGCCAAAAATGTCTGTGGTCAGATGATAACATCAGCAGTTTAATGAAGGAAGGAAGGAGGAGCTTTCAGGTCTAGGAATGAACTGAGAAGTAGTTTATGGGCCACGTTCTTTGCTGTAATCTTTTTTTTTTTTTTTTACCATCAAGTAAAGTGAAGAATCTTCGTCGCAATTTGTCATTAAACTCGTTTATCAGAGTTTACTCATCTCCTTATTTGAGCATCTGGTGAAATAAATATTCAAATATTTAAAAACAAACAAAAATGTACTAATAATGTATACAGACATGTTCTGATCAATTGTTAACATGAATAAAGGTTTCTTCAGTATCTGTTTTAGATGATGGTAATGTCTACCCAAAGACATAAAGTAGACTTCTATATAAAAGACAAGAAAGAAGACTTAATTTATAACCTCCAAAGTACAACACCTCCAAAAATCCATCTAGACTAATATGGTTGACTATCCAAACAGAGTGAACATAACTGAAGATAATCTGTATTTCTGTTGTGGAAATACACGCTAAGACCAAATATCTAAGTATAGTAGAAAATAATCTACCAGAATCACTCGGAATTCACTTGAGAAAATACATTTCTTAGGACCCAGATCTCAAACTCTGGATTGGGGCTCAGGAATCTGCATTTTAACAAGCTTCCCCAGAATAACTCTTAAGAACTCTAAAATTTGAAAACCAATGCTATTGGGTTAGAAGAGTTAAAACATGAGGACTTTGAGTTATTTCCTACACTTTTTAATACAGAACACTAGAAAAAAAAGTTGAACTGGAAAAATAAAGGCATATAAACAGCACAGAATAAGGTAGCAGTCAATTTAAAAGTTAGTACAATTAAAATCTGATGAGTCCATATGTTGAAGGGCTACTTCCTCACACTAATGAAAACCTTCAACTCAGGTGAAATAATGCATTGTTACAAAGAATGACTGGCTCTCAGGGAGGAGCAGCAGAGACTGGCCCTGGTGTAAAGACACACATCTTCAAAAGTGGCTGGGGCTCTTAGTTTTATTCTTCATACAACACAGAGTATAAATATTAGCATCAAAGATGATTCCATTTGGAAAGAAGTCTAAAGGATACATATTTTTTAATGACAGGAAAGCATCCATAAAAAGACCTTAATCCACATTGAAGAGGGAAAAATAATAGATCAAGCTGTTGGTGACTTTCTCCTTATAAGTGAGCAAATCCCAACCAGAGTGATCTATAAAAGATTTAACAATGAACAATTAAAAAAGCAAACTTTAGACTCTTGCAGAGACACAGTTCAAAACATGAAGGTATTAAAGGCAAAAAAACAAAAACAAAAACAAAAACAAAAACAAAAAACTGTGCTCAAATGTCCGAACACCATAAGGGATCTTTGTTCTATGTTGTATAAGTTTAGGAGACAACCCTTTATTGATATAAAAGTCCTCAAGATGAAATGGACACTCCTTAACAACTATAGATGTTCTTTAATAAAATAAATACATTCTTAGAAATATATAATTTTTATTTTTTTGTTAAAAAGAATAAGATGCTTTTTTCAGGAGAGATCTAAAGCAGTCATAACTGGAATGATCTAAATCCCGTTACTTTCATATATCTGCAGTAGGCCTTTTCTCCATTGCCTGGCATTAAGAATTCTATTTTAAGAAAATCACAGGCCAAGAATTAAAATATAGTCTTAACATGTGTCTTAAAGTTGCTGTAGGCTGAAATTCATGGACTAATTTTTGTTCATTTAATTATTTAAAGAATGTGTGTGTGTCTGGATGTGTGTGTGTGTGTGTGAAGGTTTTACTCCATCAATTTGACAGCTTATGTCATCTAAAACTTGTCGATTTTATTGTATACCCCTTTCTTCAAATGAGGATTTAAAATAAGTACTGGCATTAATTCCTAGGGCCATTACGTGATTGGGTTGTCAGTGGGGTCTCCAGATAACGTTGAAGCTAGGACCTTAAAAAAAATCAACCAAAAGGTCTAACATTTATGTTCAAAAATCAATTTTACAAGTGTAAGATGGTAAGCAGTTTGTCTGAAAAAAACACCCAGGAGTTTTAGTTAACCACAGACTTAACAGGAGCCAACAGAATGACGCAGCCATAAATAATGCCAAATCCATTCTGGGCTGTACTAGAAGTCCCGCATCTACATCAAAGGCAAGAAGAATGCCTCAGTACCATGTATCAAGACCCACGAAGTATTGAGCTCAGTTGTGGAGGGAACCTCAGTTTCCCCTATTTGAAAGAGAAGAGTAAACAAGAATCCTCAAACATCACTGAAGAAATTGTTTGATGTTTAGCCTGCAGCAGAGGAGATTTAAGGAGCCAAGGTGATTATGTTCAGGTATTTGAAGAATCTCTGGAACATAAGTTCCTACTACAGGGATTTTGCTTGTCTGTTGACCACTATTGCGCAGTTCCTTGAGAAAGGCCTGCCACATGATCACCGTTCAACATGACTTGTCAAATGAAGAAATAATAAAATGAATGCCCTCCGAGCAAAAAAGGATATGCTTGCTCTGTGTGACGCCAAAGTCACCAGTGGGTAAAAATTTTAGAAACGTTATGCTTCAGTTAAACTTGAATCACTTTTTAACGGTGAGAGCACTCCAAAGATGGGGAAGACTTGGTAAGAGAGTGATCTCCTCCTCATTTGGGGGAAGGGAGTGACAGTAGTATTCTTGCAGAAACTGGAAAACCATCTGTCAAGGATGCTACAGCAATGAAAATGCTGTTTACATCATTGAACACCACAAGGCTTTCATTTTTATCCTCTCTGCCATTTCTGTGAAGAAAACCTTCTGCTGACATAAAATCATCAAGACAAAATGAAGAGTTTTTAACCATTTTAGGAGTGACTCAACAAAATGTGTTAGAGTGGTTCTAAAAATGCAGGTACATAAAAACATCTGCAGGATGTGTTAAAAAACGCAGATTTTTAAAACCTCCTTGATCTTATTTCTCTAGCCTAGTCGCTGATATTGTCTTAGTAAGTGTCTCCCCTCTTCTGCACCATCACTTTTTCCCTCCCCACTGGATTCTTTGACCTCATTACACAAACATATTGTAACTCCCATCTTCAAAAACAAATGGCCTCAGTTGACCCCACTTCTCTTACCAACTA
Source organism: Homo sapiens (assembly GCF_000001405.40). Lineage (NCBI taxonomy): Eukaryota > Metazoa > Chordata > Mammalia > Primates > Hominidae > Homo > Homo sapiens. The sequence goes on from NC_000018.10 coordinate 28,139,397, forward strand.
CCACCCAATTTCTTCTTTTTCTTTTAATGAAGAACTCAATCTGTATCCAAACTGAGTTTCCAGACTCCACCTGACTGTTGAACACACTCAAATCAAGCTTCTGATCCTTGTCCTGAAGAGTTTTTATCTAAAACACCAGTTGCCTCCATGTTGCTAAATCCAATGGTGACTTCTCAGTCCTCATCTGAGTGGACTCTTCCATAGCATTTGGCACAGATGATCACTCCTTTCCTTTGAAACACTCCCTCACTTACCTTCTAAGACATCACAGCCTACTGATTCCTCTCCTACCTCACTGATCACTCTTACTCAGTCTCCATTTCTCCCCTTAACTCTAACTTCCTAACACTACAGTTCTCAAAGGCTTGATATTTAAACTGTTTTTTCTTTCTTAGGCTTCTCGTCCTCACATTCAGCTCCACAGTGATTTTATTACCCTGTGTCAAGGTTTTACTTACTGTTTGTATACTGAGTACTCCCAACTCTGTAGCCAAGCCCTTTCCACAGAACCCCAGACTCATATCCAAATGTCTTCTTGACATCTCTGATCTTCATCTCAACAGATTCAAACCAAGCTCCCGATCTTCTCTATCACAGTCAGTCACATCCTTCACAGTGCTCAAACACCACATGTAGTCATCCCTGAACCCTTCCTCTCTCCCACATACACATTCAGTCCATCATATCCTGTCAACTCTATCTTCAAACATATTCAGAGAATGAAATTAGGCCTCTTCCTAACACTATACACAACAATTTTAAAAATAGATCAATTACCTAAATATGAGTGTTTTAAAACCATACAACTCTTAGAAAAAAATATAGGGGTAAATCTTCATGACCTTGGATTTTGCAATGGATTTTTAGATACAATATCAAAAGCAAGAGTAACCAGACAAAAAACAGGTAGGTTGAACTTCATTAAAATTAAAAACATTTGTGCATCAAAGGAAATTACCAAGAAAGTGAAGAGACAAGTACTATGGTCTGAATGGTTGTATCCCCCTAAATTTCACATGTTGAAATCCTCATCAACAATGTGATAGTATTAGGAGGTGGAATTTGTGGGAGGTGATTAGGTCATGATGGCTCTGTACTTATGAATGAGATTAGTGCCCTTACAGAAGAGGACCCAGAGACATTCCTTGCCTCTTCTACCATGTGAGGTTACAATGTGAACATGGCCATCTATAAGGAAGCAGGCCCTCACCAGACACTGAATCTGCAAGCACTTTGATCTTGGATTCCTCAGCCTGTAGAACTGTGAGAAGTAAGTTTCTATTGTTTATAAGCTACCCAATTTATGGATTTTGTTATAGTAGTTCAAAAAGACTAAAACAATCACCTGTGAAATGGGAGAAAATATTTGTAAATCATATATCTGACAACGATCTAGTATCCAGAATATACAAAGAAGTCTTACGACTCAAAAACACAAAGGTAAACAACTCAATTTAAAAAGCTAACAAACAATTTGAATAGACATTTCTCCAAACAAGATATATATATATATACCTATATATATATATAGGTATGAAATATCGTTAGTCATTAATGCAAATCAAACCACAATGAGGTACCATTTCACACCTACTAGGATACAATCAAAATAAATGTAAAATAAGATAACAAGTGTTGATGAGTATGTGGAGAAATTGGAATCCTTGTACACTGCTAGTGGGAATGCAAAATGGTTCACCTGCTGTGGAAAACAATTTGACAGCTGCTCAAAAAGTTAAAGAAAAAATTAATATACAATCCCTCAATTCTACTCCCAGGTATATACTCCAAAGAAAACAGGAACTCAGAAAAGTATACAGATATATACACAATGGAATACATTTAGCAGTGCAAAAGAACAGGGTAATAATACAAGCTAGTATATGAACAAACTCCAAAATATTATGCTAAATGAAAGAAGTCAGTCGCAAAAGGTGTATGAGGCTACAGGGAAGGGAAATCAGAAGGAAAATGCTTAATGACTAGAGTGTTTTCTCTTTACTTTGAAGTGATGGAAGCATTTTAGAACTAGATAGAGGTATGGTTGCTCAACACTGTGAATGTACTAAGTGCCACTACACTGTTCATATTAAAATGGTTATTTTTATGTTACCTGAATTTCACTTCAATAAATTATTATTTTTTAAAGTTCAGAATCTAATCCCTTCTTCTAATTCCACCGCTACCACTTTGATCCACACCACCTTCTCTCATCAGATTATTACTAGCCTCCTACCTGGTCTCCCCTTCCCCTCTTGTCATTCTGCTCTTTCCTCAACACAACAGCCAGAATGATCCTGTTTTGAAAGTCAGATCATGTTTTACCTCTACTGAAAGCCTTCCAATAGATCATTAGCTCCTCATAGTCAAAGCCCCACACAAAGTGGCCTATGACTTATCTGACCTCATCTGACCTCAGACACACTTCTGCCTCAGGACTCTTGCATTTGCTGTTAGCTCTCTTTGTAATGCTTCTCCCCTTAATATGTAAGGCCCTTGAACCATCACCAACATCCTTGAACCATCACCAACATCAGTTCTTACTCAATGGTATCCTATGCAATGACATTTGCTCAGACCATCCTATTTAAATGCAAAGGCACACATTCTCCCTATTTCCCTTCTCTGCTTTATTTTTCTCCATAGCATTTATCACCATCTATCATTCAGTATATTTTACTTATTTATTGAGTTTCTTTTCTACTTCCTACTAGACGTTTACTAGAGAAAGCCTAAAAGGATAAAGAGTAACGGCCTGTGCGATCTTAAAAGGACAGGTTTTAAACCATTTGGGTGTCTGCTTGCTAATATGTCTGTATGCATGCATGATAGATGTGGAGCTGTGACTTGCTTTCTTTAACACATATCTCCTCGTTCTAAGTTTGTGAGGGAAGAGATCTCAGCTAGTCCAAATTACTGAAGGCTATGAAGAACTACAAAAGGACTTTATAGAAAAGTGACCACCCAAACTGGCTTATCTTACTTTGCTGCACTGCATTAAGAAAACTAGACCTAAAATACATCGAAAGGGATATAAAAAATTCCAAGTATTAAATAAGCCTAAATGATTGCTATGAAATAAGGATTGAAATAGAAAAAAAAAAACAAGAAGGATGGAAAGTTCTTGGTTCTTTTATTGATCTTATCATATATTCAATTATTTTTTAAAAACAAACAAAAAATACCCCAAGGTTTAAAAAAATGTCCTCCGCCCCTGAGAATGTACAGGATGACATTTCATTTTTTCCTCCTTAATCATCAATATCCAAGAGAACAATCTCTGTCTTGGAACCACTTTCCACAATCAGTTGGAAATCGTAAAGTGCAAGGGCCTGGCTGGCTTTATTAACAAGATGTTTATAAACCTGCCTTACAAATATTTTAAAACATTTACACATTTGATAAAAAGATGTATCAAAATAAAAATATACATAAAAACAAAAGCCATGCACTCATTAACAGATAATTCAAGTCTCTTTCCCAATTTAGTAATACATCATACAAAAGTACTCATATTATTAAAAAATAGAAGAGTTGTACAATTGTATAGTCCTACTAAACTAATAAAAAGTACTTCAGTTCTGTTATCTTAAGATACCATACCGCAGCTTCTTCTGACCATGTTAATGTAGACAAGCCTCAATCAGTAAGCACACTAATCTAAATCAAATTCCATCTAGTTGAAAATAATCATCATGTGCTGCCCAGAGATGGTGAGCATGAATGGATTACTGAAAATATTCATGGTAATTGCAGGTTGCTATTTCTGTTGACCAGATTCAGAGGAGTTTACTTAGAGAAATATCTAAGCATGCAGACCACCAATGCAAAACACACAGAATATCACTCTTGACATCCACACTAAAAACAGCCCAGGATCCTCTCTGCAATGTCACAGTGTGGTTGTTATTTCATAGTGTTAGATACACTGCTAGTGACAAAATGAAAATGTATGATTGCAGTTATTTTATTTTCAAGAAATATGCTACCACAAGAGATTTTTTTTTCCTAGTCAGTGGAGTGTTAAGTTATATTAAGGACTACATATTATCTTCAAAAGCCCCAGGTTCTTCTGCTTGTAAACAGGTGTGTACAAAATACTAACAGTGACAATAATTGAAAGATGCTTTTTAATTATAAGGAGTTGCTTAACATATTCCCCAATTCGCAAACATATCTAGTTAACACACAAGTCATGGTGGTAAATGGGGAATAAAGACCTGCTCTAAAATAAAGTGGCCACAAGACACCTGGATATTTAGGCTGGATCCTTTCTCTGTGTTATACCATAAGTTTTTTATCATCACCATCATCAGAACTAAATTAGAAATCAGGAAACCTGGGTTCTAATTCCAGATCTGCTGCTAACAATCTAAAGAACTATATAATCACATATACACCATGAAATACTATGCAGCCATAAAAAAAGAATGAGATCATTTCCTTTGCAGGGACATGGGTGAAGCTGGAAGCCATTATTCTCAGCAAACTAACACAGGAAAAGAAAACCAAACACTGAATGTCGTCACTCATAAATGGGAGTTGAAATATGAGAACACATGGACACAGGGAGGGGAACAACACACACCAGGAACTGTCGGTGGGTGGAGGGCAAGGGGAGGGAGAGTATTAGGACAAATACCTTATGCATACAGGACTTAAAACATAGATGACAGGTTGATAGATGCAGCAAACCACCATGGCACATGTATACTTATGTAACAAACCTGCACGTTCTGCACATGTGTCCCAGAACTTAAAGTAAAATTAAAAAAAAAAAGAGCTATATAATCACGGGAAAAGCCTATGATCTCTGAGCTCTAATTTGCTTATTTTTAAAATGAAGAGTTTGGCCATAAATGCTTTTAAAACAGAATAGAAAAACGCAAAGTAAAAATGACTGCCTAAACATACAAAAATTGATCCTAATTTATAAAGGCAAACATATATATGCCACGGGATAAAAAAGGAATGATTTTTCACCAGAGGGGAAAGAGCAAAATGACAATATATTATGAAATTAAATGGTGATGAGGATATTGAAAAGAACTAACACACAAGCCTTGTAATGAAGCATGCTACAAAATGCAAAGAAAAAAGATACTGTCAAACTCTACATTCCCTTTGACCTAGTAATTCTATTTTTGAACACAAATTCCCCCAAAAAAATCCCTAAAGAAAAATCAAAGATCTCTAAAAAGAATCTCCATAGCAGCACTACATATAAGAGAGGAAAATTAGAAACAACCTGTATGTTCAAAAATAGAGGCACAGTTAAGCAGAATCTGGTTTTGCTAACAAAATGGGACAAAGGCCTATATAGCCATTTTTTAAAATACAGAACTATCTTCAAAGAGTGGATGTATTCATGTGATATTACATTAAATGTTAAGGTTGATCACAGAACACCCTTTTTATGATTTCACAAAAAACACACGGTTAAAAACTAGAAGATAAATGGAAGCTGTACAGTTAGTTCTTTGAGTTTGTTATTTTGATAAAATTCATTACACTAGCAAAAAATAAAGGGAAATGGGGAGGAAAGAATGCTCTTTAAACCACAGTCCAGTTTGTACATTTCATGCTTCTTCTATATAATTTTCTAACGTGACAAATACCAACTTATGTCTCTACCTTACATTCAATGTTCCTCAAGCATTTTTGCAAAGATTATGTTAATTGTTGGAAAAATCATCAGCGTTCATGGTACCAATACACCAACATATTAAACTTTTATACAAAGTCTAGTGTGTCAGATGTATCCTAAGAATGTATATTGTACATACTGGTGAGCCATTGTCATCCTGTCCCCAGATGCCATCAACGGGAAATTAAAGGAAGCATCCAGAGTTAGGAGTTACGATTCCAACAGGGTCTTGGACTCTAAAGTCAGCCAATATATGGTAGAACATGCTATGAGGTGAATGCCTTGGAAAACTGTCACATACCTCTTATGTACAATTACTGCTTTCCTTAAACACTATAGGCGACAAAATCATAGCAAAAGTCATCACTCTGGTTGGCCTCGTAATATATCCCTTTCAGCTGTGGCAAATATACAGTACATGAATTTACTGCAGTACACAGAATTCATAGATATAATTATGGTGTGGTATTTGGCTTCAGTGTATAGCTATAGCATTGGATTATCCTTCTAATAAAAACTCCAAAAAGATGTAAAAGGTAAAAACCCAGAATTATCCTAAGTAGCAATTCTCCAGAAGAAACATTAACTGGAGATAACATGCTTGTGTTGAATAGAAATGCTGATGTTCCACAAAAGCCTGTGTAAATTTTCTTCCTTCCAAAAAGTTGTTTTTTTCTACTAATCAATATTTTAAACAGTATGTTTCAAGCTTTACGATGCTGGTATCCTTTAACATATTCTGAGAATGATAAAGAAAAAAGTAATGGTGTCATGTGAAAAACTGTTTAAAAAAAAAAGGCTAAAACCTAAAATTGGGAACAAGTGGATATACCAAAACTGTAAAAATCTACCAGAGACCATTATACATACTTTTCTCACTGATGGCTAGAGCACAAAGTAAAAAATATTTTCAATCTTTCACCTTTACAACTTTAGCAAAAATCCTGTTTCTAGTTATCCTAAAAAGACACTGGCAAAAAGCTATGTCCAATTTCTCCTGTCACCAGCATTATCTAATAATGTGAAAACAAGCTATCATTTTCAAAACTATTCAACGCGCCAAAGTAATTAATCTTAAATCAATGGCTGCTAGTGACACACCATGTGTTTACTTTAAACAACAAATTATAAGCTTTTAGAAAATGAAATTACCCATTTAAAAATGAATCTCAAAAATATGCTGCAGCAATGCAACAAATTCCACTTTTTATTATCTGTCTGAATTATTCTACAGAATCATATCAATATATTTTATACACATTTACAGGTCATACAAGTTCTAGGGTGCCAAGTAATAATTTAAAGATTTAAAGAAAATGGGATACACACAGAAGAACTCCAAAAGTCATATTAAGTTAAAGAAAGGCTGTACACGGATTTAAATTAAACCTCCATTACCCACCAGATGAGATAGCAATTCAGTGTTGAGACAGACTAACTCAAACATTCACCCATTAAAATACCATGTAATGAGGCAGGGACAAGAGAATGCCTTAAAAAAATTAAAAATCAACTTCAGAAAGACAGCACAGGTGAGAGCAAATCCTAATTTAAATAGAAATTAAAATAAAATGTAACCTGCACCCAAGAACGATAGTAGCTAAGAGGCCATTTACATTTCAAAGTCCTCTGTCTATGGTATTCTTAAGTACTATACCACTAAGGTTTGTCGGTACTGTGGAGACACTTCAATTAAGGCTGTGTGGTAGAGCTCTGTGTAAATTAATTAGTTGAGGTTACGCAGATTTTCTAAAAGCAGCTCTCTAAAACAGCCTCAGAGATATGCAAGATTTGTGGGGAATTAAAATTTAAACACAACTTACTAATCAATTCTTCTTGCTTTCACATTTCAATGACATTTTGCGTAATAATAAATAAGTCCATGAAAATACTACTAACCAAAATTTTATTTGCTTTCAATTAGAGCTAAAGGAAAGGGCTTTCAGTTTTCCTTTTGATACTTAGGTTTTATTTCAGATTTTATCTAGACTTATTGGCAAGAGTTTCCATATGATAACTATAATGAACTTGATCCATATTTAAATGGGAAATGAGACTATATTTAAAATTCACATATGCTACAACTAAATTAGCTTTCTAGTAATTGCTATAAACAATGTCATAACAAAAATATGAATTTCATACTCTTGCACTGAGACTTTACATGTTAAATTCATTCAATGTAATTCAGCTATATATTAAAGCTTCACGTTTTATCTAATAAAATATTATAATAATTTCCTTTCTTTAATTCAAAATACTAAGTAATTTTTTGCTGTAAGTAAATTTTAAAGCCATTAGAACTAGATGTTTCATATTCTTCAAAATATTATTCTTTAAATAAAATGTATACACAAAAATGGTAATAATCAGTTACATAACGGTTTCTCTGTAAATTAAAAATGGAAGAAATCTGACGATTTCAAGAGATCAGGAGCCTTCAAATTATGTATATAAGAGATTCATAAGCTCTTCTGTAATCCTAAAATAAAGTCCCTACAGTCTCATCATAGTGATTGTGAAAAATTCATACTTGTTATACAGTAGAAATGATTTAGGCTTTTTTAATGGCTAATTTGTTTCATGAGCATGGACACTGCATGTACAAATATATCTTTTGAGATAGTACCATTGAGAAGAGGCTGTCCTTCATGCACATCCTTCGATAAGACTGCACTGTAAACATCTTCAGGAAATCCAGTCTTGCATAATGCGATTTCACCAGAAGCCTCTACAGACGCCTGCAACACAAGAAAAAAAAAAAAAATGTGTGCAATGATTGCTACCTCCTTCAACTGAGAAACATTCCACTTGGCATAAAGCCTCATTTTTTCAACTATCTTGTACAAACAACCCCTTTGTTTCCAAGTGCTTACAATTAGAATGTAGAGGGCAAAGGGTTAATCATTTTGATAACTGGAGTAGAAGAAACAAATCCCACTTGTCTAGTCCAGTAAAAGCGAAATAATACACATTCTAGGTTCTTCTAAGGACTGAACATTTCCATTAAAATGCTCATTGTGACTGAAGAACTACCAAGTGGGCGTGGGGTTTGGGGGACAGCCAAATAGTCTTTGGGCTCCACAAATCACCATCACTAACTTAAGTTTTCATGAAAAATGTATACATTCAAGTACACAGATTTTTATATTTTTAGCTAATTTTCTATAAAACTGGTTTCAAGATGCCATGTTCATTTAAAAATAAAATTATAATATACTTACAACAGTGGGACAGATAATATTTTATACCAAGTAAAACCAATCAAAACTATATATTTATTTCTATAATTTGAAGGACAGTGATACATTAAAAATTTAAGTAAAGATTAATACAACTATGTTTTTACACTTAAAATTAGAAAGTAACCAAGTATCTGTCATTTTCTATATCATCATATGCACAGTTAATTTACTCAGTGTGCTTAAAACTCAGTCATACCTACTACTGTCTAGCTAACCCTCCAAGTTAGTTGCCCTACTTCTTTCAGCCCTACTGACACAATTGGAGGACAGTCAGCCCTCAGCAGAGCTCCTGTAGCATCTGCATTAATTGTAGGAAACTCTACCATGTACTAATGGGGATTCAAATACAGAGGAAGGACGAGTAGAATGAGGCTACCCAATGAAGGGATTCCAGTGGCCATAGGGACAGCATTAGGGACAGTCCACCCTAGTGAGAACCAGAAATTGAGAGGAAGAAGAAGGGAAGTCCCAGAAACAGAGAGATCTCAGAACAACTGTCTGGATGAAGCAATGCAGGGCAGCTTCATAATTAAATGACTACCTGAATTATGCATGTGAAATTTTGCAAATACTAATGTTGCAAAAATCTAGACCAATCTAATAAACTGTTCTTTTCAAATCCAAGAAAATAAGAAATAAATTAAATTTAAACAGTATTAAATATCACAGTATTTATTCTCAAAAAATTTTTAGGAGCAACAGTGAGATACTAGTTCAGGCCCATCGAATGAGTAAGCAGTTTTAAGTCTGTTATGTGCAAGAAAGGGCTGTATCAAGTGAAGAATAAAGAAGAACCAGTCCCCTAAAAAGGTGTGAGTGGAAGCTGGTACAGTCACCTTGGCATATATTTTGGCAAACTCTAGTAAAGATGAATGTGGATATATCCTCCATATTCCTAGGGAAATATTACGCCACATGAGTGCTCCAGTTGACATGTGCAGGAATGTCCACTGAAACATGACTGTAATAGCAGAGATTCTGTACATGTCCATCAAAAGGAGAATGGACTAATACATCATCACAAAGCCAAAAGAAGAAAACAACATTAAAATGAAAGAACTGGAACTACATTTATCCAAACAGCTACATCTCAGAGGCAAACTAAAACAAAACAAAAAGTCAGTTTCTTTAAGTTCCATGTATGATTAAGATATAAATTTAATTATAAATCAACCTACAGATGACTATTTAGTAAGTTCAGAAACCCATTTGTGTGACATCCCAAATTCAGACTGAAGACAAGGCACACTGCAGTATGAAATCTTGCAAAAAAAAGTAGAAATCATGACTGATGATTCCGCTTATATAAAATTTAAACACAAAAGATAACATAATGTTTTGAACACATACTTATGTAAGAAGAAAAGGAAAACAGCATAGTGATAAACATGAAATTTAGGATAGTGGTTACCCCAGGGGAAGGAAAACTAGGAAAGGCATCAGGAAAGATTGTACAAGTGGCTTCAATTTTATCTGTAATAATTACTTTCTTTCAAAAAGACTGAAGGAAACCAGGTAAAATGTAAAGATCCGCATAGACACACAGGTACAAATTACAGTATTCACCTCACAAACTATCTGCTCTACATATTTCATAATGAAAAAGAGAAAATATCAGAAACCAATTGAGAAATAAGAAGTGAGGCTTCCAACACCCATCAAATTTGGGACACTGGGAGACAGTCTGATACTTGACACGTGTAAACATCCAGGTACTGTCCATGCCTGGCACAGTGCAGGCACTGAGTAAAGGAAAGCTTTTGCTTTTAGCTAACCCAAACGAACACAGGGAACTCCCCAGTTTGCCATATAAAATGGACAAATGTGTTGTAAACCTGTGTCCCACCAACATGTTACGAGTCTGCCTCTTCACCCTTCTAGTCCAGGCTTCTAAGAGCAGTGAAGCATGGCAGGTGCTAGCCCATGACAGGTCAGGCCGGAGCCCAGAAACGCCGTGGCCAGAAGCCAGCGATGGAAGGCACGGAGCAGACGGGGGTCACGTTTCAAATGGGGGCGTTCAGGGTAGTAGAGTATGCGGGTTTGTGGGTAAGAACTCAGAGATCAAGAAAGTCTCAAGACTAGAGGAAAACCGTAAGCTTTTATTCAATCTTGTTTCCCAGTGGATCTGCCCTAAGGCAGGAGAATCAGCGGCACCAAGTTCCTGGTCCAAACCCACAGAAATAGGACTTCAGGGCCATGTCGAAGCTGTCAGGAAGACAGTGAATGTTCACCTCTGTGTTTTGTTCTCTGCCTTATTTCAGAAAAGGGACCTTCTGTCCTCAATGTGCTGCCCCTTACTAAACCTCTCCATGCTCATTTTCCTCATGTAAAAAAGGGTACCAACCAGCCAGGTTGGCCATGAGAATTATTGAAAAAATGCTCTTAAAGCACATCTCTAATGAATACTGACTACTAATATTAAATATCCATGGAAGTCATGTCATACTTTGAATAATTTCATATTCATCTTAAATAGCTGAAACTTTCCTAAATTCTTCTTCCTTAAGACAAAACGGATCCACAAAATAATATAATCCTGGATCCAAAATACTAATCTATAATGTATTTTCTTAAAAACAATCTCCATAAAATTGTTAAAATATATATTCTCCCTATTTATTTCCTCTCTTAACTTTCAGTCAAAAAATAGCAAAGTTACCAAGTTCAAAAAACAAACAGGAAGCACTCAAATGAATACAAGCTCCCAGCTGGACATAGTGGAGGCTTACTTTGCACCAAGCACTGTGTTGGTAAATCAGTATCTCATTCAATTCTCCCTGCAACCCTACAAGGCTGTGACTGATACCAGGTATGAGACTGCAGGAGACCAAGAGCTGATGAGCAGAATCCCCTTAGGGGGGCTGACTGCACTGTGGTGGTAATCCTTGTTGGGCATTGGAAGTTCTCTGGTCTAACCCATAGCTAATGCCTGAATGTTCTACAACAGTAGCTCTCAATCAGGGACAATTTTGCTCCCCAGGGGACATCTATCAATGTGCAGACACATTTTTAGCTGTCACAACTGCGAGGGGGTGCTACTGGCTACTAGTGGCTACTGGCTCTCAGTTGGTTTCTGGCATTTTCTCTTTTTCATTATAAAATACGTAGAGCAGGGAATTTGCTAACCATTATACAACACACAGCACAGCATCCCTAACAAAGGAGTGCCAAGCTCAAAATGTCAACAGAGCCAAGGTTAAGAAAACCTGTTCTACAGCAACACATGAAAAAGAGGTATCTACCTACCCATTAACACTGCTATCGGTATGAGGATCACTGTCTGCTCAAGTAGCCTCATCACTCTTGGAACATCCTGCATCCCAGAAAGCCAAAACCCAGCCCCTGAGGCTTACTCCCACATAAAGTCATCACTCTGCCAGGCCTAGGATGAAATTCTGGAACTTCCAAGAGGAGAAAGAGGCATCCTACCCTCAACAAGTTATCTGTGGGTATGAGGAGGAGGTTGTGAATAACATACATTTCCCTAATATTTGAATGGTGCATGGGTTGGCAAGCTTTTTCTGTAAAGGGTAAACTAAGTATTTCAGGCTTTGTAGTCCATAGGATCTCTGCTGAAACTACTCAATCTGCTGCTGTTGTGCAAAAGCAGTCATAGACAATCAGTATATGAATGAACATGGCTGTGTTCATTCTAATAAAACTTCATGTATCCTGAAATTTGAATTTCATTCCATTTTCAAGTCTTGAAAGATATTCTTCTTCTTTTTCTTGCTTAAAAGCATTTGAAAATGTAAAAAATATTCTTGGCCAGACAAAAATAATGGCAGCAGGAGTGTAGTTTGCAGATCCCTCGAATAGTGTGTTAAGTTCCGTATCACATTGTTATCTCACTTCATTCTCACAATAGGCCCCTTAAGAGGGGGTTAAACTATCTGCATTTTGCTAATGAGCAAATCGATTCTCACACAGAGGTACAGTGAAATACCCAAGACCTCACATCCAAGAGAGAAAGGGCAGGATTCAAACTCTGTAGTCTTTCTAAGTACAACAAATAATTACAATACAATCTTTCAAGAAACATGTACTGAGTGTTCATTTGCCACTAGAAACAGAAAACAAGATACAGCCCCTGCCCTTAAGGAGCTCAAGATTTAATGTGGGAGGTTAAGATATGCAGAGGATATGAGCAAAGCCCAGGGCAGGGAATCTGGGGGCTTCCCAAGCAGAGAGCTGGAGTAGCAAGGCGCTAGAGAGTGGCAGGAAAGCCATCCTAGGCAGTCACTGCTTGAACTAAAACAAGGCAGCAAGAAACAGCATAGTGCCTGGGGAATAACAATGAGTTCAGTGTCGCCGGAGTCCAAGAAGCAAGGCAGGATGTCAAAAGTTGAGGCTGGAGAGTTAGACAGGGTTAGATCACAAATGGTTGGGGGCCTGGGGTTATCCTGTTGGCTGGGGGAGCCAGGGACAGATTTTAAGCACAGACCGAATGCATCTGACAGAGAATTCTCTGATAGTTTTGTGGGAAAGTGTGTGTGTGATAGGGGATGACAAGTGACAACTGGGAGACAAGCTAGGACACAGACCTGAGTCAGGGCAGGGGCTGCAAGGAATGAAAAAGGGGCAGATTTTGTCAATACCAAGATAGTTAAGATCGATAGGGCCTTCTGAGGCAGGGACTCACTGGGGGAGGGAGGGAGGAAATGATGCCTTCCCTCATGTTTCCAGCTGAGTGGCTGTGAACACGGGTGCCACAAGTAGGAAAAATAATTGCAAAACTATAATGTCAGGAACAAAGTGCTAAAGAAGCAGAAAGAATGGGATGATAAATCTGTCCGTGGAAGTCAAGGAAGACTCCATAGCTGAAGTGACATTTAGGCTCTGACTTTAAAGATGATTAAAAATTTGCCAGGAGAAAGAGGGGGAAGTGGAAAAGGGCATTCCAGGCAAAAGGTACAGCAGAACAAAGCCCCTGGTGATTTATGTTGAGCTTGTAGTCCACCAAAACCATCCTGATCTTTTTTTTTCTAGGCAACTGTTAAGTTATGGCTTCCTCCTCTATTATCTTTGCTGCTGATTTTGGGTCCTTAGGGGGAGCAATTTATATTTAACCCTCCAAAATTTGGTCTCAATAAATTAATAATTCCAGCTGGCTTTAGTCATTCCTTCCAGCTTTATGTATCAAGAAAGTCTAATGAGATACCCCAAAGTCTTCATGTAGATGCTACTTAGATGCTAAAAACAGGGTATGTCACATGCCCAGACATGGTTTGGGGAAATCTGCCCAGGGGCAACACCCCCCAACCCCCCGGGGCCCTAAGCCCTGGGCTCTTAAGAAGAGCAGAGTGACTGCAGCATGAACTTCCAACAGGTCAGACTGCCTGGCTTTAAATCCCAGTCCCATGGATACTATCTGCCAGACCTCTGAGAAGAAACAGTTCCCCATCTGTACAACAAGAGTACTAAAGACAGCACCAACTCATAGGGCAGATGAGAGGATTAAATGAGTTAATATGTGTAAAGCACTTAGGATAGTGTCTGGCACATGGTTATTCAATGTCTTAGCTATTTGTCATCACAGTACTAATACTATTGGGGCAACACGAATCCAACTCATGGTACATCTGCCATACAGGCCGGTAGGTCTCAAACTTACTCAACACAGCAAGCAATCTGGGACATTTGTTTAAAATACAGATTCTTGGGTCCTAGCCCAAGACTCATTAAAACAGACTCTCAAGAGGCATGATGGATAAATCTGTGTATTTAACAAGTGCCTGTGCTGCAAGTGGTGGCCACACATCCAGCCCTTATCTTTACCTCTGGAAACCTTTCTGAACGTTCTCAAAACGGCACAGCTACCTTTTGACCCTAGTCTTCAAACCCAATAGCTTAGCAACAACAAAAAGGAATACAGAAACCATGATTTTTCTGTTCTTAATCCCATGCTCTCTTTATTCTGAAAACTACACCTTCTTGATTTTGAATTTCTTTTGCTTTGAACAGAGCATTACCCCATCTCCAGTCCTTTAGCAATTCTCCTCTTCTGCACAATTCCTCAAGGATGACAAGCAGTCAACAAGCCCTCTCGGCCCACCAGCGTGAAATTCACGCTGGTCAGAGGATCTGAACTCATTTAGTGCCGCTCTGTGCTCTCGCACAATCAGCTCACCTATCTTGAGTTTCAATTTCCTCTTACAAGTATTTACTCTACTCTTCCCAGGCTGAAGATCGACCTCCTTGTCTAGAGAGGACAGAAGTGTAATAGGAGTTGAGGAGTTCTGCTTGCCTGTGAGTATCAGTCTCTCTGTTCTGGTTCTGCACTCGCAGGGACATTGTTTTTGTTCTTGTTCAAATTTTTCCACGGTCTCAATGCTGTGAGCTTTAAAGCCGAGTCCACTACTCTTTTCGGTTCCCGTTCTCATTATTCTTTTTCATAGTCATCCTTGGTCACTCAATCTGCTTTCCAATTTCCTCCAAGTCACTCCTAAATCCAAGCTCTTAAATATTCCATGTGGAATCACCATGGACAGACTTCAGTTGCCTTGTCTCCTCACTCTCTTCCTCATTAAGATCATTTATGATTATTGGCTAAAAATTTCACCTCTGAAAGCAGCCTAAACCTAAGGAAATCATAACTTTTCTTTCTGGCTCTGAAGACTGCCTAACCAAAACCTAGACTAAGTTAGTTATCATAAACTCTTAAATGTAATCCATTGGATGTCAGGTTAAAACACTGATCTCTTACTTTTTCCCTATCAGAGATTCCATGGTCACAATCTTGTAACAATTACATTATTGTTTGGGAGATTACCAAATGCAGTCAACAAAGCTGAGGCCTTCTTTTGCATTATGTTTGCTCCCCTGATTCCTTGTGGAAATAAGGGCAATAATGGGTAGGACTGGGTTAAGACTGAGAACTCTGCAGCAAACCTGCTCAGGTTTAAATCCAGCCTCCACCATCTACTACCTGTGTGACCTTGGCAAGCCATGTAACCTCATCTGTGCTTCAGCTTCCTCCTCTGTAATAATAATAATAATAGCTAAAGTACAGGTCTTTAGGATTGTTGTGAAGAATACAAAGGGCTTAAAAAACAATACGTGATTCACCACAGGACAAGGGTTAGCTATTATGATGCTGGTATTGTTTTGATTGTGGAGACTTTTATCTCTTTGTTCTGTAAGTAACTGAGAAATATTTTAAAATTATTTTGTGAAGAAGGAATACCGTAAAGAAATCAAGCCTGCAAAAAAACGGAAATTCACTCACAAACAAGGACAAAAGATGCACAAGTGGAATTCCCTTCATGATACGTGATTTGTGGGTTGGGGGATGGAGCCGCAGTACAGGGAGGGTGACAACTATGGTAATACTTTTATTATGCGGTTATGTCTTCCAAACGACATAAGCGAACATAAACAGTTAATGAAGACACTGTTAACGTCGTTAGTTGAGTACATGGTGATAGAGTAATGACACTGTTCGAGAACATTCAGCACGACTAATTTTTTTATTTTTTAATCCAATTTCTCACCATACAATTACAGTTGCCAGATTCTCGACATCTCACAGGATTCCATCCATGATGTTGGAGGCTATGTTAAGAAGACTATTCAAGAGCTACTGCCACTCTTCAAGATTTTCTCTGTGTCAGTAATGCCACTGATGGCACTTTTGAATTTCACATCCCTGCAAAAATGCTTAAAACGTGCAGAAGTTTAACCCTGAACAGCTGCAATATTTTTGTTTTGTCAAGTACCATTCTGGAAGGAGATTATCTTGTCTTGCATGGGTTTTTTAACTCTTTCTTGCCTTCATGATGTGCTCTAGACCAGCTTAGGTTCAATGAATACCACACTGAGGCCACACATTTGCCCCATCTGACAGCCTAGTAATTTTCATCTTTATTTTAATTATCTTATTAGGATGTGTCCTTGAGTATCTCTAGTATCAGTACTTTTAGTTTTCTCATTGTCATTTCTTTTAATCAAGTAAGGACAAAGAGAATAGGCAAAAACAGCATTGATGCTGGCACAGGAACCTGCAAACTGTTGAAACTGAACTCTTAGCTAAAAGGCAGCCCCACAATACAAGAGTTTGATGGACAAAAATCTGGGTCAAAATCTGGGTCTGCATACAAAATGTGGTACAGAATGTCACCTTCCCAGGTACAGAATGTCACCTTCCCAGGTATAGCATGTCACCTTCCCAGGTACAGCATGTCACCTTCCCAGGTACAGAATGTCACCTTCCCAGGTATAGAATGTCACCTTCCCAGGTACAGCATGTCACCTTCCCAGGTACAGCATGTCACCTTCCCAGGTACAGAATGTCACCTTCCCAGGTACAGCATGTCACCTTCCCAGGTACAGCATGTCACCTTCCCAGGTGCAGCATGTCACCTTCCCAGGTGCAGAATGTCACCTTCCCAGGTACAGCATGTCACCTTCCCAGGTACAGCATGTCACCTTCCCAGGTATAGCATGTCACCTTCCCAGGTATAGCATGTCACCTTCCCAGGTACAGAATGTCACCTTCCCAGGTATAGCATGTCACCTTCCCAGGTATAGCATGTCACCTTCCCAGGTATAGCATGTCACCTTCCCAGGAGTAGAGCCTATCAGGGCTTAGGACAATATGAAAACATACATCGAGTGACATCCATATAGACCTCTGTGCAATCCCACATCTCCTCTGCCAAAGTGAGAAGAGGCTTCCTAGGCTTCCAGGCTTCCTTGAGTAGAGTCTCAAAAGATAGACAGGAGCTTACCATGAAGTGGATGCTTAATGTAACAGGTAGTAACAATGTACCTACAGATTTAATTGGCAGGTAAAAGGCTAATACTATCATTAGATAATGGCCCAGGCAGCTGTGCAATTAAACAGTCAGAAAAAGTTCCAGAAGTGCCCGTGGCATTCCAGGAGAGATGGCCAATCATGGCTCAGATTGATTCTGTCCCATCAACTCATGACACTCAGCAGAGACTGCAACACGCTTATACTCAAAATGTTATCAAATAGTATAGCACTTGGCATTAGACTGTTTATAATGAACTTGGAAATTCATTCAACTAAAGACACTCAATATCAGTGACTGCAAATATTTACTGAGTGCTTAATATGTGCCAAAAAGCATGCTACAATGCTTTCCATGCAATATATCTTAAATAGTCCTCACAATAACCCTATGAGGTAGATGCTGTTAGTACCGCCATTTTGCAGGCAAGGAAACTAACTTAAAGAAAACTGCCCTAAGTCATCTAGTTAGTCAATTTAGGGACACTATTCAAACCGGCATCAAAAGGCCTTGGGGATTACCCTTAACCCAACCACTACAACTTCCATTAGGAAGCATTCACATACATTGACACATAGTACCTAACTGGCTAAGGGCTGGAAACTGTCCTATATGAATTGAGACTAAGTGAAAAATCTGCCTGCTGCCATAATAAACTTTCTCCTAAAATATGATTCTCGCATACGATATGTGATATATGCTAATAAAACAATTTCAATGTTTCTGTTCACTATGGAAAAAATTAGGAAAAAAAAAGACTTCAGGTAAAACTTTTTTAAACATTTTGTTTTAAGTCCTCCAAATCAAAGCCTCACACCCCCCAGCCCAAACTCTTCTAAAAGTATACATGGAAAGTTATCAGTCAATAGCTATCATGGCTAGTATGTTAATTTTCAGAGGTGATATTGATGAAGGAATAATTATAGTCTATAATGAACTCTTTATACACTTTATTTGCTCTGGAGTCCCCTGTATTCATGTACAATTAGGCCCATTTCATAAAACCTGGAGCATGGTTTCACTTTTTAAAAATGGTTACAGATGTTTACAGTCCCCGGAACTCTGATTTAATTTGAGTAGCTGGCCATAGTGATGATTTATGTAATTCTGAGTCCCTGATAAGATAAACACAACCCAATTATAGCATTATTCTTGTGAGAAAACAACATTCAAGGCACAGCTTCCAGAAATGCATTGCAGCGAAAGGAGGCATAACGCCAGAGTTCAAAGCCTTTCCTGAACTTATTCTGGAAGCAGCACCCCATCCAGTGGTGTTCTAATAGATCAAGCAATAAAGAAATAAATCTCCAAGCCCTGCAGGCTGAGAGGTTGCAGAGCTAATATCGTCAGTTCCAGTTTCAACTCAAGGGTGAAGGACAAGCATTGTCCACCCATGGATATCTTGGGTGACTGATGTTTGGCATCTGGATAGTTTCACAGTGTAACCCATAGAGGAAATGCTTCTTCCCTTCCTGATGCTTCATTCCATGGGAAGGCACTCTGCTAACTCTCACTGTCCCAGTGCTTTCCACTGCCCAGTCAGTGTTACCCTGAATGGCAATTCTTAAAGTATGGTCCGAGGAGTGGACTCCTAGGAGTTCCCACGACCCTCTCAGGGAATCTACAAAATCAAAGCCACTTCCATAATATTACAACATATTTGCCCTTTTCACTCTCATTATCTCACAAGTGTAAAGTAAAGTTTTCCAGAGGCTATGTTATGTGTGATACCTTAACAGAGAAAATTCAGAAGCAGATATGAAAAGCCAGCTATCTTCTTATTAAGCCAGACATTAAAGACACTGCAAAATGTAAAGGCACAATGCTACTCTTCCCACTAATCTTGTTTTTCTCTTTTGGAAAATACAGTAATTTTTCATACAAATTGTTATTTATGTTACGCATACAACTGGTTTAATATTTTAAGTGAATTAAATATATAATTTTTTCAGTTTAAATTCTCTATGGTAAACAGCAATAGATATTATCTACAATAGAAAAGCTCACTGAAGAACTCAATAATTTTTTAAGCATGTAAAAGAGTCCTGAGACTAAAAAGTTTGTAAAGTGTTATGTTAAACAAAGAGGGATGGACCAAACTTACCTGAAGCCTGCATTTGAAAGAATAATCTGAGCAGCTGGTGCCCAACCCTGTCCCCTACTCCGCCCATCTGGGAGTCACAGGTCCACAGAAAAGAAGCTTGGTGATCTCATTTTCCATGCTGGGAGCTCACAGATTCCCTGCAGCAATCTGGCAGTGGAAGGAAGTGGGCATGTCTTTGAAATGCTGGGATTCTGGGATTCATTGTAAGGGGGACTTGCCAATAGATGAAGGCCATGCCTGCCACCCTAGTGCTTATCAGGACTACGGTGATATTTTCCTTTCATATTTTCTGATTCTGCTGGCTTACATTTCCCTCGGTTCAGAATTCAAGACAGGGAGGACAGGTCCTATTTACTGGGCCCTTTCAAAGACTTCAGCACTTGGTGAACTATCTGGGGATCTTGAGAAATAAAAAAGGAGTCCAATGTAGGGGAAGAAAGTACTCATGGAGGAACTTGGGCTTCTGGCAGTGGGAAAAGGGTGCTTTACTCAGGACCTGCAATTTTTTTGTTTTTTTTTTTTTTTTGAAAGGGAGTCTCACTCTGTCACCCAGGCTGGAGTGCAGTGGCGTAATCTCAGCTCACTGCAACCTTTGCCTCCGCAGCTCAAGCAATTCTCCTGCCTCAGCCTCCTGAATAGCTGGGACTACAGGTGTCCTATACCACGCCCAGCTAATTTTTGTATTTTTAGTAGAGACAGGGTTTCGCCATGTTGGCCAGGCTGGTCTCGAACTCCTGACCTCTGGTGATCCACCCACCTCAGTCTCCCAAAGTGCTGGGATTACAGGCGTGAGCCACCACGCCTGGCCCCCGGCACTTCTTTTAACTTGGTGGTTTATAGCCTTGATTGTGTAGGGTGGCTGGTTTTTATAGTTGGAGAGGTGGCTTTTAACATCAAAAGGCTTAAATTTCTAAACCACAGAGTATTTTGACCTTGATGCTTGACCACCACTTAGGTAGCTTATCTCCAGGAAAATGATAGCTGTTTAAGAGGTAGCGCCTCGAGAAAAAAATAAAAAAAAAAACAGCAGGACCTCAGGAAAGACTATAGGCCAAGGATCCTAGAATAGAAAAGAGGCAGGATGCACAGCGACCTTAGCCCAGTGGTGAACAATTTGGGTGAGGGATGCCACAATCTGGGTGAAAGCTGCCGCAATTTGGCCTTGGCAATGGTCTAAGGTAGCTCAGGACTCTGGAAGTGCTGAGGGGCCTCAGCTTGAACGTGCTGAGGGGCATAAAAAGAGGATTATTTCAACATCTACTGCCTAAAGACTAGTCAATGAGCAATGTTTGTTATTTTTTAATAACACTGAGTTCAAGAACACTAGCAAGGGTCTCACTTGGGCAAGGTGGGGACAGCATGGATTCTGACAGCTCGACCACTGGCTCAAGGGTCAGCCTCCACCAAGTGGTCTGGATGGCCTTTACAAGTGAACAAGAAATCTTCCCTTGAGGCAGCCGTCTTTGGCCAAAGCAACTCCATAGTAAATGGCAGAGAAAGAGCCAGTGGGGCCCGAGACTGAAAACACCTGTTCCACCAGTCAACCACCAGACCAAACCCAACATGGTGATAACACTGGGCTGTCAGATCCAAGGGAGACGAAGGGAAAGTCTCAAAGGGAAAGCAGGTTTGAACAGGCTGGCTGCAAACCAAAACCCAACTGGGGAGAGGCTCCCAGTGGGAGGTTGTTTAGCACTTCCTATTTACCATTTGGGGTACCTCATGCATACCGGGTTTTCTTTCAGAAAGCTGGCATCTGAGATACTGTCACCTAGCACAAGGTTCAGAAATGTCCAATGATCCTTGTCCTTCTTGAGGTGCCTTTTTTCTCATCTAGCATATTCAGTATCTTTATGTTTCCACTTCCCCCTTTCAACTTTGTTTAGTTCAAAGCTTGCAGATTATAGACAAGAGGCTTAGACTGACCAGCATCCAGGAAAGGTTAAAATGAAGAATGTTTTCTCTGCCCACTATCAGTCCATCCCTCACATACCACAAGCTCTCTACTGTGTTCTTTGGAACACTGAGAAACAATTTCACCTGGATGACTCTTCCAGAGCAGAGCCTGGTTTGCTTTCTAACTTTGAAAACTGTTAAGACTGTTGCTGTGGTCATCATTTGGTTTGGGAACTCTTTAAAAAGTAAAGCTGGCCGGGCACAGTGGTCACGCCTGTAATCCCAGCACTTTGGTAGGCCAAGGCGGGCATATCACCTAAGGTCAGGAGTTCGAGACCAGCCTGGCCAACACAGTGAAACCCCATCTCTACCAAAAAATACAAAAATTAGCTGGGCATGTTGGCACACACCTGTAGTCCCAGCTACTTGGGAGGCTGAGGCAGGAAAATAGCTTGAACCCAGGAGGAGGAGAATGCAGTGAGCCGAGACTGCATCACTGCACTCCAGCCTGGGTGACAGAGTGAAACCCTGTCTCGAAAAAAAAAAAAAAAAAAAAAGCAAAGCTATAGATCTTCCAAGACTTCAAGAAGTTGGGAATAAGTCTGTCCTGACAGATGCCCATCTCGCCCTCTGAGGGGAGTTGCCACATTTTGGAATAAGCACACACTTGATGACTAAGAACATGAGCTCAACAGTCAATCCAAAATTTGGGGACCGTCAGAGTGTAAACCTCATCCTCTACTTCCATGTAGTGGGAGCTGCACTAGTAATAACATTCTTGACCTTTGGCCAACTTAGATAAAACGAGTGGGCATACAGAACCCAGGCTCTTCATCACCTTTTCTTCCTGTCAGAGCCACGCCACCTATGTCATGCAAATATTGTTAAGCTATAGGTCCGTAAGCTTCGACAGATGGGAGCACTGTCAAAGATGGGATGCCAAGGGTAACTAAATCTGAGATGTGAAAGATTAAAGCCACATTCTCTAACCTTGTCTTTATCAGTAATAAATGTTGTAATTTTGGTTCTCTATGTACTGATTCTTTTGTCTTATTTGTCCAGAACTGAAATAGATAAGGAGCATTATTGCTTAGGCCCCTTCAAAGACAACAAAATTATCTACAAAGTCTCAATCTTACTGAATACTCAAAGGCCAAGGCTAAATGATCAAAAAGAAGTTGGTCCAAATAACATTGTTGAAGTGCCAGCAGGGCCTCAGGCCCACTAGGATGTCTCTGTGCTGAGTCTGAGGCACTCAACCAAGACCCCTCATGTACTTAGGGGAGCACAAATGCTTGGAACAGAAAGCCACATGTGCCCTTAGATTGCTGGGTGAGTACAGAACTGGGCCAAGGTGGGGTGAGGTCAGGAGAAAGAGAGTGATTCACAGAAGGAACTATCAACAGCTCATGAGACACTTGCATCTCCGAGTCACCACCAAGAAGCTGCATGGCCAGCGGCAGAAACTGCCTGCTTCTTTGGTAGCCTATCCTGCATCTGGCTCAATCTGTTAGATTTTCCCATTCTTAAGCCGAGTTTGCTCCATGAAACTGAGATCTTTTAAATCCTCATTCTAAAGTCCAAATCCTCCTTTAGGCAACAATCCTTCAAAGTCCAGAATAGACTAATCTTGCTCCCACTGGGTCCATTCTTTTGCAGACTTTCAAGGAACTGGCCGAGTTGTTATCAGGAAAGTAAAGCACTGTTAAAGCCCTGGCCAGCCACCTCACAACAGTGTGCCTTCAGGTGAGTGGTTTCAGCCAATCTCTGTTCAGACATCTGTAAGATGGATAATGATAATAACGTCTACCTATTGCAGAGGATTGATGTGAGGATTATATGAAAATGCAGGTCAAGTGCTTGGCCTGGCTCATAGTAAGCACTCAGTAAATATTAATCCCCTGTGTCGGCTATCTAGAAGGTTCTCAGTGCTTCAAAACACACCTACACAAGCCATGACTGAAAATGTTAGGTGAAGAGAATGAGAAACACACAGCAAGGCCAAGCTACAGACAAGTTACAAACTTCATCCAACAGGCTAGTGTTCATAAAGACACTTCAAGGCAAACCAAAAGGTCAAAATACATAGAAAAACTCTCATCAGAAACCAGATTTCAAATTTAAGCCAAAATGAGACATTATTATGCAGTCCACCAGATTTTTTTAAATGTTGAGGTTTGACTACAACAAGTATCCTAAAATTAGGGGGAAACTATGCACATACTGCTGGCAGACCAGTATGGAAAACACAATCTTGCATTAGCTGGTAATGATGAAAACATGCATACCTTGCAATCTAGCAATTCTACTCCTTGGTACACATCCAAGAGCAGAACAGTGTTCCATCACCTGGGAGTCTGCCAGACAGGCAAATTCTCAGGCTCTACTGTAGGCTTACTGAATCAGACTATCAGGGCTAGGGCCAGGGATCCACATTTAAACAAGCTTTCTGGTGATTCTCATATAAAGTTTGGGGAACACAGCCCTAGAGTATCCCTGGCATTTATACCCAGGTGGCATGCATAAGAATGCTGACAGCAGCAAAAAACTGAAACCACACACGCAAGTCCATCAACAATAAACCAAATAAGTAAATTGTACCATATTCATAGCATGCAATGCTCTACAGCAGTGAAAATGAATAAATTACAGCTATACAACTCAGCTGAATCTTATAAACATAACGCTGAGTAGAAAAAGCAAATCACAGAAAAATACATTATATATACACATGCATGATACATGTATACATCTATGCATGATGTATATGCATATATAAAAATGTCTATATAGATGATAAAACTACAAAGGAAAGCAATGAATAAATGTTAGAAAAACCCAGATAGTAGTTATCTCTGCCAGATAGTAGTTAACTCTGGGTGGAGAGAGGGGAATGGATGCAGTACTCTGGGGATGTCCAAGGAAGTAGGAATATTCTGTTTTCCTAACCAGGCTGGTGGTTACATGGATGTACTTTATATGCTTTAATTGTCCTTTAAATAGTACACATACACTTTATAGACTCCTCTATATCGTATCCTCATATCACACTTCACAATAAAAATTATTTTTCAAAAGTGACCTTCATATATATATAAAATACAAATGGATGTCAATCTGCTTTCGGTGTTTTTCTGCCTAGATTCAAATACATATCAAACCTAGATACACAGGCCCTGACATCAGGCTACTTGCATTTAAACCCCAGCTCCAACATTTAACAAAATAACCTTGTGCAGCTCAGATAACCTCACCATGCTTTGGTGTCCTAATATGTAAATTGGGTATATTTGGGGAGGAATTTAATGAGTTAATACATGTAAAGTGCTTTGAACCACGTGTGGTACATAGTAATTACTAAAAAAATGAAAAGCTACTATTAGAATAGAAAGATGCTAAGTTAAAGGCAATACTTCCTGCATCTAATCGTCAATAAACCATCAGCACCTATGAGAACAATGAATCCACCTTCCCTGTTTTCCCAGATGCTGTACTGGCATCAACCAATATGGTACCATTACACTCAACCCTCTCCTCTACAGGGTTGTCATCATCATGTTAAAAGCATTCAGAGGCTGAGTAACTTTGATTCTAGCCTAGTCTCAAAACACACACACACAGACACACACACACACATACTCCCACATGTGCACACACATGGGTCCTTACTAGCATATGAAACAATTAAATTACAGAAGCAAGAGACAGATCTAGGAGGAGACAACAGAAAAGCTCCTATCTGATATACCTGTTGTTTCCAAATCAAATCACTGGCAGAATTAACACTCTACATACACTAATTCCTTCCCCTAATTATAAAGACAGTGGAATTATATCAGCCTAGATAACATCTGTTAAAATTTAAGGAGGATTGTTAAAATATTTGCCCTTCAATTGTGGTTTCCAAGTGTGGTCGATGGAACACTGGTGGTAGGTAGTCCCTGCTGAGCTATAATTTATCTGGTTGTCACACTGAATATAGAACAAAGTCTTGCATGCATTAAGTGCTCAAACTTATTCAAACAATTAAATTATCCATTGATTGTGTCTGTGTAAAACAATGGTAATGACCAGGTCCCAAAATCTTCAAATAAATATCCAACATCTTGCTCACTATATGAAAGCACTTCTCTTTCTATTATTATTACTATTATTAGAGACACAGTCTTGCTCTGTTGCCCAGGCTGGAGTGCAGTGGTGTGATCACAGCTCACTGTAACCTTGAACTACTGAACTCAAGTGATCCTCCTGCCTCAGCCTCTGGAATAGCTGGGACTATAGGTGTGTGCTCCCACACCCAGCTACCAAACCCAGCTAGTTATTTTTTGTAGAGAGGGAGGTCTCACTGTGTTGCCCAGGTTGTTCTCAAAGTCCTGGGGTCAAGCTATCCTCTGGCCTCAGCCTCCCAAAGTATTGGAATTACAACTGTGAGCCATCACACTCAGCCTGAAAGCACTTTTCTAAGTGATTTATATATGCACACGCACAAACACACACTAACCCATTTATTCTTCATAACAACCTTATGATAGATACTATTTATTATCCCTATTTTACAGATGGGCATACTGAAAGAGAAACATCAAATGTGTTGTCCAAGTCCACACAAAAAACAAGTGTCAGAGCCAGGGAACCAATGCAAATCTGGCTTCAGAGTCCCCAATCTTTTTTTTTTTTTCTTTTTTCTTTTTTTCAGAGTCCCCAATCTTAACCACTGTGTCACACTGCTTCTTCAGGCTACTAAGTCAGTGTAACCTTAAGAGAAAAGAAAGAAAAAGATTTAGAAATCTACAGAAATGATGTACTTGATAAAAGAAGCATTTCAGTTCAGAAAAACAGAAACTTTAACAAATGCCAAATGTATTATTGTGTGTATATATGTCACCACATATACAAAATCCAGGGGACAAAATAAAGCAAGACCTCTTTCCACAAAACACATAGAAAAGTAAATTTCAGGTAAGTAAAATATGTATATGTGAAAACACAAACAGATAAGTAATATCTGACATAGTGTGACGTTTGAGGAAGCTGTCTTTGGAGGTGGACAGGTCTCAATTTATATGACTGCTTACCTACCAAAGAGGAGTAATTCAGACACACTCATATATATATATATATATATATATGTCTGTATTTTAATTATGAAGAATCAAGACTTATGAAAATAAGGAATCACAATCTTGACAGTATCTATTATATATGCAAATACTAAAAAAAGTAACCTGTCTTTCCAAATGCTTTATTTTGCACCCTAAAATGTTATACGCAATCTGCAAAATAATCCACTGTTATCGACGTTTGAGTACACCACTATCTCCCTTTAAAACACAGCTTCATCAAGAAGGCCTCAAATAAAGAGAAGGATCATAAACCAAATCATGAATTTAACTCAGTTTCATTTACAAGGTACTTAATTCTAAATCAATTTGTAAATTAAATCAATGGTTATGATATTCTCCCCAAATGTTCTTATCTGTCAAACAAAAAAAGATAGAACTGTGAATAAGAAGTGAAGTCCTCAAACACAAACATGGTATGTACACAATTACTTTTATGGCAGCAAAACAATGTGTAGAGGCAAAAGCAAGTGAAATACAAATTATCTATCAATAAGCTAAGGCCACACCAAAAGCACAATCTTTAAAATATGGTAAAATTAAATCCACAAGTGTAAGAAGATAAATAAATTAGAGAAGCTTTGAAGCCAACAAATCCTTGGTGGGCAATTACCTATGGAATTTGATTCCTTAAGTCTTCATCATTATGCATGGAAGCCTCTACCAACAATCTAGAGCTACTAAACCATTATAAACAGAAAAGGCCTCCAGAAAGAAAGATGCTGGGACAAATGTGGACAATCTGCATCCCTCCTGGCAGACTCTCAGATCTTTAAAAAAGATATACAAATATAAAAAAAGGTAAATGGTACCCGGATACACACAGTGTGTGGAAGTAGAAACCCCTCAATGTACCCTTTCCAAAATTAAAAACAAAAAACTGGGTAAAGCCTTGTTGAAAACTGGGTCACTAGTAAGCTCAGAGAAGGTATTAAGAAGCATCGCTGAAAAGATTAGAGTCTGTTAACACCTAAATCTTCTGATTAAAAACTTCAGGTCAGAAAGATATTTAGTTCTTTGTCTCCACTCTCGTTCTAATAAAAGGAAGGACAAGAGAGACTATAACTTAACAGAATTCCAAATGTATTTGGCATTTGGCTGAAGTGATATTGCCAAACTACCAGAACTATGGCAAAAGATATTGTAAGAAAACCCACAAAAGGTATTTAGTGGCTTGACACCATAAATGTGCGAGTGGCCTTTAGCTGCAAAAAATGATTAATCTTTCCATTTTAAACCAACTTCACCCTCCTTACCTCCAATATATTTCTATAGTGTCCGTCTTTCCTAATTTTGTGACAATTACAAATACATATGATATAAATATAAGAAAGATTCTGCGTACTGAGTGGAAGATGCCAGACACAAAAGAGAATATGGTTTCACAAAGTATAAATGAGCAAAAAAATCATGCTGTTGGAAGTCAAATAAATAGTTACCACTGAGGGACGGTTAAAATTGGAAGGAGGTACTGGTAAAACTCTGTCTTGATTCAGTGCTGATTAACTAGTATGTTCCATTTAGGAACATTTAGCAGGCTGTCCACTTCTATGTATATTTTCCTGTATGCATTTGACACTTCCATAAAGTAAATGTATATGTGTGTATTATATGTACATAATCTGAATTTTGAGTTCCCTAAAATATCATATCAGGTAGCAGGATATTAGAACTCAATCGTAAAGGTGTTGACACCAAATAGACTTTAGCAAGAGAGTGGGTGCCAAAGGCCAATATTTTCGCTGCAAAAACAGACTTTTCTTTATTTACTCAACCCGAGAGCCATAAAGAATGAACTTCAGACTTTGAATGTCTGTGTTAACCAATTAAGACAACAAAAGGAAAAATAATAACAAAGTGGTCACAGTTTCGAGTTTATTAAAGATTTATGTTAAGCGGGAGCGGGGGGATTACATCCCCTTTCAATTTAGTAAATGTAATTTTTTTTAGTCCTTTATTTCAGATTCCACTTAATAGTTTCCCAACCAACAAACAAGACATTTCGTGCAAGATTACAGTCAAGCCAAGTGTATCCACCCACCAACAACAGGTCAAGTTACAAGTAAAATAGTTCTAGGTTTTTCCCAGCAGCAAACAAATCAGTATCTGTACTCAGTTACACTACAGAATATTCACCGGAACTTGTCTGCAGTGGGTCATTTCAAGATGTGGACATGTATATTAAAATATGCCAAATAACATTATTAGTGTGCGAAAAAGTAATGCAAAGTGTTCAAATATGGAAAATGTTTGAACATTAAACATTAAAACTTTTCAAAAATTGGTGGTGGAATATCTTGCATTTACTTTCACCCTGAAGAATATGGAAAAAAGAGTTTCAAAAAAAATGTGTGGTCTTGTGGCCTGAGAGTTTATAGGCTTTCAGAAAGTATTTTAAGTTCCAAGATTCATTAAAAAAAATTATTTTTGAGTACTTACCAGCATATTATTTGTTGATCAAAACTATTAGAAGAACTTTTAAAAACTGATTATGAATGCTTCTAAAATGTTTTTTCTCTCCTAAAGACCACAGGAAAAAAGAATGAAAATCTTAACCAAGCATTATGTTTTGGCTTCAGATGCCAAAAGAAAGCAAAATATTTAAGGCCAAGATTAAACAGAGAGTGTAATTCAAAAGTTAATTATTTAAAGAAAAAAAAATCAACTAAGTAGAGAGAAACTGAAACTCTTCTTTATTGTGACAGTCATTCTCTGGGTATTATACAAAAAGGGCTGCAGTCTGATAAAGGGAGAAACCCGTATGCTTTGTAGTCAAGCCCAACTTGAATATGACAAATATGGTTTTATTCTGGATTCTCATATTCAGAATGTTTGAGTTCCAGTTTTACCATCTCTAAAATGAGAGCAAAACCACCTATCTCATAGAGTTACAGAAACAATGAACTGAAACATAATAGTTTCCTTCCCTGAAATTAAAAATACTTAATTTCTGAGGTTTAATACTAACAGACATTGGCTTGAAAAACTCTTTAAAGAGGCAGCAGCAAATACCTAGTTTCAAGGGTTTTCTCTGCTGTATCTGCTCTACTGAGTTCTGTGAATGACGTACTGACAATTACCAAATATAAAATAAATTGAGGAATGTCTTAAAACTGCAGATGTGGGAAAAAACTAAAAGGGCAATCCTTACAACCTTTAACGAAAGCAGTAACATCAAAATCCAATATTTAGTGCAACAGAAGAAAGTTAAGAAAACTCAAAGTGTATTTTAGTAATGAAGGGAGAAAAGAGTCATTTTACATTTTTAGTGCCAGTGATTTCTGGAATAATAAAAACTCCAAACTATGCACCTTTTAATTTACTTTTTAAAACTAATTATTTAATCCACCCAAACATTAAGTAACATATCAGAATGGAAAGAAAATCTGGGCATACATGTTTTAAATTATAATGGCCAATTAATGTTTTTAATTACACAAAAATCAGTATTAAAATTAAAACTACAATATATGGGAGTAGGTAAGTACACTATCTAATTTTTAAATTATAGCTAGGTATATTTTATGAAAGAAAATCTAAGAACAGATCATGGATCAAACATCTCTGCATTATAATTCCCATACCATATGTATAATAGCAACTCTTTTTAAATAGCTCAAGCTGCTTTAAAGCACTATACAACTAATTCTCCCAATGCTACTTTGAAAAACCCAAGTTAAACTGCTTACTTAATCAAGGCAGTGGGTACACTAGAACTCTCATTCATATACTAAATGTTCTTCTGTATCTCCAGTTCCACATACTAGTAAGGTCCACTTTCAATTACACTTCCACTATTAGAACAGATGAAAAGTTAAACATTCAATCAGTCAGGAGAATGTGAAATATTACCATGGTTTACCCAACTATTATAATCTCTCAGGCACTGAGAACTCAGCATAAAGTGGTTATTCCATGATGTCAGCATGGAAACGTATCCATTATTTAGCTATCCATTAATTCAGCCAATCTTCCTTTGGATCTACTTATAGCTCAGGCTGCTATAGGTTGTTCTAAACCTAACTTGGATTGTCCTAGTGTTAGTTTAGGTTATCTTCATTCTTAAATCTACTGTTTGATTGTATATTTCTCAGTTATAGCTTATATTGTGGTCTGTGTCAAATTAATCCTCATTCAGAAGCCTGAAATCCTCATTTATTTTGGTTGTCCTTCTCTGTAGCTTTTTTAAATTTTATTTTGAGGTGGAGTCTCGCTCTGTTGCCCAGGCTGGAGTGCAGTGGCATGATCTCGGCTCACTGCAACCTCCGCCTCCCGGGTTCAAGTGATTCTCCTGCCTCAGCCTTCCAAGCACCTAAGATTACGGGTGCCTACCATCATGCCCAGCTAATTTTTTGTATTTTTAGTAGAGACAGGGTTTCACCGTGTTAGGCAGGATGGTCTTGATCTCCTAACCTCGTGATCCACCTGCCTTGGCCTCCCAAAGTGCTGGGATTACAGGCATCAGCCACCATGCCTGGCCCTCTGTAGCTTTTTTAGGTTCATGACTATTCCCAAAACATGAGGTGGCTTAACAATCGCTTTCTTGAACCTGAACTAGTAGAAAATGTTTTGTTCCCTACAGCAGGGGTTATTAAATTTAGCTTAACATTATGCCATAATTTCTTAAATCATTTCTTACTCATGGACTTTTAGAGATCAAATAATCCAATCTTTCGTAATCATAAGCAATGCTTCAATAAATATCTTCGTATATGTATCTATACCATGTGTTTGTCATAAATACATGCATACCTGTACCAAAAAAAAAAAAAAACTAGAGGAGGCCAGGAGCAGTGGCTCGTGTCTGTAATCCGAGCACTTCGGGAGGCCGAGGCAGGCGGATTCCCTGAAGTCAGGAGTTCGAGTCGAGACCAGCCTTGCCAACATGGTGAAACCTCATCTCTACTAAATATACAAAAATTAGCTGGGCATGGTGGCACACGTAATCCCAGCTACACAGGAGGCTGAGGCAGGAGAATTCCTTGAGCCCGGGAGACGGAGGATGTAGTTGAGCCAAGACTGTGCCACTGCACTCCAGCCTGACAGAGCGAGACTGTCTTTAAAAAAAAAAAAAAAAAAGCTAGAGGAAAACTTGACAAAGGGCTAGAGCTGTATTTTTAATGCTGACCCACTTATATTTTTAATGTTGACCCCCTATCACTCAATTCAATGGCTCTCCTGAAGGCTATCTTCTCTCAAAGAAACATGAGCTCATAAAACTAATAAAAAAAATTTTCTCAGTAATATTACACTTACCTTCATTTTAAGCCTAAAAATAATTTTTATTCTCAGTAATATTACACTTACCTTCCTTTAAGCCTAAACCCCTCCCCAAAATTGTTTACTTTTACTGGCAAAGGTAGCACAGCCAATGAAGAAAATTTTAAGTTTAAAATTCAGGCATATAAAAAATATAGATGACTTTAAACCTATCACGATAAACTACGGTTAATAAATCTTCAAAACTCACATTCTATCACTCCAAGTATCTGAAAATTCTTACATTTTCGGCTGAAAAAAGCCTTTCCACAACCTTCGAAAAGGAGATGTGTTTGAGATATTTTTTAAGTAGCCCCAGGAATCATGCAACTGGACAGTCTCTTAGAGATCAACTAATCCAACTAGGCCCAAGATTTTATTGTTGAGGAAAATGAGGTCACGGGACTTTAAGAGAGTAGACTACATCTGGACGAAATCAGAACCCCATGCTTCCTGCCCTGGACACTAGCTCTTGCCCTTGACACTACACAAGGGCATTCACTTACACAGATCAGTTATTATACTGTTGGTGCCTAAACCACCTTTCATGACATAAAGTAATCAATCAATTATTGATTGACACTTCATATCAGACTGTACTCAGTGTTGCAGGAGACTCATATGTATATAGCAGTCCTCAACATACATTTGGGGTGTGTGTGTGTGTGTGTGTGTGTGTGCGTGTGTGTATGCAATCCAAGGGCTTGGGGGCTGTAAGTACAGTTGGAAGCAGATGAGGAAGTGCACTGAGTACCAAAGAGTGAGCGACAAGGAATAAAAATCTAAGCAGAATTTAATCTAAATTTTCCTTAAAGAGACTATTATAACATAAATCATAATGTTTAAATCTACATCTTTCAAAAAGTCCCATTTAGCTTGTGAATTCACCTTGTTCTGCCTACTTTAGACCTATCACTTCATACATGCAGAAGATATAGCTCTTACTAAAACATTAATATGTATATACCTCTTCCTTGGCATGGATAAGGTTGTTTAATTAAAACTTACATGTATTTAGTTAAATACAAAGACTAGCATCTGCTCAAATTAACTGATGTCTTTTTCTGAAAAATTAAAATAAAAATAAAATTTTAGTAGAAAAAAACAGAAATGTGAGACACAGTGATTTGTTGGTACCAATTATGTTTCAACTTAAAACTCTTAACTTGAAAATACTTAGGTTCTAGCAAGTATACTGCTGTCAGAGCGAAATACTTATTCAGATGACAAAATCCAAATTTAAAAATCTATCACATTTTTAAATGGCTGACAAAAACCACCACCAAATCTAAGCAGTGCCTAAACTTGATTACTTTTTTGTATTTGAGCCAAAAGAACAAATCTGAATGTTAACCTGGGAAAAATGGTAGTGTATATACGAACACAACACTTCTTAAATAACAGCTCTGATTTTTAAAAATCACTCTTCTAACTTCATAATAACCCCTTGAAAAGAAGATGGGGATTTTAATCACTTAGGATTAAAAAAAATAGGATTTAAAGCAAGATTAACTGTTGCTTTAAGTCTTGACATTTCCCTATTAATAACCCTAAAGCTTAATGAGGCACAACAGATTTAAGAATTGAAATTGTTAATGAAAAAGAAAATTAAGGACAGTTTGGTGCTCTATACCATCATGAAAATAATCTGCTCCAGAAAGATTTTAGTCTCTACATGTAAAAAGCAAGAAATATCTAAAAAGTATTTCCTTGTAAAATCTCAGTCTGAACTTTTAGAAGGTTAGGGCAGACTTTGATGAAAGTATAAAAGTCAGAAAGTACCTATGGTTTAATATATAGTGTTTTAAAAACAAGTGAGGATACATAAAATACTGTTTTTCAAATTACACCTAGTATGTTTGTAACCTTTCACCTATTAGTAATGACCGCATGCCTCAAGTTAAGAAAAGCAAAGAAATATACATAACTGTGTCTAGTAAGTAAACTCTGAACACCAAGTTAACTCTTCTTATTTTCACAAGAACTTATGTTTCAAAAGCACATGAAAATCAAATAAATACTGAGAATAAACACGATTTACACTTAAAATCACTGCTGAATCCTTGCCACATTCTAGAACAAAGCTGCTTCTTTTTATGTATACTTCATATGTTGAATATTAATTTCTTTAAAATCTGTACCTAATAGGTGAAAAACACATAAGGTTTATCCATCGTTTTTCCAAGGTCCTCACGCAGGGTTGAAACCAGGATCTGTTAAGTCTTAGAAATGAATTTCTATGAACATTAAAATACTGTCCTAGATGCCCCATAACCCATACAAACGTATTTAAATTAGAACAATGGGGTTATGCAATTAAGATGTGAACTAGAAAAACAACACAGGTTTCTAATATATTAATTAACTAGGTCAATGGTAAAAGCAACATTGATTTTTTTTCTTAACAATAAACCTATGTAAAGATTTGAAAGTCACTTGTATTATTTAAAAGGAAAGCTAGTTATAACTTTGTGATATAATATTTTATACTTTTATCAGGTAAGCTGAATGCTCAAATTCGGATTTTTTAATATAAAAAAGGCTAACATCTTAAAATAAGACTAAAGAAAATCTTGATGTTGAACATCATAACATGCAAGATTGACTAGAATTATGTAAATCTACATAACAAGACTAACTAAACTAGTAATTTCTCTAAGTAAAATAAGGTACACAGACACTTCAGTTAACAATTCAAGGCACAGAGTCCTTTGAATATTCAATTATATTTAGCTTGTAAAAAAACAAGGGTGCTCCGTATCTGCACTAATAACCTACATATTCTCTTTTCTAAAACTATCGGCTGCTTAGTCTGGAATTTAAAAAAAAAAGAAAAAAAAAACCTAGACTGTTAATAGCAGCTGACTGCAGGACAGCCACTTTCACCTTGCAGATAGAGCTTTGTTGTTCGGGCGTGTAAAGCAGACCATTAGCACAAAGTCATTTCTAATCTCAGTTGTACAATCCACATGGTGCACTTAACCCTAAAACTCATGTTGCGTAAACTGCTCTGCTTCCACTCCTAATGACCTTTCAAATCATTCAATGTTACTGCTTGACTTGTACTCATGAATTAGAGGACTGCCAAATAACTTGATGAGAAAGTTATAATTTCTCCTTTCCTGAAGGTTTAAAAAAGTCAACATTGGTATAGAAGAAACTGAGAAAGAACATACAATGGAAAAGCACATTATTTAATGCTTATAAACGATATTTTTAGAAACACTTAAGAAAAAACTGACAGAAAATTCACACCTGACTTCAAGGCAGATGACTAAAACAGAAAATGAGAGTGCTCCACTTGTAACACACATAGATTTCCCACAGTATTCATGACCAACAAATGTCTCTTCGTGTCCTAACTTCGCTGCACAGTATTCAATTAAAACTCACTTTTAGATGAAAAAGTTTGTGAAAATAACCATCTGCTGCTGGATTCACACTGAGGATTTACTGTCTGTAAATAAGACGACCCAATGCTGTCCAAAAATTAGTGTTTTTAAAGTAAGATTTGTAAAAAATGTATCACATCTCCTTTGTTAAAAAAAAATCCTAATACACAGGAGTCTTTAAGTTTGTCTTGCCTTCCATTTAACTTCAAATACTTTAGAAGCAGGACTTTTTTCCTTCTTCCTCCTTCAGCCTAACCTCTTTAATAAACCCCATTTTTAAAGAAGAAACAATAAATGAAGTGACAGGAGGTCAAAGAATGAGGAGTGTGCGCTGGGAGAATAAAGGGCGGTTTTATAACAGGAGGTACTTTTGTTAGCAAGTGACTGGCAGGTCTCCTCCCCCAAGTTAGAAGGAATTCCATCCACTCTCCAAAACTGCAAAGGCCAAAAATGTCTAGTCTAATAGTTCTGAAATCCCCGAGTCAGGAGAGAGCCGAGTGGCGGATGGCGAGTGGGGGAAGGGAGAAAGACCGGTAGGAGACTAAAGAACAAAAGAAGAAATCCAAGAAAGGGAAAAGGAACGCTGGGACCCTGGCCTGGGAGGCAGGGGTGGGGAGAGACAAAGTGAGAGAGCACGACCCGGGAGGAGAGCGTGGAGCCGGGCAGGGACAGGCGTGCCGCACCATGGCGCACCATGGACAGGGCTCCGCGCGGCGGCGGCCCACGACCGTCTAGGGGTTGCGGGAGAAAGCGCGAGAGACTGCGGAGGCCAGCCCCGTCCAGCCCCTGCCCCCGCCCCAGCAGCACTCACCCCCCGGCGGGCCGGAGCGCGCCAGGCCCTGACCCGTGAAGACCACGGAGCGGGGTAATCCACACCACCTGTCTCCACCCCCGGAGCAGGCACTTCCGAGCTGCGTCCGCACTTTTCGGGGCTGCCAGCTGGCAGTAGAGCACCTCTCCCCTTGCCCCGAGGGCGACAGGCAGGGGGACCCTCCGTGGATTTTCCTGCCCCGCGGCGAGGGTGGGCACGCCCCTTTCCCGCAACCTTCGAGGGACCCCACGGCAGGCGGAGACCGACTTGGGACCAGGGCACTGCACCCGCCCAGCTAGAGGGTCCCGGCCGAGGCTGTGTGAAGTGGCCTCCAGGCCTGGGCTGGCTGGTCGGGAGGAGCCTGGGGGCATCCTCGGGTTGGAGGCGGCGGAAAGTTGGGCTGCCCCCGGGCTGGGAACCCGCAGCGTGCAGTGGCGAGGGAACCTGCGCCCGGACTGGAGCAGGTGCTTCCTGCCGCGGAGGAGCCTCTTAGTAGAGATTAAATGAAAAGGCTCGCTGGCTCTCTCCCGAGGGTATGAAAAGTACGGAAGGCTCCAGGCAAAGGCGCCCCCGGGGCGCATATAGGGCACAGGCAGCCGGACAGAGAAAGGAGCAGCCGCGTAACGGAACTTCTCGCCCGGGGGAGATACTAGGCGTGAGAGGCCAGACTCGTTCTACAGGCAGGCGCTGACCGGCAGAGACTCCTCCGGGCAAGAGGGCCAGATTTTCTTTCCAGGTGGGACGAACACAGAATATTGTGAGGGCAAGAGAAGAAGAAAAGGAGGCAACTCCAGACTGGGATAAAGACAATAGGACAGTAGAGCCCTTGAGCACCGGGAGGCGCACGGGTGCAGGGTGGGGTAAGGTGGAGGCAAGTCCCGTAACTAAGACACCAGAGTGAGAATTCCTACTGTAAACTCGCGACCCATCCCTGCAGAAATAAACAAAAAAATTGGAGCAAAGTACTATGCGAGGGGCGAAAGGCACAGAAAACTGCAAAACCTGGGAGTTATCCTGCCTCACCCTCCTGCTGCCTGGGGACACCCCCCGCGAGCTTGCTCGGCCCCGAAGAAGGAGCAGAGGGGACCCGCAATCCAGCCCCTAGAGCCCCGCCAGGAAAGGCGCGAGAGACCTACTGGCCCCGGCAACCCTGCCCCGGCGCCCGGACGGAGCCCGATGCCTGCGCAGCTACCGGCCGCGCGGCGCGGCGCGGCGCGGCGTGGCACCTCCCTTCCCGGGTGCGCAGCCCGGCCCCGCAGCGGCGCGGGGAACAAAGGGACCCGGCGCCGCCCGCCCCACCCCGCCCGTGGCCCGGCCCGCGGGGACCGCCGCGTACCTGAAGCAGGGCCGCCAGCAGCGGCAGCAGGGTCCGCAGCGCTCCCGCTATCCGGCACATGGAGGCGGAGAGGGGCCGAGCGAAGAGCCGGAGGAGGCGGCGGCGGCGGCGGCGGCGGCGGAGGAGGAGGAGGCAGCGGCAGCACCAACAGCGGCGCGGAGAAACGGCTCCAGGCAGTTTCCACCCCCTTCCCTTCCCCTCCCCTCCCCACCCCCTTCTTCGCTGCTCTCCGCTCCCCGCCAATGGAGAGCGAGCTGATGACAAATAGCGGGCCGCGGAGTCCGCGGGACTCGCACCAGGAGTAATAAAACAGACCCAGAGATCAAGGAGCTGGGGAGGGGGCGGGGGAACAGGGAGGGAGAGCGTGTGAGCGTCTGCGAGTGTGTGGAGGCGGCTGCTGTGGCAGCGCAGGCGGCTCGGCTCCGGCCCGGAGCGCAGCGGAAGCCGCGAGGGATGCAGCGGCGGGGACCTTGGCCGGTGGAGGATGTGGAGGTGGAAGTGGAGCGGATGGCGCTCCCCAAGAGCTCCGCCACGCGAGGTTTCGGGCTCGTGGTTTTGCTTCCTCCGGGTCCCCGCTCCAGGGCCGCTCGGCGCGACGAAGACGCCGGGGACAGCGCCGCGGGGAGGGCGCTCCGGGTCGTGCGTGCTGCACCCACAAAGAGCAGCAGTCCCGCCACTCCGCGCCTCCGCTGCGTGGGGGCCGAGGGGCGCTTC
Organism: Homo sapiens; assembly: GCF_000001405.40. Lineage (NCBI taxonomy): Eukaryota > Metazoa > Chordata > Mammalia > Primates > Hominidae > Homo > Homo sapiens. The sequence goes on from NC_000018.10 coordinate 28,177,677, forward strand.
TCGGCTCCTCTTTCCGGTCCCCCGGCGAGTTGGAGACTGTTCTCCGGCCTCGGCCGCAAGGGGGTGAGGCGAGGGGCCGGCGCGGTCTCTCCCGCCGCGGCTCCGTCCCGCGCAGCTGCTGCCGCAGCCGCCCCTGCTGCCCGCGCACCGGCACCCGCCCGCCGGTCCTCGCCCTGCGCCGCTCACTCGCGCGCGCCGCCCTCCGTCGCCGACCGCGCACCCCGCTCGGCCTCCGCTGCGCGACCTGGGCGAGCCGCCGCCGCTCTCCCCGCGCTCGCCCCACGCGCTGCCTGGCTGCGCGGCCCGCTCCCCTCTCCTATTCCTCCCGCCGCCGCCGCCGCCCTCGCCCCCGCCTCCCTCCTCCGCCGAGCCTCCCCGCCCGCGTCGTGGCCAATCGGAGGCCACCAAGCTGCGGCTGTAGCCGGCCGGATCCGCGGCAGCCGCCCGCCCCCGCCCCGCCGAAGCGCCCCGTATTTTGCTGCAGCCCGCGGGGGGTCGCCGGAGGGAAGCCTAGAGTGCGCCGAGCACCGCCCCGGCAGGTGGAGGGGCTGCGGGAAATAAAATAACTTGGGCAGGAACTTGATTGGTAGCAGGTTCATCTTTGGTCCGCGGTAGGGAATCTAATGGAGATGAAGAATGGTGGGGAAGGGGGGGCGGTGTCTCCTTGGGAGCCTAACGTACGCTTCTTTATTTTGTCATTCTTTGGAGATGGGTAATCTTTCCTGGCAGGGGCAGACACAGCAAACTAAGGACGCAGGCCAAGCTCATCCTAGCTATTGTTGTCTGAGGCGCTCGCCGGGAGCCACCTGCGGGCGGGGGAGGGCGGAGGCCGCGGCTCCTCTCTGGAGCTCGCACCTTCAGCTCCCACCCTTGAGGATGTACTGGAACAGCCCAAGTTTTTGTGTTCTTGTTTTGTTTTCTTTTGTCCCCTCTGGGAGTTTGAGAGTGCATGTTTGTTATTTTATTTGAAATCTCCCGTTTTCTATTTCTATTACTACCTGTTAGTGGTACTGTTCACATTTGGGGCCAACAGTTTCAGGGTACTTTTACCCTCTCCTACCACCCCTAACAACAATTTTTAAAAAAGAGAGAAACTAAAAGCCGGAACTTGAGAAAATAGGATTATATAAAAGATAAAATGACTGATACAGAATTCTCACCACGTAAAGGATTTCTGCTGGCTTCCTTTAAGGCATGAACTTCAAGTGCAACACAGTGAGAGACTTTACAAGTTTGAGTCACAAGCATTTGTGGAATGGAGCGGGGGATGGGGAGCAGTTTTTGTTTTTTCTAATTCTGGTGAGGTAATAAATTTTCCGGAACCTTTTTTAAGAAAGGTTTACAAGTAAATAGAAATATCCGTTTTATGTAAGCTTTTCAACACTTGGGAGATCGGTGAACTTCATTGCAGTTAATGAATATTTTCTGCCTTTATTGCTTGCTTTTCTGCTTTGGGTGACTGAAATATTAACTTTATTTGAGTTTCAAGATACCGATCATTTAAGAATCTGATGATGAACCTTTAAAAACCAGCTACTAATTTCTTGACATAACTGATACAGCTTTTAATAATGTACTGTTGCTGGCTAGGCTTTTAAAAATTTAATATTCATAGGGAGGCTTATTCAATTTTAATTAAAACATAATATTGTAAGTTTTTTATGAAACAAAATTTTTCCTGGATTTTCTTTCTTTTCAAAAGAATAAGAAAGGTTATGTTAATTAAATTTAAAAGATGAGATGAAACACTTAATATAGTAATCAGAAGTGCTTGTTCTTACCCTTTCTCTTCTTTTTTTGCTAGATATTATTGTCACACTATTGCTAGTCCGCCTAAAAGTTATCTTTGCAATAGAGTATTTATAAATTATGCTTTCTGGGAGTCATGCAAAATAATAGTAAAAATTCAGTTGAGATATGGGGATATGTTTGTTGTATTCCAGAGTGAGATGTAGAGATCTCATCTCCATGGCTAAGATTTAAGCTTCGACCCTCGTCGTGGGGTTTCGACTGTATCCTCATCACTCCTAGCAGTACCCATTGATGTTTATTGCCATTCTGATTAATTTAAAGGTGGAACAAATTTCAACATGAATAACTCTATTTCTTGTTAGTAGTATTTACTTGAAGCTTTAAACATGTCCTTTATAAATTAAGCACTTATGATTTCAAAATCTCCTTTGGAATGGCTGTCAGTCAAGGAATTCTCTGATTCCAACAGTTTTTGATCCTTTAAGTAAGCACTTGCAGCATGTTTTAAAAGTCCAATTTGCATGCCTCTCACTCTTCAGTGGTTGTGAATTGTTTTAGCATCTTGCCTCACTTTAAGTTGATCACCTGGTCAGCCAAATCTTGCTAATAATAAATAATAGGCCTCTGATTACAAGAAGGAATAGTCTAGTCTAAAATCATGCTGTTGGAGACTTTGTGCATCCATTTGATGTTAATGAAAGTAGATCTGGTGTTGACTATGATATCCAAACACAGCTTTACCTCAGTAATACCATACCTAAGATTAGCTAACGGGGCCATTCACTGTCCTGGGCAACTGATGACCAAACTCGCAGATTTTTAGCCCCTGCTCAAAGCATTACTTGTCTGAAGACTGGTTTTCCATCAGCCTGTAGAACTCCAGGGATGTAGGGGATTGTCAGTGACCCAGAGAAACAACCAGGTGTTATTAGGGGTTGGATGGATGGAGACAAGAAAAAAATATAGAATAATATAAAACATGACTGCATTCACACATCAAAAATCAACCTAATCCTTCATTTCTGACCTATGGAGTGATGCCTGTTGACTATAAGAGGTCTGCAAACCGTTATGGAAACCTGATTAAATGATGTGCTCTGAACACATGGCCCGTTTTTATATATATGTAGAGGTCACGATGATTCATTTCTAAGCATTCATTTTTATATATGTGTAGTTTTTATATGTGTGTAGAGATCATGATTTGTTTCTAAGCATTCATTTCGAAAATCGTAATAATTTTTGTTCTGGTGTGTTTTGTCAGGCAGGAGATGCTAAATGTACAAATTCACCATGTGGGTGTTTGTGTACAAGGGTTCTTGCTTTGGACATAAATGCTCAGCAGTAGTAGTCTAATCTAGAGCCTCCTCTCCCCCACCTCCCCTTCCCTACCCCCTATAGATACACACCGCAAAGACAGGCCCTACACTTGTCTTTGTCTCTGACACCTAGCGCAGTGTCCTTCCCAATGTTGAATGAAGACCCCCTTCTCCACTCTTCCTCCTCTCCCCATCTTCAGAGCAAACTAGGATTGTCCCTCTCCCTTAGAAAGTACCCCTCAAATTACATTTTCTCCATAATTAGCTTTAGTGTACATTAAAGCTGACTTTCCCTGGGTAATATCCCTTTCATAGAGTCATAGAATGTTCTAAATGAAACATTAAAGATGGTCTCTGCAACCCCTTCATTTTACAGATGGGACACCCTGAGACTTAAAAAGGTACACAAGGCCACCAGCTGGAAAGTAGGGAATGCAGAATGGGACCCAGGTCCCCTTACTCCCACTCTTACCTATGCTCTCTATCTTATTCTGGGAAGTTCCTTTAACATTGAAAAATTCAACTATATGGGATGAAAGGGAGATTTTTCTTTTTAAAGAAGAAAATATAATGATGCTAGGGATTAGTCTACTATTTTTCTCAAGTTTTTTGTTCTTCAAAGTATGTGTGAAATTGAGGACATAACTCTTCACTGCTCTCAGTTTTCATATGCTTTTCTTAGTGTGATTATCTTGTGTTATTTATTATGATTTTGGCATTTAAAGATCCATATATTTGATACAACCTGGCTGCTAAACACAAGATAGCCATTCATCTGGTGCTCAGAGAAGTAGTGATCTGATCCAATATTAGAAGAAAAACCTGGTTATTTTAAAAAAATCTACTCTTGTTTGAAGATATTATTTACCTATTGTTTTTCAGTATTTGAAAATCAAAATCAACATTTTCATGGAAAATATAACCAAAGAAGTAACTTGAAGTATGTATGGTCACATAAGTGAGTTATAAAGTTGCCAGATGAGCAACTCAACAGAGGCGAGTAATTCATAAGCAGGCCCTGAATTACAAGGAACCCCACCAAACAAACAAACAGAAAAAGAATCCCATTCTGACTCTGGAATGTAGAGGGGTATAGTATAATAAACAGATATGGCTATAAATTCAAGTAGACCTAGCTCTATGACCTTGAGTAAATTTCTTAACATGTCTAAGGCTCTTTTATCTCGAAAATGCAGTATTTCTTTATAAAGTCTGATGGGAACACAATAGAGCACAGTAGGGCCTTAGCATTTTATCTATAGTGTATTAGGTATGCTGATTTCCACAGAGGATTCAGAGCACAGTTACTTAAGAATCTGAGGGAACACCCTTTCACCTCTCCCAGTTGCTGTCTGCAATTAAAAAAAGTGCTTTTAATCAAAATTTTATTTGGGAGGTTCAAATTTTACAAAACAACACAAAACCTCTAATGTAAAAAAGCAATGGCTAAGTAAATAATCTACAGACTGGTAAAAGAAATAAAAATTTGGTGGCTTTGTAATGTGCAGAAAAATAAGTCTAGACAAAGTATTCACAGGAAACAATATAATCAGTATTAATGTATTGATTTGGTGTAGGAGAATGAATTCATATTTGAATTAACTCATAAATTGATAATACCGAGACCAGGGCTAAAACTCCATTTTGCTTAGGACCTTTCCTGGCTTTTATGGTTTCTTGAATGCTTTCTGCCTGTGTGCTCCCAGAGTCGGGTTTGCATAGTTGATTTCATGAGTCTTGTTTAAAGATCAGCTATATTTGAGAAAATAAGATTTCCATGATATCCAAGAAATCTACCTTCTGCACCAGAAGCATGGATACTTACAGCGGAATACCAGCACTTTGGATCACTTAAAATACAGAAAGCCTATTTCACAAGATAAACAAATCTTGAGAAAATAAAACAAATCATGCTGAAGACTTTGGTAACTCTTGGTGCCAAACTTTTGCCTTCATGTCCTTTTAAAAGCAACGATCTGTCTTCAGGAAAGTTCTGAAACACAACTGTCAGTATTTAGAGGATAGCAAAACATATTTACTATCTGAACTTATATTTGATTGTGCCCTTTCCTCCAGTGAAAATTGAGGCAATGGATAAAGTATTGGCTTGGGTTCAGGAGACCAGTTTTCTCTTCCCAGGTCTATGGCTGACTGAATAATCTTACGTGTGACACTTAATTTCTCTAAATGTTTTCTAATCCATAGAACAGAAATAATGCCACTATTCTCATAAGAATGCTGAGAGGACTAAGAAAACAATGTCAGTAAAATCCACTTAGTTCTTCATAGAGAGGTTCTACATAAGTACATGTTATTCTTTAAGGCTGTGGATTCAACTATAAGAGGAATGATTGGTGTCTAATGTTAAGTCACATTTTAATGATGTATAATCAACAAGCCAAGTGCTTATTAATTTTTTTATCCTTTTTCCCACTTATTCATAAATTTTAAAAATAAGTTATCTTTCTCATTACAAAGGCAACATTCACAGATATTTGAGAAAATTATATTGTTAAATGCATCATAAACATTCATAGATTATGCTTACCCATCCTTATATTCCAGTACCAGCTGGGCAGATATGGTCTGAGTTTTCCTTTTAAACAGGGAATGTAAAATATCAACAATATTCCTATTTATTACAGAATTTACAATGTATGTCACTCTGACCCATTTTTTACATAGTAACTAAAAAGAGCTGAGTGATTATCACAGATAAGCATGATCTCTGGGAGGTCTATTATTTTGACTCATCCTTGAGAAAGGTTTTTAAAGACCTGTCTGCAAGAGATGGGGATAGTCTCATTTGTAAAGTATTTACTAGAGCCAATAATAAAAGTGCATTTGCATTCCAAGACCAGTTTATCCAAGCCATGTGAAATTTCCAAGTCTTGCAGGCCAGGACACAGGCTGTCTCAAATTGAGGGAAGAGGGCTTTGAGGAGCCTGCTGGTCAGTGCTGTGAGGGAAAGGAGGTGAGAGACAGGGATAAAGGTCACAAGTGGACATCAGGAAGGACTAAAGCACTTGAGGTTTGTATTCTGTCAGCAGAAGGGGCTCATGATGTGGATACAGCGTGGACTATGGTCAAACGATAGGATCTGGGGAAGGTCATAATCGTAGCAATTGCTCAATAAATACTTGCCCAGATTTAGGAGTGAGTCATACAGGAAAATAGGACATGGATTTGGACAGGAGGGTGGGGACAAGTCTTTCGGTATCCAGAACTGATAGGAAGCTCCACACAAAGGGAGTACCTGATATGTAACAGTTCATCCAGGCCAGTTCACCCTGTACTGTCCCTAGATTTGCACAGTTCTTGATGAGGGAGAGCAGCTTCTCATGAGATGCTTGCTGGGGATGTGTGGGGTTATCCTCAGTTCTAAAATTGCTACTTCAACAAATGTGAAATACCTATTTATACTTCTCAACTTGTTTTTATAAGGATGGAAATGATATGAAATGGTTTTTGTACTTTACAGTCTTTTTCAGTCAAAAATAAGCACTATTTGACTGAAAATAAATGGGATAGTATAAGCTTTAACTGAAGAAGATGTAAGTTGGCTTTCTTAATTTTATTGCCTCATTTTCTGAACCCGTTTTTTTGGATGCAGAACTTTCCGGAGTATTGATTTTTAATTTTTTGATCTTTCTTTTTTCTCTTCCTCCCTCTTTCTCTTCTTCTTTCCCTTTCTCCCTCTCTTTCCCTTTTTCTCTAAAATAAAAAAAAATTGGAGAGTTTCTTCACCTTTTTTTCCTACCTTTCTGTTGAGATGATATTTTTGATTTCCAAGAGGTTTTAATGTTCTCTGATTTATTTTTTATAGAACTTTGCTCTCATTTAATAAATGTAAGAGCTTCTCCTAACTCTACATATTGTTCAAAGTTTTCTTCTGCTTCTGCTTTATCTGAGTTTCTTCTCTTTCTCTTTTTTTTTTTTTGCAGTGTTTGTTTTTGTCTCATGTTTGAGGTTTTCTTGAGGATATTATTTAGTATGCAGAATTTCATTTAGTCCTACCAGGTTTTATTTATTTATTTATTTATTTATTTTTATTTTATTTTATTTTCGAAAAGGAGTCTTGCTCTGTCGCCCAGGCTGGAGTGCAGTGGCGCGATCTCGGCTCACTGCAAGCTCCCCTTTCCGGGTTCACGCCATTCTCCTGCCTCAGCCTCCCAGGTAGCTGGGACTACAGGTGCCCACCACCGTGCCCAGCTACTTTTTTTGTATTTTTAGTAGAGACGGGGTTTCACCGTGGCCTCAGCCTCCTGACCTCGTGATCCGCCCGCCTCGGCCTCCCAAAGTGCTGGGATTACAGGCGTGAGCCACCGCTCCCGGCCCTACTCCTACCAGGTTTTAATGAGGCACCCTACCCTGCCTCATTTTTGCTTGAAGCAAGAGGTCACAGATTGTCCCTAAGGCTTCTTCCCAGGAACCTTCTCCTCCACACTTCTTCTAACCACTGTCTCCTCCCATTCTGAGGAAACAGGGGTTGTTATTCCCTCACTTAGACCAGATGCCTCATTCCCATCTGCACCATGGGACTAGTTCCTGTCCTGTAAAGGTGTTTAAAGAACCTCCCCAGGTGAGACTGGCTCAAGTCACACTGTGCTCCGCGGGGGGCTTGACCTTACTTATCTGTGACAAGATGTCACCTGTGATTTATTCCTTGATAAAAAGGGAAGCAGGAGCCCTAAATTATTTTCTGGATGACTGCTAACGCTTTTCTCTTGTCTGAGTTGGTCATCTACCTCTTCCCAAGGATGAGATAGACATCAGTATCATAAGAGGCTTTCAGCTTAGGACTCCTTTTGTGACATGGCCCTTTCTGAAGTTAATGATGGGCCTCCCGTGCTTCATGTCCTGTGAGAAATAGTGTCGTCTCCACAAATTACTTCACCCCAAATTATTTGTATGGGCCCCTATAGTTTTCAGCTTAAAAAAAAAATCTAAATGCTTTATCCTCAGCATAACATAATAACAGTTACATGGGCTGGGCACGGTGGCTCATGCCTGTAATCCCAGCACTTTGGGAGACCGAGATGGGTGGATCACGAGGTCAGGAGATCAGGACCATCCTGGCCAACATGGTGAAACCCCGTCTCTACTAAAAATACACAAATTCGCTGGGTGTGGTTGTGCGTGCCTGTAACGCCAGCTACTCGAGAGGCTGAGGCACGAGAATCGCTTGAACCCAAGAGGCAAAGGTTGCAGTGAGCCGAGATCATGCCACTGCACTCCGGTCTGGCGACAGAGCAAGTCTCCGTCTCAAAAAAAAAAAAAAAAAAAAAAAAAAAACCAGTTATGTGAAATCAGATTTCCAAGGTTTTATGTGGAAGCAGTCTATGGAGGTACCTTCACCCTAATGCGTTCACTCCATTCCCACTAACGGAATCTATCCAGAGTGAAGTAGCCATTTCCATAATATGAAAAAATGTATGTGTTCAATAGACAATAAGAAATATAAATTTATAATATTGGTAGTGCAACCCTGCTATTTATAGTAAATAGGATAGAAACACGTCAGTAACTAAAGCATTTAGTAGAATTATCTTCAATTTTGTTGTTGTTGTTGTCATAATGTATTTGCTAACATGTCCTAGAAATAGCATCTTTCATTTGGAAGGTGTACTTTATAAATATACGTTGATCAATAAGTGCTTTTATTATACTTTATCCCAAATATTGTGACATGTTCCTCTTAGGGAAGGTCATTGCTACTTTTCCTGCTAACACTCCTCCTGTTGAAAATCGCAATTTAATATTTAATTGCTCTTCACTCTCATTTAGTATAAATCTTCTGTATTCATTTGAAGTCTCATGAGGTTGAATGTTATCTTGCTATTCAGTGGTGTGCCATCACTTCACCTTATAGGTATTTGTGAAGATTTTATTCACATGATGCTCTCAAGCTTGGAGTTGAAATACTACGATTCACTTAATAGATTAGGATATTAGGGTCTATTGAACAGATGCATAGAAATCAGTCACCATTTCACCCGAAGTTACATCCAAATACTTAGTTTTATTAAATGCATCTCTACTGCTTAGAATATCCAGTTTTGCCTTACAGTAAAATTGGGTAGGCTGACCACCTACTAGTAACACATTTGTAAACATACCAGAGGAAAAAAGCCTACTTTTATTTACATAGCAAATACCTTCTCTTAAAAAGAGGTAACTTTTTAAAGATTGTGTCCAAATTGAAGAACTTACCTGAGAATAACAAAAAAGTACAAGACCAATACTGCCTATCTTTTTCTTTCACCCTTAGCCATATGGAGGACAAGCTGGCTTTAGCACAGCTATGGCACAGACTACAGAGTGCATGAGAAAAGAAACGATGGGGTCACCAACAGTGTGGAAGGGAAGGAGCACTATAGTGAGCTGGAGCTTGGACACATGAAGGATCCAATGAGATTCTTAAACTCTGTGTGTCCGGCAAACGCTAGCAGTGAAGAGATGTTAAGTTCATATATCTTCTCCTTGAAGAAAAGCAACATCCTAAGATCTCAATAAACAAAAAATCCTTCATTTGGTTCAGAAGATCCTAGAAAAGTTAATTCAAGATGCTGACTAAAATCTTAAAGATGTTCCCTGGTAGAACATGTTTTTGTTCGTTTATTTCTAAGAATCACAAAGTCAATCCAGTTCCTTGCACATTGCAAACCTCTAAGAGATCCCTTTGCACCCTCTAAGTTCTGCAGTTTGGATTACTGACAGCATCTCCTATAATCAATACAGCATAATTGGATTATTACCAAAGGCAAAATAATATATTTGCTGTTTTTTAGTTTTTAAAAGCTAATATTTTAAAAATACAAGTTTAATCATCTTTACCATCTAGGTAATAAAATACATATGTGCCCCCACATGTGTTTAAATAACCAATATCATAATTAATATTTTTTCCAGAAATAAAATTCTTAAATCTTTATAAAAAGTTTTGAACATACAAATACTTTGTATCCCTAGCTATTATTTTCTTAACTTCTGTTTTCATTTAGAAATATTTGCTTTTGACCACAATCTTCTTCACTAAACAGTTTTCATCTTTGTCCTCCTTTGATTTGAAACCCTTAGCTAATATAATTTCTTAGTTCTCTTTACTTGGTGCAGTTTTTAAAAGGTCTATTTATTTTGAGTCAGCTTACAATGTCTTAAAAATAAGCAAGGAAAGAAAAAATAGGGAGTAGAGGGGAGGAAGAAACAAAAAAAATTCAGTTATGAACTGTTGACTTTTTCTATGCTTTGTTTAAATGTCTAATCTTAAAGGGAGTATGGTGGAATCCTGCTCTTTGAACCAGCCATTAGGAGGTGCTCACAGTTTAGAACAAACTCTTCAGACCTTTAAGACTTGTCTAGTTTTTCTGTTCTGTAGAACTTTAATTTTAGAAATTTTCTTTCACTTGAACATACCACTTGTAAAAATTGTGTAGCCGACAGCTCTGGGAACCAAAGTCATCCAATTAGTCCAAAAAACAAATGTTTTATGGCATCTATCACCACAGAACACCAATAGGCCCTCAGACAACCACATCAGGTTAAAAGAAAAACATGTATTTGAGAAGGAAAGCCTTCTTGGCTATTTTGCTTTCAGAGAGAAATGGTTGATATTAACTGGTGTAAGGCAGTGGTCTTCAGGAAATGTTTCCAAGGGCTATATCTAATTTTGTAAAGTAAAGGGCATATTTGTATTCTGAAATATGCCTACAGGGTAGAGTGTACTTTCTTTTCTTTTATTTTTTTTTTGAGACGCAGTCTTGCTCTGTCACCGAGGCTGGAGTGCAGTGGCGCTATCTCGGCTCACTGCAACCTTCGCCTCCCAGGTTCAAGTGATTCTCCTGCCTCAGGCATCCTGAGTAGCTGAGATTACAGGCTCGTGTCACCACGCCCCACTCTCACAGCTGTTTATTATAGACACATTCACACCGTTACTTTTTCATTTTTGTTTTACCATTATTGCTTTTTATTTGCTATAACAGACCCAGACTGGCAACTTGACGAGCCTTTGGCACAAGTGTGGATATGTTTGGAGCAAAGAAGGCTGAAGGACAAGTATGCGCCATCTTTTGGTGGGTTTTCATTGGCCCCTAAAGCACTGTTTGGAGGAGAGTAAACAATGTTCGCCTACTTATTTATAATAGAAGTTATTGTTAAGGGGTTATAGGTGTTTGTACAGATAGTACAAGCATGAAATGCTATGCATGAATTACTTAACTGATTTAATGATGGCTTCCATAATCTTGTGTCATTTATCAAGTTCAGTGTGACAATCAAATATTGACATTAAATTTTAATTTAAAATTTTCCATATTAAAGGAAATCAATGCACAAAATTTCAAAATTATATGCCTGAGAAAACAGGAAGCCAACTTTATTTTATTTTATTTTATTTATTTTTTGAGACGGAGTCTTGCTCTGTCGCCCAGGCTGGAGTGCAGTGGTGCAATCTCGGCTTACTGCAACCTCTGCCACCCGGGTTCAAACGATTCTCCTGCCTCAGCCTCCCGAGTAGCTGGGACTACAGGCATGTGCCACTACGCTCGGCTAATGTTTTTGTATTTTCAGTAGAGACGGGGTTTCACCATGTTGATCAGATTGGTTGCAAACTCCTGACCTTAAATGATCCACCCACCTCGGCCTCCCAAAGTGCTGGGATTACAGCGTGAGCCGCTGCACCTGGCCTAACTTTAAAATAATTATTATTACTTGGAGTCAACTCCTAGCAAATGGGAACGCTTATCTTATTTCTTTTCATTTCTTTGGCACCCAACTCATAATGTCTTAAGTCCAAGCATTTGCTAGGACTTAAGAGAGGCATTAGGCGTGCACTGCATAATGTTGATGATGACACCTACTGGCAGGACAGGATTTTGCACCCTAGTTCCATAAGACACTGAAGCCCTTTGTTACCTATCTAAAATAAAGATATTTGAAATCTGTACTTTTATTTTATGAATTAAGTTAAATTTCACTAGAAAAGTCTTATTGGAATATGATTATCAGTTCATATAAGCTAAATTATGCTGTGCCAAAAAAACTCCCTAAAACTCTGACAAAGGTTTCATTCTTACACACACTACCTGTCAATCTCAGATTATTAATAATGAAAGATGTGAAATGAAGATTAAATGTCAATTCTGCCTCCAACCCCACCGTTAATTACTAGCAAAGAGTCCCAAGGAAAATCATTGAATATTTCTCCCCTTAGCCATTGATTTGTGATGTGGTCATGTACTAAGTCTCTATTTTGGAACATCTTTTTCTGTCATGGATCAGTCTTTCTGTGTTTGCATCACTTCCAAGCTATTTTAATTGTTACAGCTTCATGATGCATTTACTGTATGAGAAGACTTTCACTTACTTCCTCTTTTTCCTCTTACTGATATGGTTTTAAAAAAATTTTGTAATTCTCACCTGATTATTCTTCCAGGAAAAGTTTAGCATTATTTTGTTAAATTATCACAAATGACATTTGATTTTATTTAAATGGCATGAAACTACAAATTAATTCTATAATAATTAATAACATATTGAGTCTTCTCATCTAAGTATTTTCTATCTCTCCAACATATTTGTAATTTTATTCATCTTAAATGTGTTTTTATAAAAATTTATCCTTGGAATGTTATATTTTGTTATAACCCCTAAGAGTTTTTTACATAATTTTATTTTCACATTTGCTATAGTATCTGCATATGAGTATGCTACTGCTTTTGTATCTTCCTCTTGTAAAAAATAAAATAATTGTATGCATTTTCCATAGGATGACATTTTGCAATTTCTCTAAATGAGTTACTATTTTTCGTCTTGTATTTATATCTGTTAGTTCTGTATGTCTTACAACATTGGCTAAAACCTTCTAGTAAGAATGTTAGAGGCTGGGCATGGTGGCTTGAGCCTGTAATCCCAGCACTTTGGGAGGCTGAGGTGGGTGGATCACTTGAGGTCAGGAGATCGAGACCAGCCTGGCCAACATGGTGAAAACCCATTTCAACTAAAAATACAAAAATTAGCACGGTGCACACCTGCAATCCCAGCTACTTGGGAGAGTGAGGCAGAAGAATTGCTTGAACCCAGGAAGCAGAGGTTGCATTGAGCCGAGATTGTGCCACTGCTTGGGTGACAGAGTGAGAACTCATCTCAAAAAAAACAACAGAAAAAGAACGTTAAATGCTATTTAGAAAAAGCAATAGCTTTTTCTAGACTTAATGGTAGGGTCTCATGGGTTTTATCATTAGGAATTTTTAAAATCATATTGATTTTAAGTAATTGTGAATAAATATTTTAATTATCAATAATAAATGTTTTAATTATTAATAACTTGATTATTAATAATAATTTAATCATGTTGATTCTGTACCCACTGGTATTTCCCAAAATTGTGACTGTTGAATTTTATCTGATGGCTTTATTTCAAAAATTATGATCATGTTTTCTTAAGTAACCTAATAATTTAAGGTATTATAATAATAAACTATATAATATTGATTCTTTCTGCATTCCTGAAATAAATCCTACTTGATGAATATAAATGTTTAAAATCACAAAGGAAATCTTACAAATAGAGCTTAGCACTATATAAAAAAATCGTTTGGAAATGAGTTGGCATTTTTAAAAAATTGATATCCTTGGAAGAATTTGTCATTTCATCTATTTCTAAAAGCATTGTTAATTGTATTTATCACATATTTTTATTTCATATTTGCTAATAATGTTATTAGACATTTGCTTTTATTCTATTTTTTTAAATACTTGGTAATTTAAACAATTTACTATTAACTAATTTTGTTATCTAATTCTTCTTTTAATCCATGTTGGTCTTACTTTCTTTTTCTAAAATTTAGTATGTTTGCATTCTTTAAAACATATAGAAAAATATTTGTACTTATGAATTAACTTTTATGCAGCAATTTTGCTTTGATGGTTTTGTTTATTTTTATCTCTTCCTTAGTCCAATAGTCACTTTAACAGGTTTGTTTTCATTCTCAGGTGGTAAAGTCTTGTTTCCAGTGACAGAAAACTTTATATTTTACATTCAATTGTTGTCAGTTAATGTGGTGTATGATTTCAGTTTATTTGGATTACTGACTGTTTTGGGTCTGATACCAATTTTCATTCATGCTTCTTGCATATTTTACATGAAGGAAGTTACTGGTTATGTCAAGAACTATGACAGGTTGAGATTTTACCCTACTTAAAAAGTTACCTTTCATGGTTGTATGGAAGATGAACAATACATTGTCAGAGACAATGTATTTTATTATTCACAGTAATAGCAGTAGCTAGAGTATCATCATTTTTGTGTCAGTTCCCCATACCCCAATTCACACAGGATGGGTGAAGAGGGCGAGATGACACCAACACACAGAATGGATGCATTACAAGAGAGGAATCCTAAACTTAGGGCATCTGATTCTTTTATAAAAGGCAGTAGGCATGCCTCCCTTTTTTCCTGGAAGGAGATATCTTCATTGTGCTGGGCTGCAAGCATGTCTGACCTTTGCTTTGGAGGGAGACACTCTCTCCATCTTCCTGGACTATAAGCAAACCAGCTCTTTCCTTCAGAGGGACACATTATCTCTTTACTCCAAGGTAATTGTCTATACAAACATCCTAGAAAATACATTCTGGAACAAGGGCATCTATTGGCTGTATTTGCAAGATGTGCAGAAATGCAAGACACCCATGGATAATTTTCTCCTGAGATATGAGTAGAGGATAAATTTTTATCTATATTAGTTCTACCTTGATCAAATTCTTCAAAATTGTTTTTGTCAACTCAGTATAGCCATAGATGTAGAAACAGAGATGTTTGCCATGTGTAACTATCTCTTTATCTCTGTCTCCATCTAGCTATCTCTATAGATACAGAGAATGTTGCTATGTTTAACAGTATATATAGATGATAGACAGATGATAGATAAATGATAAGGTTATAGGTTTAAAATGTTATTCCCTATGTTCTTAATAATTTTATGTATTTTAAACTATTCAACTTTAGAAATTCAGTATTATTTCTTTTACTGTTTATATAATTTTGTCAACATATAATAACCCTTTTTAGTCCCATTTGTGTAAATTTTCACATCTGTTTATTGTTATTTAAATCTGTTTCTTAAAAATAATAAATTATTGGATTATTTTCATTCAATCTGATACATTTCACTTTTTTTTTTTTTGAGACGGAGTCTCACTTTGTTGCCCAGGCTGGAGTAGAGTGGTGCGATCTTGGCTCACTGTGACCTTCGCCTCCTGAGTTCAAGCTATTCTCCTGCCTCAGCCTCCCAAGTAACTGGGACTACAGATGTGCACCACCACACCCAGCTAATTTTTGTATTTTTAGTAGAGATGGGGTTTCACCATATTGATCAGGCTGGCCTTGAACTCCTGACCTCGTGATCCGCCCGACTCGGCCTCCCAAAGTGCTGGGATTACAGGCGTGAGCCACCACGCCCAGCCCATTTCACCTTTTTAATAGAAGAGTATGAACTATATTCATTAATTATGTTGGCCTGACATATCTTTTCTTTTTTTTTTTTTTTTTGAGACAGCGTCTCTTTCTGTTGCCCAGGCTGAAGTGCAGTGGCAGGATCACTGCTCACTGCAGCCTTGACCTCCCAGGCTTAAGCAATCCTCCCACCTCAGCTTCCTGAGTAGGTGGGACTACAAGTGGGCACCACCATGCCTGGTTAATTTTTGTATTCTTTGTAGAGACAGGGTTTTGCCATGGTGCTGAAGCTAGGCTTGAACTCCTTGGCTCGATCTATTCACCCACCTCAGCCTCTCAAAGTGCTGGGATTACAGCCATGAGCCACCGTGCCCAGCCTGTTGTCTGCTTTTTTGTTTGCTCACCATTTGGCCTCTCTTCCGTAGGCTGTTTTGTTTACTTTGTCTTCTCATTACTTCAGAATACAGACATCCAGTGTTTAATTCTGTTTGTGGTTATCTCATAATTATTAAGATATATTCATAACTATTTGTTTATTAATCAAAATAGCAATAAGAAGACTCTTGTTTATTAATTGTACTTCCTTTACCATATCTTAGTCTTTAATAATTAATCTGGTTACATAAACTTTGTCATTAATACATCTATACATATTTCTCTTTTCAAGAAATTGGAGTTTTTAAGTGGTTGCATTTGTATTACCCTAATAATGCCAATTATTCTGAGTTTTCAGCATTAGTTTTATTCTCTGTAGTCATTGTTTGCAGTGGCTGTAGGAACGCTACTGTCACAAGTTGAAGGCCAAGAGAATTGTTCCTAAATTCTCGTTTCTTTGTGCTTTAGAGCTAAGGTAGAAGTGAATCAGAATTCCACTAAATGTGGGCAGCCAGCCAAAGGGAGTAAAATTAACCCCTCCATACACAGTAGGCAGAATGATGAGGAAAAAGGGCTGAGTGCAGTGGCTCACACCTGTAATCCCAGCACTTTGGGAGGCCAAGGTCAGTGGATCACTTGAGGTCAGGGGTTCGAGACCAGCCTGGCCAACGTGGCGAAACCCCATCTCTAATAAAAATACAAAAATTAGCCAGGTGTTGTGGCACATGCCTGTAATCACAGCTACTCAGGAGGTTGAGGCAGGAGAATAGGAGAATCCCTTGAGCCTGGGAGGTGGATGTTGCAGTGAGCTGAGATTGTACCACTGCACTCCGCACTCCAGCCTGGGCGACAGAGTGAGACTCCCTCTCAAAAAAAAAAAAAAAGAATGGCTAAAAGGGTCTCTTTCTGTTGCCCAGGCTGAAGTGCAGTGGCAGGATCACTGCTCACTGGAGGCTTGACCTCCCAGGCTCTGCAAATGTGAAATTCATGACATACTTCCAAGAATCCTAGGAATAAGCTTTTCTTTTCCCCTTATCCAAAGCTTCTATTGGGAGCGGTGTATGTTTCTATTCCCTGTTCCCTTCTTTTCCCCTATCCTACTTCCTTGAATCTCCAGTACTGTTTTACCCACCGCAGGCCTCAAACTTTACAGTCTAACAAGTGTAGTTTTTAAAGTAACCCAAAATGCATGAGGATACTTATCTAAGTCTTCATGGGCTGCCAGAGCAAACGATCATTGACTGGGTGACTTAACAGAGATTTCTTTTCTCACAGTTCTGAAGGCTAGAAGTCTGAGAATGGGGTGCCAGCACGATGGAGTTCTGGTGGGGGCCCTCCTGCTGGCTTACAGATGGCGACCTTTGTTCTGTGTGCTTCCATGGCCTTATCATGATATATTGGTGTAGATCTCTGTCTCTTCTTATAAAGTTAAAATTCTATTGGATTAGGACTCCACCCTTATGACCTAATTTACAAATACTTACCCCCTAAAAACACTGTCTCCAAATACAGTCACATTGGGATTTAGGCTTCAACATGGGAATTTTGGAGGCATACATTGCAGTGCTATAACCCTTGAGGACTTCATTCATACTATAACCTAGGCCGAAAAGCCCTTCCCACTTTTCCTTAAATAGACAACTTGCCTTCATCTGTCAAGACTAGTTGAAGGGTCATCCCTACCAGGAAGCCTTGATTGAATCCTTAGGTGAAGCTACAAGCTCTGGAGCTGCATGGCACCTTCCTGCCTGTGAAGAGCTTTCCCTCATCTGTTAGTGTTTGACTACCTCTATTTACCCTAAGTTCTTCGAGAGCAGAGCTGGTTTCTTACTTACTTTGAGACTCTTAGTGCCTTGGGCAGTAACTGGCTCAGAATAAGCCTGTGACCAATATTGGATAAACTTAAAGCACAGAAATTAGACCATCCATGTTGAATGAGGCTCCTGGAAATGTTAGGCAGACAGGAGGAGGAATGGTTGTTGAGGAGGGAGGGAGTGGTAGTGGGGAGGGGCAGCGCCCTGAGTCTTTGGTGCCAGAGATCTGGATCTTATTGCAAGACCACTAGGGCTTTTGGGGCCACTGGCAGGGGACTCACAAGTTTGCACCAGTTGATTTCGGCCGAAGCCTTTTTCAGAAATGCACATTTTGTGAATTAGTAAAAATTTGCCACAAAGGGAACTCATTTGCCATCTGACATCTGGGAAATTCTGCTACATAGCTAACTTGCACAGAAGACATAGACTTCATAATGTGGTAGAAATCAGTATAGCAAAATTGTCAGGGGTCTTTAGGGAGTAATATTAATCTCCCCATGCAGTCTTTTTTCATAAAATCTCTTTGCAGTAAAGACAAGACCTCATGGTGGTAAGCATGTCCTTTAAAGATTAAATGAGGATCAGTGACCCTTGAGTTTGGTTAGAAAATAATAATATATTTTTAAGTCTAGTATGAGCAAAAAGATTTGATGTGCCCTTTAAGAACATAAAGATGGAAAAATTGCCACCAACCTAATTATTTCCACCATTGTTTAGCCTGCTATTCACATACATCAGAGGAAAGGGGAAAATTTTGAGGGTCAAATCTTTGAACCAGACTCTTTTCTCTCTTTCAAGAACATACTGAACCCAAACTACATGCTCTTTTCTGATCATGACCTTTGATCAACAGATTTTCACAAGACGCTAAACATTTGGGGTGAAGTGAAACGTTCTTGCATTCACTTAACAGAAATGCTTTTTTAGTTGGTGTGCAGAGATTTATTTTTGAAGTCTGGACTGCTTGCTTTGTTTTGAACTGCTTGCTTATTTCCCCATTAGAGGCTCATGGTATTGTTCCATTTAGCACCGCCTTCTCTGCCTTGTCGGGAGTGCATTCCTGCTTTCCTGGCTCCTGCTGAAGCTTCCCTGGAAAGCTCTCCTCACCTGTCCCAGGTTTCCACCAATTCTGTGGTCACCAGATCTCTTCCCCAGTATTGTGAGTCAAACAGCGGAGTTGTGGTATGTCAGGAGGCACAGCACTAGCATCCTAAGCTCCTGCTCTGCCCTCTGCACATTCTTTTTTTTTTGAGATGGAGTCTCTCTCTGTTGCCCAGGCTGGAGTGCAGTGGCATGATCTCTGCTCACTGCAAGCTTTGCCTCCCGGGTTCACGACATTCTCCTGCCTCAGCCTCCTAAGCAGCTGGGACTACAGGCACCCACGACCACGCCCGGCTAATTTTTTGTATTTTTAGTAGAGACGGGGTTTCACCGTGTTAGCCAGGATGGTCTCGATCTCCTGACCTCGTGATCCACCCGCCTCAGCCTCCCGAAATGCTGGGATTACAGGTGTGAGCCACTGCATCCGGCCCCTTCTGCACATTCTTACTTTGTGATCTCCCTTACCTAATCCTTTCCGGCCCCATTTCTGAGCAATGTAAGGCTAGAAACAGCCAAGGTTTTTCTCGCCAGCAGAGTCTGAAGAAGGCTTTATCTTACCAAGGCCTGCTAGGTTTTGTTTTGTTTGTTTTCTTTGTGGGCTTGAGGCCTAGCACTGTGGCTCATGCCTGTAATTCCAGCACTTTGGGAGGCTCAGGCAGGAGGATCGCTTGAGCCCAAGAATTCAAGGCCAGCCTGGGCAACATAGCAAGAAAAAAAAAGAAGACTTGAAGACTTAGGTAGTTTTCATATAAATTATCACAATCTTTTTAGAATACAGACAGTCCCTGGTTTAGGATAGTTTGACTTAGATGTTTCTTGAATTTACAATGGTGCAAAAGTGATATGCATTTAGTAGAAACCATACTTCCAATATCCACACAATCATCCTGTTTTTCACTTTCAGTACAGTATTTAATAAATTACATAAAGTATTCAATGTTATTTTATAATAAATTAGCTTTGTGTTAGATGATTTTATCCAACCGCTCACTAATGTAAGTGTTCTGAACACTTTTAAGGTAGGCTAGGATAAGTTATGATGTTCAAAAGGTTAGATGTATTAAGTGCATTTTTGACTTACAATATTTTCTACATAGAATGGGTTTATTGGGATGTAACCCCACCATAAGTCAAGGAGCATCTGTATACTTTTGTACTTTTATATTTCCCTTTACTTCTATAAATACCTCAATTTGCTTTTTCAAGACAAAGAAAATAACTAAGAAAGGGAAAGATGTATTTGTCTACCTTATAAAGACATTTTTATTAAATCAATCTATTAGTCTAAAACTTATCAAATAATCCTGTGTGTAGTGTAATTTATAATTAACAAGATTAAATGAGTTTTTCTAGAACTGGTGAATCTACTGAATGTGGTGATTGCTGCTTTTAAATTTAAGTAAATTATTTTGCTGTAGTATTTTTTTTCTTAAAGCAGAAATAATAAATATAAAGGCCTTTGGGTCAGACGCTGCTCTGACTCAGACAGCAATTTATGCTACACAATGAAATGGTTTTTGTTGACATAGAAGAGTTATAATTTTGCTTTGGTTTTGCAAATAAAAAGCCACCAATTTCTCCAGAAGTTCTTGTCACGATATTAGTTACATGTTGCTATTTTCTTAAAACCCATCAGAGAAACAATTTTAATTGTTTTTTAAATGGAGGATTAACAAAAAGATTCAGGCCCAGGCAAGTGTTCTTTTCTATAATGCTATAGTAATGACAAAAGTCTAGAGTATTTAGAAATATTTAAAAGTATGAATGGACGCCCTGGAAAAACTGCCTTCATTGACAACTGAGTTAATTATAGTAGTTCTGTTATTCAAAGCTCTATTATTTGGCTGTAAAAATCATTGTAGGTTAAAAATGGACTCACATTAGCTTCCCTATAGGTATAATATTTTACATACTTTAAAAAAGACTTGATTCTTTTCCAAATCCAATGATACAAATACTCAAAAATAATATGTACACTCAAAATAGTTATTCTGCGACATGAAATCTGAGTTGTTTATATTTTAGATATTGTAATATTTTTATTTCAAATTTTAAAAAACAACTCAGTAGAATTAGGTGCCCATAATAGAAATATATTAGGTAAGCATAGTTGAATGTGCATTTCATAAATTTTATTTTAAAAGAATCCTGGCTAGTCTGTGTCTTTCGTTTTCTACGCAGCTCTCTGGGAGACCAGAATGTGGCTATCATGGAGCCCTTCAATTTTAACAGAGATCCTTTCTCTATAACTAATTCAACGCATGGCTATATGGGTAATTTTGAACAAGTGGATCTTTCTCCAACCTGAAAGGCTGCCAGGACAAAGAGGGAGTGAGAAAAAGAGGGTTTCAAAAGGAGTCATAGAGACCACAAAATAATCACGAAGCACTTCTGTATTGCCACAATCTCCTTACAGAAGTGCATTGAGAGGTGGTGATATGGAACAGAGAGGACACATCATTGCAATAAAATACTCTATAATACCTGGGAAAAGAGTTCGAAATGATTTTGTCTTCAAACAGAACACCAAAACTGTAGGAAGTATGACTATGTCTGCTGGTGAGGAATATTTAAAGAATTATTATAGCTCCCTTCATTATGTTTCAGATATTCACGTCACAGTGAAATATGAAATATTAGAAATATAAGACTAGAAATATAAAGTAGAAACTGTCATTTCAACTTTTATATATCACATTTAATGAAAAAAACCTTTCAGCCAAATATTACATTATGCAAGTGCATAAATTATTATTAGTTACTCTGAATTTAGATATGACTATTTTATTGAATCCAATGTGTCAGAATAAATTATTAAAGCGGGCTCAATCTTTCAGGCCTGTGAAATCCTCATGAATGGAATACATTCTGAGTCATAGCATAGTAGTAATACTGCAGTAAGTGGAAGGAAGTTTTGATTTTGCAAATGGCAATGGAAATCCTTTCATAGAACCCATGAAAATGAAAACAATCTCAATGAATTAAGACAGTTTAAAATATGTACTGTATCTGTTAAATTTCAGTTAAAAAGAAAACTAAACAAGTAATAACTGAGAATATGGCAAGGGGCAATTCCTGGGAGTAAAGTCGAAACCTTATTTATAACAGGGCCAGGTGAGACACAGGGTAATTTGGTTCTGAGTCCAGACATTTGATCTGATGTTGCTTAAATATTCCTTGTCAAAGAGAAAATTGATGCTAGATCCTGGAGCCTGGCTGAGCCCACAAATGGGGATCCAATGGGAATACATCGCCAGAAGATGGAATTCTATAACAAACGTTCTACAGTTTTAGTATGTGTCTCTTTATGATGTCAGTTAGGCTGAGTGTAAGTGGAGTAAGTAATATGTTAGAAATAAGATTTAATACAAGAGGCAAGACCAGGTCAGGGATGCT
Source organism: Homo sapiens (assembly GCF_000001405.40). Taxonomy (NCBI): domain Eukaryota; kingdom Metazoa; phylum Chordata; class Mammalia; order Primates; family Hominidae; genus Homo; species Homo sapiens. Next base: position 28,199,885 of record NC_000018.10, read on the forward strand.
TTGGAATTCATTCATTCATTTTCAAGCATTTTACATGTGTATGAAAATGCGAATTTTAAAGAATTATCTACACATGAAGTTGAAAAGAGACACCTATTGAAAGAACCCAAAGAGGAAAATCATGTTAGAGGGACAGTTTATGAGAATTTTTTAGTAGTAGAATGATTTTGGTGATTAGAATCGGAGTACACTTGGGAAACTGTTACAGTGTTTCCAATTCAGGTGTGGCATGATAATATCTTGAAATTTTAACTGTGTTTGCTTTTCTACACATCCTTCTACTTCATTTTCCTCTATTCAGTCAGAGGTTTTAAGGAAAATGAGAATGACTAAGGCAGGTTTGCAAAGAACCATCAATGTTAAGTTTTTGAGATGTAAAACAGATTTTGAAACTTGTTAAAAGTCAATAGTCTTGCAAGTTAAGGGGGCTTTAATGACAAGCATGGTCATTCTTAGAGAAAAAAATAATTTGTACAAAAAAGCAGGGGTCTTTTCAAAAATGGTAGGTTTAGAAGTCTATGTGTAGGCCAGGTGTGGTGGCTCACACCTATAATTTCAGCACTTTGGGAAACCGAGGCAGGTGGATCACTTGAGTTCAGGAGTTCGAGACCAGCCTGATTAACATGGTGAAACCACATCTCTACTAAAAATACAAAAATTAGCTGGGCACGGTGGCAGGCACCTTTAATCCCAGATACTACGGAGGCTGAGGCAGGCGAATCACTTGAACTCGGGAGGCAGAGGTGGCAGTGAGCTGAGGTCGTGCCACTGCACTCCAGCCTGGGCGACAGAGCAAGAACTCCATCTCAAAAAAAAGTCTATGTGTAATAAGTAATGGCTCAGGGGCCTGAAAACTTGACCTACCACCCTGTCCACTCCTAAGATGAATTACTGGTAAGTAAAGATAATTGAAACTCCATGTAGTTGGGGGGAATTGAGAGAAAAGATGCATTACCCAGGTTCCAGTCAATAGTAGAAAGAATCCAAGCCTTTAGGGAAACTGTGTTGGCCATGGAACGTAGGCAGTAAAGTCGAAGTGGCTAGAAAAGAGCATCCAGAGTATCCCAAGCTCTGAGCAGGCACAAGAGGGTGGGAAACCAGGCACTGTGGTCAGGCTAAGGAGGGAGCAGGATGACCACAGAGATGGCTGGTGAGCAGGAGAAGACATTCCAGCCATGGACAGGATGAGTTGGGAGCCACAAAACCAAAGCTCAGCAATGCCAGTACATCTCCTCAGAAACCAAGGTGGGTGGTTGCTGATGCCTTCAGACCAGTGCTTCTCAAAGGCATAATCACCTGGAGGCCTTGTTAAAGCACAGATGACTCGGCCCCTCAGCCAGAGTTTCTGATTCAGTGGGTCTGGGGTGGAGCCTGAGGATTTGCATTTCTAACAATTTCTTGGGCAGTTCTGACGTTGCTGGCCACGGACGTCACTTTGAAAAGCACTGTCCTAGACCAAATAGTCTAAGATGGTACCCACACCCTGCTTGCCACCCTTCTGCACACATTCCCAGAACTTAAATGGCCCCTGGGGAGAAGTGAGAGAGGAAGAGAAAACACATCCTGATAGCCTGAGAAGTCACCCAAAATAGACGGTGTTTACACCCAAAAGTGCTAAGTAATCACCAGTTTGAGTGAAGGAACCTTGACTGCCACAAAAATTTACCAACAGCAGAAATTAGGGCTTGAGGGCTAAGTTCAGTCCAGTTGAAGAGAAAGAAATTGACCAGGTGCACACCTAAGTCTAATTTATTACTATGAAAATTAGTATCCAGTCTATACTAAATTTAGCACAGTTTGTACTCAATATTAGAACAAATGCTGAACTAAATTTTAAATACAAGTTTAGGACTCCGGGAAAGGAAACATCCTGAAAGGATGTTTTTGTGCTTTGTTACACTAAATCTTTCTTCTAAATAGTTTGAACTTTTTAGTTTTTTGTAGAGACAGGGTCCTGCTGTGTTGCTCAGACTGGTTTCGAACTTCTGGCCTCAAGAGATCCTCCCACCTCAGCCTCTCAAAGTGCTGGGATTACAGACGTGAGCCAATGCACCTGGCAGCATTGTGCTTTTTAACCTGCCTAGAAGTAAGATGTTTCTGTAGCCGCAGCACCACCATTATACTACTCATCCTCTGGGCCTCTTCAAAGAACAGAGAAAACAGGAGCTATGTCTGAGTGGATAGCCCTTCTGAGAACTATGAGAAGGCAGAACATCTGTGTGCTTGGAACACTACTCCCACATTCCCAGTTCTCCATCTGGGCCCCTGCACGAACAGACTTAGTGCCCCTTTTATGATTCGCTCAGGGGCCTCACGCACCGACAGCAAATAACAATGTTCAGTCTGCAGTGAAGTGGGATTCTCTCTTTTCAAGGGTCCAGTGTAAAAAGTAAGAGCCCGTCAGATGGCATCTTTACTTAGACAGCTGGTAGGGTTTGGCTCTTCAGTTTTGCACTGGTTTGGCCCAAAATTGAATTGTGCATCTTTGCTTTTTGCATTTTCTCTATGCTGACAAGATCTATGTCAGTAATTTATAACTCTCACCAAAGCTGAGTGCACATTTATGAGATTTAGCTGAAATTAATCTATTATGTGTTATCTAATGTCCCCACATCTTTCAGCCTCTTGAAGTCAACTGTTTCTTTGATACATGAGCCTCCATCCCGAGTAACTGATGGAAAACCAATGACTTCCTCACTATTCCAGGGATTCTCCAGCGGGTGCAGAGTATATATGCCTAATACGTGGTATTGTCCACACTTCTTACTCTGAACTCCAACTCACGGCCCCCACACACATGTTGCTGTTTTATCTGTGCACTACCATTCTGTACTCCTCACACTTCATTCAAAGCACAGACAGAACATCTTGTAGACATTTTTAAAACCACTATTAACCCATTCAATTTATCCATTTGTTTTCCTATTGAGCACTAATATGTGGCAGCTGAAGTTTTACAAAACAGCACTGAAAAAAATCAGCTTAGTTTACTGTTGTAATTTCTACAGTGTATGGAGGTTTTCTAAAACGTAGGGGGCTAATGAACTAGGGTTGCAGCCGGAAGCAATAAGCCACTTGCTCCGGCCTATCAGTATCAGATGTCATGATTTCTGAGCCACGGAGATTCCCTTCATGGGAACTGCCTGTCTTCTGAGGGCCTAGCTTTGTGCCTTGGGATTGACTCCTGCTTTCACTGTCTCTATTGAGGTCTTTCTCTGGCATCTCTTTCCTCCAAGTCGAGGGACTTTTCTACAACTTTTCTCCCTTGAGCTACCAAAATAAAATGGGAAATTGATTTTAAAGGACCAGAATAATTTAGCTTACTTTGTCTCCTCTTAGTACTCAGCACCTTATGTTTCATATCGAAAAGTCCCATTTCAGTGTTTTCTCAAACAAAAGAGACACATGTCTTGGATAGGATTCATCACAGATTAAAAGAAACCTACGCAGACCATCATCCATCTTGGAAAATGAAATCTGCCACAGTCATCAATGCAGAAGATCAGCAAAATATCCTATGAGATGGCTAAATAATCAATCCCTGTGGATTAGATTATGACAGAGGGGCAGACAGTTGACCCAGTCCTGAGGTGAAGTAAAGTGAAGATATACTGTTGTCCTCATAAGGGGAAATCAAAGATCTTTACTGTATTATTTTTTTCCTAATAGCATATAGAAAAAGCATTTGCCTGATCAATATCTTTTTTTTTTGAGATGAAGTTTTGCTCTTGTTGCCCAGGCTGGAGTGCAATGGCGCAATCTCAGCTCACCACAACCTCTGCCTCTTGGGTTCAAGTGATTCTCCTGCCTCAGCCTCCCGAGTAGCTGGGATTACAGGCATGTGCCACCACGCCCGGCTCATTTTGTATTTTTAGTAGAGACAGGGTTTCTCCATGTTGGTCAGGCTGGTCTCGAACTCCCGACCTCAGGTGAACCTCCCGCCTCAGCCTCCCAAAATGATGAGATTACAGGTGTGAGCCACTGAGCCCGGCCTCTGATCAATATCTATATAACAGACCTCAGTGATATGTTGACTAGTTTCAAAAAAAGAGACCACATCTGCAAAGTGGCTGCAATTAGACTTACTTCCTGATTATGTTTGTAATAATCCACCATCTTTCTTTAAGGCCATCTATTCTCAGCCTGGTTAAATAATTAGTTAAATGTGGATATGAGAAGAATCTTACATCTGCACACCTCTAGTCTTTTTTTGGTGGCACTAATTTGTGTCATTCCCAATTCAGTTCACTATTTGAAGGAAAAAGGCAGTTCAAAGGGCTAAGAAGCATCCCTTCCTAATATCTTATGGGTTTAAGAACTAATATGGGTATTCTGGCATCAGCAGAGTGTATTTTTGCCCACTGTGTACATTCAAAAAGTGAGGAAATCACCTCATTTTATAAAATGCACAGTCACCCTGGTCAATGACCGCAGGTTCCTTTGCAGAATCTCTAGGGTTATTTAGAATTTATTATTTTGGCAAAGACCCAAGGCACTTCCTCAAAGGAATCTAGCATACTTTTCATTCCAGGGCTCTGAATCTGGAGATTAGTAAGAGGCCATAATTCTTTGTTGTGCCAAAACTCTAATAATGAGACCTATGATGTTTTAAATTATGAAAACCAAGTAGCTAATAGGCAGCAGTTCCTTTCAGTACAGGGGATGCTATGATCTATTAGCCATCACCAATGACTCCTGAGGCGTAAGCCATTTTGATCCCTGCTTTAACCTGCTGCCCACATTGGGAATGATACCCACCTTGTTTCTGGCTTTCACACTAAAGTGCAGTCACTTGGTTTCTGCCACTCTCCATGATCCCATTATCCTCACTGAATTTTGAAAGCCCATTTCAATGGGGGTAACTACCTGTAGTTACCACCTCAGTGTTACTTCCTAGTGCTTTGGTGAAGGGAGGTCCTCTGGGCCTTCCCAGATAACATAGTGAGGGGATATAAAGCAGGTCACACATGATACATCAACACTAGACTTCTGTCTTTCTTCGTGTACCTTCCTCTACATTATTTCCTGGAAGTTCTGACATCTCAATTTTATTTAGCCTTGACCACCATGGAGTCCAGGTTTCAGTCTACTGAATACCTAATCTGGTGAGCCACAAGCGTATACTCAAGTATCATACATTTTGAATCCAGAATATCTGAAAAGTGCAATTACATTAATAAATGTGTCTTAACACAAGCGTCTCTTTTTTTCTCTCCCTGGTCTAGGTCCCTAAAATCCATTCCTACCATTCCTTGCCAAGTTTCTGCCAATATAAATTAGCAAAACCTTTCAATTCTTTCCATGTGTAAACTATCTCCTCCCAAGTCGGCCTTTGTACCCGTCCTCCTGTAATTTGATTCTAGGAATGGGTCTGGAAGCAAGACAAGGTGATGGGGCAAATCTTGTGGAGAATCAGTAACACCAAGGAAGGTAAATGCCTGAAGTATGGCCCTTACAGCTGCTTCAGATGGATTAGGAAAGGTTTCTTCTACTTACAAGGAGGTTCAGTGAAATTTGGAGGTTCAGATCCATCAGGATCCACCCAAAAGTCCCCACTCTGTCAATAAATGCCTCAACTTTTACGTGAGATACCAAGTTTTGTAATTCTGCAATATGAAGCATCAGACTTTGAGTCTAGTTTTCAAATACATTTGTCTCATATTTGGCTATGAAAGTAAGTTACATTTTAAGAAGCTCTTTTGCTTTCTTATCATGTCTTGAGCTCAACATTTAGAATCCTGAGCTCTTTAAGTGTCTTTATTAGAAAGAAGTGGTGCAGTTAGAAATAGTCTACCTCAAAGTCCTCGTGGTTATTTATAATAGAATGTTTTAATATAGCAGCCTCTTTATTTCCCAAATCCTTGTCTTTAATAGGTCCTTTATTTAATAATTGTATTAAATTATGTATTTACATTAATAATTAAATATTTTAAAAAAATCTTTGAACATCACAGGTATACGGATATTCCATTCTTTACTGGTACTGATATTAATCTTTTATCTCAATCTTTTTTTTTTTTTTTTTTTTTGAGATGGAGTCTTGCTCTGTCGCCCAGGCTGGAGTGCAATGGCATGATCTCAGCTCACTGTAACCTCCACCTCCCAAGTTCAAGCAATTCTCCTCCCTCAGCCTCCCAAGTAGCTGGGATTACAGGCACCCGCCATCGTGCCCAGCTAATTTTTGTATTTTTAGTACAGATGGGGTTTCACCATGTTGGCCAGGCTGCAGGCTGGTCTTAAACTCCTGACCTCAGGTGATACACCTGCCTTGGCCTCCCAAAGTGCTGGGATTACAGGCAGGAGCCACCATGCCCGGCCATCTCTAATCTTAACTAAGCAGATAATCTACCCCAGATCCTCCTCATTTTCAAAAACTGTTTCTTAGGACCACATTTAGTGCCAAATACTTGCTCAGAAAATCGTACCTGGATAAGCACAACTGCTTATCAGACAGGAGATGACTTAATAGAAGGTATTAGATTCTTTCTTCATTTCTAGAATGCCCAGAGAAGCAAAGGTCATTCATTGAAGATCTCTGTTAACTCTTAAATTTACCACTATCTTACTAAGGGGTATGAAATTTCTTTTTTCTTTTATCTTATTTTAAGTTCGTAGGTACACGTGCAGGTTTGTTAAACTTGTGTCATGGGCATGTGCTGTACAGATTATTTCATCACCCAGGTGTTAAGCCTAGTACCCACTGGTTACTTTTTCCTGATCCTCTCCCTCTTCCCACTCTCCACCCTCTGATAAGCCCCAGTGTCTGTTGTTCTCCTTTCTGTGTCCATGTGTTCTCATCATTTAGCTCCCACTTATAAGTGAGAACATGTTGCATTTGATTTTCTGTTCCTGTTTGCTAAAGATGATGGCCTCCAGTTCCATCCTTGTTCGTGCAAACGACATGATCTCGTTCTTTTTTATGGATGCATAGAATTCTATGGTGTATATGTATCACATTTTCTTTATCCAGTCTACCATTGATGGGCATTTAGGTTGATTCCATGTCTTTGCTATTCTGAATAGTGGTCCAACGAACATATGCTTGCATGTGTCTTTATGACAGAATGATATATCTCTCTGGATATGTACCCCGTAGTGAGATTGCTAGGTTGAATGGTAGGTTATGTTTTAAAGTCTTTGAGGAATTGCCACAATGTTTTCCACAATGCTTGAACTAATTTACACTCCCACCAACAGTGTGTAAGTGTTCCCTTTTCTCTGCAACCTCACCAGCATCTGTTTTTTTTTTTTTTTGACTTTTTAGTAATAGCCAATATTAGCCATTCTGACAGGTGTGAGATGGTATCTCATTGTTGTTTTGATTGGCATTTCTCTAATGATCAGTGATGTTGAGCTTTTTTTCATGTGCTTATTGACTACATGTGTGTCTTCTTTTGAAAAATGTCTGTTCATGTCCTTTGCCCACTTTTTAATGAAGTCGTTTATTTTTTTCTTGTAAATTTGTTTACAAATTCTTGCTGGCCTCATAGAGTGAGTTATACAGGAGTCCCTCTTCCTCAATTTTTTGGAATAGTTTCAGTAGGAACAGTACCAGTTCTTCTTTGTAGATCTGGTAGAATTTTGCTGTGAATCCATCTGGTAATAATCTTTTTTTTTTTTTTTTTTGTTGATAAGCTATTACTGAGTCAATTTTAGAGCTGCTATTGGTCTGTTCAAGGATTCAATTTCTTCCTGGATCAGTTTTGGGAGGGTGTATGTGTCCAGGAATTTATCTATCTCTTTTATATTTTCTAGCCTGTGGGCATAGAGTTGTTCATAATATTACCTGATGGTTACTTGTATTTCTGTGGGGTCAGTGGTAACATCCCCCTTATTGTTTCTGTGTTTATTTGGATTTTCTCTCTTTTCTTCTTTATTAGTCTAGCTAGCAGTCTATTTTATTAATTCTTTCAAAAAGCAAACTCCTATTTCTTTGATCTTTTGAGTGATTTTTTGTGTCTCCTTCAGTTCAGCTCTGATTTTTGTTATTTCTTGTCTTTAGGGCAGGGAATTTCTAAAGCCACAGAAAACTACCGGTAGTGATCACAACTATCTACAGAACAAAAGTAGGTGATTGATATAGTTTGGATATTTGTCCCCTCTTAATCTTATGTTGGAATGTGGTTCCCAATGTTGGACATGGAGCCTGGTGGGAGATGATTAGATCATGGGAGCAGATCCCTCATGAATGGCTCAGTACTATCCCCTGGGTGACGAGTGAGTTCTTGCTCAGTTTATGCAAGATCTAGTTGTCTAAAAGAGTCTAGGACCTCCCCCTTCTCTCTCTCTCTCTCTGGCTCCCGTGTAGAGTGCCTCACCATGTAGAGTGCCTGCTCTCTTTTGCCTTCCACTATGATTGTAACCTTCCTGAGGCCTTTATCAGAAGCCAAGAACATGCTGGTGTGATGCCACATACTGCAGAACTGTGAATCAATTAAACCTCTTTTCCTTATACACTATCCAGTCTCAGGTACTTCTTTATAGCAACACAAAAATGGCCTAGTGCAGAAAATTGGTACTGAGGAGTGGGGACATTGCTGTCAAGACATCTGAAAAAGTGGAAGTGGTTTTGGAACTGAGTAATAGGCAGAGGTTGGAGTTCTTAGAAGAAGACAGGAAGACGGGGGATTTGGATATTCTTAGAGACTTGTTGAGTGGTTGTGACCAAAATGCAGGACAAATAAGGACAGTGAAGGTCAGGCCAACAAGATTTCAGATGGAAATGAGAAAGTTATTGGGAACTGGAGCAAAAGTCACTCTTGTTATTGATATAGGAGTTAAAAAGGAATTATTTAGGCAGGTAGTGAGGGTAAGGAAGTCCTCAGTAAGGTTTTCCTTTTAATGAAAAATAGCCCCCAAATCATTTGGTTTTCTAACAAAGAGCAGACTGTAAAATCGAGCTGCAGACAGACAAGCAAGCTGGAAGCTTGCATGGGTAAATGCTGGCTGTTGCACCTGCAAGGCTCTTGTATCGCTTCGAACCCTGAGAGCATGCCAACAAACAACATGAGGAAGTGTGGAGCAACACGCTGTTTTAATGAGCACCTGGGTGCAGGCGTGCTGAGGCCCTAAATGGCATCAGCACCAAATGAGAATGGGGCAGGGGTTTTATAGTCTCCTGTAAACAGGAGGTGTCTCAGTCTGATGTAACTGCTATGTATACCCAGACGGCCTCTCTTTCGGTCTTCAGGGGGTGTGTGTCTTCCGGCCAGCTCTCTTCCTGCTTCTGCTATCTTACTGACACACGCTGCTGGCACAAGTGGTCTTGCACCTTGGGACTGGGCCCGAGAAGGGAGGAGTAATTCCTTCCCTTAAGCTTTTGGGCAGCGGGGAGAATCTTTCATTCCTGTCTATTTGGTCATAAAAAGGGAAAAGGGATGACTTTCTCAATAACTACTTCAGGCATGACACAGGGGGTGGCGTGGGCACCTTGGAAAAAGAAAAACTTAATTTTTGGGGTATTCTTGAGAGATGGGTTGGTATTCTTCCTGTCATTGTAGCAGGAGCATCGTCTCGATTGTCTGGTGGCTAACTGTAGTTTCAACAAGAGTTTTAATGGCTTTTATTATTAGCGGGATAATAGAGGGGAGAAACAGGATGAACCCACTGATGAAGATTACATTCCCTAACAGCGTTTTAAATCCTCCTAAATTAGAGAACTACCCTCCTAGAAGGTTTGTTGGGTCCCATCCCTTCCAGGTTTGGACTGGTACATGGGCTGGAACTGATGTTTGAAGCAATTTCTAGAACCACTTTTCCGTTATCATCTATGTTAAGACAGCAATTAGAGATATTACACTTATCACAGACCCCACCTTTTTCTGCTAATAAGTAGTTTAGTGCTAGCCTGTTTGATAAATTGCTGCACGCATTTGGTTTTGTTGTTGGGTGAGCATTTCCAGGGCTGAGGCGGTTTGGTTAGTGATTATCTCTAGAATCGCCTGTAGTCTAGTTATTCTATTTAGCATATATATGGGAGTGCAATAACCCCATGAACCATCCTCAGCCCAAGTGGCAGGACCGTAATATTTGATGATCTGTTGCAGAGGCCATTGTCCTGTGGCCATCTTTGCCTTCTTCCTACCTTTAAGGATCGTTTTTTTGTTGTTGTTTAGGTTATTATGTACAGGGACTCTGAGGGTGTTGCCTGCTGTTAAAGTTTTGGAGGAAGGAGTAGCCTTGGGGGTGAGCTTGACCCTGGTGCGATGGATCCAGTGGGGGAGTCCTTGGACTCTCACTGCAATTGGCATGCTTAGTATCACAGTGTAGGGGCCTGTTTGCTTTGGTTATAGGTTTTTGTGAGGGTCGAGTTGGCAGATAAACATGTCTGTGTCTGCAAGACAGTTATGTTGAGAGGACAAGGAGGTGTTGACAGGGAGGGGCATGGCCTCATTTGCTGTTTCATGAATGAAAGACTGTCTGGATTAAGGAGGGGAGGTAATTCCCAAATGGCTCAGAGACTGGTAAGGGTGGAGGCCCTAAGACAAAAGTTCGGCCATACATGATTTCGAAAGTACTGTAAAAAGAGGGTGGCTTGGTGTTGTGCGGAGTCTTATGAGGGCAAAAGGGAGACTTTTTGTCCACGACTGGTGGGTTTCTAGAGTGAGCTTCGTGAGTTGGGCTTTAAGGACAGAGTTAATTTTTTCAACTTTGCCTGAAGATTGAGGCCTGTAGGGTGTGTGGAGAACCCATTTTATACCTAAGGATGTAGAGATGCCTTGGTTAATTTGGCTGATGAAGGCGGGCCTGTTATTGGACTGGATGGATGTTGGGAGTCCGAAATGGGGAATTATATGCATGATGAGAGTTTGTGTGATGACATTTGCACCTTCTGAAGTGGTTGGGAATGCTTCTACCCACCTGGGGAAAGTACAGACAAAGACTAGAAGATAGCAGAGCCATTTATCAGGCGGCATGTGAGTGAAGTCTACTTGCCAATCTTGCCCAGGTACCTGGCCCCAGGCTTGGTGGGAAGGAAAAGGCAGCGGCCGGAAGGAGCCCTGGGGTGACACTGAGTGGCAGATAGAGCAAGACTGGGTGATTTCTCGAGCACAGCTGGAAAGGTGAGGACAAGTGAGAACAGGGCAGAGAAGTTATAAGAGAGGTTTGTAACTGACACGGAAAGAATTATGGAGACTTTGGAGGATAGGTATTGTCTGGAAGGGGTTGGTCTGTTAGGTTTGGAAAAGGTATAAGAAAGGTTTGAACAGTGTTCACACTGAAATACGTAGGGTCTTGGGCGGTTGTAGCTTCAGGTAAGCGCATGGCCAGGTTCAGACGGGAGCTGGTTAGCATGATGATGTGGGGAGTTTCTATGAATAGAGCATACAGTTGGAGGAGCTGTGGGGCAGAGATGAGACTTAGTACACTGTGGTGAGCTAGCATGTCTTTGATGTTATGGGTTGAATAAACTGTTAGGTTAGCATGGAGAGATAGTTTTAGACTTTCAAGGGTGAGGACAGCAGCTGCCACCAATGCTCGGAGGCAGGCAGGCCATCTGAGAACTGTGGCTTCAAGCTGTTTAGAGAGGTAGGCAACAACCCGGAAGGAGGGTCCCTTAGACTGGGTAGAACACCTAGTGTAACTCTATGCCGTTCCTTGGTATAGAGGGAGTGAGGTTTGGTGAGGTCTGGGAGAGTGAGGTCAGGGGCTGAGGTGAGAGTAGATGGAAAGGTTGGGTAATAGGCTGTGCAGGGTTTAAAGGCTCACGGAGAGGGCCTTTTGTGCTTTGGTATAATGGTTTGGCAAGTAGAGCGAAGGAGGGAACATAGAGCCTAAAATATCTTGCTAGTCCTAGAAAAGAGAGAATTTCTTTCTTAGTTTGCGGAGGCAGGAGGTACAGGAGGAGGGATATGCGGTTGGTTGTGAGCCCTCAGGTTCACGAGGTAAGAGCTAGGCCTAGATAGGTGACTGAGGGGGTGCATATTTGTGCTTTCTTAGGGGAGACCCGGTACCCCTGTTCTGCCAAGAAGTTTAAAAGAGAGATAGTATGGAGGTTGCAGTCTCTTTGAGAGGGGCTACACAGGAGCAGATCAGTAACATATTAAAGGAGAGCGGACAGTTTTAGGGATAAGGTACAGAGGTCATGAGCAAGGGCCTGCCCAAAGAGGTGGGGGCTGTCTCTGAAACCTTGAGGCAGTACGCACCAGGTGAGCTGATGTGAAAGGTGGGTGTCAGTGTTTTCTCACGTAAAGGCAAAGAGGTTTTGGGAATCTAACACAGATTGTGAATTTGATTTGATTTGATTTTTTAAATGGCTTGGTATAAAAGGGAACGATTGTAGGTATTTATGTTTTTATTTATAATTGACATAATTAGCATATGTATTTATAGGTTTCAATGTGGTATTTCAATACATATATACATTGTGCAATAATCAAATCAGAGTGATTAGCATATCCATTATCTTAAACATTTGTCGTTTCTTTATAATGAGAGTGCTCAGAAGCCTCTTTTAACTATTTCAAAATATGCAATATAATATTGCTAACTCTAGGCAAACTACTGTGCAATAGAACACCAGAATTTATTCTTCCTATCTCACTAGCTTTGTACCCATTGATCAATCTCTCACCATTCCTCTCACCTCTGATAACCACTGTTCTATTCTGTACTTCTATAAGAACAACAGATATTTATGTATTTATATCTTTATTGATAAGCTACACAGTAGATGTTGATAAAAAGTTTCTGTTTCAACTAATGCCAAACAAGAGCCACCAGAGCCTGCATGCATCCATTCTAAGACTGATTTTTGCTAACATACTTTTGTGGTAAGAAAAAAAAAGCATAGAAAGAGTCATATCTTGGCTTCTTACAGTAATAAAAAAAAAAGAATAGTGTATTACAAACAATAAAAAAAAGCAAAAGTAATGTAATACAAGTAAATGAAGAATTAAATATTTGAATATTTGAAAACAGAATAAGCCCTTGATATCCAAAATAAAATTTTTGTTGTTGTTGTTTCCAATTAGTGAGATAAAGTCTCTGTTGGCTGGATGTAACTTGAAAGTGACTCAGTCAAAATCTTTCATGACTAAATTTTTTCTTTTTCCATTGCTAGGAAAAGCAAAATTGAAATATTTGTGTTAGTAACAAAATTAAATCACTTACTTATATCCTTCATAATTATTAATATTCCTAGTATGTATGGCTGTTTTGCCAGTTTATAATAATTAAAACTGTGTGACATCTGGAAAAGTAGGTACCAAATAAATATTTGTTGACTTAATGAACACAAATTCAGACTATCCTTTATTTATTTATTTATTTATTTTTATTATACTTTAAGTTCAGGGGTACGTGTGCAGAACGTGCAGGTTCGTTACATAGGTATACATGTGCCATGGTGGTTTGCTGCACCCATCAACCCATCATCTACATTAGGTATTTCTCCTAATGCTCTCCCTCCCGTAGCCCCCACCCCCTGACAGGCCCCAGTGTCTGATGTTCCCCTCCCTGTGTCTATGTGTTCTCATTGTTCAACTCCCACTTATGAGTGAGAACATGCAGTGTATGGTTTTCTGTTCTTGTGTTAGTTTGCTGAGAATGATGGTTTCCAGCTTCATCCATGTCCCTGCAATGGACATGAACTCATCCTTTTTTATGGCTGCATAGTATTCCATGGTGTATATGTGCCACATTTTCTTAATCCAGTCTATCATTGATGAGCATGTGGGTTGGTTCCAAGTCTTTGCTATTGTGAACAGTGCCACAATAAACATACGTGTGCATGTGTCTTTATAATAGAATGATTTATAATCCTTTGGGTATATACCCAGTAATGGGATTGCTGGGTCGAATGGTATTTCTAGTTATAGATCCTTGAGGAATCACCACTGTCTTCCACAGTGGTTGAACTAGTTTACACTCCCACCAACAGTGTAAAAGCATTCCTATTTCTTCACATCCTCTCCAGCATCTGTTGTTTCCTGACTTTTTAATGGTCACCATTCTAACTGGTGTGAGATGGTATCTCATTGTCATTTGATTTGATTTTTAAGATTTTAACAAGAAAATGGTAAGCAGTCATGCTAATGCTCTTGAACGCTGAACTAGAAATCAACATAAAGGCAGTTAGTTTTAGCTGCCATGGGTCATTTCATCGTGGGAATTTGGGAAAATCATCATGATAATGAGCTATCTTGCCTATGTCACAGAGGCACCTGAGGTAATTGCTTTGGTTTGAGTTCTTTGGAGGAAACATGAGCTACAGAGTTACAATGAATATTGATAAAAATATTGGATTTTTGTAGTAGTAAACAAACACACATTACCTTTATACATTAGTGAGGTTTCACTGTTAACTATATCCAATTATACTACTATAAGGAAACATTTAGGCTATAACAAATTTCAAAGGCATGGACATTATACATAAAAGACTGTTCATGTATTCAACAAAGCTTCCGGATCTTTGCATCCCACCCATATACAGATTGTACTGTCTGCTCTAAGAATGATTTCTCTGTTCCAGAGTGGGAAGCTTTTTTACCCATCAGATAAAGAACAACCTTTCCCTTCCAAGTGCCTTTTCTTTATTACTTCATCACCTCTTTGTATTGCCAAGATGTTCCCAACAGAAAAATCTTTCCTGTTTACAAGGATCTCGTCATGTGAATATATTTTAAAGTCCTCGATAACCAATTTAACGAAATTATTAAATAACTTTATATTGGCCTCCATTATCCCTTTTAAAGTTGTATTCAGAAAGGGAAGTTTTTACCTCCCCAGTGTTCCAATTGGAAACTTGGTCATTTCCATAGGGTTTTTGATTGCTTTTAGGTTAAAAAAAAAAAAAAAAAGTCTTCAAGTGCCTCTCAATTACCCAAGTCTGAAACTATAATGTCATTATCTCACATAAAATTTAAAACTCCAATATGCAACATATCTTGATTTGTTCAGATATGAAGGGACATTGGTTTACTGCCATAGCTTTATGGGACAACCTAAAGCTGATGTCTGCTTAGGCGACTGAAGCTGGGAGGACACAAATAGGTAGCTGTTGTCTAAATTTTCTAGTAGAACGACAAACCAGAATGTTTGCTTCTGTCAAGGCACAACACATTCTGGGTCACTAATTCTTATCTCTTGGGAAATAGAAAATATGTCCACTGACTCTAGCCCGGTTCTGCATGAACAGATCAGCCCATTTCACTGCTTCAGTTAGGATGCATTGATTGAAAGTGCATTGGCTTAAATAATAAAGAGGATTTATTGAGCCATGTAACTAAAACGTTCAGGGATGGAAGAGAATTCAAGCATGTTCTTACTTCTCTCTGACACTTTTAGATCTTTCTGTGGCTGTGAGTTGGCTTTGTCCTCAGGTAGCTTTTATCATGAATGATAGCACCACTAGCACCAACGAAGGCTATAGGTTTCCCTGATCATGTCCATAGAAGAAAATACCTGACAGGGACAATTTTAGGACACGTATTCACCCGTCCATATGGCTGTGAGAGATACAGATTATCCTAATTGGGAAGACTAGTTCCGGGCCCATTCCAGGTAGTAATTCCAGCAAAATCTCGTGGCTACATCCCGCAGCAGAGAAGGGAGAGGCAACCTCCTTGCTTGATAATTTTCAATCATGGAGGAACTTTGAAAAATAAAGTAAGAAACTGTGTACTAGATTTCCTCAAAGTCCTTAAGAATCTTCTCACAGAAACTCATGTTACCTCTTGTTTAAGAGATCTTCACTAACTGATCTTCATTTCCTCATGTACCTGTGGGCACGAAGCTCATATACACACATTTGGCCTACAAGGGCTTGGACTGGAATTTTCTCTGTGGTTTTATGATGTTTCTTTGTTCCTTTCAAAAGCACTGCTTTGATCAACATATCACATCCAAAATTCAGAGTTTAATCATGATCTTAAATCGGTTTTATTTACACATATCAAATATTTAATGATTGCAATAAAAATCATAAGCAATGAAATCCTTTGGTGATTTCTGCCTGATTATAGTTACTTTAATTTTAATTCATACACTTCTTGCAAAGGCTCTGGATGTGGCTATAAAGAATTGTTATTTAGATCATACTGCCTGCTAGTTTAAGTAATCTACTTTACTTGACTTAGATTGACTTGGTTTTAATTAATTGTCTGGTTTAAATAGGAACTTGAGATAGCCATTATGCCTAGCCCTGATCTCACTTTATGCAAACAAAATTACTATTATGACTTCTAAACACGGCAATGTAAGCTTTTCCCTTGAGTATTAGAACCTTAAATATATATTCAGATTTCTAGCTAGCTGTTAATTTTAATGATATAAAATATTATTCTTGACTCTTGCTTCAATGGTATAATTGAAAATAAGGCATTTCTTTAAAATTGTCAGGGCTCTTTTTTTTTTTAATCCTGGTTTCAACAAATTCTCAAAAAATCTTTTTCTTTGAGAGGGAAATTTGCTTGATTAATGTCCTTTAGACAACCCAGAATGTTATTGGTCTGATTTTTCTGAACTTATTCTTCACAGTGGCTACAACTCAATAGACAGCACATATTACTGAAGGAAAAAGGGAAAAAAGCTAAGTCCACTAGAGCATTTCTAAGCTACAACCACATACAACAGAGATCAGATGAGTTTAATGTAGGGAAATGTAATCAGCCACAGTATAGGAAAGTTTAATTTATCATAACCTTAGGGAGAAACAAAATCTAAGTCTAAAGATAATTATAACTGTAAGAGACATAAAGAAAAAATTAAAACTAGAAAACAAACAAAATCCATTTTTACAACAAATTATTCCTTAGAAAAAACAATACGTTAAAATTTGTGGCCACCGATATTCGCTTTCCCCTTGAATGTGACACCACATATTATCAATGAAACTTTGATTCATTTAATCAATTATAATAATATTTTACACCCCAGTTTTGCTTTCGTTTGTGTTATAATACATTTAAAGAACTCAATCTAGAAATTAGCTTAAAATTAATTTATTATTTTGGTCAATGTTTATTTCCATTGATTCCATATCTTGGTAGGTTATTACTAGAGAAATATATGATAATATCAGTGAGAAAGGAAGAGGCAGTGAATTTACTCATGAGATTGAAAAGAATCTTGTGCCTTTAATATTAATATTAATAACACACCTGGTTGTGTGATTCAATAGCCTACAAATCACTTATTCAGCTGAAGGTCTGTTCAGTGAATTGTTCCCTGTGCCTGAAATTGTAGTATGTGTTACACACACACACCCTTATTTAACCCTCACAAGAACACCCAGGCGATGTTATCCCCTGTATAGACTAGACAATTGAAGATTAAAGATTAACTAATTTTTTCTCATGATATGTATCTATGGTATGGAGACAGGGTTAAAACTCAAGTATCCTTAATTAAAAAACCCATGAGCTTTCTATAACAATTTGCTATTTCTTTCCAGTTATATTATGCCTTAAAAGTAGATTATCAATTCAACTTTTCCAGCCTTAATTTATGCCTAGTCATAGAATCAGATTTTTACTCATCCAGAATAGACTTGTATACTAAGGTTAAAATCTGAGAATTGGATTGTGTAATATTTCATTGATTATATTATACTCATTTGTTCACATTTAACATCTTTGAAATGAAGATTGTCTTATAATGAATGATAAGAAAGTATTTGTCATAGGTTGATTATGATAGTTTAATTTTTCTTTCTTCATGACGTTTAAACTAATGATGTGTTTTCAATGGATGGCTTTTTATATTTGATGAAATGTGGTTCTTGGCTCTTCAATGAAACTCTGTAAAATTAGGCAAAGCAGAGTAATCCTGTTTATTCCTAGCTTTGCTCCAGGCTGTCTAACAAACTGGGATGGGAATAGGTACTCTATTTAAAGCAGGGTGGTGTTTGGGAGTTCCATCTCCCATTGCCACTGTCATTCCTTACCCTCCCCCATGGCCCAGTTCTAACAATAACATTTCTATTTCTTCTTTAAATCTGCCTTTGGAAAATTTTTAAATGATGTTAATTTTATTATGATCTCAAGTTATTTATATTCCCTTCCTCCTACCTTTTTTTCAGTTAACCAAAAGTTCAGTCTTTTTTTATTAAGGCTTTTTCCATAATTCCTTTAAAATTGAAATAAAAATGGAACATTCTTTGTCTATGTTCTTTACATAAATATATATGTAGAAGTTTGAGTGATTAAAATATAAACTGTCTGTTCTTGTTGCTTCCTTGTTATTGTCCATTTCTATATAAAGATATCAGAAATATTCCATTATGTAAATCCCCACTGTTACTGAAAGGCTTAACAAGATATTAAAATCAATGCAATTTTTATTGCTATGTAAAACAGTATCCATTTTGAAACCTTAACAGAGCCCTACCCATCTCCTTTATGGCTTCTAAAAAATATTTACCAATGCCTCCAGGAGAAACTGATCTCTCTTCCTTAGGATATCTTTATAGGTTATGTTGTAAGGTTTCCTCTTATATAAAATGGGAGGTAATGATATTACCTACATGTATCACTTATAAGACAAAGTTGCTAATACATATGAAGCTTATAATAAATGTCTGGCACCTCAGTGCTCATAAATATTTGCCATTATTAGAAGCCACTTGATATATATCATAAACTGCCATTTTAGTTTCTTTTTTGGGTATTTTACAGATTATAAATTCCTAGAAGACAGATTATGTTGTTTGCATTTTAGAAACCCTTTTAATGCCTAAAATTTTGCCTTACATATTCTGAAAATCTCATTTGTTTAGTTGATGAACAAACTTCCCATTTGTGCCCACCCTAATTGGATCTGTAACCATTACCCAATAAGTGTGGGAACCAGGGTGCATTGATCTCCCTATTTAAGTTGGGTATAGTGGAAAGAACATAGGTTTTGGACCCACACAGGCCTAAATTTAAATCCCAACTGCCTTTTACTTTGACATTGGGAGTCACTTGGTACTCTTTGAGCCCCCATTTCTGCTTCTGCAAAAAGTAAGTAACACTTACTGTATGTGGTTTTGGTGAAAATTAAATTACATAATGTATGTAAAAAATCTAGAACAATGCCTGAGATATACTAGACTTTCCATAAGTATTAACTATTGGTAATTATTATTGTTGCCATTGTAAATGTTATTATTCCTGTGGCCCATTATTTAATAGCATTACATCTCAATTTTTCCATCTATAAATGGGACCAACATTGATTTATGCATATGAGTAAAAAGTGGATTAAATTATATATATGAAGCCTTACGTAAGCATCTTCACAGTGTAGGTGCTCCATAAATGATTTTATCCTTTATTCCTCCCACCCTTTTTTTTACATCTCATTCCTTGATATAACAAAGGAGTAATTTCCTTGTTCTTTCAAAAGAGATATTTCCAAAAGTTCTCCAATTCTTGAGTGTGTTGTGCTGTTGTGGAAACTTTAGCAAAATGAAACTTAAGGATTTTGGGTCTTTAGGTTAGAAAAGTTATGGGGACATTGGGAGTAACCTTCACCCGTCTCCCATCACCATTACCATGCAGTATTCTTTAATTTCCCATGGGCATCTCCAGTCTTATATTTTCAATGGTACAGCAAGACCTAGTCTTTCAGCTCTTACAAATAGTATTCCCGAAGAGTCTTATCCCATTACACAGTTTCTGTATTTGTTACCCAAGGGTTTTTCAGAATTGTGGTTTCTTTGTCTGAACAAAGTGAAAAGATCCTAAAACAAAAACAGAAACAGAGTGATGGGGCCAGATTCCCTTAACCTCCTGAAGAGAAGTTCAGGAAAAGTCCTGGGTGCTGTGTTTCTATAATATTCCACAAATAAAATGAGAAATCTTGTGAAGTTCTGTAGACTTGCATGTAGGCAAGTTATATGGAATGTAATTTTATAGTGATGGTGTAATTTGTCAATAAATTTTTATTATTTTCTCTTTATTAAAAGATCAGGATTCAGAGCACAAGTGTCATGCCTGCCAATTTCACCATGAAGCAGTTAGCAATACTGAAAGTCCAATTACTTTTGTGCTTATTTCTTTACTGATTGGTATCATGGCAACTTCAGAAGACGTGTAAGCACTGGGGTACCTGTAAATTGACTGGGGCTGGTAGCAGTTGATCGCATTCAGGAACAGGTTTGTGGAAGTGTCCATCAAAGACTATGTGTCAGGACCATTGAAAACTTTTGATGTTTTACATCCCACACTTGTCCTAAGAACCACAATGTATGACACACATACACAGTAACAGCTCTAACTGGGACCATAACACCAGTAAATTTCTTTTCTGTTCTCTGCTTTAGAGAGAAAGAATCAAGGCACAATGAAATAAGCCAATATCTGGTCAGTTTAGATTCAGTGTTCAATATACTGCAGCTTATTACCTCAACAACAATTCATAGTGGCCCTGAAGCACTGCAGAGTCATCAATCATAAAAGAAATATTAAATTAGCTTTAGTACTTAGCAAGGCTGTGAAGTGGACTAATACATTTTGCAAAGATCTTTTCCAGCCACTTAGGTTGAAACAAAACAATTTTTTTCTATTTAAATTACCAGTTATCCAGAAAATTCTATTTATGAGAAGTTACCAGAGGTTCCCTTACCTAAAACACCATCTAAAATGGGTCCTGTTGAGATTTGTATTAGCTGGTATAATATACATTGTAAAATGTAAAGAACATGCCCAAGATGGGCTCACCTTGAAGCATTCATTATGATGCCTCTAAGTCACAATTGGACACTTAAGAGAAAGTAGATCACCTGAGGTCAGGAGTTCAAGACCAGCCTGGCCAACACAGTGAAACCCCATCTCTACTAAAAATACAAAAAATTTAGCCAGGCATTGTGGTGCGCACCTGTAATCCCAGCTACTCAGGAGGCTGACGAAGGAAAATCGCTTGAACCCAGGAGGCAGAGGTTGCAGTGAGTCGAGATCTCACCATTGCACTCCAGCTTGGGCATCAAAGCGAGACTCCATTTCAAAAAAAAAAAAAAAAAGAATGTCAAATATCCAAATCCTACATCAATGATGCTAATGTCAGAGTAAAGGACATCATTAGAGAAAAAGGTAACCCCAGACCCCCTTGAACCCTTGCAGAGAGACTATAATTAACCACTCCCAAGTCTCCCAACCTTGCATTTGCAGTTCCTGGCTTCAGTGGATGTGCCTACTATTTATCTTCATTACTGGCCAGCAACATTAATAAAAATCAGCTTAAGATCTGAGCATGGAATTACTTCTTATAGATTCCAATTTAATTTAGAAATGCCTACATTGAAGGAAGCATCCTTTGTTTGTCTTTGAGAAATGAGTTGGTTTTTCTGTGATACCCAGCTACAGCAATAAACAAAGATGATGCAGATGGGAAGGTCCACAGCCACTTCTTCCACTGATTACCTCCAGACATTAATTTTCAATCTAATTGCTTTGGTTGGCACTTTCACCTCAGTGGTACTTACATATGCCTACAGATCTGTTTGATCACAACTCTTGGGTGTTGAATTATTTAATACCCAATCAGTATTAGAAATGTCCCTCATACCCTATCTAGAATTTCTTGAAAGAAATAAATATAATGTGATATTTAATAAAATGAAACTTTAAATGACAGACCTTTTTAATAGTTTACCATCTTTGCAATCCTGAATTGTTTTGTTTATGAAACAATTGCTTTAGTAAGATCAGAATCACAAAACTCTTCCACATTTCATTGAATTCAAAAAGTATTAGTACATATTATGCATAAAATATGATAAAAATATATTTGTTTCATCATAAAAGTTATGGCATTGCAAATTTTTTTTCCTATTTAGCCTCATTCTTATGATTCTTAAATTCTTAACTGTTATTTTATACATTTTTAAAACAATGCACACCAGTGTTTAAAAAATAAATGCATAATTTCAACTAAGACTGAATATATAACACTGGTTAGCTCTTTCAGCATTGTGCAGGCATGGGTTTCAGGCTGCTCTGCAGTTTAAATATATCAAATTACATGAGCATCTTAACTGTGCAGATGCCATCTTCTTAGCTTCTTTATTCTCCCCTCAAACTATTTAATGTTGCTTTAATGGTAACATCAATTGTTAGTTTTAACTTCTGTATTTAATTGTGACATGACACATATCCACTCAATGTTTCTTTTTTATTATTATTATACTTTAAGTTCTAGGGTACATGTGCACAATGTGCAGGTTTGTTACATAGGTATACATGTGCCGTGTTGGTTTGCTGCACCCATGAAGTCATCATTTACATTAGGTATTTCTCCTAATGCTAACCCTCCCCCTGCCCCACACCCCACAACAGGCCCCGCGGTGTGATGTTCCCTGCCCTGTGTCCAAGTGTTCTCATTGTTCAATTCCCACCTATAAGTGAGAACATGTGGTGTTTGGTTTTCTGGCCTTGCGATAGTTTGCTCAGAATGATGGTTTCCAGTTGCATCCATGTCCCTGCAAAGGACATGAACTCATCCTTTTTTATGGCTGCGTAGTATTCCATGGTGTATATGTGCCACATTTTCTTAATCCAGTCTATCATTGATGGACATTTGGGTTGGTTCCAAGTCTTTGCTATTGTGAATAGTGCCACAATAAACATGTGTGCATGTGTCTTTATAGTGGCATGATTTATAACTCTTTGGGTATATACTCAGTAATGGGATGGCTGGGTCAAATGATATTTCTAGTTCTAGATCTGAGGAATCGCCACACTGTCTTCCACAATGGTTGAACTAATTTATACTCCGACCAACAGGGTAAAAGCATTCCTATTTCTCCACATCCTCTCCAGCACCTGTTGTTTCCTGACTTTTTAATGATCGCCATTCTAACTGGTGTGAGATGGTATTTCATTGTGGTTTTGACTTGCATTTCTCTGATGATCAGTGATGATGAGCATTTTTTCATGTGTCTGTTGGCTGCATAAATGTCTTCTTTTGAGAAGTGTCTGTTCATATTCTTTGCAAACTTTTTGATGGGGTTGTTTTTTTCTTGTTAATTTGTTTCAGTTCTTGGTAGATTCTGGATATTATCCCTTTGTCAGATGGGTAGATTGCAAAATTTTTCTCCCATTCTGTAGGTTGCCTTTTCACTCTGATGGTAGTTTCTTTTGCTGTGCAGAAGCCCTTTAGTTTAATTACATCTCATTTGTCTATTTTAGCTTTTGTTGCCATGCTTTTGGTGTGTTAGTCATGAAGTCCTTGTCCATGCCTATGTCCTAAATGGTATTGCCTAGATTGTCTTCTAGGGTTCTTATGGTTTTAGGTCGAATATTTAAGTCTTTAATCCATCTTGAATTAATTTTTGTATAAGGTGTAAGGAAGGGATCCAGTTTCAGCTTTCTACATATGGCTAGTCAGTTTTCCCAGCACCATTTATTAAATAGGGAATCCTTTCCCCATTTCTTGTTTTTGTCAGGTTTGTCAAAGATCAGAGGGTTGTAGATGTGTGGTGTTATTTCTGAGGGCTCTGTTCT
The DNA here is from genome assembly GCF_000001405.40 of Homo sapiens. Lineage (NCBI taxonomy): Eukaryota > Metazoa > Chordata > Mammalia > Primates > Hominidae > Homo > Homo sapiens. The sequence continues at coordinate 28,223,314 of NC_000018.10, forward strand.
GTTCCATTGGTCTATATCTCTGTTTTGTTACCAGTACCATGCTGTTTTGGTTACTGTAGCCTTGTAGTATAGTTTGAAGTAAGGTAGCATGATGCCTCCAGCTTTGTTCTTTTTGCTTAGGATTGTCTTGGCAATGCGGGCTCTTTTTTGGTTCCATATGAAATTTAAAGTATTTTTTTCCAATTCTGTGAAGAAAGTCATTGGTAGCTTGATGGGGATGGCATTGAATCTATAAATTACCTTGGGCAGTATGGCCATTTTCATGATATTGATTCTTCCTATCCATGAGCATGGAATGTTCTTCCATTTGTTTGTGTACTCTTTTCATTGAGCAGTGGTTTGAAGTTCTCCTTGAAGAGGTCCTTCACATCCCTTGTAAGTTGGATTCCTAGGTATTTTCTTCTCCTTGTAGCAATTGTGAATGGGAGTTCACCCATGATTTGGCTCTCTGTTTGTCTGTTGCTGGTGTATAGAAAAGCTTGTAATTTTTGCACATTGATTTTGTATCCTGAGACTTTGCTGAAGTTGCTTATCAGCTTAAGGAGATTTGAGGCTGAGACGATTGGGTTTTCTAAATATACAATCATGCCATCTGCAAAGAGAGACAATTTGACTTCCTCTTTTCCTAATTGAATACCCTTTATTTCTTTCTCCTGTCTGACTGCCCTGGCCAGAACTTCCAACACTATGTTGAGTGGAAGTGGCGAGAGAGGGCATCCCTGTCTTGTGCCAGTTTTCAAAGGGAATGCTTCCAATTTTTGCCCATTTGGTATGATACTGGTGTGGATTTGTCATAAATAGCTCTTATTATTTTGAGATACATTCCATGAATACCTAGTTTATTGAGAGTTTTTAGGATGAAGGGCTGTTGAATTTTGTCGAAGGCCATTTCTGCATCTATTGAGATAATCATGTGGTTTTTGTCATTGGTCCTGTTTATGTGATAGATTATGTTTATTGATTTGCATGTGTTGAACCAGCCTTGTAACCCAGGGATGAAGTCAACTTGATCATGGTGGATAAGCTTTTTGATGTGCTGCTGGATTTGGTTTGCCATTACTTACTGAGGATTTTTGCGTAGATGTTCATCATGGATATTGGTATAAAACGTTATTTTTTTGTTGTGCCTGTGCCAGGCTTTGGTATCAGCATGATGCTGGCCTCATAAATTGAGTTAGGGAGGATTCCCTCTTTTTCTATTGATTGGAATAGTTTCAGAAGGAATGGTACCAGCTCCTCTTTGTACCTCTGGTAGAATTCGGCTGTGAATCCATCTGATTCTGGACTTTTTTTGGTTGGTAGGCTATTAATTAGTGCCTCAATTTCAGGGCCTGTTATTGGTCTATTCAGAGATTCAACTTCTTCCTGGTTTAGTCTTGGGAGGGTGTATGTGTTGAGGAATTTATCCATTTCTTCTAGATTTTCTAGTGTATTTGCATAGAGGTGTTTTTAGTATTCCCTGATGGTAGTTTGTATTTCTGTGGGATCGGTGGTGATATCCCCTTTATCATTTCTTATTATGTCTGTTTGATTCTTCTCTCTTTTCTTCTTTATTAGTTTTGCTAGTAGTCTATCAATTTTGTTGATCTTTTCAGAAAACCAGCTCCTGGATTCATTGATTTTTTGAAGGGTTTTTTTGTGTCTCTATCTCCTTCAGTTCTGCTCTGATCTTAGTCATTTCTTACCTTCTGCTAGCTTTTGAATTTGTTTGCTCTTGCTTCTCTAGTTCTTTTAATTGTGATGTTAGGGTGTTCATTTTAGATCTTTCCTGCTTTTTTTAAATTTTATTATTATTATACTTTAAGTTTTAGGGTACATGTGCACAATGTGCAGGTTAGTTACATATGTATACATGTGCCATGCTGGTGTGCTGCACCCATTAATTCGTCATTTAGCATTAGGTATATCTCCTAATGCTATCTCTCCCGCCTCCCCCCACCCCACAACAGTCCACAGAGTGTGATGTTCCCCTTCCTGTGTCCATGTGTTCTCATTGTTCAATTCCCACCTATGAGTGAGAATATGCTGTGTTTGGTTTTTTGTTCTTACAATAGTTTACTGAGAATGATGATTTCCAATTTCATCCATGTCCCTACAAAGGACATGAACTCATCAATTTTTATGGCTGCATAGTATTCCATGGTGTATATGTGCCACATTTTCTTAATCCAGTCTATCATTGTTGGACATTTGGGTTGGTTCCAAGTCTTTGCTATTGTGAATAGTGCCGCAATAAACATACATGTGCATGTGTCTTTATAGCAGCATGATTAATAGTCCTTTGGGTATATACCCAGTAATGGGATTGCTGGGTCAAATGGTATTTCTAGTTCTAGATCCCTGAGGAATCGCCACACTGATTTCCACAATGGTTGAACTAGTTTACAGTCCCACCAACAGTGTAAAAGTGTTCCTATTTCTCCACATCCTCTCCAGCACCTGTTGTTTCCTGACTTTTTAATGATTGCCATTCTAACTGGTGTGAGATTGTATCTCATTGTGGTTTCGATTTGCATTTCTCTGATGGCCAGTGATGATGAGCATTTTTTCATGTGTTTTTTGGCTGCCTAAATGTCTTCTTTTGAGAAGTGTCTGTTCATGTCCTTCGCCCACTTTTCGATGGGGTTGTTTTTTTTTTCTTGTAAATTTGTTTGAATTAATTGTAGATTCTGGATATTAGCCCTTTTGTCAGATGAGTAGGTTGTGAAAATTTTCTCCCATGTTGTAGGTTGCCTGTTCACTCTGATGGTAGTTTCTTTTGCTGTGCAGAAGCTCTTTAGTTTAATTAGATCCCATTTGTCAATTTTGGCTTTTGTTGCCATTGCTTTTGGTGTTTTAGACATGACGTCCTTGCCCATGCCTATGTCCTGAATGGTAATGCCTAGGTTTTCTTCTAGGGATTTTATGGTTTTAGGTCTAAAGTTTAAGTCTTTAATCCATCTTGAATTGATTTTTGTATAAGGTGTAAGGAAGGGATCCAGTTTCAGCTTTCTACATATGGCTAGCCAGTTTTCCCAGCACCATTTATTAATTTTTCTTGCGGGCATTTAGTGATATAAATTTCCCTCTACACACTGCTTTAAATGTGTCTCAGAGATTCTGGTACGTATGTCTTTGTTCTCAATGGTTTCAAAGAACATCTTTATTTGTGCCTTCATTTCATTATTTATCCAGTTAGTCTTTCAGGAGCAGGTTGTTCAGTTTCCATGTAGTTGTGCAGTTTTGAGTGAGTTTTTTAATCCTGAGTTCTAATTTGATTGCACTGTGGTCTGTCTGAGAGACAGTTTGTTGTGATTTCTGTTCTTTTACATTTGCTGAGGAGTGCTTTACTTCTAACTGTGTGGTCAATTTTGGAATAAGTGCAATGTGTTGCTGACAAGAATATATATTCTGTTGATTTCGGGTGGAGAGGTCTGTAGATGTTGATGAGGTCTGCTTGGTGCAGAGCTGACTTCAAGTCCTGGATGTACTTGTTAACCTTCTGTCTCTTTCATCTGTTTAATATTGACAGTAGGGTGTTAAATCTCCCATTATTGTTGTGTGGGAGTCTAAGTCTCTTTGTAGGTCTCTAAGGACTTGCTTTATGAATCTAAGTGCTCCTGTATTGGGTGCATATATATTTAGGATAGTTAGCTCTTCTTGTTGAATTGATCCCTTTACCATTATGTAATGACTTTCTTTGTCTCTTTTGATCTTTGTTGCTTTAAATTCTGTTTTATCAGAGACTAGGATTACAACCCCTGCTTTTTTTTCTTTCCACTTGCTTGGTAGATCTTCCTCCATCCCTTTGTTTTGAGCCTATGTGTGTTTCTGCACATGAGATGGGTCTCCTGAATACAGGACACTGATGGGTCTTGAGTGTTCATCCAGTTGATGTATTTTAATTGGGGCATTTAGCCCATTTACATTTAAGGTTAATATTGTTATGTGTGAATTTGATCCTGTCAATATGATATTAGCTGGTTATTTTGCCCGTTAGTTGATGCAGTTTCTTTCTAGCATTGATGTTCTTTACAATTTGGCATGTTTTTGCAGTGGCTGGTACCAGTTGTTCCTTTCCATGTTGAGTGCTTCCTTCAGGAGCTCTTGTAAGGCAGGCTTGGTGGTGGCAAAATCTCTTAGCATTTGCTTGTCTGTAAAGGATTTTATTTCTCCTTCATTTATGAAACTTAGTTTGGCTGGATATGAAATTCTGGGTTGAAAATTCTTTTCTTTAAGAATGTTGAATATTGGCCCCCACTCTCTTCTGGCTTGTAGAGTTTCTGTTGAGAGATGTGCTGTTAGTCCGATGGGCTTCCCTTTGTGGGTAACCTGACCTTTCTCTCTGGCTGCCCTTAACATTTTTTCCTGCATTTCAACCTTGGTGGATCTGACAATTATGTGTATTGGGGTTGCTGTTCGTGAAGAGTATCTTTGTGGTGTTCTTCATATTTCCTGAATTTGAATGTTGGACTGCCTTCTTAGATTGGGGAAGTTCTCCTGGATAATATCCTGAAGAGTGTTTTCTAACTTGATTCCATTCTCCCTGTCACTTTCAGGTACTTCAATCAAATGTAGATTTGGTCTTTTCACATAGTCCCATATTTCTTGGAGGCTTTGTTCATTTCCTTTTACTCTTTTTCTCTAAACTTGCCTTCTTGCTTTATTTCATTAGTTTGATCTTCAGTCACTGATACCCTTTATTTCACTTGATTGAATCAGCTATTGAAGCTTGTGCATGTGTCACGTAGTTCTCGTGCTACGGTTTTCAGCTCCATCAAGTCATTTAAGGTCTTCTCTACACTGTTTATTTTAGTTAGCCATTCATCTAATCTTTTTTCAAGGTTTTTAGTGGAGGCTGCAGAACAGCAAATATTGCAGACCAGCAATGTTGATGCTACTCCTTTCTGTTTGTTAGTTTTCCTTCTAGCAGTGAGGTCCCTCAGCTGCAGGTCTGTTGGAATTTGCTGGAGGTCCACTCCAGATGCTGTTTGCCTGGGTATCACCAGTGGAGGCTGCAGAACAGCAAATATTGCCGAACAGCAAATATTGCTGCCTGATCATTCCTCTGTATCCTTCGTCCTAGAGAGGCACCCACCTGTATGAGTTGTCAGTTGGCCCCTACTGGGAGGTGTCTCCCAGTTAGGCTACATGGGGGTCAGGGACCCACTTGAGGAGGCAGTCTGTCCATTCTCCAAGCTCAAACACCATGCTGGGAGAATCAATGCTCTCTTCAGAGCTGTCAGACAGGGACGTTTAAGTCTGCAGAAGTTTCTGCTGCCTTTTTTTCAGCTATGCCATGTCCTTGGAGGTGGAGTCTACAGAGGCAGCAGGCTTTGCTGAGCTGCTTTGGGCTCTGCCCAGTTCGAGCATCCCTGTCCACTTTGTTTACCTACTCATGCCTCAGCAATGGCAGACGCCCCTCCCCCGCCAGGCTGCTGCCTCTAAGGTCGATCTCAGATGGCTACGCTAGCAGTGAGTAAGGCTCTGTGGGCCTGGGACCCAGCGAGCCAGGTGTGGGATATAATCTCCTGGTGTGCCATTTGCTAAGTCCATTAGAAAAGCACTGTATTTGGGCGGGAGTGTCCTGTTTTTCCAGGTATGGTCTGTCACAGGTCCCCTTGTCTAGGAAAGGGAAATCCCCCGACCCCTTGTGCTTCCTAGTGAGGCGATGCCCCACCCTGCTTCAGCTCATCCTCTGTGGGCTGCACCCACTGTCCAACCAGTCCCAATGAGATGAACCAGGTTGGAAATGCAGAAGTCACCTGTCTTCTGTGTCGATCACGCTGGGAGCTGCAGACCAGAGCTGTTCCTATTCAGCCATCTTGGAACCTCAATGTTTTTTCAAAAGAGGAAATCATACAATCTTAGTTGCTGGGCGAGTTCTTATGAATCAACTTGAAATCACCTTTTTCCACTTTCATAATAACTTATTTTAATTGACATGTCAACTATGATTAGATATTAACTATCTTTTTCTAGTTAAAATTTTGTTAGCTTTCAAACAACAATTCCAACTCTAGTATACATACCCACTTTTAATGTATATAACTCTAATATATATATGCATACATATACACACATTAAACCAGATCTAACATATATTTAGATATGTTGAGAAAGCCACATTTTTTCAGATCTCTAAGTGACCATTATTTACACAAATATGACCAGTGCTCACACTTATCAAGGCCAATGCAATAATATTATTAAGGTGATTGTTTCAAAGAGAAATTAAATGGAGAATTATTTGTTGAATACTGTCAGATAAACAGTTGTCTTTTTTTACATGTTATTATTTCAGCCTGACCCAAATAATTTTTCTACTTTTCATTCTACCATGCTGGCAAACAGCTTCATATATCAACCATTTCTGCTTTGGTGGTCCTTTGAGAATGGTATCTTAATGTTTATTTAAGTGCAATAAATAAACTTGACATTTATAGGAATAAAGGAAATTGATATAAGTTAGGCTGGAAAATCCAGCCACTTGCCCAACTACAACTCAAGGGATAGTTCTGTTAAAGGAAGAAAAGAAGAATAGAATTTAACAGACAACTGCTGTTGCCCAAGTCCACAGCTGTGGCCCAATCTGTGTTGTGCATCCTTCTTCTCACAGAAGTCACACTAACCTGAACCCCAAGCAAGAAAGACCAAAGTCCCATGGAGTTACTGTATCCGACCCGAAGTGCAGGATCTGTGAGTCATGTGCTGTGCATTCCACCATGTTCACAAGTGGGTCCTTGATGTCCAGTGATCTATAAGAAAATCATTTTTTGACCTCTTGGGCCACATTCAATAAAGAACAGTCAAATATGATTGAAATAGTCTCAATAAATTTTTTTATTTGGCAAATGGAAGATGGGGAAAGACACAGAAGTCACTGGTTGATATTGTTAGGCTTTGTGTTTCCAACCAAATCTCATCTTCCCCACTTGTTGAGAGACAGGTGGGAGGTGATGAGATGATGAAGGCAGTGTCCCCCATGCTGTTCTTGTAATACTAAGTGAGTTCTCATGAGATATGATGTTTTTATAAATGTCTGATTGCTCCTCCTTCACACACTCACTCTCTCTCACCTGCTGCCATGTAAGAAAGATGTGCCTGTTCCCCTTTCACCATGATTGTAAGTTTCCTGAGGCCTCACCAGCCATGTGGGACTGTGAGTTAATTAAACCTATTTTATTTATAAATTATCCAGTCTTGGGCAGTTCTTTATAGCAGTGTGAGAATGGATTAATACACTGGTCTATTGCAATAGTGGAGTTCTGTAGGTCAGACATTGTAAAGATTTTGTTGTGACCATGTAGAAAATTCCTTGTTCTAATGAGAATACATGGACACAGGAAGGGGAACATCACACTCTGGGGACTGTTGTGGGGTGGGGGGAGGGGGGAGGGGGGAGGGATAGCTTCAGGAGATATACCTAATGCTAAATGACGAGTTAATGGGTGCAGCACACCAGCATGGCACATGTATACATATGTATCTAACCTGCACATTGTGCACATGTACCCTAAAACTTAAAGTATAATAATAATAAAATTTAAAAAAAAAAAAGAAAATTCCTTGTTCTTACCCTGGATCCACTCTCTGAGGAATTGCCTTGTTTATTATTCTCTTTGACTCCCAGGTTTGTTTTTGGGAGATTTTTCTTACCAAGATTTTGAGGTACTTTCATTGCTAAAGAAGAGAAGCCACAAGCATGTGTGGCCAAAGTGTTAGGGGGTGATTTATTGACCCCTAAGTCATTCACCAGGGCTCCTAGCCTCTGCCCCTAGGGAAGCAGGCTGTGATACTGACTTGGGCCCAGAAAGACATGCTCTTTAGTACTGACTTGTCTCCAACATACAGGCTTTTAGTGAAGTGCTTCCAGTTAGTTTAATTTGAGAATAACACGGTCAAAAATTCTTCCTATCTAGGTTTCTTGGTATATAGACTCTCATTTATTCATCGGTTGCTGTTCTTGACCATCTCTGTTTTCCTTAATTTAACCCTCGCTACTTTGAGGACATTTGAAACTTTAGGCATTGGTGAGAAGACAACTCTTAAACTGCTTTTGCCCCTGACTGGCTCACATTTGAAACCACTCAGCAAATTGACAGAGAACTCCCCCTAGCCAAAGTTCCTTTCTTTGGTTCTCTGCTTGGGAAACGTGAAGCTGTTATTATCTACTTCTCTCTTTTTCAGCACTTGTTACATGGCATAGACAGTGAACAGCATGCACCAATACCCAGACATTGTTAAACTATGTTGCTAGGGCCATGGCCTTAGTGTATCAGGCCTATCTTCTAAGTTTTCAATGTAATAGTTTTGCAAATTTTCATTATAGCATGACCATAATGAAGTCACCAGCTTCCTGCCCACACTATTACACTGTTGCCATATATTTTGTTTTATTTAGGGAAGTGCCAAATATCCAGTATCAATTTTCATGATGGAGAATAGACCAAGATGCTCTAATAGAGACTAAAGGTCTCAAATGAGATGGGACAAATATTTATCTTACGTACTGGTTCATGCACAGGAGGGCATAAAAGCAGATAGGGAGCTCTGCCCCTTAAGATCACCCAGGAACCCATCCCTGCATGTAGTTTCCATTTCTCTGTTTGCCATCAGAAAGGGTAAAAGGAAAGAGCAACTTTGAAATAGAAATATGCCCTGGAAGTTGGTCAAGTTGGTTTGCACTATTAAAAAGTCAACAATTGATTCTTAACTTTTCTAATTTGTACACTCTGGACTTAATACGTTACTTTTAATAATTAAATCTGGGCCATAAAATAATGAGCTATATAATTATTTAAATATTTTGGGATATATTTACATAAAACATTTATCTAACTTTATGACTTTATTACTGTCTATTTTCAAATGAACTTTCAGGGAAGAATATATGGAATAAGAGAAAAAATACCAGGTAAATGTTATTCTGTAGCTATGTGTGTATATATATGTGTGTGTGTGTGTGTGTGTATATATGTGTGTATATATATATTTAATTTAAAAAATTGCTAGAAGTTTTCCTTATTAACCTGAACTCATCATAATGATCTGTAATATGAAATACATTAAAGATATCAACAAATGATGTTGAAAAAATGCAAAAAATGAACTTCAATCTTTTTTTATTACAAAATAAACTAAAAATTTCTAGCTATAACACCAAAAGTGCAAGCTGTGAAAGAAAACAAAATTGATAAATTAGGCTTCATTAAAACTAAAAATATCTGTTTTTTAAAGACACTTAAGATGAAAAGAAAAGCCACAGATTGGCAGAAAATATTTGCAAGACATATAACTGACAAAGGGTTTCTATAAAGAATAGATAAATAACTCTTAAAACTCAATAATAAGGAAAGATGGGTAGAACTTTATTCAGACACAAAGAAGACAATGGGTGGCAGACAAACACATAAAGGGATGGCATAAAGAGATGCTCATTAGCCATTAGGGGACTGCAAACGAAAACCACAATGAGATGACATTACATCCCTATTAGAATCTCTAAGGATTCACCATACCAAATGTTAGTGACGATGTCAGAGCAATTGGATCTCTCATACACTGCTGGTGGGAGTGTACAATGGTACAAGCATTTTGGAAAAAGGCTTTGCAGTTTCTTAAGAAGCTAATCATACACCTTTCATATGTTTTTGCCATGTCTTTGCTATGTAGTAACCAAAGTTTTTAAAAAACACATATGAACATAAGGATTTGTACAAGGATGCTCATAGCAGCTTTATTTTTATTACACTAAAATTAGAAACAAAATGTTTATCAACAAGTGGATGCATAAGCAAATTGTGGCATATCCATACAATGAAATAATATTTAGCAATTTGAAAGGTGGATGTGCAATAACATGGACACACTTCACATTGATTAAGCTGAATGAAAAATGCTAGGAAAAAAGCCCTTACTGTATGATTTCATTTATATAAAACTCCAGAAAATGCAAAAAAATCTATGATGATAGCAGATCAATGATAATGAGGGGATAAAGAAGAGTGGTGGGAAGGAAGGATTTCAAGGAAAGTGTGGAAACTTTGGGGTATGATAGATATATTCATTTATTTGATTATGGTGATGATTTTATGGCTGTATACATAGGTCAAAGCTTATAAAATTGTGTACTTTAGACATGTAGTCTTTTATGGTATTTATTATTCTATGATAAAACTGTTAAAATTAAACATATTAGGTTGGTGCAAAAGTAATTGCAGTTTTGGACTGTGAATTTTAAATCATTATAACTAGGCTCAAACACACCTTTATTAATCAAAATCAAAATAGGAGCCATTACAATCAACACATTTTTGCCAACAAGAAATAAGTTTCTTTATCGCGGTAGGGTAAAAATCTGTGCCTCAGGATTCGACGAATACTCAGAAAGCATTTTCTGTATCCTGCTCGTTGTGGAAGTGTTTGCCCTGCAAAAAGTTGTCGAGATGCTTGAAGAAGTGGTAGTTAGTTGGCAAGAAGTTAGGTGGATATGGCAAATGAGGCAAAACTTCGTAGCCCAATTCATTCAACTTTTGAAGCATTGGTTGCTTGACGTGTGGTCAGGCTTTGTGAAGAATTGGGCCCTTTCTGTTGACCAATGCCAGCTGCAGGCATTGCAGTTTTCAGTGCATCTCATTGATTTGCTGAGCATACTTCTCAGATGTAATAGTTTCTCCAGGATTCAGAAAGCTGTAGTGGATCAGACTAGCAGCAGACTACCAAAAAGTGACTGTGACTTTTTTTTTGATGCAAGTTTGGCTTTGGGAAGGGCTTTGGAGCTTCTTCTTGGTCTAACAACTGAGCGGGTTGTCATATAAAATCCACTTTTCATGGCATGTCACAATCCAATTGAGAAATGGTTCATTATTGTTGCATAGAATAAGAGAAGACGACACTTCAAAAAGAAGATTTTTTTGGATTCTCCCTCAGCTCATAAGGCACCCACTTATTGAGCTTTTTCACCTTTCCAATTTGCTTCAAATGGCGAACTACTGTAGAATGGTCAACATTGACTTCTTCGGCAACTGCTCATGTAGTTGTAAGAGGATCAGCTTTGATGATTGCTCTCAATTGGTCGTTGTCAACTTCCGATGGCTGGCTATTATGCTCCTCATCTTCAAGGCTTTTGTCTCCTTTGCAAAACTTCTTGAATGACCACTGCACTGTACATTCGTTAGCAGTTCCTGGGCCAAACACGTTGTTGATATTGTGAGTTGTCTCCGCTGCTTTATGACCCATTTTGAACACCAATCACTCGAATTTGCTTTTTGTCTAACATTATTTCCATACTGTAAAATAAACACAAAATAAATAGCAAATAACAAGTCATTATCAAAAAAGCCATAAAGTGAGAAATATGTATTAAAATGATTTATAATATAACCACATTTATTTAAGAATGTATTCCAATATCAAATGGCAAATTTCAACAATGCAAAAACCGCAATTATGTTTGCACCAACCTAATATAATATTGTCTTTATTAAGTTCTTATAATTCATAATCTAAGCAGAATGGCTGTGTATAATTTAAACATTAAATTTTAATTTAAATTTAATCAAATTTTACGTGCTAATTAAGAACAGTTTTCTATTTATAACTCCTTGTTATAAAGATCGATCATTGTATTTCATGTTTTGCATGCTATCAAGCTAAAACCAGATACACAAAGACTCAATTTTAAAGAATCTTTTAATACTATGTAAAGTTCCACATATCATTAAAAGACAATTGTTAATTCAAATGAGAATATATTTAGTCAAAGCTGCCAAGGTCACACAAATCAGTTTAAAATTACAAAACAAGGCCAGGCATGGTGGCTCATGCCTATAATCGCAGCACTTTGGGAGGCCGAAGCAGTTGGATCACGAGGTCAGTCAAGAGCAGGCTGGCCAACATGGTGAAACCCTGTCTCTACTAAAAAAATAAAATAAAATAAAATTAGCTAGGCATGGCGGTGCATGCCTGTAATCCCAGCTACTTGGGAGGTTGAGGCAGGACAATTGCTTGAACCGGGACCTGGGAGGTGAAGGTAGCAGTGAGCTGAGATCGCACCACTGCACTCCAGCCTGGGCTACAGAGCGAGACTCTGTCTAAAAAAAAAAAAAAAAAAACCACGAAAAAAACCACAATTTTTTTTTACAAATATTATAATATCTCCCATTAGATTTGATGTCATTCTGCATTCTGCATTAAATCTTTACATTTCTTTAGATTTTGAATGAAATCTTTATAATATAAACTATGTTACAAATTAATATTTTATTTATTAACTTTAGATATGAATTGATTTTATTGATATTTGCCCTTAGAAATATGCATAGAAAAGTTATCTTAAAGAGCTGTTTTAACAATTTAAGATGCATTTTTATTTTTAATGGAAAATGTAGTGCTTCCCTTTTTTCCTTCCTTCCCTCTTTCTTTCCTTCCCTCTTTCTTTCCTTCTCAATCTTCTTCCCATCTCACTTATTTCTCTTTGCATTACTTTTTCTTTTGGTTGTCTTTAAAACTTATTTATTAAGGATTTACTATTTTGGGTCTCTGGGGATATAACATGCTATGAGTCCTATTCTTTCTTTGGTTATTCATTTTCCTGTTGGTGAGAAAAGGCTATCAGACATGTCTGTAGGTGGAAGTTAATGAAGGAGAAGAGGGGACAATGGTGGGTAGATGTTGTGGGCTGAGGCTGTTGCAGGTGTTTGGGAAAGGAATGGACCCAGACACAGTAGCAGTCATTGAAGGTTTTGTGGTCTTTTAAGAAAGAATTTTCTGTATCATTGTAAGCCAATTAAAGTGTTAGACTTACAGTGATCATATATAATGACTTTGTTGAGCAAAAAAAACCCTATCATTTTAGTAATCTTTTGTTTTCTTAAAATCTTATTGGTTATAAAAAGTCAAAGGGCCTAAGTTGGTATAATTTGATTTCTCACACTATCCCTTGGAAAGAAAATTTGTTATGTGGCCTTTTTCCTAGGACAACCACCATATCCCAGTTTCTGCAGAACTGTCCCAATTTTACATGCATTCATCTATTTCAGTCATCATTTAACAGACATGTGACTTTGGCAAAGTTGTTTAACTTCTTTGAGCATTATTTTCCTCATAAGAGTAGGGCTACTTTAAAAAATAAATCAGATAACATACGTACCATAGTGCTCGGCCCATAACAATGACCAGATAAATGTAGGTATTATTCCTACTGCTGTCATCAATTGCTTTGAGTCAGGTTGTTATCATTTAATACAATGAGACTTCATTTTATACAGTAATAAAATATTTTATGCAAATTTAATTTTAGTTGCTAGAATCATATATTCCTATTAGATCAATTGTTTAGTGTCTTCATCAGTTAATGCTCTTTATTACTACAAATTAAATAAAATTGCTCTCAGTGATTGAGTGGCTGTCAAGGCTGATCTTTTAAATGTGGATAATGCGTGATAAAGGATGAGTAATCTTTCTAGATTTCTTACTTTCTAGAAGACTTCATTTGGAAGATAAGACTGCTATTATCAGTGCCCTTGATACAAATTGCAGACTTTTGTTGATTTAACTTTAGCTGTTACTATCTTGATATGTTGATTTTGTTCTTAGGACAGCCATATATTCAGATCTTTCAGAACAATCCAGACCCAAAATGCCGTCCTGCTGTGCCCCATGAGGTACACTTAGATTTGTTGTATCATATGTTGTGCCTTTTGGTTTGGAACATAAGAACTGATACCACTCGGCTTTTCTGGCTTCATCCTTGCTCCATGCTGTCACCTTGTTCCTGGATTCTGGGTCCCAGCCCTGATACTCTTTGCCTTGAACCTTGACTTAATTTATGATCTCAGTTTTTCCTTTAAAATTAAAATAAATTTTGAAGTTTATTTATCATCTCTTACATTATAATATTGACAGCTTCATTCTTATTTTATGAAGAGTTGATGTCTTTTTCTGGAATATTTAAAAAATGTACCAAAATATCTTGAAGAAATCTTATGACCCCATAGTCAATGGATCAAAATATCGATTTGAATCTCCATGAGTCAATTATTTTGTAAAAATAGAAATTTAATTTTTTATAAACATCTACTTTTAAGTAGGCAGTCTCACTAAAAGTGTGTCAACCCTCACTATCCTTGAAGTTCATCCATTATTTAATAAAACACTATACTTAAATATTCCATCATGAATGTTACAAATTAGATCTTGCAATTCTTGGCTATAGTGAATTAGCTTTTTAATTATCTAAAATTACCTACCATGTAGGTCCTAACATCTGCAACTGCCTGAAAAAAACAACTAAATTAGCCCTTGAAATTTCTTTTTCATTGGTTGTAATGGCTGACTTATACATATTATAATTGATTAGATGTACCATGAAGCAGAAGAAACAATCAACTGGACCTGCATCTAATATAGCATTTCATTTAATCAATGTGATTTGATGAAAGTCCCACTATATGCTTGGCTTTAAGCTTGGAGATTCAAATAAAAAGACATTAGGAATAAGATATTGTTCCTAAATTTAGGGAACTGGTATTCCAGATAACTAGTTGAGTCAATCTGTTTGACAAAAGCAATCATACTAGCCATTATTCAATCAATAAATAAAGCCATTATTTGAATTTGAATAAACCCAATGAAAAAATTATTTGACTAAATTTTTCATTTTCAACTGGCTGCTTGGGCAATGTAAACAAATAACCCAAAACAATTAAAAACAATAAAAGAGTTTTGTTTTGGTCCATTATTTTACCATCGTCTAGATACGATCTGACTACTAATGGAGAGAAATAATGATTGAGCAAACCAGAAAAGTAGCAATGAAGACAGAGAAGAGTAGATGAGATTGAAATAAATTTTGGAAAAAGAGATGTTGAAATTTGTTGATGGATAGGATACGAGGCTGAGGAAAACCAGATGTTCATTAGACATCCACATGAAGATGTTAAAGAGGTAGTTGAAGATGTAAGTATTTGTCTTAAGAGAGAGCTAAGGTCTGGAAATGGATAGGTTATCAGGTTGTTGTTGAGGCATGTTTTCTCAATAAGATTGATGTCCATGCTAAACTTTAGGTGAATTTGTTTTGCTATATGTAAGACATAGGTTAAGCACTACATCCAGGTTGACAGATTGGTCAAGAGTATGAAATCGGTTTCTCAAACTGAGTATCACTTCTTATTTTCTGTGTGATCTTGAACACTTACATCACTCTGAGTCTTAGCATCATCTGGCAATACAATATTATCCTGCTTGTAAGGTTTAAGGGAACTAATACATGCAAGCATTTAGCATAGTGTCTTAGTCCATTTTGTGTTTCCATAAGGGAATATCTGAAGCTGGGTAATTTAAAAAAGAGAGGTTTACTTAGCCCATGGTTCTGCAGGCTGTACAAGAAGCATGACACCAGCGTCTGCTTAGCTTCTGGTGAGGGCTTTTCATGCTGCATCTAAAAATGATGGAGAAGGTCAAAGGGAAAGTGGGCCCTGGCAAAGAGGGACCAAATCCAAGGGACAACCTGGCCTTATATCAATCTACTCTTGGGCAAACTAATCTAGTCCCTAGAGCCAATCCAGTCTTGTGAGAGCAAGAACAAACACACTACTGTGAAAAGGGCACCAAGCCATTTGTGAGGGATCTGCCTCTATGACCCAAACACCTCCCACTAAGACTTCCCAACACTCCCCACTGGGGATCAAATTTCAACATGAGATTTGGTGAAACAAGCAAACAATATCCAAACCATAGTACCAGTATTAGGTATACAGTAACTACTCAATAATATAAGCACTCAGCAGACAGAATGTAGGTTTTAAGAAGGGTAATAAATACAAATATTATTATTATTATAAATAATAATAAAATTCAGTGAGGTTGTTTTACATTGAAACTGTCAGTAAAATTGTGAAATACTTTGAAATGGGCAAAAAGTGATTACTGGGTGCCCTGTACCTTTCTGGGTTATCTCTACCTTTCCCTGTCTTTAAGCCATTTTGTGGCTATGTAAATTGTAGAAAAATTAGTAATACAAATGATTTTCTTCGATAAAAATGCCAATGAATTGTTCCCAGTGGAGACGCTATTTTTTCAACATTCCTGATTACTTTTACGTGTGTATCTTTTGAATTCTTTGAACTGGTTGCAACATCTTACTGGTTCACTCATTAATTATGAGTTAAATAAGATCTTGAACACATGTTCATTTTAATGAGATAAGATCTTGAACACAATTTGTATGAGAATTACAACGTTGCCTTTTAAAATTATTCTTTAATAAAAGTAAGGAGTAATTCTTATCTATCACCCTTCAATTTAATGAAGAAAATTTATAAAGAATATGAATATAAGAAGAGAGACTACTAAAATGTTTAATTAGAAAAAGGGATATAGGTAAATGCTTTTATAAATATTATTAGATCTGGGTCATAGTTCCAATATGATACAAAGTAGTTAAATCTTGTTATGCTTTATCAGTGCTTCTTCTTTTTTTTTTTTTTTTTTTTGACATGAAGTCTTACACTGTCGCCCAGACTGGTGTGCAGTGGTGTGATCTCGGCCTGCTACAATCTCCGCCTCCCGGGTTCAAGCAATTCTCCTGCCTCAGCCTCCCGAGTAGCTGGGACTACAGGCGTGTGCCACAACGCCAGGCTAATTTTTGTATTTTTAGTAGAGACAGGGTTTCACAATGTTGGCCAGGCTGGTCTCGACCACCTGACCTTGTGATCGGCCCGCCTCGGACTCCCAAAGTGCTGGGATTACAGGCGTGAGCCACCGTGCCCGGCCATCAGTTCTTCTTAAATGTGTCTTACGAAACACTAAGATACTAAGAAATGTTTACAGATATTCTGAGAAAAAAAACCACCAACCTCAAATTAGTTGGAAAAACCCTAGGTTAATCGAAGTTAAATAGATTTTTTTACTATAGAAATTCTCAGTCTTCACTAAGGTAAATGCATTATAAACACACACACACACACACACGCACGCACACACGCACACACACACACACAGCATTTATATGGTTGTGAGATGTTTCCTCTTTTTATTTTTTATATCTACTGACATCGGCATTTCTCAAGACACACAAACAAATAGATTTGTTTAAAATCTCATTTAAAGGAAGACTTGTGAAATATCGAGTAAAGAAGTGTTAGCCTAGAGGAGGAGCCAAGATGGCCGAATAGGAACTGCTCAGGTCTACAGCTCCCAGCGTGAGCGACGCAGAAGACGGGTGATTTCTGCATTTCCATCTGAGGTACCGGGTTCATCTCACTAGGGAGTGCCAGACAGTGGGCGCAGGACAGGGGGTGCGCGCACCGTGCGCGAGCCGAAGCAGGGCGAGGCATTGCCTCACTCCGGAAGCGCAAGGGATCAGGGAGTTCCCTTTCCTAGTCAAAGAAAGGGGTGACAGACGGCACCTGGAAAATCGGGTCACTCCCACCCGAATACTGCGCTTTTCCGACGGGCTTAAAAAACAGTGCACCAGATTATATGCCGCACCTGGCTCGGAGGGTCCTAAGCTCACGAAGTCTCGCTGATTGCTAGCACAGCAGTCTGAGATCAACCTGCAAGGCAGCAGCGAGGGTGGGGGAGGGGCGCCCGCCATTGCCCAGGCTTGAGTAGGTAAACAAAGCAGCCAGGAAGCTCGAACTGGGTGGAGCCCACCACAGCTCAAGGAGGCCTGCCTGCCTCTTTAGGCTCCACCTCTGGGGGCAGAGCACAGACAAACAAAAAGACAGCAGTAACCTCTGCAGACTTAAATGTCCCTGTCTGACAGCTTTGAAGAGAGCAGTGGTTCTCCCAGCACGCAGGTGGAGATCTGAGAACGGGCAGACTGCCTCCTCAAGTGGGTCCCTGACCCCTGACCCCCGAGCAGCCTAACTGGGAGGCACCCCCCATCAGGGGCACACTGACACATCACACGGCGCACTACTCCAACAGACCTGCAGCTGAGGGTCCTGTCTGTTAGAAGGAAAACTAACAAACAGAAAGGACATCCACACCAAAAACCCATCTGTACATCACCATCATCAAAGACCAAAAGTAGATAAAACCACAAAGATGGGGAAAAAACAGAGCAGAAAAACTGGAAACTCTAAAAAGCAGAGCACCTCTCCTCCTCCAAAGGAACGCAGTTCCTCACCAGCAACGGAACAAAGCTGGATGGAGAATGACTTTGATGAGCTGAGAGACGAAGGCTTCAGATGATCAAATTACTCCGAGCTACGGGAGGACATTCAAACCAAAGGCAAAGAAGTTGAAAACTTTGAAAAAAATTTAGAAGAATGTATAACTAGAATAACCAATACAGAGAAGTACTTAAAGGAGCTGATGGAGCTGAAAACCAAGGCTCGAGAACTACGTGAAGAATGCAGAAGCCTCAGGAGCCGATGCGATTAACTGGAAGAAAGGGTATCAGCAATGGAAGATGAGATGAATGAAATGAAGCGAGAAGGGAAGTTTAGAGAAAAAAGAATAAAAAGAAACGAGCAAAGCCTCCAAGAAATATGGGACTATGTGAAAAGACCAAATCAACGTCTGATTGGTGTACCTGAAAGTGACGGGGAGAATGGAACCAAGCTGGAAAACACTCTGCAGGATATTATCCAGGAGAACTTCCCCAATCTAGCAAGGCAGGCCAACATTCAGATTCAGGAAATACAGAGAATGCCACAAAGATACTCCTCGAGAAGAGCAACTCCAAGACACATAACTGTCAGATTCACCAAAGTTGAAATGAAGGAAAAAATGTTAAGGGCAGCCAGAGAGAAAGGTCAGGTTATCCT
Source organism: Homo sapiens (assembly GCF_000001405.40). Lineage (NCBI taxonomy): Eukaryota > Metazoa > Chordata > Mammalia > Primates > Hominidae > Homo > Homo sapiens. The sequence continues at coordinate 28,242,072 of NC_000018.10, forward strand.
CAAAGGGAAGCCCATCAGGCTAACAGCGGATCTCTCAACAGAAACTCTACAAGCCAGAAGAGAGTGGGGGCCAATATTCAACATTCTTAAAGAAAAGAATTTTCAACCCAGAATTTCATATCCAGCCAAACTAAGCTTCATAAGTGAAGGAGAAATAAAATACTTTACAGACAAGCAAATGCTGAGAGATTTTGTCACCACCAGGCCTGCCCTAAAAGAGCTCTTGAAGGAAGCGCTAAACATGGAAAGGAACAACCGGTACCAGCCGCTGCAAAATCATGCCAAAATGTAAAGGCCATCGAGACTAGGAAGAAACTGCATCAACTAACGAGCAAAATAACCAGCTAACATCATAATGACAGGATCAAATTCACACATAACAATATTAACTTTAAACGTAAATGGACTAAATGCTCCAATTAAAAGACACAGACTGGCAAATTGGATAAAGAATCAAGACCCAGCAGTGTGCTGTATTCAGGAAACCCATCTCATGTGCAGAGACACACATAGGCTCAAAATAAAAGGATGGAGGAAGATCTACCAAGCAAATGGAAAACAAAAAAAGGCAGGGGTTGCAATCCTAGTCTCTGATAAAACAGACTTTAAACCAACAAAGATCAAAAGAGACAAAGAAGGCCATTACATAATGGTAAAGGGATCAATTCAACAAGAAGAGCTAACTATCCTAAATATATATGCACCCAATACAGGAGCACCCAGATTCATAAAGCAAGCCCTGAGTGACCTACAAAGAGACTTAGACTCCCACACATTAATAATGGGAGACTTTAACACCCCACTGTCAACATTAGACAGATCAATGAGACAGAAAGTCAACAAGGATACCCAGGAATTGAACTCAGCTCTGCACCAAGCAGACCTAACAGACAGCTACGGAACTCTCCACCCCAAATCAACAGAATGTACATTTTTTTCAGCACCACACCACACCTATTCCAAAATTGACCAGATAGTTGGAAGTAAAGCTCTCCTCAGCAAATGTAAAAGAACAGAAATTATAACAAACTATCTCTCAGACCACAGTGCAATCAAACTAGAACTCAGGATTAAGAATCTCACTCAAAACTGCTCAACTACATGGAAACTGAACAACCTGCTCCTGAATGACTACTGGGTACATAATGAAATGAAGGCAGAAATAAAGATGTTCTTTGAAACCAACGAGAACAAAGACAGAACATACCAGAATCTCTGGGATGCATTCAAAGCAGTGTGTAGAGGGAAATTTATAGCACTAAATGCCCACAAGAGAAAGCAGGAAAGATCCAAAATTGACACCCTAACATCACAATTAAAAGAACTAGAAAAGCAAGAGCAAACACATTCAAAAGCTAGCAGAAGGCAAGAAATAACTAAAATCAGAGCAGAACTGAAGGAAATAGAGACACAAAAAACCCTTCAAAAAATTAATGAATCCAGGAGCTGGTTTTTTGAAAGGATCAACAAAATTGATAGACTGCTAGCAAGACTAATAAAGAAAAAAAGAAAGAAAAATAGATGCAATAAAAAATGATAAAGGGGATATCACCACCGATCCCACAGAAATACAAACTACCATCAGAGAATACTAAACACCTCTACGCAAATAAACTAGAAAATCTAGAAGAAATGGATACATTCCTGGACACATACACTTTCCCAAGACTAAACCAGGAAGAAGTTGAATCTCTGAATAGACCAATAACAGGAGCTGAAATTGTGGCAATAATCAATAGCTTACCAACCAAAAAAAGTCCAGGACCAGATGGATTCACAGCCGAATTCTACCAGAGGTACCAGGAGGAACTGGACCATTCCTTCTGAAACTATTCCAATCAATAGAAAAAGAGGGAATCCTCCCTAACTCGTTTTATGAGGCCAGCATCATCCTGATACCAAAGCTGGGAAGAGACACAACCCAAAAAAGAGAATTTTAGACCAATATCCTTGATGTACATTGATGCAAAAATCCTCAATAAAATACTGGCAAATGGAATCCAGCAGCACATCAAAAAGCTTATCCACCATGATCAAGTGGGCTTCATCCCTGGGATGCAAGGCTGGTTCAATATACGAAAATCAATAAATGTAATCCAGCATATAAACAGAACCAAAGACAAAAACCACATGATTATCTCAATAGATGCAGAAAAGGCCTTTGACAAAATTTAACAGCCCTTCATGCTAAAAACTCTCAATAAATTAGGTATTTATGGGACATATCTCAAAATAATAAGAGCTATTTATGACAAACCCACAGCTGATATCATACTGACTGGGCAAAAACTGGAAGCATTCCCTTTGAAAACTGGCACAAGACAGGGATGCCCTCTCTCGCCACTCCTATTCAACACAGTGTTGGAAGTTCTGGCCAGGGCAATCAGGCAGGCGAAGGAAATAAAGGGTATTCAATTAGGAAAAGAGGAAGTCAAATTGTCCCTGTTTGCAGACGACATGATTGTATATCTAGAAAACCCCATTGTCTCAGCCCAAAATCTCCTTAAGCTGATAAGCAACTTCAGCAAAGTCTCAGGATACAAAATCAATGTACAAAAATCACAAGCATTCTTATACACCAACAACAGACAAACAGAGAGCCAAATCATGAGTGAACTCTCATTCACAATTGCTTCAAAGAGAATAAAATACCTAAGAATCCAACTTACAATGGATGTGAAGGACCTCTTCAAGGAGAACTACAAACCATTGCTCAAGGAAATAAAAGAGGATACAAACAAATGGAAGAACATTTCATGCTCATGGGTAGGAAGAATCAATATCGTGAAAATGGCCATACTGCCCAAGGTAATTTATAGATTCAATGCCATCCCCATCAAGCTACCAATGACTTTCTTCACAGAATTGGAAAAAACTACTTTAAAGTTCATATGGAACCAAAAAAGAGCCTGAATCGCCAAGTCAATCCTAAGCCAAAAGAACAAAGCTGGAGGCATCACGCTACCTGACTTCAAACTATACTACAAGGCTATAGTAACCAAAACAGCATGGTACTGGAACCAAAACAGAGATATAGATCAATGGAACAGAACAGAGCTCTCAGAAATAGTGCCGCATATCTACAAATCTTTGACAAACCTGAGAAAAACAAGCAATGGGGAAAGGATTCCCTATTTAATAAATGGTGCTGGGAAAACTGGCTAGCCATATGTAGAAAGCTGAAACTGGATCCCTTCCTTACACCTTATACAAAAATCAATTCAAGATGGATTAAAGACTTAAACGTTAGACTTAAAACCATAAAAACCCTAGAAGAAAACCTAGGCATTACCATTCAGGACATAAGCATGGGCAAGGACTTCATGTCTAAAACACCAAAAGCAATGGCAAGAAAAGCCAAAATTGACAAATGGGATCTAATTAAACTAAAGAGCTTCTGCACAGCAAAAGAAACTACCATCAGAGTGAACAGGCAACCTACAAAATGGGAGAAAATTTTCACAACCTGCTCATCTGATAAAGGGCTAATATCCAGAATCTACAATGAACTCAAACAAATTTGCAAGAAACAAACAAACAACCCCATCAAAAAGTGGGCAAAGGATATGAACAGACACTTTTCAAAAGAAGACATTTATGCAGCAAAAAGACAAATGAAAAACTGCTCACCATCACTGGCCATCAGAGAAATGCAAATCAAAACCACAATGAGATACCATCTCACACCAGTTAGAATGGCAATCATTAAAAAGTCAGGAAACAACAGGTGCTGGAGAGGATGTGGAGAAATAGGAATACTTTTATATTGTTGGTGGGACTGTAAACTAGTTCAACCATTGTGGAAGTCAGTGTGGCAATTCCTCAGGGATCTAGAACTAGAAATACCATTTGACCCAGCCATCCCATTACTGGGTATATACCCAAAGGATTATAAATCATGCTGCTATAAAGACACATGCACACGTATATTTATTGCGGCATTATTCACAATAGCAAAGACTTGGAACCAACCCAAATGTCCAACAATGATAGACTGGATTAAGAAAATGTGGCACATATACACCATGGAATACTATGCAGCCATAAAAAAGGATGAGTTCATGTCCTTTGTAGGGACATGGATGAAATTGGAAATCATCATTCTCAGTAAACTATTGCAAGAACAAATAACCAAACACAGCATATTCTCACTCTTAGGTGGGAATTGAACAATGAGAACACATGGACACAGGAAGGGGAACATCACACTCTGGGGACTGTTGTGGGGTTGGGGGAGGGGGGAGGGATAGCATTGGGAGATATACCTAATGTTAGATGATGAGTTAGTGGGTGCAGCGCACCAGCATGGCATGTGTATACATATGTAACTAACCTGCACATTGTGCACATGTACCCTAAAACTTGAAGTATAATAATAATAATAATAATAATAAACCAAAAAAAAAAAAAAAGAAGTGTTAGCCTAACAGCAAATAGTGGAGTGGGGTGGGATTGTTCCTACCCATCATCTGGTTTCCACAGACCTTTATCGCCTGTCTCAAGAGAGTCAACTCTGCTCTTAGCAAGTCTCTGCTGGAGCAACAGCATGAACAGGGAACTGGCCATCTGAACCTTTTCATCTACGGAGCCACCTGAGCTAAGCTGTGACTCTCTGCAGTGGCAAGACACAAACACGGTCACAGACCTTTTAAAACATGCTGCTAAAAGATATCCTGCTCTTAACATTTCAAACACAACATTTGTGCCTAAATCCAAATTACTCTGTCAGAGCTAAGTTGCAGCAGTTGTTTAATATTTAAAGCCTATACACTTCAGGTAATGTAGAGAACAGTTTGTTCACCAGAGAAAGGAAGTGGGAGAGTGGTATTTCATTTGGGGTCAAGGTGCTTAAATGATTTCTCCTGGTAGCCCCTAAAACACATTAAGATAAAAAAAAATCCTATCTTGCAGGGAATCTTATAACTCCCCATAGTGTATCACAGTTCTTCTGGAGAACGTTTATTTATTTATTGAGACAGTTAAGTAGATTTTTTTACTATAGAAATTCTCAGTCTTCACTAAGGTTAAATGCGTTATTTATTTATTTATTTATTTATTTATTTATTGCCCAGGCTGGGTACAGTGGCCCAACCATGGCTCACTGCAGTCTTAAACTCCTGGGCTCAAGTGATCTTCCTGCCTCAGCCTCCCCAGTAGATGGAACGACACAACATGCGACCACACTGGCTAATCTTAAAATTTTTCTTTTATAGAGATGGAAGAGTTGCACTATGTTGACCAGGCTGGTTTTGAACCCTTGGCCTCAAGCGATCCTTCCTCTTCGGCCTCCCAAAGTGTTGGATTTACAGATGTGAGCCGCCCTGCCCAGACAGCAAAACTTTATTTAAACTACTAATTCAAAGAATGTAAGATGTTTTAGTGTTATATTTCTTAGATGACTTTTTTAAAAAAGCTTTCATTAGGCTACTTGAACACATACATCATTATGAAAGAATAAATAAACTAGGCATGACTTCCTCATTAATGCAATATTCAAAATGAGATATCTATATGTTTAGCATTAATGGGGTGTTGTGGAACGTTTACAAAAAAATGTAAGAGTTCTTTTCACTTAAAGCAACATCTCGTCTGACTGAAGATTTAATAATATAGGTAACAATAAAAGTTGGAAAACAATACAGTAGAGAATGTACATACACGAGAAGTTGTGGACTATTATAGGAGTACATGTAAGAAAAGAACCTGTGTAGGTTGAAATAAACAGAGTGAGAATGATGAGCTTTAAAATAGAAAAATGATGTAAGGTAGAGAAAAATTCCAGAGAGATCATTCCAGGCAGATGAATTGACAGGTGTGTGGTAGCAGAGAAAAAAAAAAAAAAAGATGAAGTTTTTCTTTTTTTTTTTTTTTTTTTTTTTTTTTTTTGAGACGGAGTCTCGCTCTGTCGCCCAGGCCGGACTGCGGACTGCAGTGGCGCAATCTCGGCTCACTGCAAGCTCCGCCTGCCGGGTTCACGCCATTCTCCTGCCTCAGCCTCCCAAGTAGCTGGGACTACAGGCGCCCGCCACCGCGCCCGGCTAATTTTTTGTATTTTTAGTAGAGACGGGGTTTCACCTTGTTAGCCAGGATGGTCTCGATCTCCTGACCTCATGATCCACCCGCCTCGGCCTCCCAAAGTGCTGGGATTACAGGCGTGAGCCACCGCGCCCGGCCAAGATGAAGTTTTTCTACAGCCAAGAGTTCATGCTGAGGATTACTAGATTATCAGGACAGGGCACTGTGAAATCAGATAAAAAATTTTGAAAGGCTTGGCTCTGTGGCTCATGCCTGTAAATCTCGGCACTTTGGGAGGCCAAGGAGGCAGGATTGCTTGAAACCAGGAGTTGGAGGCCAGTCTGGGCAACATAGTGAGACCCTCGCCTCTAAAAATATAAACAATAAAAATTACTCAGATGTGGTGACACAAACCTGCAGTCCTAGCTCCTTGGGGTCTGAGGTAGGAGGATTGCTTAAGTCAGGAAGGTCGAAGATTCAGTGAGCTATGATTGCCACTGTACTCCAGCCTGGGTGACAGAGTGAGATCCTGTCTCAAAATAATTTTTTTCTTTGAAAAATTATGATATGATATGTTAACTTAAAAAAAAATCAAAGATATAAACTTAGAAAAAGAGAGAAGGAGACTTTCTTTCTTATAAAGGGTTACAACCTGCAAGACAGCCATCCTGCAGCCTGGGAAGCACAGTCTCTGAAGGAAGCCCAGAGATAGGTAATTGGAAGGAGGAGGGGTTGGGGTAGGAGCTTTACACTGAAAGGGTTGGCCAAACATGCATATTCAACAGATTACAGGAGGAAGTATGAATATTCATGAGGTGTTCCTGACACTTGACCCATGTTCACTTTGGGGTGGAGACTTAACAATTAAATGCATTACTATTAGACCCTATATGTGAAAAGGACTTTTCAGGACATGAAGGCTTGAGAGTGCAATCTCTGCACCAGCCAGAACCACAGTCCATGGTCTTATCAGGAGAAAGTTGCTGAAATCACTCTCTTGTCCAATAAAAGCTGTAGTTATGGCTGTGGAAGAGGGGCTGGGGGGTCGGTTAGTACCTAGTGGAGCTGCAAATTATTTCAATATTGCTTATCTTGAGGGCATTGCTTGTTTAGCTGCTAGAGAAAAAGAAAACGCGTGTAGCAGTTAGAGCATAGTTGATTCTTTAAGTGCAGGGGTGTGTGACCTATCTCTTGCCTGGCATGGACTTAGGTCCTGTTTGTAATTTGGTATTTTATTGCCACCAAGAGTCTGTTTTGTCAATCTTATAAGCTTGATTTTATCATTAATGTTGGTCACTGGTTATGTCTAAACCACAAAGGGAGAGGGTATAATAAGGTGTGTCTAACCTCCCATCCTATCATAGCTGAAAACTCAGTTTTCAGGGTGTGTGTGTGTGTGTGTGTGTGTGTGTGTGTGTGTGTGTGTGTGTGTTGGGGGGGTGTTCCTTTGGCCAAGGAGGAATCTGTTTGGTTGGTGAGGAGACTTAAGAGTTTAAGTTTAAAATATTTATATATTATAATCACTGAACATTATGGATCTTTTGGTAAATTCTACCAGCTTTAAAAGGAATAACATTGGTTACTTTTATATATTTTTGATGGATGTTAAACCTTCACTAATTCAGGTAAATTGAGTGAGAAATGAATCTGTACTAATTAAATTTATGGACTGTAAAACATTTATTTAAAAAAGCAGTTTTATTTCTCTTCTGTATTTGTGATAATAATAATTACACAAAAAATGTGTGGTATTATTAGGCTTCATGAGAGAATTGTTTTATTTTGAATAATGATTTAGAATTAGGATTCTTTTCCCTAAATAATAGTTTCCTAAGGAGAAAGATGCTTTAAATGATCAATTATCTTTAAATGTTTTAAATTATCTTGTTTACATCTTATTTTTATGGTTAATTGGCTAAGCAAATCTTTTCCTTATTATGTAGTGTTTAAAGTGGCTTTCATCTTAGCTGTCCTGGCAGTTTTTGGTTTGCCCCTCTAGAGATATCTTCTACAGTCCTACATACTGCTCTGTGCACCATGAGATGGCCCTCTATGGCCTGCGTCACAGGTCCCCTTGTTGTCTGGCTGCTGATAGGGTTGAGCCATTGGTAGGTACCAACAGAAACTCTGAAAAGTGAGAGGAGGGTGAATTCAGGCAGGGGGTGTATTCCCTAGCTCTTTCCCTGTCACGAAGTAGCTGTGTCCCTGCATTGAAGGCTACACAGTTTCTCTTGGGATACCCTTACATTTTCTTTCTGGGTTCCAGGAATCACTGGCTCCCTTTTGTCTTCAGATCTTGGGAATCATGGTTCTCTGCTATTGCTAGTCCATGTTCTGCATCATTTCCTGTTGGCTGTTCTTGATGCTAACTACTCTAACTACACTACTATAAAAATCTCTTTTAAAAATGAAGCAATTGTCCTATATGAGGGCATTGCCTGTTTTCTGCTGGGACTCTGACAGATAAAATATCTTTTACTGAAATAGATTTAAAAAACCAGTAAATGGAGTTTGCAACAAAAATGTTTTGCTGAATATGTGAATGTATTTCACTTTTAACATTTTGTGAACAATTAACTCATTTGTTTACCCGCTTGTTAAGAAACAGTTAAGTAACTATTATGTGTTAAGCATCAATAGGATAGGAATATAACAAGTTCACATTTTTCATAATATTTAATTTGTTATATTAGTAATAATAATATTAATGTATTAATCATGTTAATATTAATAACACATGGGTTTTACATATTCTCAGACTCTTAGATGTATTATTTAAGGTAGATACCAATTAATACTTTAGAAGTTTTTATCACCAACAGGCACATATGGAACATTTACTATGTGCAAAATAATGGGCTTATAGTTCCTAAAAGCACCATTTCGTATTTTTTCATGTGTGAAAGAAAGATATATTAAACTTCTAGTTCACAGTTTTAGATTATTTTATGCTTATGATAAATCATAAAGAGTTGGAATTCACAACATATGTAATAGAACTGTGAAACTTGGGTAAGGAAACACTTATGCATTTAGTATAGAATGGTGTATAAAAGGAGATAAAGACAAAGATAAAAATAATAAAAAAGAACTATCAATTTATAGATTGCTCAGGGTATTAGCTTTCCATTATTCAAGCATTTGAGAGACGTCTGGGTCCCTTGTGAGAGTAGATTGACCTCTTTCAGGGCATTATAATAGCATGTTAATTATAGCTGTACTAAATTAAATTGCAGGAACTGTGTGGATATATATTAAACTCTTGACTTGATCATCATAATATTTCTTCTAATTGAAAATAACAAATACAGTTGAAGACTCTTGTTTGATTTTTTTATTGCAGGAAGATGCAAACTAAAATTCAATTTATAAAAACATTTACTCTGGATAGACATTTTTGTCTATGTCTTATTTTGAAAATTTTTGAGGAAAAGGAGATAAAAATGGAGATTAAACCAAATATTTATTTTAAAAAAATTCCAGTAGATTTAACACCAGTGCAACGCAGTCCTATCTTCCACGTAAAGAACAGGGGACATTGGTCACACTGACTATACTAGTTGACTAGTTAGACAGTAAGTTTAATTACCTCAAATATTCAGTTTCCCAATTATTTTGTTTCTAAGAATTAATGTTACTTTGGGATAATACAAATGTTACACATTATAGCACAGATTTTTCAAGTATCTATTAATGACAGTATGATTTTTGTTTTCTTTCATGTAACCTCAGAATTGGAAGACATGATACCACTGAAACTTGGAGTTGATGATGAATACATAGACCTTAATTACAAACATAGTCTAGATCTTAAGACTACTTGTCTGCTTTAGAAGATCTTATAGGGGGAAGAGGAAAGGATACCTTAATTCTCAGATCAAGCCTGTCAATTTTTCCTTAGATTGATAAAAAGTGGCTTAGCAAGTGATAAGTACATGAGCACCATCCAGTCTTTTGTCTTTTTACCATTGAACTAAATATGGGCCACAGTTCTCCAAGAACTCTAACCAGGAAAGGTAACAGGCCTCATTCTTTATACACAAATTTAGTATTAAAAACATCATGACAATAAGAGCAGCAGCAGGAAGAAAATACAATTAGCAAAGGAAGCATGAGTAAAACATTTAAACCCATACTTTTTATGCATTAGCTCAATGATTCATTTTGAATTTAGCTTTCCAATTCATCTGTCTCCAGGTGTCCTCTATTTCATATCTAGATCTAATTTTTTTTCATAGAATTGTGTCATTGGAACATCTGAGAAAATAAAATTTGACCCTCCCAAATTGCAGCTTCAAAAAGCATAATACAGTGCTATTTTTATACAGAAAATTCTGTCTTTTACCTCCAAGAGCAGTTTTCAGGTGTTTAACATATTATTACTATTTTTGGTCTTACATAAAACCTATCATTTGAGAGGTTTGCAGTGTGCTGCTACATTAATTCCTATAATAGTATTTTGAGATCACGATCATTATTGTTGCTTAACGGAATAAACCTAATGCTTGTGATTTGCTTGAGAATTAATGCTTGGTAAATGACCAAATTCTATGGGGGCTGATGATCAGTTATTTATTGCAACACTTTATTCTCCCAATCTATTATTCTACCACCTAGAACATGGCAATTTTTCTTAGATGGGCCAGACAACAGTAAAGTTAAACAATAATATCAAAGATATGACTTACTCTGGAGCACATTAAAACAAAGAAAATTATTTGTCTCTGAACTACTAATAATATGAGGTTATTGTTTTTGAACCCCCAAAGGGATACAGAAAGCTTCTCAAATACACATTCTGAATCTCCAAAATGTATCTTATGTATAGATTATGGAATTATACGTTTTTAAGAACTCTAATCCTTGCTTTGCCTTTTATTTTATTTATTCTATCTTTTCAGCTTCCATTTTATTGACCTTTTTTTTTTTGGTTGTTGTCAGGGTGATATGGTTTGCATTTGTGTCCCGGGCCAAATCTTGTATCAAATTGTAATCCCCAGTTTTGGAGGAGGAGCCTGGTGGGAGGTGATTAGATCATGGGGGGCAGATTTCCCCCTTGCAGTTCTTGTGATAGTGAATTAATTCTCATGAGATCTGGTTGTTTAAAAGCATGCAGCACCTCCCCTTTCACTCTCTTTCTCCTGCTCCTACCACTTAAGACATGCCTGCCTCCCCTTCGCCTTTCTCCATGATTGGAAGTTTCTTGAGGCCTCCCCAGCCATGCCTCTTGTACAGCCTCTAGAACCGTGAGCCAATTAAGTCTCTTTTCTTCATAAATTGCCCAGTCTCAGGCAGTTCTTTAAAGCAATGCAAGAACAGACTAATATATAGGGCCTCACTCTGTTGCCCAGGCTGGAGTGCAATGGTGGGACCTTGGCTCGCCACAGCCTCAACTTCCCAGGCTTAAGCAATCCTCCCACCTCAGCCTCTCGAGTAGGTGAGACTACAGGTGCACATCACTACAACTGGCTAAATTTTGTATTTTTTGTAGTGACAGGGTTTTGCCAGGTTTCCCAGGCTGGTCTCAAACTCCTGGGCTCGAGCAATCCACCCTCCTTGGCCTCCCAAAGTGCTGGGATTACAGGCATGAGACATTGCACCCAGTCTTATTGAGATTTTTTGAGACAATATTGTCTGTCTCTTGCTTTCCTACTCTATTTTTTCTTTTACTTTAAGTTCCCGGATACATGTGCAGAATTTTCAGGTTTGTTACATAGGTATTCTTGTGCCATTGTGGTTTGCTACAACTACTGATCCATCATCTATCTTCCCTCCCCTCCCTACCACCCCACAACAGGCCCTGGGGTGTGCTGTTCCCCTCCTTATGTCCATGTGTTCTCACTGCTCAACTCCCACTTGTGAGTGAGAACATGCAGTGTATGGTTTTCTGTTCCTGTGTTAGTTTGCTGAGGATGATGGCTTCCAGCTGCATCCACGTCCCTGCAAAAGACATGATCTTATCCCTTTCTATGGCTGTATAGTATTCTGTGGTGTATGTGTACCACATTTCCTTTATCCAGTCTATCATTGCTGGACATTTGGTTTGGTTCCATGTCTTTGCTATTGTAAATAGTGCTGCAATAAACATACGTGTATATGTGTACTTTATATTCCTTTGGGTATATATCCAGTTATAGGATTGCTGGGTAAATGGTATTTCTGGTTTTAGATCCTTGAGGAATCACCACACTGTCCCCTTCGTTACACCTTATATAAAAATTAACTCAACATGGGTTAAAGACTTACATGTAAAACCCAAAGCCATAAAAACCCTGGAAGAAAACCTAGGCAGTACCATTCAGGACATAGGCATGGGCAATGACTTCATGATGAAAACGCCAAAAGCAATTGCAACAGAAGCCAAAATTGTCAAATGGGATCTAATTAAACTAAAGAGCTTCTGCACAGCAAAAGAAACCATCATCAGAGTGAACAGGTAACCTACAGAATGGGAGAAAATTTTTGCAATCTACCCATCTGACAAAGGCCTAATATGCAGAATCTACAAGGAACTTACACACATTTACAAGAAGGAAACAAACAACCCTATCAAAAAGTGGGCAAAAGATATAAACACATTTCTCAAAAGAAGACATTTATGCACCAATATACATATGAAAAAAAGCTCAACATCACTGATCATTAGAGAAATGCAAATCAAAACCTCAATGAGACACCATCTCACACCAGTCAGAATGGAGATTATTAAAACAACAGGGAACAATAGATGCTAGCAGGGCTGTGGAGGAATAGGAATGCTTTTACACTGTTGGTGGGAGTGTAAGTTAACTTTTCCACTCTTAAGCCTTTACTGTGTCATGGGAGTCTTCACATCTTCACTACGTAATGAATCTTGCCAAAACTGTATCATGATAACAAAAAAAATCTCTGTAAAATCTCCGTCTTGTTCTCGAAGAGACAAGTGGCACAAAGAATGCCACAGTGTGCCAGAGTGCCTCAGTGGCTTCCATATATTTTTTATTGTTTCTCAGGCTATTTACAGATCTTGCTATCAAGATCTCCTGTTAGTGGCAGCACAGATGAGGAGACTATCAGAACCTCTTATAGAAGTATAAAGGTCTTTCCTTTTTAGACAAAACTGTAAGATAGATCCACTCTGTATTAATTATGCTCTTCCGACTTACTAATTTGTGAGAAGACAAAAGAGACTTCAGAAATTTGTCAAAAGTCATGAAGATAGAATTAAGATTTAAGCATTGTTATTTTCTTTATGAACATGTTTTGAAAATAAATGGCTGTTTTTTCATAAGTAATACTCTTAAATACTATCTGTTGTACCATTAAAATATTGCCACACATATTACTTATAATAGTGTGTGGCAGATTATGTTAGGAGCTATTAGATTGTTTATTTGTTAACTATAAAGCAGCAAGAAAAGGGAAGAAAACTATACCAACCCAGCCAAGGTGACAGATCATATACTTTAATATTACCACTTTTACCAGAGAAATTTTTTTATATTTAAAATTTGGTGTTGCCTTTTCCCATTTTAGTCAAGCAAATACTTTCATGAATGCTATAAAGAAAATTAATAATAAATGCATTTGAATCCAGATTTTCAGCTTGTAATTTTATTTTTAATCAATTGAAAGGGAACCAATATTCATATCAAACATCTATTTATTGGTTTTTGTATTATAGGTATTGTGTTCTTTAAACAATACTCTATTTGACTATGTTCTACTGCTACGTGATAGGTATTGATATTCCCATTTTGCAGATGAGACACCTGCTCAAAGTCACAGAGAGGTTAAACAACTTGCCTGAGATAACGAAGTAAGTAATGGAGAGTGGTTGAAAATCTGGCCTGCCTGATTCTAAAAGCTATGTTTTCTCCACTGTTCAATCAAGCAGGTAAAGTATTTTCGATATTAGTTTTCATGCTATTATTTCAGAACCATGTCTGTTGAAGACAATGCTTCTTTTCCAGTGTGGCAACATATTTTCTCATGTACAGTAAAGTAGTATGTCAGGTAACAAAAGAGGAGTAAATTAAAAAGCTAAATTGGAAATTATAGATATTATGAATTTTCAGTTGAAAACTATAAAGTGATTTTAGTCCATCAACCATTAATAAGATAAAACCATACCAAAGACATTAAGGACAACAATGAATTTAAACTAGGAAACAATTTAATCTGAAATATTTAAATATCTGACTCACAAATTCAGTTTTTCAACACGTCTAGAGCTCTCCTTGACTTATTCTATGAAGCATATATTTTATATGTTGTCATAACTATGAGGGCATTTTCTAAAAATATGTGCAATGGGATGAGTAATGGGAGATGACAGAATAGGAATGGTGGGAGAGAAAATTCCTTTTTTAGATATTTTTTGCCCATGTCATTTTTCATTTTTGTAGCATTGTCTTAGGGTAACATCATCTACATATCTCATTTCTTCTAAAACATATTCTTCTAAAATACGTTTAGAAATATAAATTCACCCTGCATCTTAAGCTATTGTTTTACTAAAATGGAAAATAAAGAAGAATATTTAACAGTGGAACTTGACTTTGGATTTAACAAAGGCCATGCATAGTATTGAAGAAGGCATTTCAACCACAGCAAATGCTTAAAAACTGATAGAATTTTAAAAGGAGATTGCATAAGATTCAAAAGGAAAACGTGTTCTCTAAAAATATTATTATCCCATCTGGGTTCGTAAAGAGTAAGGTGATTTAATTTTAGACTGTATCTTTAGAGAATAGGTAATAAGTCATCAATTTCTTCTTTTAGAAAGCTTACTTTTTCTGTACACCACATTGGTTTCCACTTTTAAAATTTATTCCACTAGCACCTCCTCCTCCTCATCATCAAACATTTATTGATCATTAATTTTTTTGTTGCAAGGGAATATGAAGAAGAATAAGACCCAGTCCTTAACTTGTGATTTAAAATCTGGTTTTAGGGACATAGCACTTATAATCAAGGTAAACGACAATTAAAAGTAGCATGTCTTAAGAGCTCTGCCATAGATGGCAAGTATGTGGCCTGAGGCTGGCCCTTCTCTCTCTATAGTATTCATGGTAGACGTTGATATTCAATAGCTGTTTTCCTGCTGTGTCTGGACATGGGAAACAGTGAATCTTTCTTGGCCTTGAACTCTAGGTCGACTTTACCTGTGAATCAGCATTTGTATTCAATATGGAAACTATTAGCATTCCTTTGCTATGGGAGTGTTACAGTGATATATAAATCCAATACAGAATGTCGACTAGAGATGTAAGTTTTGAGATGTCCTTAAATGAGTGATAAAATATAAATTAATGGAATAAGGGAATAGGGAATCTAGATTAGGGAACTAGTACAAAGGAAGAACAGCGGCCCTCAGTTGTGGTGTGCTATGGAATACTCAGTAAACAAGTTAGATTGGCAGCATTACAAATGACTGCTAAACCAGGATGCCTAGCTAAGGAGATAGAATTTCATCTTGTTCCCATACACTCTTTTTAGTGAGAATTCTGTGCCAAAAATATAGACTTGGGAATCACTACTACAAAATAATAATCAACAGGAATAGATTACATCATATGAGGATATGTGTAGAGTAAGGGAAGCAATTCAGCTTTTGATGAACAGGAGAGGACCTTGTAGAGGAGACCCAGGGGCAGTAACAAGGAGAATAGATGGTCACAAAGTCTAGTAAGAGCTTTTAGAAGGAGCACTTGGTAAATAGTGTCAGGTAGTGCTCAGAAGACCCTGAAGATGAGGACTGTGAAGAGCTGTTCAATTACACAGCAAAGTGAGCAGTACAATTTTGGTGGAAAAAAGTACAGAGTAATTTTGATGGAATAATGGTGATGGAGAGGGGAGGAAAGAATAGAAGGCAGTGAAAAGAGGAAGGGTAGGCAATTCTGGTGAGAGAGAGATATAGGATGGTGGCTAGGAAACAAGGGCTTTGTTTGTTTGCTTGCTTGTTGTTTATTATGAGAGAAGCCTTGGCATATATACATGATGATGAAAAGGAGTCAGTAAGGAGGAGGAGAATTGAGATATGGAGTAATGGATGATTGATAGGATGAGATTCCAGAACAAGTAAAAGGCAATGGGATCCTAGCACAAAGGCAAATATATAAATAGGCATGGGAAAGATAAAAGATATAGAGTCTTATAAACTCTTACAAATGTGTAGATTATGTAAAGCTTTGTAAACCCCAAATTTCGACCCTTCCCACATATCTCTTTCTTGAGGTATAGGCCTGTATGTCCAACTGTCTCAGGAGATTTATACTTGGTTATCACAAAATGCATAAATTTCAACATGTAAAACATTCAGTTCCCGATCTTCTTCCCTTGCTACAAACCAACTCTTTTTCCCTAACTCAAGGAATGGCAGTGCCATGCATTTAGTTGCTCAGGCTATAAATCTGCATTATATTTGAATCCTCCACCTTCTACATTAAAACCACATTTAATCAATCACTAGGTTTTGCTGTTTCTATCTCCTAAATATCTTTGTACTCTATTTTTCTCTTGATTCATCTTCAGTAGCCTAGTTCTGCCTAGCATCATCTTTCTCCTTGATTACTATCACAACAACAATGACCTTTCTGCTTCCAGTTTTATCAAAATATCCTCTTCTCCAATCCATTCTCTGGTTGTAGGGTCCCTTCACAGGACAGGGGCATCCCATCAGCAGGAAATATGGACACAAAGTGGCACATGGAAAACACATTTAACTTTGAAGTTTCATTGTATTTTTAAGAAAGGTGATGTCTCCCCTCTGCTCCTAACACAGACTGCAAAGTCATTCACTATTTTATCCATGTTTACGTCTCTTGTTTTATCTTTTAAATCTCCACTGATCCTCTAGGGTGGCTGTTTCACTACATTCATCTGGTCAACCATCATTTGTTCTTTACACCTCTTCATCTTGAACATCACTTGCTCTGGCAGGACCTGTCTACTTACAATAGTCTGTTTTAGGTGGCTTTTTTTTTGGACTTCCCATAGTATCTTAACCTTCTCTCATCATGTTTGTTACTTAAAAGATAGTCTCCTGTTTTCTTTTTGTTTCCCCAGTGGACTCAGCAATTGTATTGGCCTCATTCATTATTATAGCCACAGTGCACAGTACGTTACCTGGTATACATTTATTAAGGAAATATGTATTTAATGAAATTGAATCTGTCAATAATATGCAGGATAAATTAAAGGAAGGGTGGGAAAGAACTAGACATAGGGCTATCCAAGAACCATAATTGTTTCATATCTTTTTCTATAACTTCTTATGTAAATCTAACCAGACATATGCCCAGAAAGAAGTAAATTTTATTAAGTAACATCAAGTTACTGATGTTATTATTTACCAGATTTTATTCTCCACCCCCTGTCAACCCCTGCTGCTTCCCTGACCTGGGTTCTTAACTTCTGACTGCAATGATCATGTACAGGCTATCCATTTGCAAAATAAAACAAGGAGGGGCTTTAAGATAGCTTGTTAAATGCATTTGGTATTTGCCTCTTCCACAAAGAAGAACTAAAATGGTGAGTAAATAATCATACTTTGAATAGATCATCTAAAAGAGAACACTAGAATTCAATACAGAAGTGACAGGAAACACCAAAAGCAAGTAAAGAGAGGGAACTGAGTCAGGTTGTTCTGCTGGGATTGGCTGGGAGTCTGGAGAGGTTTCCTAATGCAGGGAAACCATAAAAATAAAATACCTCCAGCAGTCTACATTCCCACCATGAACTTCTAATTTCCAGAATATATAAGGAACTCAAACAACTTAGTAAACAAGAAAAATAATAATCCCATTAAAAAGTGCGCAAAAAACATGAATAGACATTTCTCAAAAAGAAGACATACAAATGGCCATTAGGCAAATAAAAATGCTGAACATTACTAATAATCAGGGAAATGTAAATTAAAACCACAATGAGATATCATCTCATCCCAGTTAGAGTGGCTATTACTACAAAGACAAAAAATAACAGATGTTGGTGAAGATGCATAGAAAAGGGAATTCTTATACATGATTGGTAAGAATATAAATGGAAAAAAGTATGGAGATTTCTCAAAAAACTAAAAATAGTGCTATTATAAGATCCAGCAATCCCACTACTGGAGAGATATACAAAGAAAAGCCATCAGTAGTCAAAAAGATATGTACACTCCCATGCTTATTGCAGCACTGTTCAAAATAGCAAAGATATGGAAGCAACACAAGTGTCCATCAACAGATGATTGGATACAGAAAATGTTGTATATATACACAACTAAATATTATTCATCCTTAGAAATGAGTAAAATTAGAACACATGGACACAGGGAGGGGAACATCACACACGGGGCCTGTTTGGGGGGTGGGGGGCTACGGGAGGGATAGCCTTAGGAGAAATACCTAATGTAGATGAAGGGTTGATGAGTGCAGCAAACCACCATGGCATGTGTATACCTATGTAACAAACCTGCATGTTCTGCACATATATCCCAGAACTTAAAGTATAATAAAAAATGGCAAAAACAGCAATACAAATTCAAGAAAAAAAAGAAATGAGTGAAACGATGTCATTTGCAGCAGCATAGATGGAACTGGATGTCATTATATTAAGTGAAATAAGTCAGGGATAGAAAGAAAAGAAAAATATATGTTCTCACTCCTATATGAGAGCTGAAAAAGTTAATCTCATGGAGGTAGAGAGTAGAATGATAGCTACCAAAGGCTAGGAATGGTATTTGGAATGGGGCGGGGGGTGGAGATGAAGAGAAGTTGGTTAATGGGTACATCAGTTAGATAGAAGGTATAAGTTCTAATTTTTCACAGCAGAGTAGGGGGACTATAGTTAGCAACAATGTATGGTATATTTCAAAGTAGCTGGAAGAGAGGACTTGAAGTTTCCCAACACATAGAAATGATAAATACTCAAGGTGATGGATACCCCAAGTACCTTGACTTGGTCATTACACATTCTATGCATGTAACAGACTATCACACGCACTCCAAAAATATGTGAAATATTTTGTATCAATAAAAATACATAAATGGGGTTTGTCTCAGAATTTTATTAATATGATAAAAGAACAGGTGAGAATAAACTGACACTCAAGAGTTGAGAACCATAGATACTTTATAATATAGTAAATCTCAGCATACTTATTTATAATATAATTGTTATACTATATATTTCTGATATAAATTTCAAATTCCCTCTCATGATATCACCTGGACAGGTACGGCTAAAAGAAAAATGTTTGCTCAACACTTTACCTCTTCTGGCAAATTCTGCCTGTCCTCTCTTCCATCACTTAATGAATGTACATTTTCCACAAGGGTCCGTAGTAGGATCTCCATTTTTAAACTTAGGGCCATTTTCAGCATTTAAAGAAAATTTTGAGCCTTTGCTCATGTGGGTTCACTAAGTTTACTTTAAATACTGAGTTTTAATCAATGGGGGGCTTTTCAGGAGGTGTCATCTCTCAATTATGTTCTGTAAAGCACCAGCCCTAATTGTTTATCTTTAAATGGTTTCTTTTTCTGCTGATGTGAGTTTCTAGCTCTTTGGGTTTGGCTCCTGGGCCCTTGATTGCTTAGAGGAGAAAGGGTTTTATCTTACATACAGTTTTGCAGGAAGATTAATATTCTGAGAGGAGTCTGAGCTGAAAACAATTTCCTCATGGTCAGAAATAAGGACTTCTTGCTGTATCCTGTTTAACTCTCTTAACTATTCCCTTTCTCTTCTCATTCTCTGCCTAGTAGGTTGTAAATATCACTGCTTAATGTCTGTAGTGTGGTGTCAATTGCATGAGAACAATCTTTTCTTGATGACCTTCATTTATGAATAACCCCACATGGACATATAAAAACAATAATGCATAAATACATACAATCTATTTTTGAAAGTGAATTGACTTCAGTTTGTTGGAAGAAAGAAAATAAAGTATGTTGAAGATGTGACAAATTTTTCTACATAATATTTAGATGAAATCACTAATAATAGCCATAATGCAGTAAGAGACTTCCAGTCTCTTACGTCCCCTGCCAATCTTCTTGTCTTTTCCATGGCTCTGAATCTTGGGGAAAGTGACATGGTTAATGGAATTAACCTTTTTGGATTACTTATTATGTGTAAGATAGTTATACATATTAGTTATCTCATTTTTAATGTTTGAAAAAATTCTATTTCTTCTAGTCTTCATTTACAAGTAGAAAAAAAGAGGATCTGAGAGGTTAAGTAATCTTCAACAGTATGTCATGTTTATTAAAGGTCTATTATCCTAGCATTGTCAGTGAGACAGGAATAATTCCTGCTCTCCTACAGGAAATAAGTGTTTTTTCATGCAATGCATAAGGAAGTTCAAATATCAGTAGAAAAATGAACAAACAAAAAGCAAAACAAAGTAAAATACTTGCAGATGTATATTTGGAATAGTTGGGTGAGTCCGAAGGTGGGAGAAGTGGTGGTTACAGAGTGGGCTGCCTGAATTTAATGCTTCAGCGCTGAGGGTGCCTAAGGCTTTGGTGTCAGAAAATAAGAGCGTGAAATTTGAATACAGAACTATCTTATTCCAAGCCTGTACTCTTACACTACATCACATTACATTTATATACTAAATGACGTATATGTAAGAGAGGAATTCAACATCATAGATGACAAAATACAAGTTTTCTGGTATCTACTTTCATACAAACTTGGCAGCAAAAGAGGGCCAAAATTGTGAACTATTAAATGTTGATCTTGTGTCTTATTCTTCTTTTTGTATCTCCTCACTTTTTTCCCCCTTTGTTTTTCTTTCTTTCTTTCTTTCTTTTTTTTTTTCTGAGATGGAGTCTTGCTGTGTTGCCCAGGCTGGAGTACAGTGGGGCGCGATCTCGGCTCACTGCAAGCTCCGCCTCCCGGGTTCACGCCATTCTCCTGCCTCAGCCTCTTGAGTAGTTGGGACTACAGGCGCCCACCACAGCGCCTGGCTAATTTTTTGTATTTTTAGTAGAGACGGGGTTTCACCGTGTTAGCCAGGATGGTCTCGATCTCCTGACCTCGTGATCCACCTGCCTCGGCCTCCCAAAGTGCTGGGATCACAGGCGTGAGCCACCGCGCCCGGCCCCCCACCCCTTGTTTTTCTTTACCAGCTCGTTGTCCAAATGCTCATAGTTCCAGGCCTGATTTATGTAAAATCAGAAATTGAAGTTATTTACTCACTAGCCTATTCAAGTTCCCAAAATTGCATTATCTTATGATTTGGAGAGATACATTTCAATATATCCAAGAAAATATGTTAGTGGGGCAACCAGATAACATTTTCGATGTAACCCAAAACAATAATTTCAAAAGTTCTGATGAAGGGGAAAGCAGACTGGGCTACAGATTGGAAAAAAAAAATGAGTGACGTTATATACAAATCTTCAAATTCTAATGTTTAGAAAGATGCTTTATTTGCTCCTGCTTAAACCAGAAGCTTGGGTTAACAGAGAGGTCCAGAGTTTTGGGGCAATGCTTAAGAAATTACTTTAGGCACCAAGATAGTAGGAAGATAGTTTATCTTTGCATCTTCTTATTCTGTACTCTGTATGTATATTTGAAATATTGCCTCATTTTGGATATGGATATAGGGAAGCTAGAAGAGATTAGATTAGGATGCAGATTTTGTTCTATTATTTGTTAAAATTTGTCTTGGATTAGTAATTATAAAACTCTCTTAATAATTGGTTCTGTATCCCATGTCAATCGTGGATCATGTAGTCCAATTTCTGGTAGGTAGGTAGCCATATCTTCACAAATGCCACCACAATTCACAACAGTTCAGAAGGTCCCAGTTGAGCAGTGATGATTAAATCAGTCAAATCTACACTCGGTTTTTAATTCAGTCATCAACTCACTGTTGGAAAAGTTTGGTTTATTATTACTTACACAGCATTTTTAAGGTATATAGAAGATTTGAATTTTTATCATGGCCATTTGACACTCTCACATTACAGTTTCATTAAAAGTCATACTGATGACAAAGATGTGTATTTTAATAAATCATAATTTTATGGCTGTCATTACTAGGTAAAATGTATATCAGTTGACTTCCCTTGATCATAGTTTGTAACTGAGAACAAATTTACTCTGCCATGCATAGAAGGGGTTTATAATCATTTCAACATTTTCAGCAAAATATTTATAGGTATTACTAAAAACATGCTTATGAGGTCAAATAACTCTGGGAAATGCCAGTTTTTAGAAAGATTTCTCAACTCAAAAACTTTTCAAAGCCTATAATATGCTAATAGACGTTTTGGGTCTCTAAAAGGGAATTATAGGATGCTGAGTTTCCCAAACTGTTTCACTGCAGAAATTTTTTTTATATTTTTTAATTTTTATTTTAAGTTTTGGGATACACGTGCAGGATAATCAGGTTTGTTACATAGGTAAATGTGTGCCATGATGGTTTGCTGCACCTATCAATCCATCACCTAGGTATTAAGCCCCACATGCAATAGCTATTTTTCCTACTACTCTCCCTCCCCCAGCCCCAACCCAATAGGCCCCAGTGTGTGTTGTTACCCTCTCTGTGTCCATGTATTCTTATTGCTCAGCTCCCACTTATAAGTGAGAACATGCGGTGTTTGGTTTTCTGTTCCTGCATTAATTTGCTGAGGATAATGACTTCTAGCTCCATCCATGTCCCTGCAAAGGACATGATCTTGTTCCTTTTTATGGCTGCATAGTATTCCATGGTGTATATGTACATTTTCTTTATCCAGTATATCATCGAAAGGCATTTGGGTTGATTGTATATCTTTGCTATTGTGAATAGTGGTGCAATGAACACATGGGTGCTTGTATTTTTGTAGTAGAATTTTTTATATTCCTTTGGGTATATACAGAGTAAAGGGATCACTGTGTCAAATGATATTTCTGGTTCTATATCTTTGAGGAATCACCATATTGTTTTCCATAATGGTTGAACTACTTTACATTCCCACCAACAGTGTAAAAGCATTCATATTTCTCTGCAACCTCACCAGCATCTGTTGTTTCTTGACTTTTTAATGATCGCCTTTCTGACTGGCATAAGATGGTATCTTATTGTGGTTTTGATTTGCGTTTCTCTAATGATCAGTGTTGTTGAGCTTTGTTTCATTAGTTTGCTGGCTGCATGAATGTCTTTTAAGAAGTGCCTGTTCATGTCTTTTGCCTATTTTTAAATGGAGTTGTTTGTTTTCCTCTTGTAAATTTGTTTAAGTTCCTCATAGATTTTGGACATTAGACATCTGTCAGATGGATAGATTGCAAAAATTTTCTCCCACTCTGTAGGTTGCCTGTTTGCTCCTATGATAGTTTCTTTCGCTGTGCAGAAGCTCTTTAGTTCAATTAGACTCCATTTGTCAATTTTTAAAAAGAACATCTTATCAGACCACCAAAGTAAATGATACACTTTGGAGACTGCTGGATTAACATCCATCTAACCGACTTCTAGTTACTTCAATGCTTTATGCTTACCCATAATCTGCCAGAGTGCTGGGATGACCCCTCCATGTGTTCATTGCTTGGAAAATATTTTAAAAAGCACTTTATTCTCTAAGTTGTTTATTTTCTCTGAAGGTATCTGGGATCCAAATCCTTGGTAAAATTGTGAAATTGGTCATATTTGTCTTTGGTATGTTCTCACCAGGCTTTAAAATGCTTTTCTCCATCTTCCTTAAGCATCTCGCTTTCTACAAGCTTCTTTTCTCTTGACATCCCATGTTCTCCTTACTCTAGAATGTCTACAGTCACCCTCTGATACCCTTTCTTTATATATCTTCCCACTGAGGTACATGATGTGGCCATAAATACCCTTTCCCCATCATCACAGTACGCTTTTACAGCATTCCATTGCAGCCTACCGATCAGCTCGCACTGAGATGTCAAGCTCCTGCTGATCATGACACTGATAATTAGCAAATAGGTGGGCATTGACAAAGAGAAGCTAAAGGTATCTGTTTTTGTACTGTAATAAAAACATCTGGGCCTTCAAGCTGGGAATTCAGAGACTTTAGCAGGGGCAAATATTTTTGGTCACCAGGATCTTGAGACTCCTCAATTAATAACAACATTTATAATCTAAAGAATGGCAGAACTCTATTTTAAAAAGTTATTTAATTGTATAAGTTGAGGTAACACTGGAATTATAATCAATAACTTAAAAAATTTAATTTTCATTAAGTAATTAAATAACTATGAGAATCTACTTATAAAAGAGTGACCTACAGAATAATATCTAAAGAGTACAAAGTGCATGATAATATATTCTGCTAAAAAAATTTTAATTCCAGAAAATATTTTAAATTACTTTTTAACTATAAATAGAAAACTTTACAGGTATTCAGATTGCATACATCATAGTCAAATAAAATTAACTTGAATATGCAAATGTTTTATGCTGAGGCATCCATCAAATTATAAACCAATACCTCAAGATGACATTCTAGTTGGCCTCAGAGTTCTAATTTTACTGTCGAATCTAGCAGTGCATCCCAAACAAAATTACATCCTGGATGTTTTTTGATGTAATAATAACATAAAATGTAATAACAAACTCAGTAGTGCTGAAGTATTTAGTGTCTAATAATATTAGCATTTTATCACTCCAGCTTTAAACATTCATCTAGGAAAACACATAGAGAGATAGTTATAAATCCTTTAAAAAGAATACCCTTAAATTTCTCACAGTGGAAATAATTTTATGTTTTGATGGATTGATTTGTTTTGTTCTGTTTTCAAAGATAAAATTATTTAAAGAAAAAATTAATGCTACGACAAGCCTGTTTTATTTCATATATTTACTTCCTTCAAAGAAACTAATCAATTAAAGATGCTTATATAAGAAATAGTCTTATATTTGTATTTTATACAAGCAAAACAATATAGTAAACAATAAGTAATTAAGTAATAAGTTCATATATAGGCTTGTTCATCTTACATTTTCTTATATTAAGTGAATTTAGTAGGTCCTTTTAAATTATCTGTGATAATTAAGTGGTTTATTTGAAAGGTTTTTATATTTCTGTTTATTTAAGCTGAGAATTCAGGGACTTTAGCAGGATAGGAGATATTTTGAGTAATACCTATTATTTCCTAAAACTGCAATGAATTTCTAGTCAATATTTTAACTTTAGGTAGTCATGCCAGTGATATGTGGAAATTTTAAAGCATCGTTGGCATGATATCAAAATACTGTGCTTGATAACATACATTTCTTTCCTCTATATGCTGCTCACTCATACTTTATTTTAAAAAGTCTGTATAATTTTACTTATGACATTGCTTTGAAATTTACCTGTTTAAACGTGCACATACATTTCTTTTTACCTTCATCTCTTGTGCTGAGCACAGTTCCTGGTGTACAGTCTTGGATTCATATCAGTCCATGTGGCAGCAGTTCCTGTGGAGCGAATCATGAAGACTGACATGCCATCTGAAATATTTTGATGCAAATAGATGGCATTTCAAATTATGGCAATAACATTCACACTCCAAACTCATACTTAGAGTCTAACACATCACAAATAACTAAATTGACCTTCATACTGTGTCTAAAAAAGAGTGTTCTTTATGTTTCTTTGAAAACAGTATCAATAAGTAATTTCCTATCTTCTCTGCTTCATCTTCTTTCTCTTATCTTTTCCCATTTGTTCTGTAAAATATCAGTGCAAAGTATAATTTATACCTTCCATGTATACATTGCTTTACAGTTTACATAATATTTCATGTATATTATTTCATTTAATCCTTATTACAAAGGAGATGAAGCAGGTATTAGAGTCTTGCTTGATGGTGGAAAAAACTAATCTGATATCCAAAAGTCACAGTGGCAGAGTTACAAATAGAATTGTCATCTTTGTGTGTGGTTGGTGATTAAGGGCTGTTTCCCAGGTTTCCTTACAGCTAAATGTAGTTCACGTGACTAAAGTTCTGGCCAATGGGAAGAAAATAGACATGCCACGTTCAATTTCTTAGTAATTTCTTTATAACAAAAGGATGCCTTCTTCCCTGCTTCTTTCCTCTTTTTTGACGACTGGAATGTGTAATGGTGATGAGTCATCTTGGACTGCTGGAAATGGATAGAACCCTGGGGATGTCTGAGCAGCAAGGTGGAGAGACACTTAGCCTCACCCAACTTCATGGAGCAGAATCATCACCATATCAGCTCAGAACTTATGTGTGAGGGAAACAAATTTTCTCTTTTAAAAAATATTATTTTGTATCTCTCATTTATAGCAGCCAAACCCATATCAAAACTGAAATGATAACAAAAGCAGTATTTTTAATGAATAAATTGTTTGTTATGATGTCTTGTACTTACAGGCTTATCTTTCCACAGTGGTTACGTACCCTCTCCATTCTGGGAACTTCCTCAGTTGGGAAATAGGCTTTAGTATTAACTGACATGTAGAGGATTTTTTTTTGTTTGCATTAACATAAAAAATACATATTTATATTTGTGTCTTCTCATATGCAGTGAAAAAGTAAGGGGTCTTCCTGATATGTCCCTACTATATAGCTTATCAAAAATTCACTTTATACTTAGACTTTTCCTTTACATTCATTTATTTCCCCTTTTTAAGAATCTAACATTTAGGACAAAAGGTGTGCTCATGCTGGTCCTCATTTTGTCTTATTCTTTGGTGTTTACAGTGACTACTGTACAGTTTGAAAAGTAGTAGTGAGAATTTATTGGACTTTTCCCTCTCAGCACTGAACAAGGAGTAATCAAACATGACTATTTGGGCAGGATTATTATGATATGAGTATCCGACATCACACTGCCGACAATTTGCTGGAAGATTTAACTTGGCAAATAAAAATTGAATTTTTGTGGGATCATAGCAGTCACATATTGGACAATCTTTTTAATAATCTTAAAGCCTAGAAGTTTCTCGGTTCAATAGTCTTCCGGAAACAAAAGCAGTATTTTTGCTAATTTAAATATTTTAAACAAGGTAGAAATGTATTCAACAGCTTTGTATTTCTTTCTTTTTTGGCTTTGTAAGACTAAACTCTATTTAAGATTTATTCCAGCTTGGGCTACACTTTGGAAATAGACTCAGACTTTGGAAACATGTTTTTATTTTGATTCATTAAGACAGTATCCTTTCTTCATTGTAAATGTAAGATTTTTATAAGTAAATAAAAGAGCAGATACATGTGTTTTAGATGCCTGTTTTTCTTTAATCTACAGGTATTTGCATGGTGTTAAAAAATTATACAACTTTTCAGAAAAAGAAGAGCCAAGGTCTGAGAAAGAGGTTTATAATTGGCATTATATCTAAGATTTAAGACATGCAAGTAATTTAGTAGTTAATTATTTTAAGCCTACCTGACCTTTCAACTGTGTTCCTGTTTCAAGGGAAGAATGCTCAGAGTTCATCATTCCTCAGTGATTTACAATTTTTTTCTAGATTCCATCCCTTTGGAGATAAATAAAGCCTTTCTTTTCCAGGATATAATAATTCCCCTTCTTTATCTGTGTTATAATATTTAGTCTTACAAATTTCCCTTTCTTATTGGTAATTCGTGACATTTAGAATGGACTGAAATAATTCTAAATCACCCACTTTTTATTTATTAAATTTAACACAACCTAAAGAAATGTGCAACAGAAAATAGATATGCTTCAAAAATAAAGACCCCATTTTTTTACTTCAATAAACTTTTAATCCTTTTATTACAATTATTTAGACTTGATGTAATTCATGCATTTTAAGCAGTTTAGAAGATATTCTCAAACTGCAGCAGATAAATGTTGATATGTAAATTCAAAGCAGATCTCTTAGAAAGTCTTTTCTGGTTTCAAAGATCTATAGTTCCTTGTTAGTCATTTTCTTCTTATTAGATTAAGTTTTCACTTCATTTATCATGGAAAAACCACAGATTTGGAAGCTGTCCCTACTACTCGAAATGTGATTCATGGATCAGCGCTTAGGCACCACCTGGGAACTTGTTAGAAATGCAAAATCTCAATCCCATAACAGATTTCCAGGTGATTGGTGTTCATGTTAAAATTTGAGAAGCACTGTTCTAAAAGATAAGCCATCAGAGCTGGTTATGAGTGTGCACATGTATGTGTTCTTAAATGGAATTTTATATTTGTTGGTAGAAGTGTTACTTCATTTTGCTTTGCTATTATAACTAATTTCAACTCATAGTCAGCAAGATAACATGTGAATTAACCTCTACAATTTGTTTAGTGCTCCTCTTACTCTTGAATTGAAAATTATAAGAACTACCCTAATTCTCCTTTCTTAGCTGTCAGCCACATTTGATGGGGATTTCTAATTCCCCCGAACTGTGTGTCCTTTTAGAAAAAAAAATTGCTATTAGACTCCAGTTGGAAAGATAGCATGAATGCTAATATATTCTGTGGCAATGTATACCTTATATTTGCAAGAAAAAAGTAAGTTACAATTAGGTTAAATTTCTTGCCTTTGTTCTCTTCCAGACTTTAAACAAGTGAGTCCTTTCCTTCCAATCTAAGTATGGAGTACAATGGAACAGTAGAGCTGCACTGAAGACAAGACTTCTTGGGCTACCATTTTTCTGGAAGTTTCTACAAAGTCTGTTATTTATCATTCGGACAGACTGTGACAAATGCCATTTTAATTCAATGATATGATTAAATAAAGGTTTACTGATTGTTTCATTTCCTGTATAGTTCTATAATTTGATATAATCCCATGTGGGGTTTTTTTTGCTTTTGTTGCTTATGCTTTTGGTGTCATGCCCAGAGGAATGTCATTGAGGTTTCCCTCTGTTTTTCCCCAGTAATTCTTTGGGTTCAGGTCTTATGTTTACATCTTTATTACATTTTGAGGGGTTTTTTTTGTATATGGTATCAGATAAAGGTCCAATTTCATTCCTTTGTATGTGAATATTCATTTTTCCAAACACCTTTTATTGAATAGATTATTCTTTTTCCATTGTACGTTTCTTGACATCCATGTGAAAGGGCTCTCTATTGTATTCTATTTGTCTTTATGTCTATTTTTATGTGATTACCATGCCATTTTGATTACTGTAACTTTGAAATATATTTTGAAATCAGGGAGTGAGGCTTCCCATTTTGATCTTTTTACTCAAGATTGCTTTGGCTATTTAAGATCATTTGTGGTCCAATATGAATTTTAGGATTGTTTTTTCTAATTGTGTAAAGAATGCCATTGGGATTTAGGTAGGGATTGCATTGACTCTGTAGATCTCTTTGGGTAGTATAAACATTTTAACAATTTAATTCTTCCAATTCAAAAGGGATGTCATTCTATTTATCTGTGCCTTCTTTCATTTCATTCATCAATGTCTAATGTCTTTTATCTCCTTGGTTAAGTGTATTCATAATAATTTTATGCTTTTTTTTGCTATTGTGAATGGAATTGCTTTCTTAATTTCCTTTTTGTATAGTTTGCTGTTTGTATATAGAAATATAACTGGTTCTCATATGTTGATTTTGTATCCTGTAACTTTACTGAATCCATTTATAAGTTCTAATAGTTTTCGTTGTTGTTATTGTTGTCTTTTGGGTTTTCTACATATATGATCATGTCTTTTGCAAAGAGAGACAATTTTACTTCTTCCTTTCCAATTTGGATAACTTCTATTTCTTTTCTTGTCTAATGGTTCTTCCAGGACTATATTGAATAAAAGTTATAAGAACCTTATACTGGTTCTTAGAGTGAAAGCTTTGGGTTTTCCCCCATTAATTATGTTGTTAACCATGGACTTTTCATATATGACCTTTATTATGTTGAGGTAAGTTTCTTCTATACTGATTTTGTTGAGAGTTTGAGTCACACATGGATGTTGAACATTGAACTACGTCAAAGACTTTTTCTGTGTCTGTTGAGATATTCTTTTTTTTATTTCAATAGTTTTTGGGGAACAAGTAGTTTTTGGTTACATGAATAAGTTATTTAGTGGTAATTTCTGAGATTTTAGTGCACCCATCACCTGAGCAGTGTATACGGTACCCAATGTGTAGTCTTTAATCCCTCTTTTGTTTTATTTTGTTAATGTGGGGTATTACATTGATTGACTTGCATATGTTGAAATGTGTTTGCCTCCCAGGGATAAATCCTACCTGGTGATGGTGTATAATCTTTTACATGTGCAGTTGAATTTTGTTTGCTACTATTTTATTGGAGATTTTTGCGTCTGTGTTCATGAGGGATATTGGTTTGTAGTTGTCTTTTCTTGTTTTTTCTTCGTCTTACTTTCGTATGAGAGTAATGCTGGCTTCATAAAAGGACTTTGGAAGTGTTTCTTACTGTCTTTTGTTTTTACCCTTTTAATTTTGTATATATGATAAAAATGTAAAAATTCTGTCGATGCTGAAAATTACTAAGTTAAACCTGCTAAAATGTGAAGAAAATAGACTGAAAAGGAATATACAGAATGAAAGAACATATCTGCCAATCATATTTCTCATAAGAGGTTAATATCCAAGTATATAAGAAACTCAAACAACTCAAAAGCAAAATAAATAAATAAATAAATAAAACCCCCAAAACAACAATGAACTGACTAAAATATGGGCTAAGGACCTGAATAGACATTTCTCCAAAAAAGACATACAAGTGGCTAACATGTACATAAAAGAGTGCTCAACATCACCAACCACAGGGAAATGCTAATCAAAACCATAAGGAGATATCACTTCACACCTGTGATCATCTGTGACTATCATCAAAAAGATAACAAATAACAAGCATTGTCTTGTTAAGCTTTGGAGAAGAGCTTCTACATTGTACATTGTTGGTGGGAATGTAAATTGGTACAGCCATTATGGAGAACAACATGAAGGTTCCTCAAAAAATTAAAAATATGGCTGGGTACTGTGGCTCAAGCCTGTAATCAGCACTTTGGGAGGTCGAGGTGGGCAGATCATTTGAGGCCAGGAGTTCTAGAACAGCCTGGTCAACACGGTGAAATGCCTCCTCTGCCAAAAATAAAAAAATTGGCCAAGCATGGTGGTGTGTGCCTGTGGTCCCAGCTACCTGAGGAGAATGAGCCCAGAGAATCTCTTGAACCCGGGAGGTGGAGGTTGCAGTGAGCCGAGATCATGCCACTGCACTCCAGCCAGGGTGACAGAGCAAGACTTTGTCTCCAAAAAAAATAAAAAATATATATATATATAATTTAAAAATTAAAAATAAAACTAGCATATGATCCAGCAAACCCACTTCTGGGTATACATCCAAAGGAGATGATATCAGTATCTTGAAGACATATCTGTACCCCATATTCATTGCAGCACTATTCGTAATAGTCAAATGATAAAGATAATCTGTGTCTGTTGACAGATGAATAAAGAAATTGTGATACATACACACACACACACACACACACACACACACACCCTGATTGCAACAGACTTCAAAAATAAGAAAGTCTTGCCATTGGTGACAACATAGATGACTTGGAGGACATCATGATAAGTGAAATAAACCAGGCACAGAAAGACAAATCCTGCATGATCTCACTTATATGTGGAATCAAAAGAAGTTGAAAGCTGAGAGTAGAATGGTGTTTGCCAGGGGCTAGAAGGTGGAGAAATGAGGAGATACTCATCAAAGGGTACAAATATTTAGTTATTCAGGATGAATAAGTTCTGGAGATCTAAAGTACAGCATGGTGACTATAGTTAATAATATCGTTTTGCATACCCAAAATTTGTAAGATAGTAGATCTTAAAGTTCTAATTACAAAAAATTGTAACTATGTGAAGTGATGCATATATTAATTATCTTGATTATGGTAATTATTTACAATATACGCATATATCAAACATCACATTCAACACCTTAAATGTATACAACTTTCATTTTTCAAGTAAACCTCAATAAAGCTAGAAAAAGATAAAGCCATGTGTGATTATGGCAAATAAAAGATACAATAGGATAAATATGAAATTTACTTGTTACCTTTTTGCAGTATTATTAAAAAACTAATAAAACAGTTTAATGAACTTAATTGTTTTTATTTTTTATTTTATTTATTAATTTTTGAGACAGAGTTTTGCTCTTTTGCCCAGGTTGGAGTGAAGTGGTGCAATCTCGGCCCACTGCAACCTCCACCCACTTGGGTTCAAGCAGTTCTCCTGCCTCAGCCTCCTGAGTAGCTGGGATTATAGGCACCCCCAACCATGCCCAGCTAATTTTTGTATTTTTAGTAGAGACGGGTTTCACCATGTTGGCCAGGCTCAACTTGAACTCCTGACTTCAGGTGATCCACCCGCCTCAGCCTCCCAAAGTGCTAGGATTACAGTTGTGAGCCACCGCGCCCAGCCAATGAACTGAATTGTTAACTTTAATGTTTGAGTCCATTAAATTGCTCAAGGAATTTCAATACAGATACCTACAACATTTTTCAAGTGCTGTATTTTTTTGGACAGAGACAATATTATTCAAAAATAACTTTTAAATATTATTTTTAAAACAAATTAATACATGTATATAGTGACACAATCAAACATTAAAGAAAAGTTTGTGATAAAATGCCATTGCCTTCTACCCATTCAAATTCCAATGAGTGCCATTCTTTAAAAACAGATCCTTTAGCTGTACATTGTTTTCCTTTGTTTCCTCCATAACTCATATAATATACTTGTTTATTTCTTGAATAAAGTTTTGATAATATCAACTGACTCTGTAATCTTAAAAATGGGTATTTTTCTCACACC
The DNA here is from genome assembly GCF_000001405.40 of Homo sapiens. Lineage (NCBI taxonomy): Eukaryota > Metazoa > Chordata > Mammalia > Primates > Hominidae > Homo > Homo sapiens. The sequence continues at coordinate 28,274,758 of NC_000018.10, forward strand.
TTCTCCTTCCCCACTCTGCTTTAAAAATCATAACAATTGCTTTACTATTTTTAATCATATTGTATAAGTTTAAATAATGTATGAGCATTTCTAATTCCTGCTGGATCAACTTTTGATAGTATCTATTAGGTCTCCTCTTGTTAAATAAAAATATTTTTCTTCTCCTTCTTCTCCTTCTTCTTCTTCTTTTCTTTGAGACAGGGTCTTGCTCTGTTGCCTAGGCTGGAGTGTAGTGGTGCAATCATAGCTAACTGCAGCATCGAACTTCTGGGCTCAAGTGATCCTCCTGCGTCAGTTCCCCGAGTAGCTGGGGCTACAGTCATGTGTCACCATGCCTGGCCTTTTTTTTTTTTTATTTTTAATAGAGAGGAGGTCTCTCTATGTTACCCAGGCTGGTCTTGAACTCCTGAGCTCCAGTAATTCTCCTGCCTTGGCTTCCCAAAGTGTATTTGTGTCTTAAAAATCTCCCTCCATCTTCCTCACTGCCTCTGCCTCTATCCTTTAATTTCTGCCAGTCATAGTTTACTTTGTCAAGATTGTCAATAGTTACAATTATAAAACCCCAAGTGGTCCTAAGGGATTTATCCATAGTTGACAAGAAAATTTAAATACCTATAATTAGCACATAACGACCAAAAAAATATTGTTGCATTCTGGTGTTAGGTAGTTGCTAATATTATATTTCCTTCTCCACAAGTAGAGTACCATTTGACAGAGAATGTTCTCACCAATAATGTCAAATGGATTTTCTTTTCTTTTTCCTTTTTATTTTTTTGATACAGAGTCTCATTGTGTTGCTCAGTCTCATTCTGTTGCTCTGTAGCAGTGGCATGGTCTTCGGCTCACTGCAACCTCCACCTCCCAGGCTCAAGCAATTCTCCTGCCTCAGCCTCCCGAGTAGCTGGGATTACAGGCACCGGTCTTGATACCTGGGTAATTTTTGTATTTTTATTAGAGACAGGGTTTCACCAGTTTGGCCAGGCTGGTTTCGAACTCGTGACCTCAGGTGATCTGCCCTCCTCGGCCTCCCAAAGTGCTGGGATTACAGGCGTGAGCCACTACAGGCGTGAGCCACTGCGCCCAGCTTCTTTGCTTATATTCTACAAATTGCTTGAAATCATGCCATATTTCATTTGGCTTCATAACTGTACCATTAATTGATTTTTTTTGGTTATTATTCTTTCTTGCATGTCTGTTACTCTTAATGAATTTTACCTTTATCACAAGCTTAATATTGTTAGGTTCTTTATTATACACTCTATTTTATCTAGCCTGCTTATTTTCCCTGACAAAAAATAATTCTTTCAGAGCCATCCCTGTCTGGCCTCTTGCTTGAATCCCAGCACAGGAATCATCTTGGAACTTTCCTGAAGCTCCTCGGTGGGTCCCTTGTTATCTTTCTCGCTCTTGTTTTATTCCCTTACTTGTTGTAGTAGACCCTCATGTAGCTCTTTAAAATATTCTACATAAAATATATTCTTTTGAGTGTGTGAGAAATAGTCTCCATTCTGCCTTTACAGACAATTGATACCTGAGCTTATTATAGAATCTAGGTTGACAAGTATTCTCCCCTTAGAACATCGAAAGCATTATTTCATTGTTTTTTTTATTTTTTATTTTTTTACATTCAGTGTGGCTGATATGAAGTCAGATGCTAGTTAGCTGGCAAATTTGATTCCTCTTTGCAAGCTTTAGAATCTTTTTCTCTGTGATGACATGCTGTATCTAGATGTGGATCTGTTTTCTCTTTGCACTTGGTGTTTGGTAGATTTTTAATTCCGAAGACTTACACCCTACAGTTCTCAGAAAATTTCATGTATTATTTTTTAAAAAATATTTTCTTTTCCCCTACTTACTCTCTTATTTCTCTTTGGAATTCTTGGGTTGCAATCCTGGGCCTCTTGGGTTGGTCTTCTCTGTCTCTTGTAACATCTTTATTGGTGTGGGAGGCAGAGTTCCAGGATAGCCACCAAAATTCCTCCCACCCTGACTCCCTACATACGCTTTATGACTCCTTCCCCTTGAGTGTGAGTGGGGCCTGCAAATAGATGGGATAATAGATGAGATAACTCCCTTGATTAGGTTACTTTACAGGGTAAAGGTGATAGCATTGTCACATTTAGTGATTATTTTTACATTATATAAGACGCCTTCCTGGCAGCCTGTGGACAGATTCTGGCTTTGAGGGAATGTGTCGTCCCATTCTGAGACAGCCATGTAGATAGAACTGGAGGCCTCTAGTAGCTGGGAATGATCCATGGCCAATAGCCGGGAAAGATCCATGGCCAATAGTCAACAAGAAAACTGGGAGCTCCGTCCTACAACCACAAGAACCTGCATACTGCCAACAACCCAAATGAACTTGAAGGAATACCCACAGCCTAGATGAGAACACAGCTGAGCTGAAACTTTGATTTTAGACTTATGCAACCTTGAGCAGAGAAGCCAGAGGTATAATGCCTGGACTTCTGGTCTACAGAAACTGTGAGATAATAAATTAATGTTGTTTTAAGCCATATGTTTGTGATAATTTGTTACACAGCAATAAGAAACCAATACACTTTGTATTTTTGCTCTTTATTCGGTGAGTTTTATTAAATGATATTTTTCAGTCTTTTTGTAGTTTATTTTCTTAGAAATCCTCTTTTTAATCTTGGAAAGCATCTTGTTCTGTGCTTTTTTTCTTTTTCACAGAATCCTGTCTATTTTTAAGGTTGTACTACTTCTATAATCACTCTGAACATACTGAAGTTGTTTTAAAGTTCTCTCAGTATCCTTAATTATCTCTGCTTTTCAAGGGTCATTTTGCAGTTTGATATTTCTCTTTCATGTAGTTAGGTTTCCTAATATATCTGGTAATGCTTGGTTTTCAGGTTACATTTTCTAAAGGAGCGGGTTGCTAACGAGGGTTTCCTTTGCTGTGGCAGAAGTGCCTTTTCTAGCACTTCCTTACGGTCTCTTCAACATCTCTCTTGAGCAAGAATTCTGAAGGGGAATCCCATGTAGGTCGGGCAGACTATGCTGGTGGATTGGCTCTACTTTTACACTGAAGCTACGGTGAGCCCACTGGTCCTCTTGTTGTTGGAACTCATACTGGTTGAAAGAGAAGGGCTCTACTTCAGGGAAGTGTTGATGTTCACACCAGCTTCCCCAAACTGCTCAATTTTGGTAGAGATCATTTTCAGCCTGAATTTAAGTGACAGATGCCTGTGCTTTGCATCCAGCTGAGTATGAGTTGGAGAGGGATGGTGATGGGGATGACTACTTTTGCTATTGTCCCATACACAAACTTTATTTGTCCTCCCTTTCTTCTCCCCTACTTTCCTCCTTTTCTCCCTCACTTCCTCTCTCGCTCTTTCTCTTGACTTCAGTTCATTGCACAAAATTATTGGTTTTTGTGTAACTTTCTTTTGTTTCATTTAATTTAATGTTTCCCCCTTTGTTCTACTTATATTTTAATCTTTTCTACAGATACTCATTCTAATGTATTTGATAGATGTATTTATATATGCACCTGTCCTTTTTTACCAAGTTTGTTGAGGTATAATAGGTAAATAAAACTGTATATTTGTTTGTTTGTTTTTGGTTTTTTGAGACAGTGTGTTGCTCTATCACCCAGGCTGATCTGCAGTGATGCGATCTTGGCTCACTGCAACCTCCCTGGTTCAAGCGATTCTCATGCCCCAGCCTCCCAAGTAGCTGGGATTACAGGTGCCCCTTACCACACCCGGCTAATTTTTATATTATTTAGTAGAGATGGGGTTTTGCCATGTTGGCCAGGCTGGTCTTGAACTCCTGGCCTCAAGTGATCTGCCTGCATTGACCTCCCAAATTGCTGGGATTACAGGTGTGAGCCACTGCACCTGGCCAAATTGTATATGTTTAAAGTCTACAACATGGTGTTTTGTTAAACATATACATTGTGAAATGATTACCACAATGAAGATAATTAACATGTCCATCACCTAACTAATATGGTTTGGCTGTGTCCCCACCCAAATCTCACCTTGAAGTGTAATAATCTCCAGGTGTCAAGGGCGGGGTCAGGTGGAGATAATTGAGTCATGGGGGTGGTTTCCCCCATGCTCTACTCCTGGTAGTGAATAAATCTCACGAGACCTGATGGTTTTATAAGTGGGAGTTCCCCTGCACAAGCTCTCTGGCCTGCTACCATGTAAGATGTCCCTTTGCTTCTCCTTTGCCTTCCACTATGATTGTGAGGCTTCCCCAGTCAAGTGAAACTATGAGGCCATTAAATCTCTTTCCTTTATAAATTACCCAGTCTTGAGTATGTCTTTATTAGCAGTGTGAGGACAGACTAATACACCTAACATAGTGACCACTTTTTTGTGGTGAGAATATTTAAGATTTACTCTCTTAGCAAATGCTAAAAATATAATAATATAGTATTAATTATAGTCACCATGCTGTACATTAGAGCTTCAGAAGTTATTCATCCTGCATAACTGAATGTTTATAGCCTTTGACCAACACTTCCTCATCCCCCCAACCTCCAGCTCCTGGTAACCACTTTTTAAATTCTCTACTTTGATAAGTTTGACTTTTATAGTTTCTACATATAAATGAGAAAGTGCAGTATTTGTCTTTCTGTGCCTGGCTTATTTCATGTAGCATAATGTTCTCCAGGTTCCTCCATGTTGTCAGAAATGGCAGGATTTCCTTATTTTTTAAGACTGAATAATATTCCATTATATAAAGGAGTCTTATATAATGTAGTGTGTTTGTATATATATATGTATAAATGAAGTGTGTGTGTATATGTATGTGTGTATATATATACACATATATTATATATATAATTGTATAATTATATAATAAAAATAGATGAAGAAATTGAAGTGTGTGTATATGTATGTGTGGGTATATATATACACACATATACATACACATACATATACACACACTTCATTTTCTTCATCTATTTTTATTTATTATATAATGGAATACATTTTGTGTGTGTGTGTGTGTGTGTGTGTGTGTGTGTGTAGCTTATCCTTGAACAATGCAGGGGTTAGGAGGGGTACTATCACTCTTTGCACTGAAAATCTACCCATAACTTTCAATTTCCCAAAAACTTAGCTACTAATAGCCTGCTATTGACCAGAAGCCTTACTGGTTTGACATAAAACCTTACTGGTTTGATGACACACACAATAGATGAACACATATTTTGTATGCTATATGTATTATATGCTGTATTCTTACAATAAACTAAACTATAGAAAAGAAAATATTATTAAGAAAATCATGAGGAAGAGGAAATATATTTACTACTCATTAAGTGGAAGAGGATCATCATAAAGGTCTTCATCCTTGTCATCTTCACATTGAGTAGGCTGAGGAGGAAGAGGAAAGATTGGTCTTCCTGACTCACGGGTGGCGGAGGTGGAAGAAGTGGAGGAAGGGAAAGGCAGGCAGGAGAGGCAGGCATACTCAATTTAATTCTTATAAGAAAAAACTTGGGTAATAAGAAGACCTGTGCATTTCAAACTCATGTTGTTTATGATCAACTAAATACATACATGCACACACTACAATTTCTTTATCCATTTTTAATAAATGATATTTTCGTGTATATGTATTATTAATTTGCATTTATTATACTGAAGATCTTATTTTCTTTCTTGTTCATTCAATATTCTGATCTTAATGTGTTGCTATGTCTATATAATTTTCTATATAAAAAATCTTCTCATACAGAATTTAGGCTTAGTGTTATAGGCAGAGATAGGTGTCACAGAGAAGAGAGATATTGCCTTAAATTGAGACATCGTCTGACTAGAGCCAAGAGGTAGAATAACACTAAATCCTGAAAACCCAGCTTGAGCCCTGGATCTAGCCAGGCTTAGAGAGATCTGCAACTGTACTTTTCAGTTATTTGAACTAATATATTCTCCTTTTGCTTAATACAGGTTGGGTTGTATTTCTGTCATGTACACCATGAAGAGTCCTGGCAAAACATGTCCCAAATCTAATATAACACATACATAAAGAAACCAAATGTACCTCTGGGCTTCATATGATACACAACACACTGTTGTTTTACCTTAATTGCTAAGTAAAGATGTTAATCTTGTATTGTCTACCTTTTATGTTGTTATTTATGTTGTTCCTGGTAAGCATTATGTTAATCTATTCTTAAACAATTTAAAATGGTTTTAAGATATATTGTCAAATGTGTATATGCATATGTTCCACAATGCTGCTAGAGGATTAAATGTGTTTCTCATTTGTAGTTATCTTCTTAATGCATGGATAAGATTGAGGTTTTGTATTATCGGCATTTAGCATATTGCTTTTCTTTAAAATCTGGTCACTACTCTAAACAAAATGACCATGTAATAATCTTTAAAGTAAAAGTTAATCTTTGATTTCATTTGCGCATATATTGCCAAGGGACATCTGTGATCTTTAGGAAATAGAAGGTAGTGTTGCTTTAGTAAATGTCATTCTTTCTGCAGGTCTGTCTTGAATTCATTTTCTCTCCATTGTGCTCTATGTAATTAGAGGTTTTGTCTTTCAGAAAAAAGGAATGTTTGTTTTTGTTTTTGTTTTTTTTTCAAGATGGCAGATTAAAGGCTTTCAGCATGCCTCAGCCACTTGGAAATAGCAAGATAGTGCATAAAAATAAACTCTGTGAGCTTTAACTCAAGAAGAAAAAGGGAATCTACTGGAATTGTAAAGGACACTCCTGATCCCAGACAGGATGCTGGCAAACAGCCCCCATGATGATGTACAGTTGATAAAACTGAGTGAAGCCCCAGTCTATGAAGGAGACAGAAGGCCTCCCTCTGTGACTCACCTTTCCACTGGCGATCTGAGCAACCCAGGCTGAGGGACAGCAGTTTGTTTATCTCAAGCCCTGGGACTAACCTGGGGAGAGGCTTGAGATGCTGTGAGGGAAAGACATCGGGAAAACCTGCAGACATTCTCCCAGACCAGGGACTGAGACCAGGATGCCAGTTTTAATCTGGCCTACTGAAATTCATTTTGATCTGGCAGTGTGGCTGTGTACACATTTTAATCTCCAGCCCAAGACTGGAACACCTGCTCTGGAGTGGGACTGCCACAGCCAGAATGGTGGAAAGCACTTCAGCAGCAGGCAATGGAATTGTGTTCTCCCCCATCGCAGACCTGGGGTGGAAGGAGAGCTGCTACAAGTGCATTTTCTTCTGGGTGGCCAGACTCACACCCAGGGTCAGCTTGGCTACTTGGAATTGATCTGCATGTGCCATTGCTGGGTGCCCAGCCTGCTCCCCTGAAAGCATGGTGCAACAGGGCATAGATCACGGTGGACATAGATCTTGGTGCAGTGGGGCTCTCTCTGCTCCATGACCAGGCAGATCTCCAGGCATTTGAAGCACCTGCTTGCCTAATTCAGCAGCCTGAGCCATGCCACATTTCCTGTGCAGAGATCTTGGTGCAAGGGCACTCTCTCTGTTCCATACCCAGGCAGATTTCCAGGCATCTGGAGCATTCCCTCTCTTGATCTAAGAGTTTAGCCCACCCGCCCCCCTCCCTGTGTGGAGAACTTAGAACTGAGGAGCTTTCTCAGCTCTGTACCTAGGTACGCACCTGGGTACTCAGTGGTTGCTCACTGGATTCTCCCTTGGCATTGGTGCTTGTGCCTGCCATCAGGGGACCTGCAGGGGGACCTGCCCAGTTTGGCCTGCCTGCCCTTTGTGCCTCCCCAACCCACCTCACCCCACCTGGGACTGAGCAGGGAGTTCAGACCACTGTGCATTCCACAAATTAACCCATTGTCAGAGGCAACAGAGAGCTTCTGCCAGTAAACAAGGATTAAGCACATATCCAGCCATGCTGGCCGCAGCCAGCTCTTACCTATGGGTTGGTAGGTGAAATCGCACAGCCCAATATGAAACCTGCAAAAGAAATGCATAGGACTATAGAAAGAAAGCCAAAAGACCCTTCCCAGCATTCAGTAGAGTCACACCCCTAGAGAGAATGGAAAAGGGGAAAGGGAAATAAAAAAATAATAATATTATAGAGAAAGAAAAAATCCAACTCGCAGGAAAATAATTACAAAAATTAGAAGTGCCAGAGTCTTCAGATAAGACAAAACCAGCATAAGATTTCCCACAGGTATAGCTAGTATATTTAATATATCATTTGATTGTGCAAAAAAACTTCAGAATTTGCCTATATTCGGTATGACAGATCATTATTATTATTTAATGTAATTACAGTCTGTCCTTTGCCCAACCACTATTATATTGCTTTCTGTTATCTTGGATCTTAAATACAGTCTCTTTTCATATTGGCATACTAATATTTTTCAGTTTATATGCTCTGTCATATAATATTCTGAAATAAAACTTATCACGGCAATTCTGCATAAGGATTGGTCAGTGTGGTGGCTGTAATTCTGCAAACCTGCTACTTATTACCTTGGAACATCTCCAGTGGGGAGCAGGGGCAATGCAGGTCACAGTGCTTACTGATCCTATTGTCCCTTGATCTTCTAGGTTTTCTCACTGTTCTCTAGTCTCACTGTAGAAAGACTTGATCGCATATTGAAATTGACTGTCTATGGCAAGTGTCAAAAAATATAAAAATAATATCATAGCTTCCTTTGTACCTCAAACTAAGTAGCTTCATATTCCTTTGCTCATGCAACCCAATCATATTTGGGAAGCTGCAGATGAAAAGCATACTGACTTTTTCCTTTAATTTTTAGTGAATTCAGATATACAGTCATGCATTGCTTAATGGTGGGGATATATTCTGAGAAACGCGTTAGACTATTTTGTTGTTTTATGAATATCACAGAATGTACTTACAAAAACTTAGACGGTGTTGCTTACTAAACATGTAGGCTATATATGGTATGGCCTATTGCTCCTAGGCTACAAACCTGTACAGCATGTTACTGTGCAGGATTCTGTAGGCAATTGTAACACTATCATAAGTATGTGTGTACCTAAATATATCTAAACATAGAAAAGGTACAGTAAAAATATGGTATGAAACATAAAAAATGGTATACATATATAGGACACTGTGATAGTATTAAGTGTCAACTTGATTGGATTGAAGGATGCAAAGTATTGTTTCTGGGTATGTCTCTGAGGGTGTTGCCAGAGGAGATTGACATTTGAGTCAGTGGACTGGGAGAGGCAGACCCACCCTCAATCTGGGTGGGCATCATCCAATCGGCTGCCAGCATGGGTAGAAAAAGCAGGCAGAGGAAGATGGAAAGTGCAGACTTGCTGAGTCTTCCAACCTCATCTTTCTCCGGTGCTGGATGCTTCCTGCCCTCGAACATAAGACTCCAAGTTCTTCTGCTTTTGAACTCTTGGATTTACACCACTGATTTGCCAGGGGCTGTCAAGCCTTTGGCCAAAGACTGAAGCCTACACTGTTGGCTTCTCTACTTTTGAGGTTTTGGGACTCTGAATGAACTACTACTGGTTTCCTTGCATCTAAGTTTTCAGACGGCCTATTGTGGGACTTCACCTTGTGATCACGTGAGTCAGTTCTCCTTAATAAACTCCCTTTCAGATATACATATATCCTACTAGTTGTGTTGCCCTAGAGAACCTTGAGTAATACAAACATTTAACATAAACGGAGCTTGTAGAAGTGGAAGTTGTTCTGGTGAGTCAGTGATTGAGTGGTGAGTAAACGTGAAGGCCTAGGGCTTTACTGTACACCACTGTAGCCTTTATAAACACTGTACGCTTAGGCTACACTAAATTTATAAAAAACATTTTTCCTTCAACAATAAATTAACCTTAGCTTACTGTAACTTTTCTGCTTTATAAACTTTAATTTGTAAAACTCTTAAAATTTTTGTGATGCTATTTAGCTTAAAACACTAACACATTGCACACTGCGCAAAAACATTTTCTTTATCTTTCTTCTATAAACACTTGTCCATTTTTTCAATTTTTATTTCTTTTTTTTTTTTTACATTTTAATTTTCTCTGTCAAAAACTAAGACATAAACCCACACAATAGCCTAGGCCTACAAAGGATCAGGATAATCAATTTCACTGTCTTCCACCTCAACATCTTGTCCCAGTGGAAGGTCTTCAGGGGCAGTAACATGCCTGGAGCTATTATCTATGATAACAATGTCTTCTGGAATACCTCCTGAAGGATCTGCCTCAGCCTGTTTTATAGTTAACTTTAAAAAAAAGTAGATGGCGTATACTCTAAAATAACAATAAAAGCATAGTATAGTAAATACACAAACCAGTAAATAGTCATTTATTATCATTATCAAGTATAATATACAGTACATGATGGTAATGTGCTTTATGATTGGAAGTGCAATATGTTTGTTTACATCAACATCACCATAAACATGTGAGCAATGCATTGCACTGTGATATTACAATGGCTATGATGTCACAAGGCAATAGAAATGTTTCAGCTCTATTATAATGCTAAGACATCACTGTCATATCTGTGTGCCATCGTTGATTGAAACGTTGTGCTGTGCAAGACTGTAGTATGTTTGCTGTTTCTCTTCAAGAAGAAGGAGGCATACACTATCTTTTAAATTAATGTTGCTGTTCTGATTAGATACAGATTTGTGCTCATCATTATTGAGGATTTTTTCATCCTTTAGAAAAATTACAATTCAGAAAGGATGAGCATGAGAGAGGCAACACGGAGAATGGAAGTAGGCTGAGTGATTTTTTTTTTTTTTTTTTTTTTGAGACAGAGTCTCGCTCTGTCGCCCAGGCTGGAGTGCCGTGGCGCCATCTCGGCTCACTGCAAGCTCCGCCTCCCGGGTTCATGTCATTCTCCCGCCTCAGCCTCCCGAGCGACTGGGACTACAGGCGCCCACCACCAGGCCCGGCTAATTTTTTTTTTTTATTTTTTATTTTTAGTAGAGACGGAGTTTCACCGTGTTAGCCAGGATGGTCTTGATCTCCTGACCTCGTGATCCGCCCGCCTCGGCCTCCCAAAGTGTTGGGATTACAGGCGTGAGCCACCGTGCCCCGCTGGCTGAGTGATTCTTACCTCCAATCAGCACCTTCTACTTGATTCTTTGAATTCTTTTCTCATAGTATGCAACCTTTCTTTATCAAGGTGAGATAAAGGTCTCCAGGAGGGAAATCAAAAAATGCTGCTACTACTTGGTTCTCTTGTGGCAGCACTGGGCCCCTTTCACCATCATTTTATGAGTTTATGATTTTTTACATTATTTTTACCTGCTACTTTTGCCTAAAAATTTTCTCCCTTTGACCTAGTTGAAATCCGATCCATATCTGAGTCCATGTTAACGTGCATCTTCCCTATAAAGATGTCTCTGACCGTAGAAGTCAATATGGGTCTCAATTATGAATCAACCAGATTAGTATTAAATTTTCCTCAATTGTTCATGTGTTGTTGGTTTAGCATATGAGCTCCAGAAAAATAAGAAAGTTATTCTTTACTTCTGTCAGCACCTCACAAACACTGAACTGCATAGCTTCTTAATATGGATTGAGTTCTTAGAATTTTAAACATTTTTGTTCTGAATATATAATATTATGAAGGAGAAAAACATGTCAGTTCTCTGCATTTCAGTGGAGAGAAAAATTGAGCTTCAGAGACCACCAATGTTTAATGACATTTACAAATGTTGAGGCCAATGGGTGTTTGTCTAAGTTTTAGCTCATTATGTTTGCTGAGTTTTGTAACTGATTTATAATATCAGTAGACTTAAACCATAATTCTCTGCAAACTAACACAGGAACAGAAAACCAAACATGGCATGTTCTCACCCATAAGTGGGAGTTGAACAATGAGAACACATGGACACAGGGAGGGAAACATCACACACCGGAGCCTGTCAGGGGGTGGGGGGCTAGGGGAGGGATAGCATTAGGGGAAATGCCTAATGTAGATGACTGGTTGATGGGTGCAGCAAACCACCATGACACATGTATACCTATGTAAAAAACCTACATGTTCTGCACATGTATCCCAGAACTTAAAGTATAATAATAATAATAATTAAATAAATAAAAATTACACCACCATGTTGGTACAACATAAAAATATTTGGTTAGCTACTTTTAGTTAAATGACCAATTAAAATTCTTAAGCCTCTTGTTTCTTTGTAAATAGCAAAATCATGGTACTTGGCTCATTTTATTTTCACTTTTAGTGTGCTGTAAAACAGCACTATCTCCTAAAAGGAGATAGTCAACTGTTATGTCACTTGCCTTAGTTTGTATATTAAAAGATAACTGGCCTAACCATTTCTCAGTATGAAATGTAGTTTACTTTGCTTAGGAGTTTGAGAAGGCTATACCCATTTATCAAAGTTCAGTAACTTTTATTATCATCTAAATATGCTTAGAATGTATTTCTTATGGTTGAAAATACGTTTTAAGCATTTTTCTCATAGTGGAGTTAGCATTATGTTGCACTATCATTTGAAATCAAATTTGTTTTTGGAAAAATGAATGCTGTTGGAAGATATAGTTTTCCTTGATATCTGTTAACTCTATCAGGCAATGCAGTGTAATGGAAATGGCAGCAAGGTGTTGGTGTTAGACAGATCTGCATGTGAATGGCCAACAGATTAACCACTTGGCCTCTTGTTGATTCCTGAACTTTTGTTTGTCTTGGCCTCTGGTACTGTTAACATGTGGCCTCATCCTACTGACTGTCTCTTTGGGTGTTTACCCTTTTGACCATCTATTCCTTGCTAAAGTCCATGACTTGAAGCAACCATTTTTTGCTCATAATATTTTTCTGGGAACTTGAATTAAGCCTGCTAAAGCTTTGTCCTGTACTCTTTGGCTTATAATCAGGCTAAAAAATGTTGATGTGGAAAGGTTAGCAATGTGCTAAAAAAATTAAGTTAAAGTATTTATATTAAAGTATTAAAGTATTTATATGATATAAACATTATTTTAGGTGGAAACAACATGACTCAGACTAAAATTTTCATGCTCTGGAAGTGCTTTATTTCCTTTCACATTTTTAAAAGTTAATTTCAGATCACAGTGGTGCTCCCAAGTATAATTTGAAATGTTTGAAGTCATATCCATAATAGCTGGCAGTCTGATATATAAGAAAAATCAGTAGGACCTCACAAAAATGCTATTCTTAGTCAAAATAACAGATATCACATTTATGAGACTTAATAAAAAAGTAGATAGATTGGATAGCAAAATAAAGTAATGGTGTTTAAGGAAGCCTCTCAAGTGAGCTAATACATGCATCTCATTATGATCCCTGTCTGCTTTAGAATGTTGGACGCAAGGACAGGCATTGGATGCATTGCAATTAATTCAATAACAATAAATGAAAGGAAAAATTGATATATTTCTTACAGTGGTCATTAGGCCTCTTTGATAAAACACACTTACAGGAAGCTACCTGGCATGTTGTCTCTCGACCTCTCTATCTGTGCACAGGGTTTACATTAAGAATAAGGCAAAGAAGGCCTTATGATACAGAAAGTTATATAGAAAGATAAAGACAGAAAATTACAACTCAGATAAAATAATATTTTAGCAGCTTAATACTTTCAAAAGAATGAGAAAAAGTGATTGAAGATAGTCCTCGAGGCTGTTATTTTTATTTAGTTTATCCTCGTCTTATGCACAGGCTTTGGAAGAAATTCATTTTGACATGTTTAAGAGCATGATATAAAATACTGACTGTAGTGTTTACTGCTTAGATAAGTCAACAAACTATGGCACTTTTTACTTTTTCACATTGCCTAAGTAAATTGTTGTGTAGTTGATAAAATAATAAAATAATAACTTGGTATAGGGATATTTCTCTGAAGGATGAATCAATCACCTCATGTTGAACATCTGTGCCAGCAATGTATTTTTATTGCAGTTTTGAAAAAATAATATATTTTAGAAAGAATGTAACAAAATACAGAATATAGTTCTCAGATATATGCAGTCATATGTCACTTAAAGACAAGGCTATATTCTGAGAAATGCATTGTTAGGCAATTGTGCTATTGTGTGAACATCATAAAGTGTACTTACACATACCTAAATAGTATAGCCTCTATACAACTAGGCTGTATTTTAGCCTATTGATCTTAGACTGCAAACTTGTGCAGCACGTTATTGGACTGAATACTGTAGGCAATTGTAGCATAATGGCTGTGATGTCACTAGGCAATAGGAATTTTTCAGCTCCATTATAATATTATGGGACCACTGTCATATACATGATCTGTCATTGATCAAAATGTCATTAATGTGTCACGTGACTGTATTTGTTTTCATATACCCCCATGCATAAATAGGCGTACACATGTATGTTCTTTTAGAACAATTATTTGTCAGTTTATTTGAGGACAGCTATTTCTGAGGGTCGTTATGTTCGTTTCTCAGTGCTTAGAAAAAAACAATATGGAAAGTATTTTAAAATAATGATAATGCAAATTATTTTCCTTCAAAATTAAGCTAACCACAACAACAACGAAAAACTTGCCAATGATCTTATCACTTATATTTTATTGAGCTTAATTTTGTTTCTGTTTCTTTCTCTACACTGAATGGAAGGAACTATGTTTTACTGAAAGCATCAAAAGAAAAATGAGGCATCACATATGTGGGAACCATGATACAATTAATTGTTAAATTCTCGCTAGAAACTATAAAAGCCAGGAGACCATTGGTTTATTTTTGCTTTATATTTATTTATAAAGCACACAATTGTTTAAAAAGATTTATTATGCATATGGATTATATATAAGTATATAATACACTATAAAGTAGAGAATGGTGAAGCAATATGGAACTATACATTTGTAAGATTTTCATGTATTACATGAAGTAGAACAATGTTAACTGTAAGTGGACTGTGAAGAGTTAAGGACGCATATGTTAATTTTTAGCACGATTACTTAAAAATAATACTAAAACAGTATAGCTAAAAAGTCAATAGGAAAATTAAAATGGAATTCTAAAAGGTATTCAAGTTTATAAAAAAAGGCAATAAAAAAGAAACACAGAAACAACAAACAGAGAAAACTAATATAAAACAAATAATAAAATGGTATACTCACATTCACTCAAGCAAAGAATTATGTCGCGTAGTAATTCATTAAATACTCTAATCAAAGGCAGAGGTTGTTAGAATGAATAAAAAGAACAAAACCCAAACATTTGCTATCTATAAGTCATATGTTTAAAATATAAAAACAGTGTGGCTGGGAGGCTTCAAGTTGATCCCCATGATTTGCGCCTCTTCTAGTCATGTCCTTGCATAATCTTTTCCCCTTGAATATCAGCAGGATCCAGGGCTTTGTTCTAACCAATAGATTATGGCAAAGGTAACCAGATGGATGTTATTACATGTACATAGTTACTGTACATAAGATTGTAATGTCCATCTTGCTAGGAAACTCTCTCTCCCTCCTTGGCTTTGAAGACACATGCTGCCATGTTATGAGCTGCCATGGAAGGAGTGCCATCAGCACAGGATGTAGGGCAGCCTGTGGCTGATGGCCATCAAGAAATGGAGGCTCAGAGTCCTACAGCCTGAAAGAACCCGAATTCTGCCAGCAGTCACCTAAGCTTGGAATGAGATCCTTCCCCAGTGGAACTTCTAATGAGAACACGGCCCTTGCAAACATCCTGCTTGCAGACTTGCAGAGGACTCAGTGAGGTGTGTTTGGATAACATAGAAAGTGTAGATGATGCATGGGTTTTATTTTAAGAGGCTAAATTTTTTATAGTAATGTTATACGGTAAAAGATAACTAATCCAGATTTTGATATCTGGAAGTGGGTGTATTAATTTGCTAGGGCTACTGTAACAAAATATCTTAAACTAGATGGCTTAAACAAGAGAAATTCATCACCTCACAGTTCTGAAGGCTGGAAGTCCAAGACCAAGGTACTGGCAATGCTGGTTTCTTCTGAGGGTTGTGAGGGAGAGCTGATTTCATGCCTTTCTTCTAGCTTCTGGTGGTTTACTGGAAATCTTTGGCCTTTCTTGGCTTATATATGTATCACCTGATCTCTGCCTTCATTTTCTTATGGCATTCTTCCTGTGTGCATGTCTGCTTCTGTGGATAAATTTCTTCTTTTTATGAGAGCATAGTCATATTGCATTAGAGCCCACCATAAGGACCTTACATTAGCTTAACCTAATTTGCAAAGACTCTATTTCTAAATAAAGTCATACTTACAGGTATTGGGGGTTAGGACTCCAATGTCTTTTCAGGGGAAATGATTGAAACAGTATCAGTGGTTACTACCGAAACAATACCTAAGAGTGTGGAAGTGACTTTGGAACAAGGAAGTGGGAAGACTAGAGGATTTTGAGGACTGTGATAAAGAAAGATTAAGTTGCCTTGAACTGACTTAGTAGAAATCTGGACCTTGAGGAAACTCTCATTGAGGGTGACAGAGAAGGTGAGGAACATAGGAGTACTTGTGGAAGAGAGACCCATGTTATGCAGTTGCAGAAAGCTTAGTGAAATTTCTCCCTTAGTTATGTTTAAAGAAGAACACCTAAGTAATAAACCTTATTATTTAACTAAGGAGATATCCAAGTAAAGTGTTGAAGGTGCTGCCTGTTCCTTTTGCTGTGTATAGTAAAATGTGAGAGGAAAGAGATAAATTGAAAGAAGAAAGATTAAGACAAAAGCAACCAGGACTTGATGATTTAAAAAATCTTCAGCCTCTCCAGATGGCAAAAGATTCTACAATTAATTAATGACTTTTGAGCAAAGTCAGCAACAATCAGGAGAAATGCTCTTTCTTTAACTGTAAGGAGTACATAAGCTTGAAATTACTGGGACCTGTCAAATGGAGAAAGTCCGTCTGTAAAGTAAAACAATACAATCAAAGAAGAGCTAGGAGACAAAGGAATAGCTGATCACTGATAAAATAGTTAAATCCTCAATTTAGCCATAGTTGTTCTATCATTTAATTTGTAAATCAATAAATGCATGTTATTTTGTTTAAAATAGTGGGAATTCTTTTGTTATGTAAAAATTAGAGAACTAAAATAGAAAAGAAACACAAATTTAAAAAGAAAAATAATAAGGACACTTGCAAGAGAAATAAAAAATAAAGTCATTTCTCTTTGTGTGTAGGTTGATAAAAATAACAGCTTATATAATAATCACATTTTATAATCTTCAAATTTTCTGTTCAGCTAAATATAGTTAAGAATACAATAATTATAACTGCAGCCAACATACAAATCTGTTTTTTGAGAAAGAAGACAAGACTTATATTAAGTAATTGAAGAGTGTTCTGGAAATATCCTCAATGTTCTCAAATTTTTAACAGCAAGGGCCTAAGACATGAGGAAGACCATGTGCAAGATTGGGACTGCAACTCCTGGCAGATAAGTCTTTCCCTGCTAATATTCTTATGCTATAGTAGAAGTCCTGGAAGACACAACTCATTTCTCATTTTCTCTTTATGTAACTTTTGACTTTTTTTAGTCTTTAACATCAGCATTAATTATGTTCTAGTATAAATTATTGACTCCAAACTGGGGCAAGGAGGATTAAAGGGAGACTCCAGGAGAGATGATGACTTTTCCATAATGTGACTGAGAATTAGATGTGCTAAATGTCACTAAGTTGAGGCTTGCAAGAGATAATGAAAGTTTAAGAGCTTCCCCCAACCTATTTAAATTAACTTATTTGGGATTTTCTCTTTTTTGAAGCCAAATTTAGCTTTCAAGAAGAATTTTCTTCTTCTAAATTACTCAAGTGATAGCTGGTGATATACTCAGTGATAGAAAAATGGCACAGGGTCATCAGAAACAGTCTTACCAAGCACAGCACACACTTGAAACATCTGGCCCAGCCTTTGCATGCAGTTTTTAGTTCTGGGTTTTTAGATCTATGTGTGCACACAGGTAAGTATTTTCACTTGCTTATTTCTTATGGGGAAGCTTTAATGAAAAATATTTCTTTGTAGTTCAATAATAGGAGGTCTTATGGTGTGGAACATACAGTATTTTATCCTTCCCTCTGCCCTCAGATGTTAGGAATACTTTATTAGAGTGTCTCTTTCTAAAGAAATAGTGATTGGCTATGAAAATAGGCATACAGTAAAAAACTAAGTAATTGTCATATAGGATTCATAAATATTTATAACTTAAAAGCATTAGTTTTATGTAAAATGTTGAACTCATTGTTCAGAAAGGAGTTTTTGGCCAGGTGCTGTGGCTCATACCTGTAATCCCAGCACAAGCACTTTGGAAGATTGAGGCGGGTGGATGACCTGAGGTCGGGTGTTCGAGACCGGCCTGAAAAACATAAAGAAACTCCGTCTCTACTAACAATACAAAAATTAGCTGGGTGTGGTGGCACATGCCTGTAATCTCAGTTCCTCAGGAGGCTGAGGCAGGAGAATTGCTTGAACCCGGGAGGCGGAGGTTTCAGTGAGCTGAGATTGCACCATTGCACTCCAGCCTGGGCAACAAGAGCAAAAGTCCGTCTCAAAAAAAAAAAAAAAAGAAGTTTTTAAAAGCCTACAATAACCCATTTTAGTCTAGTACATTTAACAAAACCCTGATTTTCTACTACATTATTTCTGGGAAATATCACTGTTCAGCTTGCCATTCTGTGAAAGATTTGTAATGCCTTTTGTATTTAATATCTTGTTACTTTTTTATTCTAAAACTATGGCCTATTTTTTAATATAATAAGGAAAATTAAAGAAAAAAAACACTAGGAAAGTCACTATCCTAGGTTGGAGTCAATACCATTACTGCTATTCAAAGGCAGGAACTAATCAGATATTAGCTTGCAGCCAAGGAAACAGTTTTGTGTGTAATGGAAGGAGAAAAAAAGCCAAAGGCAAGTAATGTACTAGGACCTGAATGAAGCATGTAGGGGAAAGAATAGGATAATTCTTACTAGTTGCTTTTTAATTTTACCTGACACATTCAAACTGCTGTACCTCTAAATTATAGCAGATACGTATATATATATAGATTATGGGCCATCAATCAAGGAGTATATTGATAAAGCATGCCAAGGTTCCCAGTGTGATGAAGTATCATCCTATTTATGATATGCTCTATGTTAAATTTTATTTTACACAAATTAGAGTATGAAAGTAACTTGGTGTTGTTACCTTGTTCATTAATTTGACTGTTCATTTATTCAATAAACACTCATTGAAGACATAATACTTTTCAGATACTTTCTTTTTTATTATTCTTTAAGTTCTGGGTACATGTGCAGAACATGCAGGTTTCTTACATAGGTATACACGTACTATGGTGGTTTGCTGCACCCATCAACCTGTCATCTACGTTAGGTATTTCTCCTAATGCTATCTCTCCCCTAGCTCCCACCCCACAACAGGCCCCGGTGTGTGATGTTCCCCTTCCTGTGTCCATGTGTTCTCATTGTTCAATTCCCACCTATGAGTGAGAACATGCGGTGTTTGATTTTTTGTACTTGCGATAGTTTGCTGAAAATGATGGTTTCCAGCTTCATCCATGTCCCTACGAAGGACATGAACTCATCATTTTTTTATGGCTGCATAGTATTCCATGGTGTAAATGTGCCACATTTTCTTAATCCAGTCTATCATTGTTGGACATTTGGGTTGGTTTCAAGTCTTTGCTTTGTGAATAGTGCTGCAATAAACATACGTGTGCATGTGTCTTTATAACAGCATGATTTATAATCCTTCGGGTATATACTCAGTAATGATATGGCTGGGTCAAATGGTATTTCTAGCTCTAGATCCCTGAGGAATCACCACACTGTCTTCCACAATGGTTGAACTAGTTTACAGCCCCACCAACAGTATAAAAGTGTTCCTATTTCTCCACATCCTCTCCAGCACCTGTTGTTTCCTGACTTTTTAATGATCGCCATTCTAACTGGTGTGAGATGGTATCTCTTTGTGGTTTTGATTTGCATTTCTCTGATGGCCAGTGATGATGAGCATTTTTTCATGTGTTTTTTGGCTGCATAAATGTCTTCTTTTGAGAAGTGTCTGTTCATGTCCTTCGCTCACGTTTTGATGGGGTTGTTTGTTTTTTTCTTGTAAATTTGTTTGAGTTCATTGTAGATTCTGGATATCAGCCTTTTGTCAGATGAGTAGATGGCAAAAATTTTCTCCCATTCTGTAGGTTGCCTGTTCACTCTGATGGTAGTTTCTTTTGCTGTGCAGAAGCTCTTTAGTTTAATTAGATCCCATTTGTCAATTTTGGCTTTTGTTGCCATTGCTTTTGGTGTTTTAGACATGAAGTCCTTGCCTATGCCTATGTCCTGAATGGTATTGCCTAGGTTTTCTTCTAGGGTTTTTATGGTTTTAGGTCTAACATTTAAGTCTTTAATCCATCTTGAATTAATTTTTGTATAAGGTGTAAGGAAGGGATCCAGTTTCAGCTTTCTACATATGGCTAGCCAGTTTTCCCAGCACCATTTATTAAATAGGGAATCCTTTCCCCATTTCTTGTTTTTGACAGGTTTGTCAAAGATCAGATAGTTGTAGATATGTGGCATTATTTCTGAGGGCTCTGTTCTGTTCCATTGGTCTATATCTCTGTTTTGGTTCCAGTACCATGCTGTTTTGGTTACTGCAGCCTTCTTGTATAGTTTGAGGTCAGGTAGCATGATGCCTCCAGTTTTGTTCTTTTGGCTTAGGATTGACTTGGCAATGTGGGCTCTTTTTTGGTTCCATATGAACTTTAAAGTAGTTTTTTCCAATTCTGTGAAGAAAGTCATTGGTAGCTTGGTGGGGATGGCATTGAATCTATAAATTACCTTGGGCAGTATGGCCATTTTCACGATATTGATTCTTCCTACCCATGAGCATGGAATGTTCTTCCATTTGTTTGTATCCTCTTTTATTTGGTTGAGCAGTGATTTGTAGTTCTCCTTGAAGAGGTCCTTCACATCCCTTTTAAGTTGGATTCCTAGGTATTTTATTGTCTTTGAAGCAATTGTGAATGGGAGTTCACTCATGATTTGGCTCTGTTTGTCTGTTATTGGTGTATAAGGATGCTTGTGATGTTTGCACATTGATTTTGTATCCTGAGACTTTGCTGAAGTTGCTTATCAGCTTAAACAGATTTTGGGCTGAGACAATGGGGTTTTCTAGATATACAATCATGTCATCTGCAAACAGGGACAATTTGACTTCCTCTTTTCCTAATTGAATACCCTTTATTTCCTTCTCCTGCCTGATTGCCCTGGCCAGAACTTCCAACACTATGTTGAATAGGAGTGGTGAGAGAGGGCATCCATGTCTTGTGCCAGTCTTCAAACGGAATGCTTCTAGTTTTTGCCCATTCAGTATGATATTGGCTGTGGGTTTGTCCTAGATAGCTCTTATTATTTTGAGATATGTCCCATTAATACCTAATTTATTGAGATCTTTTAGCATGAAGGGTTGTTGAATTTTGTCAAAGGCCTTTTCTGCATCTATTGAGATAATCATGTGGTTTTTGTCCTTGGTTCTGTTTATATGCTGGATTACATTTATTGATTTGCATATGTTGAACCAGCCTTGCCTCCCAGGGATCAGAGCAGATCTGGAGGAAATAGAGACACAAAAAACCCTTCAAAAAATCAATGAATCCAGGAGCTGGTTTTTTGAAAAGATCAACAAAATTGATAGACCACTAGCATGACTAATAAAGAAGAAAAGAGAGAAGAATAAAAAAGACGCAATAAAAAATGATAAAGGGGATATCACCCACCAATCCCACAGAAATACAAACTACCATCGGGGAATACTATAAACACCCCTACGCAAATAAACTAGAAAATCTAGAAGAAATGGATAAATTCCTCGACACATACACCCTCCCAAGACTAAACCAGGAAGAAGTTGAATCTCTGAATAGACCAATAACAGGCGCTGAAATTGAGGCACTAATTAATAGCTTACCAACAAAAAAAGTCCAGGACCAGATGGATTCACAGCTGAATTCTACCGGAGGTACAAGGAGGAGCTGGTACCATTCCTTCTGAAACTATTCCAATCAATGGAAAAAGGCAATCCTCTCTAACTCATTTTGTGAGGCCAGCATCATCCTGATACCAAAGCCTGGCAGAGACACAACAAAAAAAGAGAATTTTAGACCAATATCCCTGATGAACCTTGATGCAAAAATCCTCAATAAAATACTGGCAAACCAAATCCAGCAGCACATCAAAAAGCTTATCCACCATGATAAATTGAATGAGCTTCTTAATTCTGTGTTCTAATTTGATTGTAGTGTGGTCTGAGAGACTGTTTCTCATGATTTCCATTCTTTTGCATGTGCTGAGGAGTGTTTTACTTCCAATTATGTGGTCAATTTTAGAATAAGTGCAATGTGGTGCTGAGAAGAATGTATATTCTGTTGATATGGGGTGGAGAGATCTGTAGATGCCTATTAGGTCCGCTTGGTCCAGAGCTGAGTTTAAGTTCTGAATATCCTTGTTAATTTTCTGTCTCATTGATCTGTCCAATATTGACAGGGGGGTGTTAAAGCCTCCCACTATTATTGTGTGGGAATCTAAGTCTCTTTGAAGGTCTCTAAGAACTTGCTTTATTAATCTGGGTGCTCCTGTATTGGGTGCATATATGTTTAGGATAATTAGCTCTTCTTGTTGCATTGATCCCTTTACCATTATGTAATGTTCCTCTTTGTCTCTTTTGATCTTTGCTGGTTTAAAGTCTGTTTTATCAGAAACTAGGATTGCAACCCCTGCTTTTTTTTTGCTTTCCATTTGCTTGGTGAATATTCCTCCAACCCTTTAGTTTTGAGCCTATATATGTCTTTGCATATGAGATGGGTCTCCCGAATACGGTATCCCGATGGGTCTTGACTCTTTATCCAATTTGCCAGTCTGTGTCTTTTAATGAGCTGGTTATTATCCCCTTGAGTTGATGCAGTTTCTTCATAACATCGATGGTCTTTCAATTTTGTATGTTTTTGCAGTGGCTAGTACCAGTTGTTCCTTTCCATGTTTAGTGCTTCCTTCAGGAGCTCTTGTAAGGCAGGCCTGGTGGTGACAAAATCTCTCAGCATTTGCTTGTCTGTAAAGGATTTTATTTCTCCCTCACTTATGAAGCTTAGTTTGGTTGGATATGAAATTCTGGGTTGAAAGTTATTTTCTTTAAGAATGTTGAATATTGGCCTCCACTCTCTTCTGGCTTGTAGGGTTTCTGCTGAGAGATCAGCTGTTAGTCTGATGGGCTTCCCTTTGTGGGTAACCTGAGCTTTCTGGCTGCCCTTAACATTTTTTCCTTCATTTCAACCTTGGTGAATCTGACAATTATGTCTTTTGGGGTGGCTCTTCTCAAGGAGTATCTTTGTGGTGTTCTCTGTATTTCCTGAATTTGAATGTTGCACTACTTTGCTAGGTTGGGGAAGTTCTCCTGCATAATATCCTGAAGAGTGTTTTTCAACTTGTTTCCATTCTCCCTGTCACTTTTAGGTACACCAATCAAATGTAGATTTGGTCTTTTCACATAGTCTCATATTTCTTGGAGGCTTTGTTCATTTCTTTTAACTCTTTTTTCTCTAATCTTTTCTTCTCACTTTATTTCACAGAGCTGATCTGCAACCTCTGATATCCTTTCTTCTGCTTGATCAATTTGGCTATTGATACTTGTGTATGCATCATGAAGTTCTCGTGCTATGTTTTTCAGCTCCATCAGGTCATTTATGTTCTTCTCTAAACTGGTTATTCTAGTTAGCAATTCATCTAACCTTTTTTCAAGGTTCTTAGCTTCCTTGCATTGGATTAGAACATGCTCCTTTAGCTCTGAGGAGTTTATTATCCACCTTCTGAAGCCTACTTCTGTCAACTCGTCAAATTCATTCTCTATCCAGTTTTGTTCCCTTGCTGGCGAGGAGTTGTGATCCTTTGGAGGAGAAGAGGTGTTCTGGTTTTTGGAATTTTCAGTCTTTTTGCATTGGTTTCTTCCCATCTTCATGGATTTATCTACCTTTGGTCTTCGATGTTGGTGACCTTTGGATAGGGTCTGTGAGTGGACATCTTTTTTGTTGATGTTGATACTATTCCTTTCTGTTTGTTAGTTTTTATTCTAACAGTCAGGCCCCTCTGCTGCAGGTCTGCTGGCATTTGCTGGAGGTCCACTCCAGACCCTGTTTGCCTGGGTATCACCAGCGGAGGCTGCAGAACAGCAAAGATTGCTGTCTGTTCCTTCCTCTGGAAGCTTCATCCCGGAGAGGCACCCACCAGATGCCAGCCACAGTTCTCCTGTATGTATGAGGTGTCTGTCGACCCCTACTGGGAGGTGTCTCCCAGTCAGGATACACAGGGGTCAGGGACCCACTTGAGGAGGTAGTCTGTCCCTTATCAGAGCTTGAACACTGTGCTGGGAGATCTGCTGCTCTCTGCAGAGCTGTCAGGCAGGGACGTTTAAGTCTGCTAAAGCTGTGCCCACAGCCGCCCCTTCCCGCAGGTGCTCAGTCCCAGAGAGATGGGAATTTTATCTATAACTCCCTGACTGGGGCTGCTACCTTTTATTCAGAGATGCCATGCCCAGAGAGGAGGAATCTAGAGAGGCAGTCTGGCTGCAGTGGCCTTGCTGAGCTGCAGTGGGCTCCACCCAGTTTGAACTTCTCCGCAGCTTTGTTTACACTGTGAGGGTAAAACCACCTACTCAAGCCTCCGCAATGGTGGATGCCTCTCCCCACACCAAGCTCAAGCATCCCAGGTTGACCTCAGACTGCTTTGCTGACAGTGAGAATTTAAAGCCAGGATCTTAGCTTGCTGGGCTCCGTGTGGGTGGGACCCACCGAGCCAGACCACTTGGCTCCCTTGCTTCAGCGCCTTTCCAAGGGAGTGAAAGGTTCTGTCTTGCTGGCGTTGCAGGTTGCCACTGGGGTATGAAAATAAACTCCTGCAGCTAGCTCAGTGTCTGCCCAAATGGCTGCCCAGTTTTTTGCTTGAAACCCAGGGCCCTGGTGGCATAGGCACCTGAGGGAATCTCCCAGTCTGCTGGTTGTGAAGACTGTGGGGAAAGCACAGTATCTGGGCCAGAGTGCACCGTTCCTCCTGGTACAGTCTTTCACAGTTAGGGGAGGGAAATCCTCCAACTCCTTGTGCTTCCCAGGTGAGGCGATGCTCCACCCTGCTTTGGCTTGCCTTCCATGGGCTGCACCCACTGTCCAACCAGTCCCAATGAGATGAACCAGGTACCTCAGTTGGAAATGTAGAAATCACCTGTGTTCTGTGTCAATCTCGCTGTGTGAGCTGCAGACCGGAGCTGTTCCTATTTGGTGATCTTGCCAGCAAATCCTCTCAGATACTTTCTTATATACTGAAAATACAATGGTGAATAAAATACAAAAACCTATTGCCCTACTGGAGCTTAGATTGTAATGCTCCCAAATATAACCAAAATGCTAAATAGTTTAAATCACAATTAGAAAGTGTTTAGGGACTGTATCTCAGTCTTTGGCTCAAAATCCATTTTTCTTACAGTTACTCTAAAATTGTTAAATAGATAACAGCCCAGATTTCTGCCACTTATTTTCTAGAATTCCTGAACTGGGATACAGACTTATTGTCTAATTCTTTGCTATGCTCTGTGTTAGTGTTTCTTTAATCTCTACCTCTTTCCTCCTGGACTCAAGTACTTGACCATTTGAATTTTAGGCCTCATTTGTTCATTCGCTCATTTAAAACCATATATTTCAATTCTATTTTCATAAAATGTATTTAAAAATATAGTGTTCACATCAAATAAGAGGTATGATGCTATTATTCCCACATTATAGATGAAGAAATTGAGGCAGTAGCTTGACCAAATTCTTGTGGCTAATAAGAATAATTGTTAGAATTTAAACTCAGGTCTTTTTTGGTATAAAAGTTTAGGGCCTATTTCATATACCCCATTGTGACCAAGAGCACATATATTCTCTAGGGAGATTTCCAGATCTGGTTTTTGTATTTCCCATCTATTCCATCTAATTGGAAATATAAAAATTAAGAGAATTGTAATCTATAAAAGCAAAAACAAATATGACAAAATATGCACAAGATCTACTTGAGGAAACCTATAAAACTCTGATGAAAGAAATCAAATAACTAAGAATGGTGAGATATTCCATGTTCATGGATAGAAGACAATATTGTCAAGATGTCAGTTCTTCCCATCTTGATCTATAGATTCTGTGCAATCCCATTTCAAATCTCAGCAGTTAGTTTGCGGATATTGACAAAATGATTCCAAAGTTTATATGGAGAGATAAAAGATGCAAAAAAGTCAAGTCAGTGTTGGATAAGGAGAAAAGTGGAAGACTAACATTAACCTAATTCAAGACTGACTGTAAAGCTATAGTAATCAAGACAGTGTAGTATTGGTGATAGAATAGAAAAATTGAATAGATTAATGGAAGAGAATAGAGAGCCCAGAAATAGACTCACATAAATATTGCCAACAGATTTTTGACAAAGGAGTAAAGGCAATACCTTGGCAGATAGTCTTTCAGCATATGGTGCTGGAACAGCCAGTCATCTACAGGCAAAAAAAAAAAAAAAAAATTCCCTAAATTTAAACCCCTCAGAAAAATTAACTAAAAAGAGTTATAATCCTAAATGCAAAATTCAAAACTATAAAACTCCTGGAAGATAACAGGAGAAAATCTGGATACTATTAGGTATAGTGATGGCTTTCAAAATAAACCACCAAAGGCATGCTTCA
This sequence comes from Homo sapiens, assembly GCF_000001405.40. Taxonomy (NCBI): domain Eukaryota; kingdom Metazoa; phylum Chordata; class Mammalia; order Primates; family Hominidae; genus Homo; species Homo sapiens. Next base: position 28,301,390 of record NC_000018.10, read on the forward strand.
TGGAAAAAAAAGTTGACAAGCTGGATGTTATTAAAATTAAAACTTCTGCTTTGCAAACAACAATTTCAAGAGTATAAGACAAGCCACAGACTGGAAAAAAATATTTTCACAAGATACACTACTAAAGCACTCTTATCCAACATGTAAAAGACACTCAAAATTTAATAATGAGAAAATATACAACCTTATTTAAAAAATAGACAAAATATATGAACAACCACCTCACAAAAGAAGACAAACATATGAAAAATTAGCACATGAATGACGTTCAACTTCATATTGTCATTAGAGAATTGCAAATTAAAACAGTGAGATACCACTGCACACCTATTAGAATGTCCAAAATCCAAAATACTGACAAGACCAAATGTTGTCAAGGATGTGGAGCAACAGGAACTCTCATTCACTGCTAGTGGGAATACAAAATGGTACAGACAGTTTGGAAGACAGTTTGGCAATTTATTATAAAACGAAACACACTCTTACCATATGATTCAGAAATCATTCTCCTTTGTATTTATCCAAATGAATTGAAAACGTATGGGCACATAAAAATCTGAAAAATGATATTTATAGAATCTTTATTCATAATTGCCAAAACTGGAAACAGCCAAGTTGCTGTTCAGGAGGGGAATAAATAAACTTTGGTACATCCAGACAATAAAATATTAACAGTGGTAAAATTAAATGAGTTATTGAAACATAAAAACAGAAGAATCTCAAGTGACCATTAGTATGTGAAAGAAGCCAATATAAAAAGTCTACATATTGTGCGATTTCAACTATGTGGCCTTCTGGAAAAGGCAAAACTATATGGACAGTAAAAAGACCAGTGGTTTCTAGGGTTGGAGGAAAAAGAGGGGGATGAATTGGCTGAGCACAGAGGATTATGTGGGCAGTAAAAATACTCTGTACGATAATATTATGGTGGATACATGTCATTGTGCATTTGTCAAATCTCATAAAATGTAATATCAAGAGTGAATCATAATGTAGACTATGGACTTGGTGTAATAATTATGTGTCAACGTGGGTTCATTGACTTTTAACAATGTACCACTGAGGTATGGAACATTGTTAGTGGAGAAGGCTGTACATGTATAGAGTCAGGAGAGACATGGGAAATATGTACTTTCCAGTGTATTTTCTGTGAACCTAAAATTGGTCTAAAAATAGTTTATTAGCAAAACAAAACAAAAATAGAACATGATATTTCTCAAAGCACTAATATGGAATACTCTCTAAGAGATTTCCTACAATAAAAAGTCAATACAGAAAAAATAAGGAACAAAAATATTGCATATGCTTGGCCTGTATTTTTTTTTAAAAAGTTATGGTTACTATTTCAGCATTTGAACATGTGAACTCAACTGAGATTAGAGAAAATAGATTTGGCATCTATTTTACAAAATTATTAAACCAGTGTGCACTTGACTTCAGAAATGGCAAGTGTGATATAAGTACTTAAAGCCATATCTAATGAATAATTAGTAAACTCCACCAAACCCCAAAGACAAAAAGACTAAGAAAAAAAGGAACAAGGAAGCTACCAAACAACTAGATAACAACATTATGACAGGAACAAAACTTCACATATCAGTATTAACCTTGAATGTAAATGGATTAAATTCTCCACTTAAAAGATATAGATTGGTGGAATGGATAAAACAGTAAATAAATAAACTATGTGCTGCATACGAGAAACTCACCTTAATTTTATAAAACGTATTTATTTATTTATTTATTTATTTATTTATTTTTTAAAAGTTTATTTTAAGTTCAGGGTACATGTTCAGATGTTCAGGTTTGTTACATAGGTAAACAGGTGTAATGGGGGTTTATTGTGCAGATAATTTCATCACTTAGGTATTAAGTCTGGTACCCATTAGTTATTTTTCCTGATCCTCTTGCTCCCACCCTTCATCCACTGATAGGCTCCCATGTGTGTTGTTTCCCTTGATGTGTCCATGTGTTCTCATCATTTAGCTCTCACTTCTAAGTGATAACACACAGTATTTGGTTTTCTGTTCCTGTATTAGTTTGCTAAGGATAATGGCCTCCAGCTCCATCCATGTTCCTCCAAAGAACATGATTTCATTATTTTTTATGGCTGCATAGTATTCCATAGTGTATATATACCACATTTTCTTTATCCAATCTATTATTGATGGGCATTTAGACTGATTCCATGTCTTTGCTACTGTGAATAGTGCTGTGATGAACATATGCATGCATGTGTCTTTATAATAGAACAATTTATATTCCTTTGGGAATATACCCAGTAATTGAATTGCTGGGTTGAATAGTATTTCTGTCTTTAGGTCTTTGAGGAATTGCCACACTGTATTCCACAATTGTTGAACTAATTTACACTGCCGCTAACAGTGTATAAACATTCCTTTTTCTTGGCAATCTCTCCAGCATCTGTTATTTTTTGACTTGTTAATAGTAGCCATTCTGACTGGTGTGAGAGAGTATCTCATTCTGATTTTGACTGGCATTTCTCTGGTGACCAGTGATTGAGCTTTTTTTCAAATGATTATTGGCTGCTTGTATGTCTTCTTTTGAGAAGTGTCTGTTTGGCACCTTGCCCACTTTTGAATGGATTGTTTGTTTTTTTTTCTTGTAAATATGCTTAATTTTCTTATAGATGCTGGGAATTAGACCTTTGTCAGATGCATAGTTTGCAAAAATTTTCTATCATTCTGTAGCCTACCTGTTTACTCTGTTGATAGCTTCTTTTGCTGTGCAGAAGCTGTTAAGTTTAATTAGATCACATTTGTCAATTTTTGCATGTTGCAGTTGCTTTTGATGTGTTTGTCATGAAATCTTTGTCTGTGCCTATGTCCTGAATGGTATTGGCTATGTTGTCTTCCAGGTTTATATGGTTTTGGATTTTACATGTAAGTCTTTAATCCATCTTGTGTATGGAAGGGGTGTAAGGGAAGGTGTTTAGTTTCAATTTTCTGCATATTGCTAGCCAGTTATCCCAATGCCATTTATTGAATAAAGAGTCCTTTCCCCATTTGCTAGCCAGTTATCCCAGTGCCATTTATTGAATAAAAAGTCCTTTCCCCATTGGTTGTTTTTGTCAGCTTTGTCAAAGATCAAATAGTTGTAGGTGTGTGGTCTTATTTCTGGGCTCTCTATTGTGTTCCATTGGTCTATGTATCTGTTCCTGTATGAGTACCATGCTGTTTTGATTACTGTAGCCTTGTAGTATAGTTTGAAGTTGAGTAACATAATGCCTCTAGCTTTGTTCTTTTTGCTTAAGATTGCCTTTGTTATTTGTGTTCTTTTTTGGTTCCATATGAATTTTAAAATAGTTTTCTCTAGTTTTGTGAAGAAAGTCAATGGTAGTTTAATGATAATAGCATAATCTACAAATTGCTTTGGGTAGTATGGCCATTTTAATGACATCATTTCTTCCTATTCATGAGCATGGAATGCTTTTCTATTTGTTTGTGTCTTCTCTAATTTCTTTGAGCAGTGGTTTGTAGTTATCCTTGTAGAGACCTTTCGCCTCCATTGTTAGCTGTATTCCTAGGTATTTATTATTTTTGTGGCAATTGTGAATGGGAGTTTGTTTATGATTTGGCTCTGAGCCTGACTCTGTTGGTGTATAAAAATGCTTGTGATTTTTGTACATTGATTTTGTATCCTGAGACTTTGCTGAAATTGCTTATCAGCTTGAGAATCTTTTGGTCTGAGGCAATTGGGTTTTCTAGATATAGGAGCATGTCATTCACAAACAGGGATAGGCTGACTTCCTCTCTTCTTATTTGAATGCCCTTTATTTCTTTCTCTTCCCTGATTGCCCTGGCTAAAACTTTCAATACTATGTTGAATAGCAGTAGTGAGAAAGGGAATCTTTGTTTTGTACTGGTTTTCAAGGGGAGTGCTTCCAGCTTTTGCCCATTCAGTATAAGGTTGGCTGTGGGTTTGTCATATATGGCTCTTATTATTTTGGAAACTCACCTTAATGTTAAAGACATTTACAGATTGGGGATAAAGGAGTGGAAAAAGATATTTTATGTAAATGAAAACCAAAAGTGAGCAGGAATCGCTATGCTTATATAGGTTAAAATAGACTTTAAGGCAAGAAGAGTGAAAAGAAACAAAGGGCATTATATAATGATAAAGCAATCAATTCAGCAAGAGTATATAACAATCATATAATGATAAAGCGATCTGTTCAGCAAGGGTATATAACAATCATAAATATGTATGCACTCAACATTGGAGCATCCATATTCAGAAAACAAGTATTACTAGAGAATACTACCTAAAGAAAGAGATAGACAGCAACACAATGATAGTGGGGGACTTCAACACTCCGCTCACAGCACTAGACAGATCACTGAAACAGAAAATCAACAAAGAAACACTGGAATTAAATTGGAATTTAGACTAAATTAACCTAACAGACATTACAAATCATTTTACCCAACAACCTGAGAATATAATTCTTCTCATTAACACATGGAACATTCTCGATAATAGACCACGTGTTAGGCCACAAAACAAGTCTTCATAAATAAAAAAAATGAAATCATAACAAGTATCTTCTCAGACCACAGTGGGATAAAACTAGAAATTAATCCCAAGATGAATTCTCAAAACTATAAAAACACATGGAAATTGAACAATATGCTCCTGAATGACCTTTGGGTCAATAAGGAAATTAAGACAGAAATTTTAAAAGTTTTGGAAAAAAGTGAAAATGGAAACACAATGTACAAAGGCTCTGGGATATATTAAAAGCAGTGCTAAGTAGGAAGTTTGTACCATTAAATGCCTACATCAAGAAAAAAAGAAAAATAACAAATTAGCAACCTAATATTGCACCTCATGGAACTACAAAAACAAAAACAAACCAAACCCAAAGGTAAAGAAGAAAATAAAGGGGGGCTGAGGTGGGTGGATCACGAGGTCAGGAGATCGAGACCATCCTGGCTAACACAGTGAAACCCCGTCTCCACTAAAAATAAAAAAATAAAAAAAATTAAAAAAAATTGGCCAGGCGTGGTGGCCAGCGCCTGTAGTCCCCGTTACTCGGGAGGCTGAGGCAGGAGAATGGCATGAACCTGGAAGGCAGAGCTTGCAGTGAGCCGAGATTGCGCCACTGCTCTCCAGCCTGGGCGACAGAGAGAAACTCTGTCAAAAAAAAAAAAAGAAAAAGAAAAAGAAATAGAAAAGAAAAGAAACAACAAAGATCAAAGAAGAACTGAAAGGAATTGATACAAAAGAAATATAAAAAATCAACAAAATGAAAATTTGGTTAACAAAGATAAACAAAATTGATAAACCACTAGCTGAACTAATCAAGAAGAAAGAAGATCCAAATAAACATAATAAAAAATGAAAAAAGGAGACATTACAACTGATACCACAGAAATACAAAAGCTTATCAGAGATTACTATGAACAACCATATGCTCACAAACTAAGAAACCTAGAGGAAATGGATGAATTCCTGGAAACATACAGCCTCCCAAGATTGAGCCAGGAAGAAACAGAAATTTGTAACAGAGCAATAGTGAGTAGTGATATTGAATTAGTAATAAAAAAATCTTCCAACAGGAAAAAACCTCAGGACCAGAAGAATTCTTCGGTAGATTCTACCAGATATATGAAGAACTGACAGCAAATCCTCCTGAGTTTGCTGCAGGGGCGGGGCCTTCATGCAGAACCTCTACTAGGATGAGGGGAAGGGAAATGTGGTGTGGGAACCCCCCACACAGAGTCTCTACTGGGGCAGTGCCTAGTGGAGCTGTGAGAAAAGGACCACCGTCCTCCAGACTCCAGAATGGTAGATCCACTGACAGCTTGCACCGTGTGCCTGGAAAAGCCACAGACAACATCAGCCTATGAAAGCAGCCAGGAGGGAGGCTGTACCCTCCAAAGCTACGGGGGCAGAGCTGCTCAAGACCATGGGAACCCACCTCTTGCATCAGCATGACCTGGATGTGAGACATGGAGTCAAAGGAGATCATCTTGGACCTTTAAGATTTGACTGCCTTGCTGGATTTTGGACTTGCATGGGGCCTGACTGTAGCCCCTTTGTTTTGACCAATTTCTCCTATTTGGAATTGCTGTATTTACCCAATGGCTGTACCCACATTGTATCTAGGTTGTAACTAATTTGCTTTTGATTTTACAGGCTCATAGGTGCAAGGGACTTGCCTTATATCGGATGAGACTTTGGGCTGTGGACTTTTGAGTTAATGCTGAAATGAGTTAAGACTTTAGGGGACTATTGGGAAGGCATGACTGGTTTTGAAATGTGAGGACATGAGATTTGGGAGGGGCCAGGGGTGAAGTGATATGGTTTGACTGTGTCCGCACCCAAATCTCATCTTGAATTCCCTCATGCTGTGGGAGGGACCCGGTGGGAGGTAACTGAATCATGGGGTCAGGTCTTTCCCATGTTTCTCTTGTAATAGTGAATAAGTCTCATGAGATCTGATTGTTTTTAAAAAGGGGAGTTTCTCTGCACAAGCTCTCTTCTCTTGTCTGCTACCATGTGAGATGTGCCTTTCACCTTCTGCCATGATTGTGAGGCCTCCCCAGCCACGTGGAACTGTAAGTCAATTAAACCTCTTTCTTTTGTAAATTGCTCAGTCTTGGGTATGTCTTTATCAACAGTGTGAAAATGAACTAATACAAGAACCCAGAAATAAACCCACATGTCTACAGCTAACTGATCTTTGACAAAATCAACAAAAACATATAGTAGGGAAACGACACCCTTTTCAATAAATGGTGTTGGGAAAATTGGATTGCCATATACAGAAGAATGAAGCCAGATCTCTATCTCTCACCATATGCAAAAATCAGCTCAAGATGGATTAAAGACTTACATTTAAGACCTGGAACTATTAAAATACTAGAAGGAATACTTTTCTGGACATTGGTCTAGGCAAATTATTCATGACTAAGACTTCAACAGCATAAGGAACAAAATCAAAAATAGACAAATGGGACTTAACTAAACCAAAAAGCTTCTGCATAGCAAAATCAACAGAATGAACAGACAAACTGCAGAATGGGAGAAAATGTTTACAAACTATGCATCTTATAGATCTGACAGGTGACTGCTATCCAGAATTTACAAGGAATTCAAATAACTCAACACAAAAATCCAAATAATCTGATTAACATATGGGCAAAAAACATAAACAGATTTTTTGCAAAAGAGGACATACAAATGGCTAAAATGCATATGAAAAAAATGCTCAGCAGCACATCAGAAAGCTAATCCACCACAATCAAGTAGGCTTTATCCCTGGATTGCAAGTAGGTCGTTCAACGTACGCAAATCAATAAATGTGATTCACCACATAAGCAGAACTAAAGACAAAAATCATATGATCATCTCAACAGAGGCAGAAAATGCTTTTGACAAAATTCAACATCGCTTTATGTTAAAAACTCTCAACAAACTAGGTATTGAAGGAACATTCCTCAAAATAATAAGAGCTCTATATGACAAACCCACTGCCAACATCATACCAAATGGATAAAAGCTGGAAGCATTCCCCTTGAAAACTGGCACAACACAAGGATGCCCTCTCTCACAACTCCTATTCAACATAGTATTGGAAGTCCTGGCCAGAACAATCAGGTAGGAGAAAGAAATAAAGGGCATCCAAATAGGAAGAGAGGAAGTCAAACTATTCCTGTTTGGAGATGACATGATTCTATATCTAAAAAACCTAATATCCTCCGCCCAAAAGCTGAGTGGATAAACAACTTCCACAAAGGTTCAGGATACAAATTTAATATACAAAAATCACTAGATTCCTATGCAACCACAGCCAAGCCAGGAGCAAAATCAGGAACACAATCCAATTCACAATTGCCAGAAAAATAATAAAATACCTAGAAACACAGCTAACAAGGGAGGTGAAAGTTCTTGACAATGAAAATTACAAAACACTGCTCAAAGATATCAGAGATGTCACAAACAAATGGAAAAACATTCTATGCTCATGGATAGGAAGAATCAATATCATTAAAATTGTCATATTGCCCAAAGCAATGCACAGATGCAATGCTATTCTTATCAAACAACCAATGACATTCTTCACAGAACTAGAGGAAACTATTTTAAAATTCATATGGAACCAAAAATACAGCCAGAAGGGCCAATGCAATCCTAAGAAAAAAGAATAAAGCTGGAGGCGTCATGTTACCCAATTTTAAACTATACTAAAGGGCTACAGTAACCAAAACAGCATGATACTGGTACAGGAACAGATACATAGACCAATGGAACACAATGGAGAGCCCAGAAATAAGACTGCACACCTACAACTATTTGATCTTTGACAAAGCTGACAAAAACAAGCAATGGGGAAAGGACTCCTTATTCAATAAATGGTGCTGAGATAATAGGCTAACCATGTGCAGAAGATTAAAATTGGACCGCTTTCTTACATTGTATACAAAAATCAACTCAAGATGGATTTGAGACTGAAACACACAATACAAAACTATAGAAACCCTGGAAGACAACCCAGGCAACATGATTCAGGACATAGGCACAGGCAAAGATTTCATGATGAAGATGCCAAAAACAATTGCAACAGAAGCAAAAATTGATGAATGGGATCTAATTAAACTTAACAGCTTCTGCACAGCAAAAGAAACTGTCAACATGGTTAACAGGCAGTGTATAGAATGGGAGAAAATATTTGCAAATTAGGCATCTGACAAAGGTCTAATATCTGGCATCTGTAACTACTTAAACAAACTTACAAGTAAAACATGAACAACCCTATTAAAAAGTGGGCAAGGGGCCTTAACAGACAGTTCTCAAAAGAAGACATACATGCAGCTGATAAGCATATTTTAAAAGGCTCAATATTACTGATCATAAGAGAAATGCATATTAAAACCACAATGAGATACCATCTCATACCAGTCAGAATGGCTATTACTAAAAAGTCAAAAAATAAGAGATGATGGTGAGATTTTGGAGAAAAGAGAACACTTATACACTGTTGGTGGGAGTGTAAACTAGATCAACCATTGTGGAAAGCAGTGTGGTGATTCCTCAAAGACCTAAAAAAAGAACTACTATTTGACCCAGAAATCCCTTCACTGGGTATATACCCAAAGGAATATAAATTGTTCTATTATAAAGATACGTGCATGTGTATTTTCATTGCAGCACTATTCACAATAGCAGAGGCATGGAATCAACCTAAATGTCCATCAGTGGCAGACTGGATAAAGCAAATGTGGTGTATATCTACACCATGAAATACTATGCAGCTATAGTAAATGATGAGATCAAGTGTTTTTGCAGGAACATGGGTGGAGCTGGAGACCATCATCCTTAGCAAACTAACATAGGAACAGAAAACCAAATACTGCATTTCCTCACTTAAAAGTGGGAGCAAGATGATTAGAACACATAGAGGGGAACAACACACACTGAGACCTATCAGAGTGTGGGAGGAGGGAGAGGATCAGAAAAAATATCTATCCGGTACTAGGCTTAACACCTTGATGACAAAAATTATCTATACAACAAATTCCTGTGACATGAGCTTACTTAACAAACATGCGCATGTACCCCTGAACCTAAAATGAAAATTAAAAATATTCTCGGTATCACTAATATTCAGCAAAATGCATATGAAAACCACAATGAGATACTATCTGACACCAGTCAGAATGGCTACTATTAAAACATAAAAAAATGACATACGTTTCTAAGAATGTGGTGAAAAGGGAACGCTTATACAATATTTCTGGGAATGTAAATTAGTACAGTCTCTATGGAAAACAGCATAGAGACTGCTCAAAGATCCAAAAATAGAACTACCATTCAAATCAGCAATTCCACTACTGGGTCTCTACCCAAAGGAAATAAATCATTATATGAAATAATACCTGCACTTGTATGCTTATTTTACCACTACTCCCAATAGTAAAGATATGTAATCAACCTAAGTGCCCATCAATGGATAGTTGGATGAAGAAAACGTGCTCTGTGTGTGTGTGTGAGTGTGTGTGTGTGTGTGTGTGTGTGTATAAACTATCAACATGGTTAACAGACAGTGTATAGAATGGGAGAAAATATTTGCAAATAGAATACTATTCAGCCATAAAAATGATTGAAATTCTGCCTTTTCAGCAACATGCATTTAATTGGATGCCATTATCTTAAGTAAAACAACACAGACAGAAATTCAAGAGCCACAAATTATCATTGTAAGTGGGAGCTTAAATAATGTGGACACGTGAACATGGAATGTGAAAAAACAGACACTGGAGACTTGGAAATATAGGAGGATGGGAGTGGGGTGAGGGATGAGAAATGACTTAATGGTACAATACACATTATTTAGGTGATGGTTACAACAAACGTCTAGATTTTACCACTACGTATCTATGTAAAAAAACTGCCCTTGTTCCCCTTAAATTTACACAAAAATATACAGAATTTAAAAAGATATAACAAAGTATGTTTTATAATGTAAAGTTTTATTATATTTAAAGATTAAATAATATTGTGGTGGTTCATGTATGGCCATGAAAATACATATCTGTTCCTTTATGGGAATTAAGTAAAAGTAATTTTGAAATTGTTTTATGATCTAAACAGTGCAAATGCCTCTTTTTAAGTAAGATAAACTTTTCGTGAAAATTGAAGAGGCAGTTAAATTGTGGCAGAAACTGTGACTTTCTATGGAAATGTGCTCAGAGAAAACCAGAGCCTTTACAAGCTTTCTGAAAACCAGTAGGAAGTGAAGACAATAGCGCAGTTACATTTTATTTTTGTGGTCTGAATATTAGTGTGTATTATGACATATATAGTGGAGGAGAAGAGACAAGGTGTCTCCAGAGAGCTTTGCTGAATGTCAAAATCTATTGCATTGACCTCATTTACTCCTCAAAGTTACCATACATCACATGGATTGCCTTTTCACTTCATTGGTAACAAAGCTCTGACTTGAGAGTTTATATAAACTGCTCGAGGTCACACAACCAGCAAGCAATGGAATCAGAGTTTGAGTCCAGTTCCATCTGACTCCATATTCCAAATTGATGAGCTTATGAAAGATTCACAAATTGAAGAATACTGGCATGTAGGGGGTAGTTGCAATATGACTATAATCTTATGTTTTTCACAAGTCACATAGGAAATATCTAAGGCAGTAATTATCAAACTGCTCTACAGAATCCTGTGGTTTCAATGATGAATTTTCCAACAAACAATAAGGACTACAACTTCTTGAGAAAAAAAGTTCATCTTTTCATATATGGCATGCAGAGTGCTTTTGAACAATGGTATTTGAAAAAAGAATGAATTCTGCTACATATAATTTGAAAGTCATGGTCTAGCTTGTGGGAGAGTAATTGACATTCCCAAGTAGGAACTACTGGATTATGCAGAGAAAGAAAGCTTCCTGAATAGAAGTTATATAAGTTTCAAGGTTCACTTTCAACACAGTGCCAAATGAAATCCTTAAGGTAGATGACAATTAAGAACAAAGAAAGAACAGTGCTGAGCTGCAAAGGAACCCTAACTGTGGGCATTACTGCTTGTGCCACAAAGTTTTCCATTCTGCCAGGGTAACAGCTACTACATCACTACATCAGTGGTGATGTGTTTGAAATACATCACACAAGTGACTGTGTCTAAGTGATTTGAGGAGGAATACTACATGCAGGTGAGGGATTGCAAGTCAAGAGAACTAGAGTAAAGAGAAGCATATAATTAAACCTGGCTGAAGTATTTTGACACAGCTAATCAAAAAAGACAGTCTAATAGGGCCAGCTAAGTATTTCCCCTTTATCCATTCTCTGGAACTTCAGGGCATTTTGAATTTTCATATATGTGACAGGTGAGCTCATGCCCCTCAGAGCTTGTTAGCCTTCCAGATGATCTGTCACTTATCACATTTAAGTTTGTAGATGGATTAGATGCTGATTGAATAGATTTCTGAAAGGCAATTAATGAAGGCTGTATATATACATATACATATACATATACATATATATACATATACATATACATTTACCCTCTGCAGTATGTACGTTTGTTAAAACCATCATCTTTTAGAGTAATAGAGTAAAATTTACATAGCAATTGAAAATCTCTTACCTAATATAACATTCATTTTGTATAACTCCCTAAGAATGAAAAAAATTATCAAACTAATGATTTTTCATATCACATTTTATTTTGTGTTTTGTGACCAGTTAGTATAATCATTATTTACATTTCCAAATTGACTTTTTGAAAAATAACAACAAGTTGTTATAGCAAATGACATAATATGATTTAGTTTATTTCTGCTAAATTGCGAGTCTCCCAAGGTCTCAGACAATGTTTATTTCTAATTTCCCTGACACCTAGCACAGTCGCTGGCACACAGAAATCACTCAATATATTTTTGCTGACATATGTCATATATGTATATGTATAAGCCTTTCCTAGATTAGTGTGAATGGAAATAAAGGCCATCAAAATGATGTCCATTAATTAGGTTGATTACTTTGCATTTGTGGAAGATGTACGAAGAGTCACATAAAGATTGCATAAGCTTTGGAGTTAGACAGCTTTTAGGTTAAAATTCTTGCTCTGCCATTTATTGCCCGTGAAACATTGGGCTAATTATTTCATCTCAGAGCTTTAGTTTTCTCGTCCATAAAGTAGGATAAAATAAGTCCAGCCTCAGAGAGTTGCTGGAATAATAAGTATATTGTAATAATGTACATAGAACAGTACCTGTCCTTTGCCTAATTACAGTTCAAAAATTTCAAAAGTCTGGTGTAGGATATTCTTTGAGTTAAATAAATTTGCATAATTATCCTACCTAACTGGTACAATTTAACCTTATTTTACACCACACCTTCCATAAACTCTATTTCATATTTTGTAAAATTCTCCCTAAACATAAGAGAGTATTTTAATAAATCAAAAAAGTACAATTAGTATTTTACTTATGTTTTCAGGAGAAGGTGAAGAAAAAAAAATACATCAGCCTGTGTAGACTCTTTAAAAACAAAACAAAATAACAGCCTTAACCCATTTCTGCTTTCTCCAGTTTTCTTCTGCTCAGGACAGCTGCCTCATTCTCTTTTCTTTTCTTTTTCTCCCTCTACCCTCCAAATTCTTCAGTTTCTCCAGTCAAGCTTATTCCAACCTTTCTTCTTCCCAACCACGTTTCAAAATCATGTCAGCTCAAAAGCATTCAGAGAGACAAAACTCAGCAAAATTAACTAGACCATCTACCAATCCTCATAAGAATCTTCAGTCAATGGTGAAAATTTTTAAAAACGTTTCTAAAACTTAGAAAGTTTTTAAAAGGCAAATACATGGTTGGCAGAGACTGCTGGTTGCCTCCAAGTATTGTTTCTCCCCTTTCTTCTTGTTGTCAGAACACATCTTATACAATGCTGTGCAGTGGTTCTACTTTTAATAAGCGCACCAGTGAGTAATAACAGGGGCCATGGGTGCCCAGCCAAAGGCAATATTTCCCTGCTGGTGTTACAGAAATTGTGGCATTTAGACTAAGTGCAGGTCAATGGGATTAAGTGGAAGTGAGCGTGGAAAACCTTGATTGGAGGAAGAATAGAGAGAAAGATATCAATTATTATTAAATTAGAGAATTAGTCAGACCTTATGGGGAGAGAGGAGAAAGTACTAGAACTGTGGAATGGTTTGCTTTCTTTTGACATCAAAATGAGGAAAGTCTGTATCATAGCAGGGGTGAGACTAAGCTATGTTTGGGGCCTTCCTGCACCTGGGAATACTTCACTCAGAGCAACAAAACCCCTATTCAATTATAATGGTTTGATAATGAGAAAAATTATGTAAATGAGACTCACAGTAATTAGTAGCTGGGTCTCAATGGGTCTAGCTAGTTCCACCTTTGAGGAAGGTCTGGGAGGAGTTTGGGAAGAAGTTTATGTCTCATACAAAGTGTTAAGGTCAGGGAAGGGAAGCATGTAACTTATGTGTACAAGGTTTTAGTTTTGAGACTGCTGGTTAAAAAGAGCCTCCAGGTAACTGCAGGCCTGGCCAAATTGAGAGGCAGTAAAAACCAATGTAGCTGCACTAGTTTGACTTGTCAGTGTTGAGGTTTGGACGAAAACGTCAGGAACCAGAAACCCAGGTCTAAGCAAAAGCAGAGGCTTCTTCCTCATGTCCTGTGAAACTTGGCCTGGGTTCAACACAATCCAGGTTTTTTTCTCTTCTGTGACTGTTCTCCTTGGGTTCCCACCACCTCTGGGGACTGGGTTGATGAGGGGCAGGGGTGTGCAGACGGAGGACCATAAGGACTTAGCAACTAGGAACATCAAGCAGGATTTCTCCTGTGTGGGCAAGTCACACACAAAACTCCAGAAATACATATTCAAAATGCTCCTAGCTTCCCTCTGCATTAGTCACAATAACACTAAATGCTGAAACAGGTACACTCCAATATGCCAGTGTGTTGTGATTTCTATTTCCATGTTCTTCTTTTTTTCTAATTTATTTTTAAAGTGTCTCTCTTGAGAAAGGCCATAAGACAAAGTAGCCACTCTCTAGGAGAGACCTGACCTAGGGAGTAGGGAGTTAGGTTGGGTTGTGTGTATTAGATGAGGCACAATGGAAAGGGGAAACCAAAATGCATGAAACAGAAGAAATTTGTTATTCACAGGTCCCAGAGAAGTCAGGGGTGCCAACAGATAGTCCACAGGTGGTGGGGTGCTCAACCAGTGGATAGGGAGAGGGAAAGAGTGAGAGAGGGAGAGAAAGGGAGAGAGAAAGAGAGAGAGAGAGAGAACCTGTGGGATTATGTCTCTATTAAAGTCCATAGGTGTTATCTCTTAGGCTTCTCTGTGGGGGTTGTAGGTTGATTAGTTTAAAAAAAACATGCATGAAGTGGGGAATTTATTTACATGACTCTGATATTGGCCAATAAGTTATTATGGTCAGATGAAGAATAAGCTGACTATGTAACAAACAACCACATAGGCAGGGGAGGTTTTAACTAGGCCATAGGTTACAGGGTACAATTGGGTTTCAAGCAACTTATGTCAGGATTAAAAATGGATACCAAGGTGGCAATGACATTACACAAATATATGACATGGTGGTTTGTCACAGAGAAGTTGATTTTGCTTTTGGTGAAGTCCAGTTGGAGGTGATGGGTACAATGGGTGGAGCTGGGAGTCTAAGCAGGGTGGTTATTTGTTCTGCAATCAAATTGCCTGGATTCAATTTCCAACTCACCATAGACTAATTTTGTGACCTTGATTAACTTAACTGTGCTTTGACTTTCTAACCTGTAAAAGTCATAATTTTACCTTATGTCTGGATAACAAATTGAATAGCAGTGGGACAATTATTGTACCTAGCTCATAGCAATGTGAACATTCATGAGATAATTCATGAAAAGGACTTAATACATAACTGATACACAATAAACACTCAACACATGTTTAACTATTATAATTTTTATTGGAGTAGATAACTGCATTTTTTAACCTTTTTCCTTGATGCCAATATTTTTGTACTTTTAGTATGTTACTTAACTCTGATTGTAGGTAGGAATTACTCTATCTTAAACTAAAAAAAAAAAAAAAGTCCAGGAATAGGTTTTTAACAGCTTGTACATTATGCCTCCTGGTATGGCAGTCCTTAAATCCTTCCTAGTTCCCCAATCAGTGACACACAGTGTGAAGATTCTCTTAGGGAAAATAGAGAAGGCAGCACTAATTAACAACGCAATTATTTAACACTTTACCTCCTCTTCCTCCTTCTTCTCATTAGAATCTATAATTTCTTTTTCTCTTGATGTTGATTTTAACCACATTTCACCAATGTGTACATGTTCAGGGGTGAAGATAAACTTTGATTTAATTTGACCAATATTGATTAAGATCTATTATATACAAAGTATTATTCTGGAAGCACATCCATGTAATCAGAACAAAAATTTCTGTCTTTGTGGGAGATTTGAGTGGAAGGTTGTCAGTAATAAGTGATATAATGTAAAAAAATAAGTGAATTAGCTAATATGCTAGGAGATGATATATGCAAAGGAATAAAGCACAAGTGGAATAAGGTAAAGAGGATGTGGAGTGAGAGATGGGATTTAGCTGTAATTTAACGTATATTGGTTAGGCCTCTCTGAGATGGTTGTAGTTGAGAGAAGACTTGAAGGAGGTAAGTTCTATGATCTAAATGTTTGTGTCCACTCAAAATTCATATGTTGTACCCTAACCTCCAAGATGACAATATTAGGAGGTGGGGCCTTTTGGGAGATGGTTAGGTCATCAGAGAGAAGCCCTCATGAATGGGTTTATTGCCCTTATAAAAGTGGCCCAAGGGAGTTCGTTCACCTCTTCCATGCTGGGAGGATATTGCAAGAATGCATCAGCTTTTATATGAATCAGGAAGGCCCTCAGCAGATACCAAATCTGCCAGCGATTTATTTTGGGTGTCCCAGCCTCCAGAACTGTGGGAAATAAATTTCTGTTGTTTATAAGCCACCTAGTTTATGGTATTCTGCTATGGCAGCCTGAACAGAAGAGAGTTCCATTCTAAGAGGAAGAGAATTACCCATACTGAGGGAAGAGGGTTCTTGACAGAGGTCACAGCTCATACAAAGACCTTGAACTGAGCACATGCATGGCTACTCTAAAGGGTTATTGTGAGGATTAAAAGAGAACAGGGTCACGGAAATTCTGATGGTAGACCTGGAGATGCGCTGCCCAGTTCCTCCCTTATGGAAGAACTTGCTGCTTGGAGAGAGTGGTCAGCAGACAGACTCCAGCTATCAGCTCTTTCGGGGTCTGCTTTGGCTACAGACAGTTGCCTCATTCAACATCACATCCTTCCCGGGTAGCCCACTTTGGAGCTGAGTAGTATAAAGGGCCAGCCATTTTGGCTCAGTGAGGACATGATGATGGGCAGCACTTGCTCCAGAGCTTCCCAGCAGGTTGGCTGAGGCTTGCTTGGGCTTGCACGGCAGGTCATCTTTGCCCTCTGTCCAATCCTACTTCCTCTCCTTTCTTTCATAGGTTTTGATCTTCCAGAGAACCCAACCTATGACAACACTGAAATAATGTTGTTACAACTTACTGCAACATGAATTAGTTCTAAAATTTCATGACTTTTAGGAGGAAGAATTGCAGGATCATTGACTTTGAATTACAGCTCTTGTCATGAATGATGTGCTTTTTTGACACATTTCTTAAACTTTTTAGTCTTTAATTGCCTCATTGGGAAAACTGGGCTAATAATTTCAAGTTCCATAGTTTTGGTGTGAACTAAATTATGTAATAAGTGTATAAAGTTCTACGAGTGTCTCACACGCAAGTATTGGGTAGAGTATAATCATTATAAATTATTCATATACTCATAGTTAAAGATCACTATTATTCAAGTGATACTAGACTAGGTGTGTGCAATGATTAATATTTTGAACTTTTTATAATTTATAAAATACGTGGCAAAAAAGTGGACAAATCCATAAGTGATTTTTACAAGGTGAACATGTCCATGTAATCATAACTTAGCCCAAAAAACAGAACATGATCAAGACTCAGAATCTACCTTCAAGTTTCCTTTCAGTCACTGGCTCACCAAAGGTAACACCAGAGATTAACTCCCCCACTTTTGAATTTCATAAAAATGGAATCAAACAATGTGTATCTTTTTAAGCCTGGCTTCCTTTGCTTACATTACGTTTGTGAGATTCACCCATGTTATTTTTTGTAGATGCAGTATTCTCATTTTCGTTACTGTATAGTGTTCTCCTGTCTGAATAATTTATAGTTTATTTTTCCCTTCTACTGCTGATCGGTGGTTTTCAGGTTATTGCAAGTATTGCTGTTATGAATATTCTTATATTCTTTTTTGGAGCACAAATGTATATATTTCTCTTGGGTATTTCCTAGAAGTGAAATTGCTATATGGTAAGATATACATAGGTTTAATAGATACAGCCAAACAGTTTTCTAACGTCTTCATACCTATTTATTCTCCAACTTGTGGCTTATGGGAACTGTGGTTACTCCGTATCCTTGCCAACGCTTGATAGCATCTTTTGTTTTGTTTTGTTTTGTTAACAATTTTAGGCCTGGCACAGTGGCTCATGCCTGTAGTCTCAGCACTTTGGGAGGCCGAGGCAGGCAGATCACCTGAGGTCAGGAGTTCAAGACCAGCCTGGCCAACGTGGAAACCCCATCTCTACTAAATATACGAAAATTAGCCGAGCATGGTGGTGTGCGCCTGTAATCTCAGCTACTCGTGAGGCTGAGGCAGGAGAATTGCTTGAACCTGGAAGGCGGAAGCTACAGTGCGCGGATATCCCGCCACTGCACTCCAGCCTGGGTGACAGAGTGAGACTCTGTCTAAAAAAAAAAAAAAAAAAAAAAAAAAAAATTAACTATTCTGATGGGTGTACTGGTATCATTATGGTTTTAATTTGATTTCCTGAAGACTAATGAAGTTAAGCAACTTAAATTTATGAAACCTATAATTTATTGACCATTCGTATTCTCTTTTACAAAGTTTCCATTCAACTGTTTTGCCCATTTTTTGTCAGGTTTATTGTCTTTTTCTTAATGTTTTTAGGAGTTAGTACATATTTTAGGTATAAGTCCTTGATTTAATATATAGATTAGAAATATCTTCTTCCATTCTATGATTTGCCTTTTTTCTCCCTTAATGATTTTTGTTGTTGTTGTTGAACACGAGACCTGAATCTTAATGTGGTACAATTTAGCACCTTTTAAAATGATTTTTATGTCTTTATTAAGAAGTCTTTGCTTATGCTAATGTAATAAGCTGTTTGTCTATATATTTCCTTCTAAAAGCTTTAACATTTTACTTTTTGCATTAAGATCTATAATACATCTGGAATTGATATTTATATATGATGTTAAGTAGAGGTCAAGGCATTTTTTACAATGTGCATCTCTGACCTATTTAATAAGAAAGTTTTATTCTTTGACTATGCTGCAGTTCTTTGTCATAAATCAGTTGTGCATCTATGTGTAGGTCGCTTCTTATAATTATCTGTCTATCTTGTGCCAATACCACAGTAATTATGATTATATTTGGTATTGTAAGTCGTTCTGTTTCCTCTTTTTAAAAAATCTGACTCTGCATTTCTATTTAGATTTTTTTAAAAGGCTTGTATTTCTATTACATGGAATCTATAGAGCATTTTGAAGACTATTGGAATATCTGCAATACTGAATATTTCAATCATAAATAAGGTCCATCCCTTTAAATATTTAGGTTTTTAATTTCATATAAAATGTTTTATAATATTTTGTGTAGCAGACATGTACCTTTTAAATTTATTCTTGAGTATTCGATGTTTCTTATACTATCATAAACAGTAGCAGTTTTCCAAATGTCATTTTCTATTTGTTCATGGCTGGTTCATAGAAACACGACTAATTTTTATATATTGGTTTTAATGATTTTCATGTTCACTGACTTTGTAGTAATCCATTATTCATCTAATAGTTTGCCTGTAGGTTCTTCTGAATATTCTAGGTATAAAATCATATCTTCTGCAAATAATGAAAGTTCTCTTTCTTTCTTTCCAATTCATATTCTTTTTAATGATATTTTTCTTGTTTTATTTTACTGGCAAGTATTTTCAGTGAATTTTTGAATATAAATGGTAATACTAGGAATTTTTGACTCACTCCCAATCTTATGGAGAAAGGATTTGATATTTCACTATTAAATATAATTTTTCTATAAACTTTTGGGTAGCTACTTGCCAGATTAAAGAAGGGCCTTTTTATTTCTATTTCACTAAGAGTTTTGAACATGGAAATGTTGAATTCAATGAAATGAATTTCTCCACATTTTAATTTAATAATATGTTATTCTTTTTCCTTCTATTATTATGGTATATTATAACTACTTGATTTGCAATGTTACAAATGGTACAAATTTGTATGTATCAAGTATATTATTACTACTTGATTTACAATGTTACAAAAGTTACAAATTTGTAATATTTGCAAATCAAGTAGTAATAATATACCATAATTTTTCTTGTTTTTCTAAGTTAAACTTATTTCATTATGATGTATTTTTCTCTCAATACGTTGTACCATTTGCAGATATTTTGCTTAGGACTTGTGCATTTACAATCATGAGATAAATAGATTGTTACAAGTTTTAATGTTGTATCTTCATTATCATTCAGTTCAAATAGTTTTGTTTTATTCATTTCTGCTTTGACTTGTGAATTATTTAAAAGTGAATTTTTTAATTTCTAGAAATAAGAGATTTTTCAGTTATCTTTAAAAAATTTCTAGCTCATTTCAACTGGCTAGGGATATACTCCGGATGATGTAAATGCTTTGATATTTGCTGATAATTTTCTTATGGTTCAACGTGTGGTCAGTTTGGTAGATGTTCTAATATTCTTGAATAAAAATGAATTCTTTTGTTGTTGAGTACATTACTCTTTATGTGTCAGATCAATTTTGTTAAATATGTTGTTCAGATTGGTTCTAGTTCTCTGATTTCTTAATTGGTTCTTTTCACCAGATATTCAGAGAACTATGTTAAAGTCTTCTATGGATTTTCCTATTTCTCCTTTAAATTCTGCAATGTTTGCTTTGCATATTTTGAAACTATGTTATTGGGTGCAGATGGATTTAAGATTCTGATATATTCTTGTTTTACTGATTTTTAATTATTTTGAAATGTCTTAAAAAACACTAACAATATTTTTTTGCAGTAAGGTCTATTTTTTCTAACATTAGTTTATCTAAACCAGCTAAGTCAGGTTTTTGTTTTTGTTGTTGTGAGGTATTGTATGGTATATTATTTCCCAACATTTGAATTTAGACTTTCTGTGCTTTAATATCTAAAATGTGCCTCTTGTAAAGTAGCATATAGTTCATTTTTATTCCATCTGGCACTTGCTATTTAATTAAACATGAAACTTAATGGTATGTATATGTGAGTGTTTAGCTTATCTACATTTAATGCAGTAAAGGTAGAGTCTACTATTTTATTATTCCTTTACTCTTTAGCTCATCTCTTTTATGATCCTTTTCCCCTTCTTTCTTGGTTTCATTTTATTTAATCAAAACATTTAAAATACTTTTATTACTCTATTTTCTCCTATTAACTCGATAGATAGATACTATTTTATTTTATTTTTTTCTGGTTACCCTCAAGATTTCAATATGCATTCTTATCACATTATATACTGATACTGATTTTTTATTTTTAACTTCTTATTTTTAACTTTTTCAGATATTTCTAAAACACTTGAACTCTTTAATTCTATTTAACCATATCATATTGTTTGTATTACATTGTCACATAATAAAACCTAAAATATTTTAAATTCTATAAGCCATTACACATAGTTTTATGTAGTCAATATCTTTGTATGTTTCTTCACATGTTTGTCTTGTCCAGAGTGCTTGAGTCTTTCCTGCATTTCCATTTTATGTGTTGGTTTTTTTTTTTTTTGATTGTTTGTTGTTATAGGAAAATTTTCCTTCTTTTGCAGAATGCTCTTTGTGAAGGTCTGTTGGCAATGACTTTTTTCATTAAAAAAACCATTTAAAAATATTTTTTAAAGGAATATTTTGGTGATTGTAGAGTTGTAGGTTAGCAGGTTTTTTTTTTTTTTTTAGCACTTAGATGTCATTGCATTGCCTTTTTTGTAAATATTTTTCATGTTGAGAAGTTGGTTACCCTTGAAAGTAATTGGCCAGTCTTATTACTGTCCTTTGAAGGTTTTTGTCTGCTTTAAAGAGTTTCCTCGTTGACTTAGATGCTGAGAAGTTTTACCAAGATGAGCCTAGGTGGTATTCTTTTTATTTATCCTACTCGGAGTTTGCTGAACTTTGTGATTCTGTAGCATTATGTTTTTACATGTTTTTAAGAATTGTTAGCTATTATTT
Organism: Homo sapiens; assembly: GCF_000001405.40. NCBI lineage: Eukaryota > Metazoa > Chordata > Mammalia > Primates > Hominidae > Homo > Homo sapiens. The sequence goes on from NC_000018.10 coordinate 28,323,307, forward strand.
CTACAATAATTCTATCACATTCCTTCTCTCAACGTTTTCTTGTTGTCTATTTTCATAAATATTATAATTTTTACTCTGCCCAGAATGTCCTATAGGCTCTCATCCATTACCATTATTTCTCTCTGTGCTTCAGTTTATTTTTTATTTGTTTTAGAGCTTATTAATTTTCTCTTCTGCAGTATCCAAACTGCCATTGACCTATCCATTGAGTTCTTATTTTTTTAGATATTTATTTTTAGCTATGGGATGCACACTTATAATTTTCTCATAACTTCTGATTCTACCTCATAGTTTTGCATCATTTTTCCGTTATTTCCTTTACTTTCTTGAACTCTGAAGGAACGCTTTTCAGCTTGCTCCACTATTAGCTCACTTGAGGATCTGCTTCTACAATATGATTTTCCCAGGGGTATTGGTGCCATGGTGTTGTCCGTTGGCCTGTAAGTACTCGGAGTCACTTATAAACAAGACTACATTATCTCTGTGAAGCTATACAGGCTCTTCAGTATTTTTTCCTGGAAAACTCCATAAATGCTTTCTGGTTGAACTAGTTATTGAACACCTATTCTTTAAGGCACTGCCACGGACTTAAGGAATTACAGAAGCATAGGATATGATATTGGCCTTGTAGAGATTACAATCAAATTAAAGACAGAAAACAGCATACATAAAACAATTATAGAATAACTAAATGTTAAATTGTGTGATAGTAACTCTAAGGGTAATAGTTCAGAGAAAAGAGACATTAGCGTGTACTACAGTAACAGATGTAATAATAGTAGTAATCTTGAGAGAGAACCAAATTCTTCCATAATACCTGGCAATATAACTTGTGTAGCAAGTTATGTTGAGAGTAAATTGTCTCTTCTTTTAGCCAGAGTAAGTCTCTCATTATCACACAATAACAGTTGCTGATAACATTAGGATCTTCCACATTTCTAATGAATATTTCTGATTTTTATACTTCTTATGCTGATGTTAAATATGAATCCATATTGGGGGCCCTAGCCTGCTCTGATTTTATCTCTTTCCATGTCCATCACCAGCTCATTGTCTTTATGTGTCTGCCTTTTTCAAACTGAAATGTGATTAAATTAATTGGTTTAAAAATACACTGTGTCATGCTGTGAATATTGGGTTTAAATACAATTGCAGTAGGTTGCACTAATTAATTAATTGGGTTTTATTTTACGAGCTTGGAGTTAAGGATGCTTGAACATAATATGTAAATTTATGCAGAATGTGCAAATCAGTATTTTGATTCAAGCATCCTGGCACACAGAAAAAATAAAACACTGAATATAGAAAGTATGATATAAGCTAGATTTATTTATCCTACGGGTTGAATTGTCACCTAAGCAACTCCAAATGGAGGCTGGCTTGGTTGGGGCTGGTGTGTAGGAAGATGGACTGAGAAACTTAAAAAATTCAAAGTTAATTTATTTCAAAATTCATATAGCTTAAATGACTAAAGGTAGGAGAAAAGGTATTGATCAAATGAAAGCTTTTCTGAGCTGGCTTTGAAGAATCTGTTTATATCTTAATTGATAGCTCCTCTTTTATTACTCGGTCCTGGGGTTAACCTCAATTGTATCCATTTACTCAACTAGTGTTTAATGAGTTGCCATGGTGTGCCTCGTACTTGTGATAAGATTAGAAGATAGGAAGATTAACAAAATGCAATTCTTCTTATTGAGAATCTCATAACTTGGGGGGTATACATGTGCACATAATTAATTATGATGCATTGTGATAATAATGCTAATAAGTCCCAGGGTTGCTGGCAGTTCTCGCTTGAAGCAGTGTTCCTTCCATTCCTGGAAATATAGTCTAGTAATCCGAAGTAGGATCTTTACTTGATCAGCTAAGAATGCATTCAATGAGAAGCATCAGAAAACCCAGCGATAGTGGTTGAAAAAACAGGAGTTTATTGTTCCCACACTATAGAAAATACTAAAGTAGTCGTGACAGGCATGAGTCCAGTGGCTCAGTAATGTCAGTGCTGAGGTCTTTAAGATTTTTTTGGCCTTTATCTTCAAGGACCAAAATGGCTGCTTAAATCTCATCCACAATCCTGCTTCAAGACACAAAGAATGTTGGAAGGAGAAAGTGGAAAGGGCCTTTTCTTTAATCAGTTTGCACTTTTATTCAAGAATGAGGCCCTTCTCCTCTCTCAGTCAGATTTCCCATTTCCTCTATTAGCCAGATCTGGGACACATGTTTAATTTTAAACAATCACTGGCCGAGAGCAACACCAGTGCAGTGAGCGATTATCAGGTCATGATTTATTCCCTGGGGCTTGTGTTGCTGCTCCCTCAGATCAAGGTCTCCCTCCACCTGCTATCTTAACACTTTTTTTTTAAAATCAGGGATAAAGAGGGATAGTAATGTCTTTTATGTAAGGAAAGCACTGTGTCTGCTGCAGCATTCACTTTTTAGAGAATGTTGTTGATATTTTATTAGAAGTAAGTTCGTAACCAACAGCAACATTTCTTAATATCCACTTTCCTCCTTTCTACTGTTCAACAGTGTCCTCAGACTCACGCAATTGCTCCAAAGCCTTTCTGTTTACCCCTGACTCTCACATTCCCACCCAAACCCAACTCACTATTTGCTAAAAACCCAGAAGTGCTCTCTCGGCAGCTGTCCAAATTCTCTCCGTCTGTTCAGAATTGTGCTGCGATTCTGATCTTCTATTCACATCATTTTTTCTTCCACCAAATAAGTGTGACTGGTGCTTCCTTCTCAGAAGCCTCATTTGGTGTTCCCAACACAGGAGGGAATGTGGAAAAATATAACAAGTTTCTAAATTCTGACGGCGTTTCTCAAGAAATTCAGCCTACTGCTTAAATTCTGCTCTATAAAGGGTAATCCAAGAACTGGTCAGAAAGTATCCTTCTTACCTAAAAAGAAAGAAGGGCAAAAGGTAAGGATATAGGAAAAGCAAGAAATATTTTTATATAAATAATTTTATTCTTGTTACATGACAAATCCTGCAACAGATGTTTGAATGAATAATTAGCACAGAGAATAAAATGACAAGTTGAGACAATGGGTGACTGACCCTTTTAGGGGTATAAAATGAAATGGATGCAGGAGATATGGCAATAGGAATGGGAAGGTTCAGTCAAGACAGGATCAAGACCATGGGATAAAATATGGCAAAATAATTTGCGTACAACTTTTCCTCCAAATTTATTTCCGCCTCCTTCTTTTCTTTGTCTTTATTTTCAGTCCAATTTTGTTTTCTTATTCCTCTAACTTTACCTCAATCCATGGATCTTATATAAATTAAAAACATAAAGAAGTTGTTAGATTTCAGAATGCTTTCTCTACTCCCTTCACCTCCCTTTATCAGTTTTTAATTAGAGCTTCTTACATCAAAGATGTTTCTAGAAAAAGAAAGAATAATTGCTTGATGGGCCCGGGTTTCCTGTCCTTCACACTTTGAGGTACACCCACTCTTAATTAATGAAGTTAATTAATTTAATTTTGGCTCCACCAAAACATGATATCTTCTTGGCTACCAGACTTACCACCATTCTAATTAAGGTAGCAATTTTGTAGAAATTTCGGACTAAGTTTAGAATCTGGCTTCATTGAAGCTCCGAAGCCCTTCCTTTTCTCATACTGTGTTCTATGTATCTTTTCTATCTGGCTATTCTTGAGCTGTATTCTTTGTAATAAATCAGAAATCTATTAAGTATCATGTTTCTCTGAGTTCTGTAAGTCATTCTAGCAACTATCCAACCCAAGGAAGAGTTTTAAAAACCTCCAATTTATAGTTGTTTGATCAGAAGTACTGGAGGCCTGGACTTGATTGGCATCTGAAGTGGAGGCAGTGTTGTGGGACTGATCCCTTTAACTTGTGGGATCCGATGCTAAGTGTCAGAGTTGAAGATAATTTTCAGACATTCATCTGTTATCTGTAGAATTAGAGAATTGCTTGCTTGTGGGAAAATCCCTATACATCTGGTATCAGAAGTGAAGTGTTCTGAAGTATTGAGTATTGTGAATTAATGTATAGAGGAAAATAGTTGGTTTTCCTTGTATAAGTATCACTTTCCAGGGTTTCACTTAGCTGTCGGTGAAACCAAACCAAACCAACAGACCAAAAACCACTCATGTGTATCTATTCCCTGCCATCTATAAAAGCACAGTTTGTTCCAAATGATGCAGCCTGCTAATTCTCTCCTCTTTGGCCGTGTGGGTGATACTGTCAAAGCACCATTTGTACTGTAATTATCAGGCATGTGTTAGGTTTCAAACCTTAGGTCCACCCAAACTCCAGAAAACGCAGACTTAAGGTGGCTTTTAAAAAGTGTTTCTCGTTTTACTTGGGATGAAGGTAAAGCACCTCTACCACTTCCTTTCAGCCCTTCATCAGTCCACTGCAAGGAACTGATTTTTTCCTAGAGGAGGCTGAAGTCATTGACATATTAGGAGTGCTGCGTGAATGAGGCAGCAAGATCAAATTCCCTAAGCATGGTTTGCATGGGAGGCCTGGCACTGTATATTGGGATATTGCAGGGCTTGTCGCTTACTGTTTTGTTCTAAACCTGTGGGGTCTCAGACAAATCTGAAATAGAGTGAAATGCATTTTGACCTCCTATATTTTTATGTCTTTATTCTAGGTACTGTGTCTAACATTGGAGGTAAAGTTGAGGAAGCCTCACTTTTTGCTTTGTAGGAGTGTATGTTTTAGGTAGTTGAGTCAGATATCTAAACAGATAATAAAAATACAAGTCAGAGAAGCTGATTTGAGGGGTACTGAACACTTCTTACTCTGACCACTGCTGCAGCAACTGCCTCTGGGGAGGCTTTACCAGCTTTGTACGGGCACAACTTGGCAGCCCACTTACGGGGCCCAGTTTCTGTGAAGCCAATGGTGCACAATGTCCTCAGGAACCTGCTTGACACAAGAGCGTGCTCAGCGGAAGCAGGGGTAGAGCACTCTGTGGGTGACCTCAGTCACTTTTAGCTGTTTGTCTCTTTCTTGCATATTATATGAAGTCTACAGGTACATTGACATCTAATTTCAGCTAAGTTGTCCTTAGGGTCTAAATTTTTCCATAAACATCTCACCTGTTGCATCCTGTGTGTGGAGTTCACACAGGTGGTCCCAAAATGCTCAAATATTTAATAGAACATTCCTTGAAATAAATTCTAAGTCAATTTTTTATACATTAAGGCAATGAAAATATCTTTTTTTTTAATTGAGGCAGAGTCTCACCCTGTCTCCCAGGCTGGAGTGCAGTGGTGCTATCTTGGCTCACCACAACCTCCGCCTCCCAGGTTCAAGCGATTCTCCTGTCTCAGCCTCCTGAGTAGCTGGGATTACAGACATGCGCCACCACACCCGGCTAATTTTTGTATTTTTAGTAGAGATGGGGTTTCTCCATGTTGGCCAGGCTGGTCTTGAACTCCCGACCTCAGGTGACCCGTCCACCTCAGCCTTCCAAACTGCTGGGATTACAGGCGTGAGCCACTGCGCCCGACCAAAATATCCTGTTAGAGTATTTGGTATGGTGCTTTATCCTACTTGTGATTCCTTGGGAAATACTAATTGATCACAGAGTATGTGGCTATCACCATGCAAACCTGGAGTAAAAGGAAAGTTTATAATTTGTGTAACCTGTATAATTTAATTGGAGAGAAAAACATATACATTCCAAGTTCTTAATTATCAAATTAATATAAACTAAGTCATCATGAGGTTAATAGTGAACTAGAAATAGATGATTTCAGGCCTCTAGGATGGGGGAGTCATTTGTTATCAGAAGTGAGCACCATAAGTTTACTTATTCCTTACAAAGAAACTCCTAATGCCCAGAGCCTTTTCTTGGTCTGTTCACATTACTTTAGTTGGCTGCAGCAAATAAAATAAACTCAAGGTTAACAATGTTGGTGTTAAGGTTTTAATAAGATTTCAATGTTTTAAATTTGATTTCTGTTTTGCCGTTTTCCGGTGTGTTATGAAACAGTATGTAGGAAATGATAAAGCATGTTTTCCATCACCAAGACTAGAGATCCAAAGTGTTATTCTGACAAGCAAGGCTTGGTTTTGCAGAAAAAAAAAATGAATTTCCCCACCCATGAATCCGTTTACCTAGTAGAATTTCTTTCAGATAGAATTCTAAGTTTCAATTCACTAATATGCAGATGATTGCACTGTCCAATTGGGGAATCAGCAAAGAAATGATACCTTACAGCTGCTGAAAATGTTTTTTCCTGTTCATTAGAACTTATAGCAAACAAGTATTTAACTAATTCATTTGCTGCAGATTCTTTGGAAGATTTCATTGGTTCTTTCATGCCCAAACTTTTGGAGGAAGATTTCTCTTTAGGGAAACGTGTAGATGACCCCAAACAATTCAGAAAAAAAAGGCTATTTCACATTTGATAGTTTCTGAGTTGAATCAATGAACACTTATAATAATGTATCAATGCTGATACATTATTATCACCCAAAGTCCATAGTTTACATTAGGTTTCACTCTTGGTGTTGTGTATGGTTTTGACAAATGTATAATGACATGTATCCACCATTGTAGTATCAGACCAAATAGTTTCACTTCTTATTTTGAGCATCAAACTTGTCAGTATGAGAGATATGTAAATATAACACCATTCTTAAGAAACTTACTGTCAGATTGGAAATGCAAAATATGAAATATAAACAAATAACAAATAATAAAACAGCGCATGTTTGGGCAATGCAATTGATTTTTTTAAAAGACTTGAATTAAAAAAAAAAAGACAATTTTAGGTTCATAGAAAAATTCAGAGGACGGTACAGAGATTTCTCATGTAGACCCTGCCCCCAAATTGACATTTCCTCCCATATTGTCAACATCTCCCACCAGAGTGGTACATTTGTTAAAAGTGATGAACTTATGTTGATACATTATTATCACCCAAAGTCCACAGTTTACATTAGGTTTCACTCTTGGTGTTGTGTATGGTTTTGACAAATGTATAATGACATGTATCCACCATTGTAGTATCAGACCAAATAGTTTCACTGCCCTAAAAATCCTGTGCTCTGCTTATTCATCCCTCTCCCCTCCCTCAATCCCTGGAAACCATTGATCTTTTTACTGTCTCCATAGTTTTGCTCTTTCCAGAATGCCACATAGTTGGACTCATACAATATGCAGACTTTACAGATTGTCTTCTTTTACTTAGCAATATGCATTTACATTTTCTCCATTTCTTTTCATGGGTTGATAGGTGATTTATTTTAAGTGCTGAATAATATTCCATTGTCTGGATGTGCCCTTTTATCTTTCCATTCACTCTCTGAAGGACATCTTTGTTGCTTCCAAGTTTTGACAATTATAAATAAAGCTGCTACAAACACCGGTGTGCAGGTTTTTGTGTGGATGTGTTTTAAACAACTGTTTTGGATTTAAAGAGTGCAATCGCTAGGTAGTATGGTAAGAGTATATTTAGTTTTGTAAGAAATTGTCAATTTTTTTCCCAAAGTGGCCATACCATTTCACATTCCCACCAGCACACCACCAAATGCTGGTGTTAGTAAAGCAGGTGAGCAAAATATTTGGAGGGGCTTGTCTTGAAAACCCACTTGCCTTGCTTACTGAGTCTTGAAGTCAGGTCATGTTAGATCTCTAACTTTGTTCTTTAATATTGTGTTGAGTCTTTTGTCACTCCATATAGACCTTATAATTATTTTTCCAAGGCCGCCACAATAACTTGCTAGAATTTTTATTGTGATTGCATTCAATCTACTAATGAAGTTGGGAAGAACTGGCATCTTGGCAGTATTGAATCTTGCTATCCATAAATATGGAACATTTCTCCATTTATTTAGTTCTTTGAATTCTTTCATCTGAATTGTATAGTTTCCTCATATAGATTATGTACATATTTTTCTAAACCTATACCAAAGTATTTCATTTTGGGGGTGCCAATGATATTATATTTTTAATTTCAAATTCCACTTAGTCATTGCTGGCATTAAAGGAAAGTGATTGGCTTTTGTATATTAACCTTGTATCCTACAGTTTGCTATAATCAATTATTAGTTCTAGGAGTGTTTGGTTGATTCTTTTGGATTTTCTACATAGGCAATCCTGTTACCTGTAAACAAAGACAGTTTTATCTCTTTCCTCCCAATTTGTATACCTTTTAGTTCCTTTATTTGTCTTAAGACTTCCAGTAAAATGTTGAAAAGGAATGACGAGAAAGAAAAATTTTAATAGATTTTCATTAATTCCTCTCCCTTTAAAAAAAGTAGTCCAGATATTTATAGCCATGTTGCATGTGTAAGTTAATGAGAATGCAGAGATTAGTTGCGTCCGCAAGTGGGAAGGGGAAATTTCCAGGGGGAAGGAACCTAAGAAGATTATCACAATAGGGTGATGATAGCAGATGAAGCATTCCAGCCTAAGAAAGCCACATGAGCAAAGATATGATCTGCAGTTGAGCAAAATAAACAGATTAAATGGGAAGGGGACCAGTATGACTGAAGCAAAGACTGCTTCTTTTAGATTCCCGGGAATGAGGTCAAGGTGGGAAGGCAGATTAGGAAGGGCCACTGGTCACATTCAGATGGATTCGTGGTTTTTTGTGCTCATACCTTACACACTGGAGAGGCATTGGGAGTTAATTGAATGCTAAAGTGGCTTGGTGAAATGTTATTTTTGGAAGATTAATACCTGTAGCTCTATTATAAATGGGAAGAGTTAAGCCACCTAATCTGATTGGAAAGATGTAGGGTAAGGACGGCCGGCTTCAAAATAGGGTATGACTATCCTGGGATTCCATGGCAACATTTCAAGGGCATTGTTCTGGGGAAATTGATTTCAAATCCTAAACTTTTATTTGTACTTTTTCCTAAAACTGTTCTGTGGTTTGAGATGTCATGCTGATTCTCAGCTCCACCTCTTCTTTCACCGTAACCTTTCTCCCACTTCCAAAGGCACAGTTGTCCTCTCTCCAATCCAGAGTCTCTTTCTGGTGCATTGCTCTGGCGTGGAAATCCTCCTGCATATCAAACAAGGAAACAATTCAAAATGTCACTGGTGTTGAGAAAGTGAAAGCCTCTAATAAAGGAACTGGCAATAAATCCTTTACGAGATATGTGGTTTCTAATGCATTTCTTTCAATACAATGTAAAAAAGAACCTAATCAGATTGATGATTATTAATTTTTGTTTTCAGGTAAGGTATAATTTTTTACATAAAATATAAAGGTATTTTAAATAATTGAGTGCCATTGCTTTGGGGAAAATGGAAGAATTTTATTCCTAACAACTTACTTATTTATGTTTAATTCTATTAAAAAAAAAAACTTCAGCCGAATTAAATTGAAAGGAGTTTAATTGAGCAATGAATGATTCGCGAATCAGGCAGCCCCAGAATCACAGCAGATTCAGAGACTCCAGGGCAGCCAGACGGTGGAAGAAGATTTATAGACAAAAAAAGGGAAATTATGTACAGGAATTGGAAGTGAGGTACAGAAACAGTGAGACTGGTTACAGCTCAGTGTACGTCTTATTTGAACACAGTTTGAACACTCAGTTGTCTATGAGTGGTTGAAGTATGGCCGCTGGGATTGGCTAACACTCAGCTATTGTTACAGGTGAATGCTACTAAGTTAGGTTTTCAATTTTGTCTGCCTATTAAGCTAGGTAACGATTGGACCACAAGGACTCAAATATAGAAGTACAGAGTCCTTCTCAGGCCATATTTAGTTTGCTTTAAACACTATATAAAAGAAAAAAATAGAACTGATGCCTCTTACTTTAGCAGTAATTAATACAGATTCACAGATATATGAACTAATTTAAAAAGTTTCATCTATCTCACCAGATATGTAAATCTGCTAATATTTTACATTCTGTGTTGACTAATTATCAAAACATCAAATATATTTGTTGGTTTTATTAACTATAATAATAAAAATGTTAATTTAACTACAATATTAGAGTGTTATGGTCCTGAAAAATAAAAATATGTGGATAGGTTGCCAATAAAAGATTTCATGAATAAAAACATATTACATTAGAATAAAATTCTGCAGGGAAATGGAACGGAAGTAGAAACCCAAGGAGAAAAAAGAATGATATGAAAACAATTTGTTCATGTATTTTTTTAAATGGATAATGGAGGGTATCAAACGTCTCTGATAATTTTCCACTGGATACATTTAAATGAGCTAGGTACCAGTTTTATTTAAATAGCCAACATTTACAATATGCCAGCAATTATATGCAACTACTTCAAGATAGTTGAAAAATTTTAGATGTCAACTAAAAAATGTGTGTGGCTTTTCAAATTATTTTTGGAAGTCTGTGAGCAAAAATACTAGAAGGGATGTCTCTTGAAAATGCATTTGCCTGTCATACACAGTTTTACTTTTTTATTATTAAAAATAATAAAGTTTTATAAAAATGCCCACTATTGCTATTTTTCATAAGATTTAGAAAATATCAATTATTGTATTGGGTGACAATAGGGGAAGGGGGCTGGTGGAGTTGAGGTTCCACAGCCCCCAATCCACCTCTTGGCGGTTAGCAGAGACAGGAGGATGGCATGACAGAGGATGGAGTCTGGGACACATATGATCGTGATGACTCTTTCTGCTTTTATCATTTGACACTTTTTATTTAATGTCCCTTTCAGTTATTTTTCTTTTTGTTGCTTTATATTTTATCTTCCAAACTAAATGCTTAGATTTTTGAGGGCATGGTCTTCTTCTTACATTCTTTTAAATTTTTATCCTGAAGTGGTAATATAACTCCTGACATACAACTATATACAAAATATTTCTATTTATTTAAATCATTTCTTATTTCAATAGGACTTCAATTGATGATTGGTGGAGGCATTAAAGGAGATGATAGAGCCAAAATAATTCCCTGATCTTGAGCAAGTCTTTAGGATAATGATGACACTTAAAAAAAGAAAGATGCTTAGGCTAGAGAGCTTATTTGGATATACAGAATTTGAGATGAGCTTGAGGACTTGGCTGGCACTGGCCTATAGATGCCTCTTAGTAAACCAAAAAAGATGTCCCCTCTGTGTTGATAAATTATACCTTTCTCTGGAGAAAGAAGCACCCTTCCTCCAGGTGTATACAGTCCTATGTCAGGGCCCAGAATTGTACAGTCCTAACCCAGTGCCTTTGTGGAGTGTACAGATTGTCCAACTATATTTGCTCCTCTGTGTGAGAGAGATAGTTGACTGTTAATCCCAGTTTATCTATATGTATTTGCTTTATTCAAAAGCCAAAAACTTTATCCTGGCAAAATAATCCATTAAGTTGCACTACATTTCTACATGAAATTGTGTGTATGAGTTCCTTGCTGAATTCACGTTACCATTTGCACTCAACTGCCAGTAAGCTTTATGTTGACAATTTAGGGAACTTCAGAGATATGCCTGGCTCCAAATACATGCAGCATGTATTTTATCACCCTGTCACAAACTCTTCTTCCCTTTTTCTCTTGCTATGCCTAAAATTCACCATACCAAAGCAAGTCAGTTTGTATGTGACAAATGCTGGGGTTTTATTTACAAAATGCCATGGCTAAAAAGCACATATTTTATCAGGAAAAGAAGAGAGATGCCATGAATTAGTTTATTTATCTATGAAAGAATTGTACTTTAAGGAATTTGATCCTTAACAATAGAAAATATCATTCATTCATTTATGTTTGTTCAGCCAGCAAACTATTAATATCTCTTATACTCTAGGCATTGTCACCCGTGTAAAAAGAAAATAAAAGAAGGAAGACAAAGTTTTGTTTTGTTTTGTTTTACACCAATAACAGTCTCAATCTAGTGCAGGAGAAATATATTACATCAACAGTAATACAATACAATGTTTACATGTCCCTTATAGAAGTATGTACCATGCACTGGACCATGAAGTAAAATCTAGGAAGAACCAATTCTGCTACATGGGGAAGGCTCCTCAAAGAAAACAGTATCTGAGTTGGTTATGGGCTGAATGTTTGTGGCTCCCCAAAATTCGTATATTGAACTCCTAACCCCCAACTTGGTAGCATGTGGAGATGGGGCCTTCGGGGGGTAATTAGAGTTGGATAAGGTCTTGAAGATGAGACCTCATAATGAGTTAGTGGCCTCATAAGAAGAGGAAGAGAAGTCTCTCTGCATGTACCAGGAAAGGCTGTGTGTGCACACAGCAAGGAGGTGGTCGTCCGCAAGCTGGCAAGAGTCCTCATCAGAACCCAACCTGCTGACACCTTAACCTTGGACTTCTAGCCTCTAGAACTGTGAGAAACTAAATTTCTTTTGTTTAAGCCACCCAGTCTGTGGTATTTTGTTAGGGCAGCCTAAGCTGACTAAGATGGGAGTTTAACTCTAAGGAATCCATAGACTTTTTCTTGTAGACCTGTGACGCAGATCTCCCATTTGACCCTGTGGATCTGCTCTCCACCCTTCTCCACCTCATTCTCCACCCCACAAATGGACCTATATGGGTGACACCTACAGCCCTCCCTGTACTCTCACTTCCACTTGGTGAGCCCTAGGCAGAGATGAGAGGGAGGGTGCAGAGTGAGGGTGCGGAATTTACTCCACAGGCTTCTCCCTGGTAGGGTTACCTTTGGCTGGGTTCCCTCTGTCAGGGCTACCTCTGTTGGCTGTGTCTCCTCCCCTGTATTCCCTCCAGGTGGCAGGTCTCCATGACTCTCTGTTTCTGGCTTCCAGCTAAGCTACTGCTACCTTTTTTGTCTCTTCAGGTCTAGTGATGGTAACCCTCCCCACCTCATTGCTAACCCCAGGGTGCTGCATTATCTCTTTTGGTTTATCTACACCCTGCCTACACAATTGTAAATAGTCCCTTTATTAAACCCCACTCAAAGTATCCTAATATGAATGCACCATCTGTTGCCTTCTGGGACCCTGACTGATACAGACTAAATTGTGTGAGGATGTGTCTGTCTAACTCACCCAATAAATGTTAGCTATTTTTATATCACACTGTGATAATATTTTGAAATGTAAGCAATATTTTTTCTTCCAATATTGCCTATTATCACTTTACTGTTTCCAATTAGAGCAGCTAGGCTGTTGATTTCACTGCTTTATTGAAAGGTTTGTTATAGCCATACCAGAAAAAAAAATAACTTTTGGGTGTGAAATAAATAGATGCCAAAAGACTAGCTGCTTAGGAAAAGTCTAAGTAAGAGTAAATAAAGTTGAGGAGGATTGATGGAGTTTCCACTGGCGGATCCTTCAGAAGGAACATTGTACCACCTCCTCCCCCAATGAAAGTATATTTGTGGTAGGAGAGGGTGGACAAAGCCTCTGCAAAGAACCAGGAATCTACAGGTAGGCAGAATTATGCTCAGTGAGATGGCAGGATCTCAGAGAAGAAACCACTACTGGGTGTCTAAGCAGAAATGTCAGAGATTGTCTCACAGTCTTAGGATGATGCAGAAGTAGCAGAACAAATATCTGAGTCCCACAAGGGGCATGGAAATAGCAAGGAGATTTTCAGCGCTGCCAGATGGACGGCCAAAGGCTAGATAAAAACAGTAGCATGAATGGGGGATGCAAGCACGCACTTATAAACACAAGGGCCCCTTTCCTGCACCTGTGTAAGTGCCTCAGACCCAGTCCTAACATAGCAAAAGAGGTGAATTCCTTAGTGGGTTGACTATAGGTTTTACCCACCAGAGACATGGAGCTCAAAATGGAAAATTAATTTGAGTTTTAATAAAACAAAAAGTTTTATTTCTTGCATGTCCCAAACTGTAAACATTGAGTCATGTCTGCTACATGTTATTAAGATTACTATTATTAATAAAATGGGCAAAGATAGAGAGTTTTCCAGGTAGAAGTAATAGTATGTTCTAAGGCAAAGAGGTCAGGGAACATGTAGTAGGTGAAGTTGCGGAGCGGGTAATGTAGAAGATAAGAGCAGAGCTGCAAGTTGGAGAATTGTGAATAATGTGAATAATGATAATGACTGTTTGCCAAGTGATTGCTATGAGAAAGACCCTCTGCTGATGACTATAAATTCATTATTGCATTTAATGTTTGCTATGTAGGACTCTTTGCTGATCACTAGAAATTCATTATTGTATTTAATGCTCTCAGCAATCCTTACTTTACAGAAACGAAGTTGAAACTAAAGGAGTTGGCAGGGGCCTAAGTCATGGAGCTGGAAAGTGGGGAAACTGGGCTGCAAGTCCAGCAGGGTGAACTGCAAAAGCCCAAACACGCCTTCTTGTAAAGCAACATGCCATTATCCCCAGACTTGAACTTGTATTAAGTAGGCAAATGACAACGAGATATACAAACTTTATGATATGATAAGAGGTGTGCTTTAAAAGAGCATTCTGATGACAGTGTGGAGAAAAAAATTGCAGAGGTAAAGGGCTAAAGGCAGGAAGACCAATATAGAAGGTTTTCTATGGACCAGGTAAAGAGTGGGAGTGTGTTAGTCTGTTTTCCTACTGCTACAAAGAACTACCTGAGACCAGGTAATTTATGAGGAAAAGAGATTTAATTGACTCACAGTTCCAAAGGCTGCATAGGAGGCATGGCTGGGGAAGCGTCAGGAAACTTACAATCATGGCAGAAGGTGGAGGGTAAGCAAGCACATCTTCACATGGCAGCAGACAGAGAGAGAAGGGGGGAAGTGCTACACACTTTCAAACAACCAGATCTCGTGAGAACTCACTCACTATCATGAGAATATCAACGGAGAAATCCGCCCCCATGATCTAATCGCCTCCCACCAGTTCCCTCCCCCAAGACTGGGGATTGCAATTCAACATGAGATTTCCCTGAGGACACAGAGCCAAACCACATCAAGGCGGTCGGAAGCATCCTAAACTAAGGGAGTGACGAAGTGAATAACTAGTATGTGGTAATACAGGGTGACCACCTAGATGAGTTGCAGCTAAAGATGAAGATGAGCATGATTCCCATGTTTCTGGTATGTGTTACTCCATGAGTGACAGGTTTGCACTTGTTTGTTGATAATTTTTGCAAAAAACTGTGTAACTATATTATCATTGCAGTAATAAAGGAGGAAGGAATTGCCTCTCTAGGCTTCAAAGGAATAGGTGAGCTTCAAACTGGGACTTACAAAATGGGTAGAATTGGGACATCCAGTGATGCGAGAGGAACAAGGAAGAAGACAGGAGAAAACAACAGTGTAGGGGAGACAAATTTGTCAAAGATTTATTTCTTAGTAGGTTTAGAGTAGATTTATTCAAACATACTTTGAATCACAATGTACATATTTACCTAAACTTATTAGTACTTCTTTAAATATAAACTATAATAAGGTTTGTCAAAGGAATGCTGCATATTAAAAAAGTACCATAAAAAGTAAAAAAAAGCACCATGTGTGGTTTTGCTGGCTCATGTAACTGCAGTTAGTGAATTTCCATTTATTTCAGAATTGTGATGACCAAGTTCCAGTTCATATCTAAAATCATATTAAAACAGAGTTTCTTCTTAATCAATCAAGCTAGTTGTCTATCTATTAATATCAATCAATCAATCAATCAATCAATCAATCGTCTGTCTACCAATCCATCTATATCGCTGATGCTCTTCGGTGTAGATCCTTGAAAGTATTGGTGAATAAATCTGAGTACAGCCTTGTGAATTCTATTTGTGTCTTTAACACCAGCAACAGTACTAGACCTTATAGTGGCCACCTATTAGGAGTCAAAGACTGTTGTTGGCTCTACGTAACATTATTCCTGATCCTCCCCAAATCCTTGAAAACTTGATATTATTCTCATTTGAACAGAGGAGAAATCAAGGCTCAGAAAGATTGTTACTTGTTAGTAGGCATTGAAGTTGGACTTCAAATCCTGATTTTCCCAAACCAAAATTCTGGTCTTTTTGTTTTCTATTACATTGTCTCTATATTGGTAAGCTGCCACATACGTTCACTATGCTGAAATTGGAATAGATTTGTCACTAAAAATGTGAATCTGAAATTATTTTATGATTCTATAATATTTTCTGGTTTTGAAAAAGAACATTCTGTTAAAGAATAAAGCATATGTAGTTTTTTCATATTTCTCTTTCCCAAGGCAGAAGGAGACTATGCGTCTGGTAAGACAGGAAAAAAATCAAAAAAAGGGAAAGGAATGGAGAACAGAGGCAATGCAGACATTGCCTCTATCTGCTCTTAACTATTCCAGCTAACAGATTTAGCTCCAAACTTTGATTTTAAGCTTTATGCTGTGTTATGTGAAAGAAGCTGTGCTTCTTCTTATTTATGTTTCTAAAAGAGTGGAATATTTGGTTATTTTAAGAATTGACAGAAATTTGATAGCATCCATGATGAACATTCTTAAAGGAGCAGAGAGACCAAAAATACATGCTTTTAGCAGATTTGGGGCCTTCATTTTGTCTTAGGCTACAAATTCAACAATTCAACTGAACTGTTCTGAATTCTAGGCTCTATTTTTGAGTTAGACTATCATCTGGAAATCATCTGTTCTAAACTATACAAAGGAACCCATTTTAAACATAATTTAGTTTCAGTGTATAATTTCAGTACCAGCTTACAAAAATTTGTTAAAACTTGAATAGTAGAATATTGAATTGTGCTCCCTTTTTCTAATAAAAATAGGTATAGGTCCAATACTTTTTGTTTATTACAATAAGACTGCTGCAAATGCTATTGTATGGCAGTGGCAAAAGGGAGTTAATTATTTGCAATTTTGATAAATTTTCCCCATGATCTTTTTGACATTACTTGCATGACAGAAACTACTTGAGGCATGTTATTGAGTTGCAATGTTCATTTCTTGTATCACCCTGAGGAAGGTGAGAGAAGTGGGCAAGAGCTGCTATCAGAGGACAGATAGTTTAGAATGTGAGCTGAGGTCCTAACCAGGGAGCTAAAAGAGCAAAAACGTTTTCTTCTGGATTCCTTCTCTACTGACATTTAAACAACTTGCATATACCCCGTATCAAGTGAATATATATATATGTGTTTGTATATATATAATGTTGTTTCATTGGGTCACTTTGCCTAAAATATTAAAGTAAAAAAATAAAATACAACAGAACAAACAGAACAAGCATCCCCATACCACCCATCAAATTTATTTGCAAAATTTTCATCACATTCCAAATGTGTGTTTTATTTAAAGTTTGATGTTGCTAAATTTTTTTACTGACACTTTCCTGCAACTATTTTTTATAAGTGAGACTCTTGTCTTTATGTAAAGAGGAGCAATAAAAAGATGAGCCGACATATGCACACACTTATTGTGACAGGGACCTGATGAGGAGGCTCATTCTGAACAGACTGTAAGTCAAAGAGACAGCATGGAAATAGCAAGAGACCTTCAGAATTCGTAGTTTTGATGGAAGGAGCTAGCAAAGCCATAGGAAAATTGCTAATGTGTCTTTACAAAGTTATTGGGATAGTTTAAATTAGTTGGAAAGTTTCTGATACTTGGGGACAAGTCCTTTGTATTTAAAAGTCCGTATGTTAAACTCAACAGGGAAAATTTTGCAAAGCTGGTAATCTGTGTTGTTTTGGGAAATAATGAAGTTGAAAAAACTTCCCTCTCTACTACTTCAAACCCTTTGGTATTACCTTTACGAAACACCCATGCAAATTTCTGTAAATTTGACTGATATTAAATTTGTTTGATTTCTGTTAATTTGTTTGATATTAAGATTATTAATTTCTTTATGTAAAATGCTTCATGAGTTTGCATGCCATTCTTGCCCCAAAGTGAAGCATATATCGCCTAGTAAACACACATAGAAATTATTTCATTTCTTACACAATGATGAGAAAGAATCTTCAACTGCCTAAAATACATTTGTCCAACATAGTATGATATGAGAGAGATCAAAAGAAAGGGATTTAAAGATAGCAAAAAGTTTTGGTGTCAAAAATTTGAAAATAGTGACTATTTCCTGATAGTAGATCCAATTTGTCTTTATTGAAATGACAACTAGACACTTGTATAGGGCAAAGAGACAGACGACAGCAAATTTAAAAATTTGCCATTGGTGCCAGTGTAGCTTTTATATGCAGAGATAAAAAGAATATTGCTCAGGTGGAATTGATGTCATGAGCTGTGGGATGCACATGTTAATTATGGCTGAAGTTGAAGTGAGATCATAATGAAGAATTGATTTGAAATAGCTTAAATTTGACAAGTAAATATCTGGGACAGAATGGTAATAAGTATATATTTGCTTTTGACCTTGGATTGAGTTTGATGGCAAATAAAGCCCCAAAAATTTAAAGGAGAGAGAAATGAAGGCAAAGAAAGCATCAGATGAAGATTGGGAGAATGGAGAGTAAGAGCAAAAAGCCTACAGAGTAGATTTCTGGAACACAAGGTAAATAGAAAAAGGTGGCAAAAGTAACAAAAAAAAGGGGGGGAGCTCTAGATTTTTATTCCCTTTGGTCTCCCTTTCTTCTTTCTCTTTTTCTATTTCTTGATACAGTTAATATTCTTTTCACTAACTCTGTTGTGGTGGCCTGAGAGAGGCTGGTAGGATTTGCCCGCCTGAAACTATTGATGCATAATACATTATAAGGAATAATATGCTTACTGTCCTTTGAGCCTTGACTTTCATTATCAGTGGAGTACTTTGATAGCATTAAGCTTCTTGATAGACATTCAGGAACGTGCATACTCTATGCATGGTTGTATATATCTCTTTGTATATTTACAAAGGTTGCTAAGCTCCCAGCTCCTAACCACAGACATAATCCTATAAAATAGTTATATTTCTTTCTGTTTAAAAGTTTTATCAAGCTAGATTTACCATCCTATCAATTAGCCAAATGAAATATATGTAATTATATGGCACAAATGAAGAATTTGAATTATATAAACTAAGTTAAAACTATCTGCTTCTCTTTATTCTTTACATACAAATGAGGATATGTATTTTTCAAAGAATAATACTAGAATAATACCTTTGTCTGCTAAATATATAACATTTTCATACTAATGGTAGGATCAAGTGCTGTCCATGAGAAGTTGATTACCTCAGACATGATAGTCAATTAGGAAATATCCAAATGTTAGAAAAGAGACTGCCAAAATGGATGAAATTTTGTAGAAATGATATAAAAAGAAATCAGAGACTGTCATAAATTGGAATAATGCAAAGTCAGCAATAAGAAATCAGTAAGTTAAAGTAAATCGAAGATAAAATAATTTAAATGAACCAAAATTGGGTCATCAAAATTGTATAATTTTTTATGGTGAATAAAAATCAGCTTTCTCATCACATACATCATGAATTCATTAAAGAAACATGCTTCAAGTGGTTTGATTTATGCTGATAGCTTTGTGTTTATCTACCTACACTTTTGCATGTTGCTTTTAAAAATTTCTGCATATATTTTTATGCTGATTGGCTTGGGTATGGGCTGCAGCTGTAGTTAAAGAATGAAGTAAGGGAAATATTCCCTAATGGACAGAAACTCTGTCCTTGACTCTTGGTAAACTAGTCACATTTGCTTATCACAGCTAGTTAAAGGATCAAGTTATTGAAAATCAAATCCCAGTATGGGGCATCTGGAACCTACCTTCTAGGAAGCTAATAACCAAGAAAAACAGATGATTTAAAGTAAAAAACCATCATTCTCAGCAAACTATCACAAGGAAAAAAAAACAAACACCGCATATTCTCACTCATAGGTGGGAACTGAACAATGAGAACACATGGACACAGGAAGGGGAACATCACACACCAGGGCCTGTTGTGGGGTGGCGGGGAGAGGGGAGGGATAGCATTAGGAGATATACCTAATGTTAAAGGATGAGTTGACGGGTGTAGCACACCAACATGGCACATGTGTACATATGTAACTAACCTGCACATTGTGTACATGTACCCTAAAACTTAAAGTATAATAAAAAAGAAAAGAAAAATAATATTATTTATGAATCTGTTCTTTTATTCATTTCTTTTTTTTTCATTTGTGTATTTTCACAATTTTGATGATGTCCTTTTACTGATGGTGTTTGGCTGTTTTAACTGGAGAGTCATAAAGTAAAAATTACAGTTTGCTTCTAGATTTAGTAACAAAAGAAATTTAAAGTGCTTCATGGATGCTCAATTTAACATTTTCCTCTTCTGCAGCTGCACTGAAAGGTGCCAACTATCAGATAGTCCAATAATGGTTACTATCTGAATAAGGGTGGAATAAACTTTTATTTTACAGTCTTATGTGTTTTTGAATTTTTTTTTAATCCAAGCTAATGTGGTCCTTGGTCCTACTCTCTATTGAAAGAGACTCTGCCATTATCTACTCATGGGTCAACCACTGAATTGAGGAATTTAGCTTCATTTTATAGAATCCTCAGTAGGAATTAAATGGCAATAATACAGTTTCTTAAATAGAAACTGGCATTCAGAAAAATTGATTAATTTATGAAAGTCAGTTATAGAACTTCAGTCTCCATGCATATTTTCAGACCTGGACTCAAGATATTGAATATCATCAACGTTGGAGGGTATCTACTTAGTACAGTGGTGCCCAACCTTTTTGGCACAAGGATTTTGTGGAAGATAATTTTTCCATGAACCAGGCATGGTGGGGGGTGGTTTCAGGATGATTCAAGTGCATTACATTTAATGTGTACTTTATTTCTATTATTATTACATTGTAATATATAATGAATTATATATAATGAATTATACAAGTCACCATAATGTAGAATCAGTGGGAGCACTGAGCTCGTTTTCATGCAAGTAGATGGTCCCATCTGGGGGTGATGGGAGACAGTGACAGATCATCAGGCATTAGATTCTCATAACGAGCAGGCAACCTAGATCCCTCGCATGCGCAGTTCACAATAGGGTTCACACCTCTGTGAGAATCTAATGCCACTGCTGATCTCACAGGAGGCAGAGCTAAGGTGATAATGTGAACGATAGGGAGAAGCTGTAAATACAGATGAAGCTTCGCCTGCTAGCCTACTGCTCACCTCCTGTTGTGCGGCCTGGAACCCTTGGTTCCCCCACTAGAGGCTGGGGAGCCCTGATGTGGTATATACGCTCCAATTTCCCTTAGATATAGTCTTGATGTGAAATAAAATAGTGCTTTTCAAAAGACGATGTAAATCCTCATCCCTAGAAATCTTGTTGGAAAGCAGATTTGGATTCAGTAAGTCTGGGGTGGGGCCTCTAATTCTGCATTTCTAACAAACTCCCCGGTGATGGCTGACGCTCCAAGTCTGAGGTCCACCCTTCATATAGCAAAAGAATAAAGGTATCAGTTTGATTGTTCTAATGGAAAAAAAAAAAACAGAAAAAGTCATCCAAAATTCACTGATAAGTGGTTTTAGAGTATTCTTTTGTACTTATTTATGAGTTTATATTACACCTTGAAAATTTAGAGCACTCTAATTGAAACATTCAAGGAACAACCACAAAGGTTTCGAAACCCTAGAATGTGCCAATAATTATCCATATGTTCCTCCTGATCATTGCAATTTTTTCTTTTTCTTTTTATTTTTTTGAGGAACAACACAATCATTTTACGTGCTGGTTCTTGAATATGTAGAATTGACTTATTTTTCTCTTGGAATCTTATTTGTCTGGTTTCCGTTTTATTATAAATTTTAAGTTCCTGTCTTTGGGAAGGGTTAGTTGGATTATTTATACTTTATAAATTTTCTTGCTGTACTTAGTGTTAAAGATGATGGATGGATTCCCAAGATGAAACAGAAAGATTATTTTGTCCATATGAAATTGAACTACATAAAATGATTCCAGGCTATGAGAGCAAGGAGTTTTGTAGAAGAGGAGGTAGAAAAGGGGAGGAGTTGCTGCTTTCCTCCTGGGTCCAAAGCCAAACCTTGATGAAATTTTGAAATGACAAATTATACTTTTGGCTCTGAGTCATTTTCAAATATTCATCTGTCTTTCAATTTTAGTCCTTTCCCCATGAGCCCTAATGTTTTCTGTATTCTAATCACCTAAGCCTTTATCAAAATAGGTGATGTCCAAGACAATGCAAGATGCACAGATTGTACAGTGCACACCTCCCAGGGATACCATGTCCTGGAATTGAACAACATGCATCAGATATTTGTTCCAATGAAGAGTCTTGGACCCATTGCAAACCTAATGATTTAGAATTGTAAGATGAAGCCAAAAGCTTTGCATTTCTAAAAATTGTAGAATTTGATGTTATGTATACTAGCCGACATTTTGCACTCTATAGAGGTCTGCTCCACTGAACATAATAGCTCTCCTGCAGCTCCCAAAATTAAAAATCAAACTTCCCTGACATAGCATGATGAGGTATAGGTGAAGTGACAGATCTACAATATTATCAAAAATATTTGAATTCTAAGAGATAATTATTGTTAACTAAAATGCAACTCTATTTGGCAGAATTTTAGGCATTATGACAAATGGAAGGGATTTCCAAAAGAAGTGTATTTAGGAAGAAGAGAGATATGTTGGGGGCAGGTAGAACCACATAGACAGGATATTTATAACCGAGATTTTTCCCTTGGAGTAAAATCTTCAAAGATGTTTCTCAAAAGAGAAACAACTTCCTCTTTTCCTTATGAACCCAAAGATTCCCTAAAGAGATAAAAGTCCCCCACCCACATACCATTGTGTATAGTTATTTTTGCAGTGATAAGAAAGGCTCTATGGGTGATAGAGATTTAGGGACAGAAGCAGCCACTTTTTCTGTGTGTGGATGATTTGTAAGTCATGTAAGGGGCCATTTGGTTTTATGACATTACTGACTAAATCAGGGTTGGGCGAGGATGTAGCAATTCTTTTGCTCCACAAACATCTACTTCTGCGTTCTTTTAGTGGATTAAGTCAATCAAATATTTGTTGGAAATAACAGCATAATGTGGTTAATAACAGTTTACTGTGTGTTTTTTCTTTCTTTTTATTTTCAGAGTCTATTGGTACTCGTTTAGATCTACTATGTAAAATACGCTCATGGTTAATTGAGAATGATTCATGTTTATAACCTTATAATAGGGAGAGGACAGGTCTGAAGTTGACAGGAAAAGTCACAGACTAAAGCCCGACTTTGATTCTGGCTAGGGTGCCACACAGATATTCTCCTTTTAGCCTATTCATTTCCTCCTCCCACTCTTAGTCTGTGAAATGGTGAAGTAATAACTACTGTGCAGCAATGTTCTCTGGGAGTAATCAATGTTTTTCCAAAGATGAAAAATAGTTTGTACGTGGAATGAACAGTATTGCTACTTTAATTTTAACCACATGCTGTCTATAAAATAGGTCATTAGGCAATTAAAAAAACTTAGAAGTGGAATATGATAAGATGCAGTAAAAAGGTGGTATTTTACAGACACGGTGAGATTAGAAGTTGATTGTCTGAGATAGTAAGGATCCTCACAGGTTTGAAAAAATCAGCATGAGCTTTGGGTGTTTGATTTTATGAGAACAAATCTTGCCATTTCCTGAGAACGGAGCATGAGAACCACTGAGCTCATTGATATGATCATTGATCATGGAACTCTGTGGATGGAAGGGACTCCAGAGGGAGGAGGAAAGAAAAGGTGAGAATCAAATTGCCTGCTTCTTTCCAAAAGACATCAAGCATCCAAGGTTCCCGAGTTCTCCAGCTGACTCACATTTTGCCATAAGATGTGGCCTGTAAAGCGAGACCCAGAAATCCCAGAGGGAAAAGGCAAATGTTACCTTAAGTCTTCCATACCTTCCTTAACACACACAAAAAAGGTCCTTTAAGATCTAGAGTGATATATCTTAGGAAAATTTCTTAGAAAAATAATATTTGCATTAAACCCTCCTTGATGTAAGCCCTCACTGGTTCTTGGGGATAATTTGTGGGCAGAGGTTGGATTTTAGAAAAGGAATATTGACTAAAGTCAATGATTTGACTTGGACTTTGTTTTCCAATATATTTGGCTATTTAAATAAAAATTAATTAAATTTAAAGAAAATTAAAAATACAGTTTCTTAGTAATTCTGGCATATTTCAAGTGCTCAATAGCTACACGTGGCTAATGGCTACTGTGTCAAATGTACAGATGTAGAACCTTTTCATTACGCAGAAGGTTCTGTTGGCCAGCATTGGACTGGACTTTTATGACCCCAGTTACCTGTAATGAAAGGTCTTTCTACACCCTGCACTAGTTTCAAATCTGAGCTGATGGTCCTGCTTCTCTTTTGAACCTCATGTTACAACAGTCTCCACAGAGCCCTCACCTGTCACTTATCTTTTTATCCCTTTGAATGAGAAAGAGTGGAATACAGCAAGTCTATCCTGATCAGGTAAAATAAAGAACTGGAATGTGCACTGAGATATGGATGCCATGCTCTTTCTTTTACTGGTGTCTGACATATCGTCACCTATGCTCCAAATTTTTGAAATCTCCATGATCAGCAGTAAGAATCTTCATTTGAAATGGGGATCCAAAAGACTAAGGCTGCTTGCAGTAATCGGGCTCTTCTAATCCATCAGTCTGTTATACAGGCAGGTAAGTAAGTAAGTGCTGCTATTTATTCATTCCATGAACAACCATTTGTCTAGCAACATTCAGGCACAATGGAGAAGAACACCAGATTTTATCTTTGTTTTAAAGTGGTTTATTTGAGTCTAAGAGCAGTGACCTACTGTAGAAAAAAAAAAAAAAAAAAACAAAAAAAAAACCTAGCCTTGGCTTCCAGATAAATGTAGCTATGTGTTTCAGCTCTTTTATTTTGGAAAAGAAAAGAGCATCTGCCCCAAACCATCAGGGCTCCTTTCTGGTGTAATTAATGGTAATGAGTTGTCAATGGAAAAGTTAAACTCTTTGAAATATATAAAGAGGCTTCTTCCGAGCCAATATGAGTGACGATGGCCAAGGGAACAGTCTCAAGAGGTCCTGAGAAAGTTTGCCCAAAGCTGTAGGGTTACGGTTTGGTTTTATACATTTTTGGGAGACAGGAATTGCAGGTAAAACCATAAATAGGCTGGGTGTGGTGGTTCACACCTGTAATCCCAGCACTTTAGGAGGCCAAGGTGGGTGAATCTCTTGAGCTCATGAGTTGGAGACCTGCCTGGAGGTTCAATCACTTGAGCATGGGAGGTGGAAGTTGCAGTAAGCTGGAATGGCACCACTGCACTCCATCCTGGGTGACAGAGTGAGACCCCATCTCAAGAAACAAAAACAAAAACAAAAACAAAACAAACCCATAAATAAATACATAGAAGGTAAACTTTGGTTTAGCCAAAAGAGGGGCAATATCTTGAAATGGGGGGATTATACCTCATAGGTGGAATCATTGATTTCCTAGTTGACATAAGCTTTGTCTAAACACTTGAAGTCAATAGAAAGAAATGCTTGAGTTAAGATAAGGGGGCTTGTGGAGGCCAAGGTTCTTGTTATGTAGATGAAGCCTTATAGGTAGCAGCCTTTAGAGAGAATCGATGGCAAATGTCTGTCTTCATAAATTAAAGGTGCCAGGCTCTCCATTAGTCTCTCCTAGATATAGGTAAAGGCCTAGAAAGGAAAGGCCTGGTTGCATTAATAGAGATTCTGTACAGATGCAAATTTTCCACACAATAGATGGCTTTGCAGGGCCATTTCAATCTGCTGGACCTATGGGAGCTACTTCAAAATATGTCAAAGAAATACATTTTGAGGTGAAATATTTTGATTTCCTTTAGAGTCTGCTATCTGTCATGTAATACTCTATCACATGGAAAGAGGTTGGAAAGTAGCCTCATTATAGGTTGGAAAGTAAACCACATTATACCAGGTTAATGAAAATCCATCTAAGGAGATTTTGTTGTTTGCAGGACATGACTTAACCCTGCCTTCCAAAGCCCTAGATCTTGTTTACAATTTGGCATCTATTGCCACAAAAAGTCTGTTTTGCCAGTCTTACTGAAGCGGCCTTGTTGTCTGGGGTGACACCCGAGATTTGTTGTCTCACAGCCATGGAGATCAAGGATGCAGACACACAAAGAATGATGTTAAGAGTGGAAATTTAACAGACAAAACAGAGAGAATATCTCTCTGCTACAGAGAGGGGTCCTGGAAAAATGGGTTGCCTAAGCACGGCAAAATGCTGGGGGTTTTATAGATGCGCTAGTCAGGAGGCAGTGTCTTATTTACATACGGCACGAAAAACCTGTTAGGACTAGGTGTGCCATCTGCATAGGGCACAAATCTCTGAGAGCCCCCACCCCGATCTTTTATTACGCAGGTGGGTTCTCTGCCTCAACTTCTCTATGTTATCCAGTTCTTTCTTACTGCATATGTGCTAATGGAAAAGGGAAGGTGGGACCCCATGGTGGACACACCTGGTCCCCAGGTAGCCCTTTTCTATTGGTGCAGCTGCCAGCATCCCCCCATGCAAGCTTCCAGCTTTCTTATCTATGTTTGCAGCTCAATCTTTCAGGCTGTTCTTTGTTAGAAAAGAAGTGATCTCTAGGGCTGCCTTTTGTTAGAAGGGAAGTTCTGCTGAGGGCTCTTTTGCACTCATTATCTGCCTAAATAATTTCTTTCTATCTCCTGTATCATTATGATATCCATTTTACCTAAGCTCCGAAAGGCAGGGGGTATAATGAGGTGTGTCCAACATCTCATCCCATCATGGGTGGGAATTCAGTATTTTGGGTTTCTCTGAGGTCCCCTTGGCCAAGAGGGATCTCTTCAGTTGGTTGGAGGAGCTTAGGAATTTTTTGTCAGTTTACACACTTGAAGGAGACATGTAGAATTTGAGAATAGATATGCAAGAAGGCGATTGTCACCAGGTAGAGGGTGAATGACAGCAAGTTTTGACAGACTTTTTTTTTTCAGAAACACAAACATTATTTCTTGAGGTATTTGATGACAACCTTAGGATGCTGGGTCTGGCATGTAGTTTAGGATCTTTTCTATTAATAGAAACAGCAAAAGAGAACATTGAAAGGCAAAGATTTTCCACTATTCAGAATTATTTCTCTATATTTCTTAGGCTTCTAGATAACTAAAAATACAACACATCAACTAATTATCCAACTTCAGATCCAATAAGAGAAAACTAATGCTATTCAATTAGAGAGAGAGAGCTTCCGAAATCACTTAGATACCTGTATGATGGGAATAGATGTCTGTATGAATTTATCATTATTCTGTAAAATGGAAAAAACGACACTCTAGGGCATATGAAGAGCTTTGGTTAAAAAAAGGGATGGATAAAAAAGTGCTAAGAGTCCAAGGAAGTGAAACTGCCTTTGCAGAAATTATAACTGAGGTAATTATAATACTGAAAGAGATCAGATCTAACCACCTCCATTTTGCTTCAACCTCTAAGCTGTCCTTGTTCATTCCTGGGTGATGGCTAATCTAACCTTGGGAAGGAATTTAGTTTATAGTCTAACTTTGAGACAAAAATGATAATATCCCTTTCTTGGAAACAAACAAACAAACAAACAAACAGACAAAAAACGCTTTTTGCCTGCCGACCAGTCTGCCTTTTTAGGACTAACAAATTAGCTACAAGATTAGAAATTATGGTTTAGGGGCCATGCAGCCTGCAGCTGTAAGAGTCTGAACCTCCCCAGATTACTCCTGTGAATAACACCACTGTTGTAAAACCTAAGATCAGTGCTTGAGATATTTTGCAGACCCTGCATTCTGATGTACCAGCTGACAGCACCCAGACCAGTAATCTCGTTCAACCAGTTCTGCAATCCCACTCAGGAACGGAAGACAGCAAGAAAAACACTTTGAGCCCCCTATGATTCCATCTCCAGCCCCACCAATCAGCACGCCCTACTTCCCCTGTCGCTGCCCGCCAAATTATCCTTAAACACTCCCATCCCAGAGTTTTTGAGGAGGCTGATTTGAATAATAATAAAACTCTGGTCTCCTTCACAGCCGGCCCTGCATGAATTACTCTTTCTCTATTGCAATCCCCTGTCTTGATAAATAGGCGCTGTCTAGGCAGTGGGCAAGGTGAACTTGTTGGGCGGTTACAAAAGTGCATATTCTTGAAGGAAATCAAAATACTTTACCTCCAAATGCATCTCTTTGAGGTATTTTGAAATGGCTGCTGCAGCACGAGCAGGCTGAAATGGTCTTGCAAAGCTATCTTTTGTGGAGGAAATTTGTCTCTCTACAGAATCTCCATTAATGAAGCCAGGCCTTCCATTTCTAGGCTTTTCTTGGATCCAGGTGAGATTAACTCAGCCTGACACCTTTAAAGGTCAGAAAAGAGACATTTGCCATCTATTCTCTCTGAGGAATGCTACTTTCGAGATTTCCTCTATATAACAAGACCTGCTTTCCTAGACAAGCTTCTTCCTTTCTCTCTCTCACAACCTATCTTGCCAGTAAAACCCGATTTATCACCATAACCTGTTTTTGGCTATGGTCTGCACCCTCATTCTTTATCTAACCTCAGGATGGTGTATAAGCTTTTGTACCTTACTGAGGGGTTGGGCCTTCATTCCGAAGACCCTCGGGTATACATGTTAAATAAATTCCTATGCCTTTTCCCCTGTTAATCAATCTGCCTCATGTCAGTGATTTTCAGCGAACCTCTAGAGGGCCAAGGGCCTTGGCCTCCACATTCTCTTGTTGCTTTATTCAGTATAAAAGTATGGATCCAATCAAATTTTATAAAATAAGATATACTTGACAATGTAGAGAATAGACGCCATGAGATGACTGAGATGAAAACATGCATGGAACAACAGATATAGAGTAATATAAATGTGGTAAATAAAAATGTTATAAAATGTATTAAAAACTGGGGAACATTTTTCTAGTAGTCGAAGACAGAGTGAAGAACAGAACTGAAACTGCAGACAATCAAGAATTATATGAAAGTTCAGCTTAGGAAGCTGCCTAGGATTCAGTGAAAAACAAAAATGAGGTAAAAAGAACTAATGGAAATCAGATTAATATAAAAGACAAATAATAGAGACCCAAATATGAAAGATTTTTTTTCTGAAGAAGAGTAAGGATAATTACCTAAAAAAAAATATGCAAACGTATTAAGATAGAAAACGTTTCAAATTAAGTAATACACTTACTTTGTATATTCAAATGGCTCATGAGTTGTAATTAAAAGGAACTGTATATAGATACAATCTGATGGATGTTCAAAAATGACAAAGAAACATACCATCATCTACAGTGAAGAAAATGACTAAATACGATGAGAGAAAAACCATCTGGGTTTCATACTTTTTCACAATGATAAAGAAGAGAAAATAATAGAGAAACATCTATTGAGGACTTTACGACATTGTGACAATGTGAGAAGGCAGAGAAAATAAAAATATTGTATGGTAAATGCCCAGTGGTCTTTGCAGCCCCAGGTGCAACTCTAGGGCTTCACCTGCCAGGTGTTTTCTCAGCCACCCTCAGCTGAGGTGCTTCCTACCTTTTCATCATAGCTGCAGCCCATTCTTGGCCCACAAGGTTGAAAGCTCTGACAGAAGGGGTTTTAAGGAAAAAGGCTGTGATTTTAACATCCTGAACCCGAGTCAAGTTCCTGTTCACATGGGAAATTGTAAAGGAAAAGACTGAAAAGCCGTCATTTGTTCTAGTCTGAAAACAAACAACTATCAAACACTTTAAGGTCATATTTAAGTTTACTTTGGTATAAGAAAATAAACATTTCAACAAAGAATTTTTAAATGGTGCTACGAAAAATGCCTGATGGTAAAAGGCTAAATCATTACAACAAAATTATAAAAATCAAGTGTTTTAAAAATAATTAAGGATTAAATACAGGTTGTAACAACACCAACATAAAAGAAACAGTGAAGAGTAGAAGTGAAATAAAGAGTAGAAGTGAAATAAAGTGTGATAATTTTCTCGTTCCACATACAAGAGGTCAGGATATGCTCTGAAATTACTGATATAACTGTGGACACAGGTTCAGTATTTTAAAATAAAAAAATTAACACAAAATGAAAACAGAATATTTACTTTTAAAATCACAAAAGAAAAATTAAACATAATGTAAAAGAAATACACTAAGTATAGAAAGCATAAAACTAGAAGACCAAATATAAAAATAAATTGAATGCTTTGAAATGTTCTATTTATATGGAACTCTCAGGCTGTGTGCAAATACTAAAACAGATGTAATTGGTAGGATAATTTTGCTATTTAACAGCTGAAAATCTATTCAGAAGAAAGAGTAAACTTTAAATTCGTTATATACATTAAATACATTTTAATACATGAGTTAGAAAATAAGAAAAACTGAAAGAAGGAGAAATAAATACGTGAATTAAGATACCAAGAAGATTACAGAGTCAAAGAAGATAAATACAATGAAGGAATTAATAAAAATAAAAGTAGAAATTAATAAAGAAGACTTAAACCATAAAAATGAAAGCTGGTTCTTGGAAATGACCAATAAAATAGATTCAACTTTGGCAAGCCTATTCTAGTTCACTATAGAATACGACAACTAAAAATGAGAAATTAGGAGAGGTTTTTATCAATATTGAAGAGATTAAAATGTTATATAAAAATAATGGATATATTATTTGACAATAAATAGAAAAATCCAGATAAGATGGGCATTTTTCTAGGAAACCCCATATAAGAAATTAAAGATATAATGTGTAAATAAACAAGAAAAATACAAGAAGAGATAATGCAATCATTTTTTAAAATAACAAGGGCAAATTATCTTTATTAGAAAAATGCAAATCCCAAAAGCTTTAAAAAAAGAACTGACAAATTTGACTTTGTAAAAATTTAAAACTTCTATCCAAAAAAGAAGATATTACTAAATTTAAAAATAAGGAATAGGAGAAAATGACGGCAACATGTCCACAGCAACTGGATAAACATGTATAAATTATAAAGAGCTACTATCAATCAGGAGGAAAAAGACACACAAATAGAAAAATAGTCAATGGATATGTACAGGCAAATTACTATTGAAGACATACACATGGCTGATAAACATATGAAAATAATTACTCTCATAAATGCAGACTAAAATTATAAAGACATTTTTCTTCCATTAAGATTCACTAAATTTGAAGTAATTAGTTACTAATATTGGTCAGGGTATGAGCAAATACTGTTGGTAGGATATGAATTGGTAAAGACTGAAAGCAGAAAGCAATTTTAGATGATTTTAGATGGATTTTTGATGGATTTTTGTTGTGTATACACACAAATATCCGTGTGTGTGTGTATATATATATACACATATGTATATCCATGTATATGTGATTATATGCATGTGTATAGATATGTCATACATAACATGTATTTATACATGTATGTATTTTGCATATATATGACTTCATGGAAAGTAGACTAGAAGGATGCACTTTGTGATCTCCTTTGATAGCGAATGATGGTGGAAGTGGTGGTAAATGAAGCTTTCATGCTATGCTTGATGTTCTTAGATGTTCTTCTATTTTCTTGTGATGTGTTGTATTTTTAACAGAGAGAAAATGTAATGTATTACTTATTTAAATGAAAATGTACCAGCTTTTAAAATAATAAGTGGAGAAGATTTGTATTCTAACAGCACAGAAAATCATGTCAGGGGTATCCTTATGGATATTTTCGTTATGAGGCAGATAAGTGTGGAATATTCTATGTTGATGAAGCCAAATTGATTGGCACAATAACAGAAATTTTAGGGCCATCTCATGATGACTTGAGAGAGTCTTAAGTGCTGTGGAGCATTTTCCAAAGTCATTTAACTGCTTTGTAAATTTAATTTTAAATTACTACCTATTATAAGATGTTAGTTTCCCATTATTGATTTTTTTTGAGTTTCTTACTATTTGCCTTTTAAAATACTCAGTAACAAATAATGTTTTTGTGTATACATTTGTTGTAATATCTAGTTATTTTTTATGATAGAGTACTATGGCCTATAAATGTTTTTATACCTCTTGGTATTTATTGCCAAATAGCTTCCTGGTAAGATTATCACAATTTTCCATCTCATCAACAGTGTAAAACAGTGCCTATTTCACCCCCAATTATGAGAAAAGAAACAGCAGCAACATTAAACGTTTAATGTGCTATATCCTGTATATATATTTTTTATTTTTAATGTTTCTTTGAATTTGAGCATTTTCTCTTTATTTCAAGATATTTGTTTCTATTTTAGAATACTTTATACATTGGCCCATTGATTCTTTTGCATTTTTCTTAATTTGTAACTTTACATATGTGTTGCAAATGTTTCTTATAGTATATTACATTGTTATAATTTTGTTTATGCTTTCTATTTTTATCATATAAATTTAAAAATTCAAAATATTTAACTGTCTCTGAAATCTCCATACAGCCATTATCCAGATTCACACTGATCAAATTTTACCATATTTGCTTCATCTAGCCTCTGTATTTCATTTTTCCTTGTTGAAGTTTTAAAAAGAATGTCCTGAACATAGTGTCATATTATCCCTACACATTCAATACATCTCCCCCAAAATAGGAGCCTGTTCTTACATAATCTTAATACTATTAGCTCACTTAATAAATTTAACATTATTTCTTTGGGGCATGGTTATTCCTGGTTTGCCTTTCTATGTTTGTCCTCAGCCCGTCTCCACTGTGCTCTGAGTGATGGAAGACTCTGCTCTAAACTGCATCACTGAACTCCCCTTTCCTTTGGCTCCCATTTGTGGAGGAGAATAAGTTTGGGGGGGCAGGAGAGTAGGTTCAGAAGTTTATTTCCTGGTCGCTTTTCTGCTGGGCTGCCTGGCTGTGCTTTTCTAACTAAGATGATGGCTTTTTCAGGGTAGATTTGTGATTCAGTCATGGGTCTTCCTAGATTGTGGTATCCACTCTTTCCCTGCTCTCTTTTAGGCCTAATGGTAATAATAACTGTTGATTTAATCTGTTATCTGGATTATAACCAAATTATCTTAATTGTCGCAAAAATATGTTTTGGTTTCTTTAGATTTTTAAAAAGTCAACAGTTTTGTTTATTTCAAAATATAAACAAGGTCAATACTTTATATTCAGTTGTCATTTGAGTCACAAATATCTTTTAGTATAATTTAGTTCCCTTTTTATATACATATATATGTATATATATATATATATTTTTTTTTTTTTTGAGAAAGAGTCTCACTCTGTTGTCCAGGCCGGAGGGCAGTGGCATGATCTCGGCTCACTGCAACCTCTGTTTCCCAGGTTCAAGTGATTCTCCCACCTCAGCCTCCTGAGTAGCTGGGATTATAGGCACAGGCCACGATGCCTGGCTAATTTTTGTATTTTTAGTAGAGATGGGGTTTCTACTAAACCATGTTGGCCAGGCTGGTCTTGAACTCCTGACCTCCAGTGATCTGCCCACCTTGGCCTCCCAAAGTGCTGAGATTACAGGCACGAGCCACCGTGCCCGGACTACTTTTTTCCTTCTTATTGTTTTACTGTAAAAACAAGTTTGGATGTCCCAAAGAATGTCCTACATTCCAGATCTTCTCCATATGATTATGTCACCAACTTGACATGTCATTAGGTTTGTTTGTTTAAATGTATCTGCAGTTTTGAAGATTGCTTTCTTGTTGTTGTTATTTATTTATTTATTTTTCTTTATTTTAGAGAGAGTCTCACTGTCACCTAGGCTGGAGCACAGTGGTGCAATCTTGGCTCACTGCAACCTCCGCCTGTCGGGTTCAAATGATTCTCATGTCTCAGCCTCCCAAGTAGCTGGGATTACAGGTGTGCGCCACCATGCCTGGCTAATTTTTGTATTTTTAGTAGAGATGGGGTTTCACCAATTCGGCCAGGCTGGTCTGGAACTCCTGACCTCAGGTGATCCGCTCACCTCAGCCTCCCAAAGTGCTGGGATTACAGGTGTGAGCCACTGTGCCCAGCCTATTTAATTGTTAGATATATGAAGCATGGACTTCCAAAATTAGCACTATATATCAGAGCATTTTTAGTGAAATTTCACTTCCTATTCTGTCTCTAGGTCCCCTGTCTTTCTGTATAGATAACTTCTTTTTTAAAAAAATAGTTTTTGGATTCTTCTTCCAGTGATTATTTTTCAAACAAACATTCAGTTTTCCAATCAACATTTTTAAAAGGTCTACCTTTCTTCTACTGATATGATAGAATGTCATTTAAAGAATTTCCAGATGTACTTTGATCTACTTTGGATTTCCTATTCTTTTCCACTGGTTCATGCACAAATATTAATTTTTTAAATTATAGAAACATAATAATGTGATTTAATATATGGTAGGAAAAGTTCTTTTACCACGATATTTTTTCAATTGTTAAAAAGATGTTTTTGCTTATTTGATTTTATATTAATTTTAAAATCATATTGTCTATCTCCCAAAAGAAAAAAATACTTGTTGGTGTTTTTGGTGGTTTTAGGAATGTGTCCACACATTTTTGATAGTCCTCCCCTCAAGAGGTGGAACTTTATTCTCCTCTTGAATGTGAGCTGAACTAAGTGATTCATTTCTAGTGAATAAAATATGGCATGAATAAAATATGGCAACAGTGTTGAGATGTTACTTCTAGGATTAGGTTATGAAAAGAGTGCAGCCACTGGCTTGGATGTGTGCTCTTGCTCTCTCTCTCCTGAATCACTCACTTGGAGGAGGCAGCGGCAATGTTATGAGGCACCCCTGCAGACAAGGAGGGCAGCTGCTGTACTGTGAGCACACCCAGGCAAGCCTATGGTGAGGCGCATGTCCAGAGACCAGTGGTGAAAGAAGTGGCTTCACTTTCCTTTACTCCAAGTGACCACTAGGGGAATTTGGATCCTCACATCCCTGCAACTCTAGACTCTACAGGGTTTGAGGTCTTGGTTCTCAAGTGCATGCTGTCTAGCTAGAGGACACAGACAAGTTTCCATTAAATTACATGTTATCACTGCTTCTTGAGCATGTTGAACTCTTAGTGCCTAGGCATACCACGTGAATGAAAATGTGATTATGTCAGTGATAATTGATCTTAATTAAAAAGAGGAAGTGGCGCTTCTTTTACAAAATGATGACGAGATGGTATGTATATGGAACCCAGGCAGTCCATTTGAGTGCCTCCTGTTACTTCCTTGGCCTATTGTTATTGTGAATGGACATGTATGGCGAATCTGGACTGAGAAGAGCATGATTATCAAGAGTTCTGACCCCTTAGAATTGAAGGTTTGACTCAAAACACCTGGAAGTTTACTAAAACATACTGAGGTGATAGCTGAGGGTGAGAGGAACTTTGAATGGATAGTGGAGGGTGAGGATGAGTCCCAGTTGTGTTTCTGAAAGCAGCGGCTGTGATGGGAGCTGCAGGCTGTCACACTCGTTTCTGCTTTCTAAGTTTCCTATCAGGAAGAGAAGCCTGTGGAAATAACAGAAAAGCTGCTCCCTGAACTATGCTAAGAAGCCTCTCTGTGGGCAAAACTGTAGCAGTCAAAAGAAAGCATCTCTCGGATGCATTTACATGCATAATTGCCCAAAGGTTTTAGCTGCGGCACTCTTGAAATCCATCCCTGCAATGGTACCAGGCCTATTCTTGCCATTGGCTGCACCCAGCCAATGACCGAATGCAGCTGGAATACCAAGGTAGACTCGTTTTCCCAGACAGAGGCTCCTGTGATGAGCCACTTGGGTTCTGGGATTTGCTGATGGGTCTTGCTGAATTTTCTTTAGAATTTCAGTGTGGTCTATTATATATCCACTCAATTTGTTTTCTTTTCTCTTTCTTTCACTTGTGGTCAGATCTGTACTGTTGTCTGATGGCTGCTCCAGCCTCTGCTGGTTCTTTTCCCATTTTCTCTCACAGGCATTTCCTTAAATTAATAAATGTCTTCCCTTTGCCGCATCTGTTCATTGGGCGATTGAGATTAGCGCACTTCTTTATATCCAACTCTTGATTTACTACTATGAGTAACATTAAAGTTAGCTAGTAGTTGCTTTCTAATTCTCTTCCCCATCCACTTTCCCATTCTCTGATTTGTTCACTATTTCATTTTAATGTTGATGTTCATATTATAAAAGAATGGTCAGCAATTTTTTTTTAGAAAGGACCAGACAGTAAATATTTTAGGCTTGTGAGCCAACTGCTTCATTCTGCCACTGTGATTGTGAAAGCAATCACAGACAATATGTAAATTAATGGGCACGGCTGTGTTCCCATAAAACATTGCTTACGCAAACAAGCAATAGGCTGGATTTGGCCCACTGACAACTTCGGGTCTAAAATACACTTACATTTCTATCTGATTTTTCATCATGAAGCATATCCCTTTTACTTCCAGCTATTATCTGTCAAGGAAATCGGTAATTTTTTTTCCTATTTTTCAGTTAATCCCTCCTTCTTTTCCTCTCTTTTTTTCTTTTTCATTGCTTTTAATTACTTCTACATTATTAGAGCATGTAACATATGCATATTATTTTGTAAACTTTATTCCTATATATTTTAAAGCCGAGTTCTACAAATATATTAAACCTTATCTCCACAGTTATATCACAGCTTCTCCAACCATTTTAAATTTGCTGGAAACTTATCATTTAGTATATTCTTTAGGAAATAATATGAGAACAGTATTATCTGAGTTCTTTTTAAAAATCTATAATTGTTTTCTTTCACTTTTATAACTGAAGAGTTTGACTATAGAATTCTTGGCTCATACTTTATTTCCCTGATTATCTTTAAATTGTTGCTCATTGTTTTCTATCATGTAATATTTATGTCAAAAATCAATTATCAGTCGGATTTTCTTCCCTCATATATTTGACTTAGACTTTTAGACTAGTTTTCCCAAAATTTTTTTTCCTGTGTCTTTGAATTCTCATGGTTTACTCTGGGTTGTGATTTATGTTGTATACTATATGGCCCCCAAAATGTAGATTTAAACATGTATGTTTAAAAAATTTTACTTCAGGCTTATCTTCCTAGACTATAGTTTTAAATATGTGATTTATCTCTTTGCTTTAGTTTGCCTTTTGGTGACTCCAATTTTGTATGTATTTTATCTTCTTAGCTTGGATTTTACCTTTCTTGCAAATTCTTTTGTTCTCTTAATTCATTTCTGTTTAAATTTTTATACATTTTCTTTCCATTCTACATTGGCCTTTGTACATTCTGTGATATACATTCATTCTTATATTCCTTCTATTTAGCTTTTATTTCTGAATTTTTTTTTCTTGGGAAATGTGAAGTCCTAATAAGAGAAGCAGAGTCAGGCTGACAGATGCTGGTGAAAGCAAAAAGAGAAAGCAGATAAGCTCTAAGTCTGCCTTTCTTCATGGTCCAGGACATGCAACCCTCCTGTGCAAATAACTAACAATCTTCCTGCACCCAGCTATCACCAGCCTGATAGATATATGCAAATTAGTTAGCTACAACCTTGGCATTATCAGTACTGCATGTAGCCCTCTCCAGCACAAGCACTGTCTTATAAAATCCTCAGCAAGCCTTTGTCTCTTTGCAGTCAGCTTTTCTGTTGCTGAGCTGCCCGTTGCTTCCTTGCAACATATTCTCATGCTTCGTCTAATAAGCCTGACTTTCTTTACCTGCAACTATCTTAGTAAAATATTTTTCCTGCCTACGTGACAGCAGCCACAGATAGTTGCCACCCACAACAGTATTCCTTCTATTTTAGCTTTCATTTCTGAAATTTTTTCCTTGGGAACTTTTGGTTTTATATTCTCTTGATGTCTAGCCATGTAATTTCAGAGTTTTTCTTTTAAAAATTATGGTATTTTCAAAGCTGCTATTGCTTTCTCAGTGTATTTCTCACTTTCATTTACTTTCTTGACAAAGTTTCCTAGTGTATTCTCTGTCTATTGAAATATCATTAGGTTCATTTTCATCATTTTTATTGTCAATAACTTTATATGGTTTATATCATACTGCTTTTTTTTTGAGTTTTCATATTTCAATGTTGTGGATTTTCTTAGGTTATTAGGAGGATTTCCCAGAGAGAGAGTCCTTGGATTGAGAGTTTTCTTTGTTATGTAAAATACTCAAAATATGGCCTCTATGCAGTTGCTTTTCTGCCTTTTAAAGCTAAGTCTAGATCAGAAAGATTTTCTGTCTTCAACTGCATGCTTCAGCCCTGAGACATCTAGACCTTGCCTTCCAAGGCGGTCCTCTCAGGCTCAGACTCTAAAGGCATCTTGCCTTGATACTACTTTTCAGGATTTACTTACTTTAGGTGTCTCTACCCTGCATGAAGTATCTCTCTCTTTTTTATGCCCAGTGCTCCTGTTCTGCTTACCTTAGTGTTTGCTTCCAGTAGTGTTCTTTGACAGTAAGGTTTTGTACTTGTAAAAATGAAAATTTTCTTTGTATTTCTCAAGGGCATACACTGACATATCTCTGTTTGATCTTCAGACATTCATAAACAATATTAACTCTCTGTGAAACTTATATCCTGTAATGATATTTAGGTTATTCTTAGATCCCTTCACCCTAGCTTTCATTTCAATACGGTCAGGTCGTTTTGGTTGTGATTATTTTGGAAGAAAGTCTAGTTTTCAAGGCTTGTAGGGTAAGTGATGATTACACTTTAACTCCTTACTCCAATTACATGGTTGTTCTACGCAGGTCATGCAGCTCTTGGTGGTTTGGCTACACACATGAAATGTTGCAAAGATGCTCTAATTGTGGTGGCCAAGAAAATATACCTATAATATCTTCTGCTGGGGAAATATAATTGACTGATGGCCTCAGCAGCTGTCTCTCTATAGATTCACCCATGCGTTTGTTCTTAGACTATAGGACTGAGCACAGTACTGAGGTGGCCTCCTCCAGTGAGATCCAGGACTCCTCCTACAGGTGACTTTTACTGGATGACTGCCATCAACCCCGCTGAAACTTTTTTGGAACTCTGCTGGAGTTAAAAACTCCTCCTACCCAGTTATTCTCCATTACCTTTCTCCTTCCACAGGTATCCGACCTACATCACGCTCACTTCCTAATAACTCTCTTGCACATTTAGCTCATCTTCTCAGCAGATCTGAATTAGCATAATAACGTTCACTAAGTTTCTTTTTTCTTCAAGCACCTAGATAGGTCAACATAAATGTGTGATAGAGAGCACATTTGATTCATAAATTAGTATTTGACTTAGATCCATAGTTATCTGATTTATAGCTCACACCAAATAATCACAGAAAAAAAAATGTAGAAAGATAACATCTGTGTCTAAATCATCCCTGAGGCCGTATGCCATTTACATATTACATTACGTATTACGTATTACATTTATCAGTGTAAGTGCAGGAAATGTTAGTCCACCTATCTGGTAAAATATTATTGCTGTAGTTCAGTAACAGGACATTTCTCAGGCTACTTGAAGGTGAAATTGAAAGGGCATAAGCTTTAGAATCAGAAAGATCTTAGTTCAAATTTGAGATTATAAGAGACTGTGTACATGGCAGAAACCTGGATGCCTCATGGAGTTGCCAGTAAAATAATCAAATTATTCAATCAAATATATTTTCTCAAGTCTTATCTCATGAAATCATCTGATTTAGTCTGAAATATAATACTTCCATTTAATAGATCTTATGCATTCTTGAGGAAATTACTTGGTTGTAAAGAGAGTAATGATATTGATGATAGCTAAGACCTATACTAAAAATCATTTTATATCGATTGGGACTTTTGGTATGTTAAATAAGAAAAAAACTTAAAGTTCATGCTAAATTTAAAAAAATTATTTCCCATTTGTTCAACTTGGCATTATTTATATAAAAAGAAAACAAACTCACAATATTAAAAAAATACAGAACAAATAAACAGAATAAACTCTTAGAGTCTACTTATTTTAGAAATTCAAACATTTGAAAGTATAAAAATAAGCCCCAGTGAATATGAACTTCTTTATAGTCTATCTCCTTTTGAACCCCGTTTCAGATGGCCTCCATCAGTCTTCTCAATTTGAAGTGAGGGGAGCATTGGATATGACGAAGCTAATTACATGTGATGGTGAGAATTACAGACCCCAGGGGAGACCTATCAGGCTATGGAGCAAGCATTTTCTTAGGGTGCAGCTCTTGGTGGCGGGTTTGTGAAGTTTGAAACGTCTGTTCAGTGATTTGGGCACCGCCTTGCCTCTATGCTGGGAAATGCTGCCCCACCTTCTGTAGGAAGTGATTAGTTTCATTGCCAGACAGCGTCAGGCCCCGGTGAAAGAGTAAGCTTCTTCTCTGAGGGTGAGTATTGTGGTGATGCCATTTCAGGGAATAACTGAGGCTCACGTTCGATAAAAGAAGAAAATGTTGTTTATTTTACCACTCAAAATGGATTTTTCTGTATTCAGGTTTCATCTGCTTGGCTTTCAGAAATGAACTATATTATTCTTTATACAGGAAGGACCTATAAAAGGCAGGAGTCAGGTGGGATATTGCTATTTAAGACAAAGAAAGAAGACGTTTAAAACTGTTTTGTTAAGCCCAGACGCTTGACAGATTAAGAGGCTACAATCTCTTTCCACAATCAGTAGTGAGTTATCTTCTTTCTCTTCTCCTAGTTACTTCTTCTTCTTCTTCTTTTTTTTTTTTTTTTTTTTGACAGAGTTTTGTTCTATTTTCAGGCTGGAATGCAATGGCGCCATCTTGGCTCACCGCAACCTCCACCTTCTGTGTTCAAGCTATTCTCCTGCCTCAGCCTCCCCGAGTAGCTGGGATTACAG
This sequence comes from Homo sapiens, assembly GCF_000001405.40. Lineage (NCBI taxonomy): Eukaryota > Metazoa > Chordata > Mammalia > Primates > Hominidae > Homo > Homo sapiens. Next base: position 28,363,869 of record NC_000018.10, read on the forward strand.
GCGCCTGCCACCACGCCCAGCTAACTTTTGTATTTTTAGTAGAGACAGGGTTTTACCATATTGGCCAGGCTGGTCTTGAACTCCTGACCTCAGATGATCCACAAGCCTCTGTCTCCCAAAGTGCTGGGATTACAGGCATGAGTGACCACCCCCGGCCCCTAGTTACTTCTTAACCTCCTTAATCAAATTGGAATTTATTGGTCATGTATTCTCTCTACTGGCCTAACTCAATAACATGTTTTTGTTAGTTGTTCCATGTTCTATCTAGTTTGCCGCTGCTTTTCTATATTTGTTGTCTTTACTACCCACTTCTGTTTGATTACTGCCATTTCTACTGTGATTGTAATTTTTCCACTGATGAAATTAACCTTTTCCTTCAAACAATTTGTGTCCCAGTGACAACTGATCGGTTTTTACTTAAAAAATTTTCACTGTTTTTTTTTTTTTATTTTTTTTCTCCTATCTTATGAAGCTGAAAATAGGAAATTCTGTTTATGAATGAAATTCTACTTAGGCACATGACTTACACTACTATAAAACTGTGTCTTTAATTTGGACATCATGCATGGGGGTAATACGTGTATGTTACATTTTGCACAAAGTCTAGCTTATACTGTGGTGTAATGGTAGGGACTGAGGGCTAATTTAGAAGTTAGAATAGTGAAGCAAAGCTGTGAAATTCTAGTGTTGCTGATGGAAAGAGGTATTTCCTTCCCTTACTGGAATGATGCTCTTTTTTCTTTTAATATAGATAATAGAAATGGAATTGCCTATAGCAACCTACTTTCCTATCACATCTTCAACATTTAAACATCCTTTGCTACTGTTTTGGGATAAAAAATCCCATCACTCAGCAGAGACAGAGCAAAGACAGAATTCGCAATATGAATAGGTTTGCTTTCTTCTAAATATTTGCCTCTCCAACATTTTAAAGATATGCCTACTCATTCTTTAAAGTGCTCATATCTGGTATTCATCTTCAAAACATAAATCCTCTTGCTATAGTTTTCTTAAAGAAAAGTAGAAAGAATGGCACAGGAGATAATGGCTTAGATTGCTTTCCTAGGTAGCAGGAGCCAGCATGCTGTTTGAATTTTGGCTGCAATATGGTAAACTCTGCTTGCTTTCAATTATTCAAACCCATTTACATTTTCACGCCAAGTTGGATAAGTTTATATTTCTATTTTTCCAATTTTGAAATGAGGCTTTCTGGATGAATTATAACATCACTAGGCCCCTGCATGGAGAAGTAGCACCCAAAGCCTTTTAGGAGTTCATATACTTCAAAGCAAAAGATTGCTTCTAGTGACTTGTTAGGTAACCTTTCCCTTTTGTCTCTTGACTTTCAGTAGCCTATGCTAGGTGCTCTTACTCAATGATGCAATAGTCAGTAGATTTTCTTTTAGAAAGAGCAGTATTACCTAAAGCAAGCTCCTTTTCAAAGAAGTAATTTCATGGTCACAATCTGTTAACTGACAAAACATTAAAAAAAAATTTGAGAATTGATTAGCCAATTTAGACCCTGGCAGCCTAAATCTCCCAGTCCTGCTGTTCTGTGTGTATTCACAGCACCATCCGGTATGTGTGCTAGGTTATGACTGTTATTTATTTATTTTTACCCTGAAGCACTAGCACTGATTGCAAGAATTGAGTGACTTGGTTGGCAGGGGAAACTGCAATAACAAAGTCTATGTCTGGCTGGTCATATGAATAATACCAAATAGCACCAGCCAGCTCCTGCCTGTGGCTATGTCAGCTGAGCTAGCCAGAGACATTTTTTTCTCTCATTGATTTTATTTTTTAAAATTTCTATGAAGCCAAGATTGGGACTCAGCAGGTTTGGAATGATGCCAGCATCCTGCTGAGTCAGAAGAAAAGTATATTGACCTGATGTATTGGACAAAGTGCAATGGAAGTGACAGAACAAGTTGTCAAGGTGTTGCTCTACAAAAGCTTTTTAGAACAAGAGATTTGGGACAATGAACTACAAATGGAGCTGGTGGTCAGGGTCTAAGGAAGCCCCTTTCAACTCCTTTTGATAGAACACATTCTACAGTAGGAGGCTTTTCTCTGATTGCTGGGCAGAATAAAACTGTAGCATTCTCTGTTAATTTTTTTGTACCGTTAACTGCTAATGCCTATTTGAAGCAGTGGAATATCCTGCTGTTGTCTTTGAATGAAATGACTTCAGGAAACAAAATTAATTGGTGTATTCTTTGTTTGCATAATAATGATTCCACATAAAAATTAAATGACAAACCTTGGAATACGTTCTTTTTATTGCAAAATATACCAAAATTACCCTTAAAATAGTATAACATATAAGAATTAAGAACTTACTTGATTTGCCTTTAGACATAAAGGACTCTGTAATAAACATATTTCATAATATTTTAAATAGGTGTAGGTATTAAATAAAGATTCTGTGTGGATAGGTCATTTAAAGATGGGTCAGGAGACAGGAGACAGAGCAAAGTAGCTGATTCTTTTTTGTTGTTGTTGAGACAGAGTCTCACTCTGTTACATTCTTTTTTGTTGTTGTTGAGACAGAGTCTCATTCTGTTACCTAGGCTGGAGTGGAGTGGCACGATCTCTGCTCACTGCAACCTCCGCCTCCCGGGTTTAAGCAATTTCTCTGCCTCAGCCTCCCAAGTAGCTGAAATTACAGGCACATGCCACCATGCCTCGCTAATTTTTGTATTTTTAGTAGAGATGAGGTTTCACCATCTTGGCCAGGCTGGTCTTGAACTCCTGACCTCGTGATCCACCCACCTCGGCCTCCCAAAGTGCTGGGATTACAGGCGTGAGCCACCGGTCCGGCTGCTGATCCATCTTTATGCTACCTATCCACACAGAATCCATATCAACATTCCTGGAAAAGCTCCTGTAAAGGAAATTTGGCTAGACCTTTACCTATGAGCAAACTTTCCCCGAATGCACATTGGGAACTTTCAGAAAGGCATTGATATTAAACAAATATTTTGGGAGTGCTCAGCAGAGAGAACAGTGATCACTAAGAACCATGTGTTTACGAAGAATGAGTCATGAAAATAACAGCTTGTTTACCTTTTGATTATGGGCAGTGAGAGAGATAAATTATAACCCAATTGGGCAGAGTATTTGATTCAATACTTCAAGATGACCTTTTGAGCAAGAAGTACATATTAAGAAAAATACAGTCAGTTAAATTACCTAATTAAACCTAATAATGTTGATTAGTGGATTAGAAGGGACACAGAAGGGTATATTATTCAGGACTCTTTCCTTCTTCCTACCCAGTTAGATATTTTAAGTGATAATTTCAATGCTTATCAAATGTTCTGGTGATTGAAAACTAATATGTTACATAAGGTTAGTAATTTTAGAAAGATCGCCACAAGGAAGAACATGTTTGAAATTAATAAGATAAAATTAACAGAGATGGTGTAAAATTTTATGTATGGAAAAAAAATAATGGCATAAGGACAGGATTCAGGAGGCCTGACATGACGGTCACAGCTCATCTGAAACAGACCCACAGGTTTTATACGAATCCAGGATTAAACTCTCAGTGCGATGCACCTGTTAGAATAGAAGGACCAGTGCAATCACAGAGGTAGATGAACAGCTGATGGGAGGTGGGTTCCACACAGGGCTCAACACACACTTGGAATATGATGTCAAAGCCCTTTGTCATAGGCAAAAAGGCACCAATGAGTTAGAAATTATTCCAAGGCACCCAAAGTGAATTATGAGAGTTCCAAAAGTCTCTCGATATTTATTTGTTCATTTAATACTAATAATGTTTCCTGAGTAACTGCTCTTGACAACCTCAATGTCAAGGCTTCTTCTGTAAGCATTGCTTGATTTAATTGCTGTCACAACCTCTTGACCTGTAGTTCTTATATTTATTATCATTTTATAGATGAGGAAACTGAGGCTTAGAAAGGTTAAATGATTCGTTCAAGGTCAACAAAGTACTCAGTGGCAAATCTGGAAATGTAATCTTTGCCCCCTTTTTAAACCACCATGCTATGTAACAAAATGAATTTTACTTGCTCCCATGGCTGCTTTAGAGTAAAATGCACAGCTTCTCTGTCAAGATGCTATGGACTCTGGCCTCACCCTACCTTTCCAAATGATTTCTTGTTACATCCTTCAATCTATCTGTTGCTCCAGCCGAGCTAGCTCAATATTCTGCATCATCTCAGTCCCATTCTTTTGCTATTGGCTCAAATTGGAAGAGCCTATTTGCACTGCTGTTCAACTCCAACTTAAATGTGACTTTCTTTACGAGGCCTTCCTTATTCCTTAAAACAAATGGAACAATCTCTACTCCAAGCTTTCAGGATCCCATTATTTTCAAAAGCCTTTTGCACCTAATAATACTATTTTTCTACTAATTTTTATACTGATTTGTGTACATTTTTATCTCTAATAAACAGTAAGCTCCTTGACAACAAGGACTGTGTCCTTTGCTTTGTTTCACAGAGAATTCAGCTTAGGCTTAGGCCTTACTATTACTAGTGGTTTAATACATATTCCTTGGATGAAAGAGTAACATAGATAATTGTGGTCAATGGCCTAAGCAGAGAATGTTCTCAGTAATATTACAAATGACAAGTTGGATAAAATACCTATTACAATGTAGATTGATGTCTAATAAGTTGATTTGAAATCTTATAAATATAAACAGGAAAGTGGGGAAAGGAATTTATTTAACATTTGGTATTCCAATGGAACTGTCTTTCAATAGATTGTAATTATACCTTATCTTGCCTATCGTAAGTGGCTTATTTAGAAGCAGCTTGTATCAGATTAGAAAAATCTAGAATTTGGAGTATAGGTGGTTAATTCCTGGGATTGTCCTTATCTTAGTCAGTATGAATTGGGAGATGTGGAGGCGTTGGAGGAAGTGACATATTTTCAAGTGCAAGCATGATGAAACATGTGCACAGAAAGATAATCTAAAATTTGGCCAAAGGGAAAAGATGCCTTCCACATATGAAAAAATCAAGCTGGAAGCAGAATCCAAGATTTATGGTATCCAACCAGGAAAGGGTTTCTCATATATTCCCAGTATGATATAGGGTAACGTCATAGGTTCTGGTGTGTCTGGGTTTAATTCTGCCACTTCTGCACCTTGCTACTTTGGAAGACCTATATAACTTCTCCAAGATTTAGTTTCTTCATCTGTAAAATGGGAATGATAATTTGTACTAACATAACGGGGTTATCATAAGGACTAACCAAATTAATGTATGTAAATTTCCAAGAACAGTGTCCTGCACATTGTTAGAGCTGCATTAACTCTTAGAAATTATATTATTTTTTCTTTCTGTTTTGAATGATATATTTTTGTTAACCAGGCATTAACAATGCACCTAGCTTAAAAATACTTGCAGTCATTTTTTGGATTGTACTGTGGCTTGGCTCATTACTAGCTTTGTGATCCCAAGGAAGTGACCAAACTCTGGGTCTCAGATTTTTTTTAACCTATAAAATGGGAATATAAACATTCATATGTAGCCCTCAGTAATGTCTCAAATATCAAAAAAAACAATGCTTGGGGAAATGTTTTATAATCTATACAATGCTATAGAAATTTTAAAGCTTTAATAATTCAACAGACAGCTATTGAGTCCCTTATATGGATATAGACTGCTGAAGAGAGGATGGGAAAGTGCCTGATGTTCTCTGGTCTTCCAAGGCTGCCTGGTTGCATGACCCTGATGTGACTTTCCACCTGTTGCCTATTTTCAGCCCATTTGTAGGGAATCCACTTCTCCAGCTAAGGATTCACATTATCAAAGCTCCTGAGACTAATTTACAAAACCAGAATGCCAATCTATTACCTGACAGTAAGAAAAAAAGAGCTGCCATGAAAGCTGAAATAAACAAGTAATCATGCTTTTTTATGTGTACATTTGTTTACCTATACTCAGAGATATATATAGGAAGCCAAGCTATAGTTAGAAGGCTTTTTTGGTGCATCAGGAACTTGAGCCACAGGAAATAGATTTGGGCATTGACTAAAGTAGTGAAGATACCCTGATGCATCCATCTTCACCAACTGCAAAGGGGCTACAACCCTTGAAAACAATCCACTAAGGCTGCCTGTTCCTGAGTGTGTCCTCGAATTGATGCTTTCAATGTTCACTTACAGTGATTTCTTATTTTTGCTGACCTGGCTGACTCATCTTTTCCTCTGAAGAATGCTTAACAACTGCTCTAATACAAAATAAAAAGGTACTATCTGGTGTTAAGATTTTCTTTCCCCACTTACATGTATTCCCTAGTCTAAATCTTAGATTTTCCCTAAGGTTTATTTCCCTCAGAAAGTAGAGGCTGGCATTATGGAGCCAAAGGCTTATTCTACTCCTCCTCCTCCAGGGGAATATCTACTTTGAGGAGAGTTAAGTTAGGCCTGAGCAGAAGGAAGAAGGGAGAGCAGAGGTTAGTGCTTGGAATGGAGGATTTCTGTGAGTACACTGCCCTGGACCCTGGTGGATAATTAGATGGCTATGCTGGGTGCTTGCTGGATACCTAAAATGAGGTCCCATTCTTAGGAATGGTTTCCCCTAACACACTGAGAGTTTAAATTTATCCTCTATTTACATAAAACCCATGGGTCTTTTTTAGATCGACTGTGACCATCATGCCAGGCCTCCTGAAGCTTGACCTCATGCAATTATTATTTATTTTATTTTATTTTTGTTTTTCCATAAGTTATTGGGGTATAGGTGGTATTTGGTTACATGAGTAAGTTCTTCAGTAGAGATTTGTGAGAACCCGGTGCACCAAATCAAGAACTCGACCCCTTTCGCAAAAGCTGCAAAAAATAAATAAATAAATAAATAAAATACTTACAAATATACCTAACGAAGGAGTCGAAAGACCTCTAAAGGAAAACTACTAAACACTGCTAAAAGAAATCATAGATGACACAAATAAATGGAAACATGTTCCATGCTCATGGATGGGTAGAATCAATATTGTGAAAATGACCATACTGCCAAAAGCAGTCTACAAATTCAACACAATCCCCATCAAAACACCACCATCATTCTTCACAGAGTCAGAAAAAAAAATTCTAAAATTCATATGGAATAAAAAAGGAGCCTGCATAGCCAGAGCAAGACTAAGCAAAAAACAAATCTGGAGGCATCACACTACCTGATTTCAAGCTATACTATAAGGCCATAGTCACCCAAACAGCATGGTACTGGTATAAAAATTTTTTTCTATACATCGAATCTTACACCATCTCTGTTAATTTAATCTTATTAATTTCAAACATGTTTTTCCTTGTGGAGATCTGTCTGAAATTACTAACCTTATACAGCATATTAGTTCTCAATCACCCGAACATTTGATAAGCTCTGAAATTATTACTAAAAATGTCTAACTGGGTAAGAAGAAGGAAAGAGTCCTGAATTATATACTCTTCTGTGTCCCCTCTAATCCACTAATCAACACTATTAGGTTTAATCAGATAATTCAACTGGCTATATTTTTATAAAGGGCCTTCTACATTCCTAAGAATGCCAATGGACCAAACATTAACAGCTCTGACCTTGAGACTTTTGGCAAAGGATTTCTGTGCCCAGCCTTAACATGGAAAGAGAAAGCTGCTTTTCAGCCCTCAGGCAGCAGCAACACTTTCCCAAGTAGACTGGAGAGTAGGAAGTAGCTGGATGTTTTGGCATATCTAAAATCCCTGAGAATCTTGTATAATATTAGAGAATTGGAGCAGGCTCTTTCCCCAGAGCAGATTACTAGCAGCAAATTATAAGCCAACCAGATAGATACATGGAGGCTCACAATTGATTGATCTGATTTTGCAAACCAAAGAGAAGTATCCATTTCTATTTTATGGTTTCATTTATTTATTTGAGACAGGGTCTTGATCTGATGCCCAGGCTGGAGTGCAGTCACACGATCATAGCTTACTGCAGCCTCGAACTACTGGGCTCAACTCCCTCCTCAGCCTTCCAAGTAGTTGGCACTACAGGTGTGTGCCACCATGCTTGGCTAATTTTTAATTATTTTTTGTAGAAATGGAGTCTTGCTCTTTTGTACAGACTGGTCTCAAACTCCTGGTTTTAAGCAATCCTCCTGGTTTGGCGTCCCAAAGTGCTGGGATTACAGGCATGGGCCACCGTGCCCATCCCTGATTGTTTTAAATCTCAGTCTAAGAGGGCAGCATTTATCTTATTTCACAATTCTTAGGAAAAACTTTATTGTTAAATACTTATATACTGAAAACACACACACACACACAAACACACACACACACACACACGCACGCACAAACCCAGTCCTGCCATCTGGAAAGAATTGTTGTCTGGGAAAGACATACAAGTAGGTATAAGTCAATAGGTCATGATGATATTATTGTTAAGTGCCTTTGCAAAAATTAGTGTAGGTTACATTAGAGAGGTTCTTATTCCAGAGCTGGAAAAGAAGAGGGTGGGGTCACTTCAGAGAAGAAGATATGCTAACCCCCACCACAGGCAAGAAGCACGTCATGAACATCTTCCTGAAAGCAGCTGCATTTGATTTTATTGAAGAATGCATATGAGCCAAGGCTGCAAAGAAGGGGAAATGACTTACTAGGAAAAGGTATCCGCACATAAAAATTCCGGCGGGTTTGAGACAGTGCAAAAAGCTAGTAAGTGTCCAATTTGAGTGAATAAAGTTTCTGCCAATAGGTATGAAAATGATATTTATTCACTCAGTAAATTATTTATTCCAGTGATTTTTCTTCATTTGTGGGGATCCATCCATGTTCTCTTGCTCATGCAACCAGTGACCACAGGTGGACAATTGTGAGATGGTTGGCTTGGATTATGGATTCTGTTTCTGATCAAGAAACTGTGCAAAGTTAATTGACCTTATTAGAAGACTTGAATGTAAAATATTGTTTTTTCAGCAAAGTACAAAATACAGAGCCAATCAAATCCAACCACATTTAGCACATAATTTACTTATCTCTTAGAATATAGTAAAATAATTTTTTGGAATCAGTATTTGTTGATCCATTGCTTTATCTCCCTTTGTATTTCTGTTGGAAGAGCTTAGCTAACTAAAAATAGACAGCAGTGAAATAATGCAGAACCTAAAACTTAACTTTGAAGCTGCTAGGTTCTGTTGTGAGACATTTGCCCTTCTTTATATAATATCTTTTGTGATGATGATTATTATTTTACTTCCTTAGTACTATTTTCTCACTTATTCAAATATGATATTTCTGATCAACCAGAGGCTTAAATAAAAGTTTAATTGATAGGCATTAAAAATTGCAAAAGTTAATAAGGATGAAATAGTCCACTTTGAAAATAGTCAAGGGAAGAATGCTCTCTCAAAGGAATTGATAAGAAGGCAAAGGTGCAGTCTTTGATGAAGTCTTTTGGCTGTACAGTTTGCTGTCAGTATTTTGGCTGTACAGTTTGCTCAGGTATTTTTTAACTTTATATTTAAAAGCTGGTAAGAAGAGCACAAAGATGGAGATAAAAGTGTATCATATATCTGTGATATACTCAAAACTATCAGAAAGTTCAGCTTCTAATGGAGCTGGGAAATGCTTTAGAAAAATTCTAAAACAAAATAAAAAGAAAAGCAAAAGATACATTTAAGGTCTGCATAGAACAAGAAGAAGAGCAAAGGTTGAGATCGACATGTTGTGTGAAGCTAGTGGTTTTCATGTTAATCGCTTACAAAGAAAAGCTAGAACTAACTGCTCATCTTACATTTTGTCTTGTAGGTCAAGAAGAGTGTGGTTTTCCATTGCTGTGTGCATAATAGCTAGTTCCTATTGGCAAGGTAGGTCTTGCAATAAACATCTTACCTAAAACTCAATCTAGTGTTCTTTATGACTTTATTTTATTCTTCTCCTACTGGTTTTCAGTTCCATTAATGAAAACATACCTCAATGGCATACTGAATTCAGGGCAATTACAGGTATTGAATCAGAATTCCTTGCAACTAGTACATGTATACACAGACCTAACAGTGGTGCTTTTTACATGTAACCCATTTCCATGAATAGTAGGCCCGCTTACGTAAAGTTAACACTATTAAAATAATGTTTCCAACAGGGCATTCTGTGTTCTATGGTGATTCCCTTGGGGTGTTGTGTGTTTTATGGCACTTCCCCCAGCATTTTCTATGGTGTTTCCCACAGAGTGGTCCGTGGTGATATAAACTTGGGAAATGTTGGATTATAGATAAAGTGCAAGATTAATGTTAGATAAATTTGGGAAAAGTTCTGTAAGAGTGTGTGTGTGTGTGTGTGTGTGTCTGTCTGTGTGTATCCTAGGGATTTAAATATATTAGTGAGTGCATTTTCCAAATGTATTTGTAACAAAAACTTCATGTCAAATATTTCCTTTGATTAGGGTTCAGTGGAACTCACTTTGAGAAATAAAGATAAAGGGACAAAATTTAAGTTAAAAATTTCTGACGAATTGTTAGTATCTTAACATAGTACATGTGATAAATAAAGGAGACTGTAAAATATATAAAATATTTAATTCCATGGAAATAAAAAATAAAAAACCCAAAACCCAAACGTCATATATTTTTAAAAAGTAAAAATGAAAAATAAAATGTGAAATGCTTGGTATTATTGAGTGTGAAATAACCTAGCTTCACTTTTAGCCAAAAGTAGGACAGAGTTGCTTATTGAATTAAGAAAACTACTTGAAGAAAATATGATTTCTTTTATCATATTGGGAGATGTAAATTGCACAAAAAAACGAGTTTTCTTATTTGATTTGAATATCATATTTTATTCCTGCTAAGTCATTCCAGTGACTGGTATCTATTATAGATAAAGTGCCAGAGTGCCCTCCTGGTCTGGAGAATTCCAAGCAAAATAGTCTGTAACACTATTCCCAGTGTGATATTCTACAAAAATACTTACGAAGAATGATACAGACAGAAATATACACAACCACAAACAGACACAGGGACACAAACATACATTTATTTGCAAACACACATTTTAAAATTTGCTAAGTATATTGTGTATTGTACAGAATGGGGACATTAAATTTTATTTAACACCTCCTTTTTGAAAAAAGATAAAGTCCTAGTTAAGGAGCTCTTTTCAGCAACATTATGAAAATAATTGGAATGGGGTGGACTCCACTGATTTTCTTAGTCACTGTTTTGGCCTCCAGAGAGAATAGTAACTGGGTACGTCCTCCTTCACAGAGTTATGCCTGAAATAGGTTCTCCTCTAGATTTGGATATGCTATCCTTAGACAGACTGTTTCTGATTTCAGATATTACTTACATGTTCATATATTGACACTAATCAAATATTAAATATAATGTTATTTAATGTGTTCTGATTTGATGTATATTTCATCTCTTTCTCCCTATTGGTAGTACTCTTTCAGTATCCTGAACAAATCTTTCTCTTTACGTTTTAGACAATTTATTATTTGTTGGGCATTGATTATCGTTCCTGGCTTTCGTGGCAGAAACACCAATATTGTGGAGTGTGTGTTTGCTGGACATACCTTTGATAATGTTAGAAATTATTTCATTACAGTTCTGGGAAGAGTGTGTTTTTCCATGAACTTATGTTTCTTCTTCCATATTGCATTGATAATAGCAGAACTTAAGTATTTGTCAAATATAAGACTTTAAAATTAGAAATTTTGATAGTTAAATATATTTTCAAAGCCGATATTTTGAGATAATAGCATTAAGGCAGTTCTAGCTTTATGTAAAATCAATTTCGAAAGTAATTGGTAAAGCCCTTTCCAAAGGAAAAACAAAGTATGCCCTCTTTAATATGATTCATCATCTTGTAGAGCAGGCAATAGAAATGTATAGTTGTTTTTTATTTTTATTTTTTGAGTTTCACATAATTGTAATTTACACATACAAATCCCACAGGCACGTGTCAATAACAGATGGTATTTATTAAAAATCCACATGTATTCTTGGTTGGTGAAAGTTTCATTCTGCTTGAAGGCAAGAAAATGGATTAGATGACCTTTCAAGGTCATGCCACTTACAATTTTTAAGGTTGGGATCTAAAACTGTCTCACTGTTTAAAGTGTGTTTATTTTAAATACGTATACAAATCAGGTATGTTTGGTTGCAGGTGACAAAGTAATACAAAAGTACAATATGTAGGCTTACTTAGAAAAGGGCATGTTTAGTGCTGGCCTGCGAGAGAACTGGATCCAAAGGCTGGAGTGTGGTGAAGTCCCCTTTTCCTGTTTCTTTTTTGCTTCTTTCTGTGTTGTTTTAGTCTCTCTTCAGCATATAGACTTCTTCCACATGGCAGGGAATGTGGGTCCAGGAATTGATGTCTCAGTTATCAAAGATAAAATAAGTCCTTGCAGTCAGCTGTGTTTTGAAATGCTGGGAAATGATTTAATTGGCACAAGTTGGGTGCATGAGCAATGAATGTAATTAGCTGACAGTTGCGGTGTTAATCTTGGCTTCCCTGGGTCATTCACCCTTCACCTGGCCATAACCCTACTCATATCAGGATCAAGACAGACAAAAGGAGATTTCTAAAATCCTAAGACTGTGCCTTGCCAATGAATTCACTGCTGTAAATTGCCAATTTCTACTTCCCAGAATTCTGTAATTAAAACTGAATATTCACTTTTCCCCAAGAATCCATCAGGACAAATTTATTTATGCTGTGCATATCTCTGATCCCAGTGTCCCCTAGAAGTCCAAACCCCTCAAGGCATACATGCTCACCTTTATCCACGATTTAATCCCACACATCTCCATAACTACCATCCCTCCTGCCACTAGCTCCCCACCCTCCAGCCCATTATGCAGTCTTTAAATCAGATTCTGTTATCAGTAAAATTGTGTATCATCATTAACTTCTTATCTAAACATTCTTTTCTTATTTTATTTAAACCTGACCATCCCTGGAAGACATTGGATTCCTTTGCAGACTTCCAACTGTTCCTTTCCCTCCCATTCCCTACATAGCAGATTGTTAGAGATGGAGTGTCTTTTTTGCTTTTATTACCAATCCAAGATTATTCAGCTCTCACACCCCCAAACCCTTAGCTTTTTGAACAGTAAGTTAACAAACAATACAACCCACTGTCCCTCCTTGTTGCACTATCTGTCAACTTCCTGGTAATTCTTCCTTATTCACTGACAATTTTAACAGTTGTTTACATTTTTTTCACCATCATAGCCCTACCATTCTTTTGGTGACTTCAGCATCGTATGAATGACCCATCCCATGCTCTGGCTTTTCACACTCTTGAGCTTCTTACCTCCAGTGATTACTTCTTCAACGCAAGCTCAGATACCCAATCCCACTGAAGTACTCAATAGATTTCCATTACTGACGGCTGCACCTGCTTCACTCTTCTAAGCATCCCATTATAATCTCAGCATTTTCTAGTTTACTAAGTCTTGTATCTCCTGTTCCTGGAATTATGTAGCCCTTCTGGATCTTACAATCATGTGAATATCTTTTCTTTTCGGGTTTGTTTTTGCTATCGGTTAGTGTCCCTGATATCTTTGGTATCCTCTTTAGTTTAGATTCTATAATTCATAAAAAACTATCCCCTTTCATATAACTTCAACTTGAGTGTCACTCTCTCCCACAACTGTACTCACAGGCAAAATCCCAACCTCATTAAACTCACCTTTTTGCCTACTTTGTGCTTTTTCCTTAGAAACTAAATATTGCTGAAGAACAACACTCAATCATAGGTTTCACCTAAATTTATGGAAGTATATCTCAACTGAGCTTCAGAAGTGCCTGGAAATCCTATTCTATTTCTCTATCAATTTTCTGTTCCACTTTCTAAAATAATCTGTGCCTGTTTTTTTTTCCTTTCCTCAAAACTTCCTTGCCCATCCTCAACTAATCACTCCATTTTCTATTTTATGGGAAAAGAATTTTAAAAAAATACCTTATGTTATCTCTATTAAGTCAAACAACCAACAAGCATTGGCACTGCCATCTTCTTCATTGCAGTTGCCCGCCATCTTGTCTCCCATAAATCACGTGTGAAAGGGTTCTGTTTCTACTGGATGCTGTGTTTTCACCATTCAGATCCACCGTTCAGGACTAAGACATTTATTCTCCCAGCTTGGAGTAAAACCTAGCCTCTTTCTTGCCCAAAGCAAAACTACTCCGAAGGGCCTTCCCAGATCCAGTACTCCCCATGGAATAGGCTGAAGCCTCTGTTGTAGCTGCAACACGATTGAGTTCCTCTCTCAGCCCAGTCCTCTTTTCCTCAGTTCCCTTCAGGTTTTGATCCCAATTATATTCCTAAATAAACTTCCTGTAGGGAAATCTCCATCTCAGGGTTTCACAGGGAGTTTTACCTAAGAAAGTTGGTACCTGTAGTGGGCAGAGGAGGTTAAATTTAAAATAGAACTTTGGAATTGAATCACCACCAGCTAGTTACAATGAGAACCAATGAGGACCCCATCACTGGTGCTAAGTAGAGGATGAGAGGTTCTTGGCATACTGTAGTAGTGAAATTGTTAAAACTCATAAATGATGAACTGAGATAACATAACCATGGAAAGAAATGCATCGGTGGGGCAATGTCTCTGGTGCTTTAGAAGTTTTGGGGAGGTGGTAATTACAAGGATTATAAAATGTGAATATCACTGGTGAGAGTAATTCGTGCATTCAATAAGGAAAATTGATGGTCCTCCAGATGGCCATTTTCAAAGTGAAAGTACCCTGTTCGCCAGAGGTGTAAGAAATACATTAGCAGAAAGGGGACTGGCATCACTTGCTACTAAGAGTAGCTGTATTCCATTGGCAGGGATGCTAGTAGGGAAGGGTCTTAGAGAACTGGACAAATAGCAAAGAGAATTATAAAACCTCAGAATAACACAGGCCAGGTGCTGGCACATAACCATCAGATGCAAGGTGTGTCCCTCAGAAACAGATTTTGAGATGTAAAATTTAGGAAGGAAGGTTTGTTTCCTTGTTAATTATCTTCTATTACTAAATTATAATCTGCTTGAGAACAAGGAATTGCCTGTCTCTTTCACTGACATATCTTCAGTACAGAAAAAAGTGCTGGGTACCTAAACGTTTTCCAGCAAACATTTGTCAAATGAATTAGGATATTATTGAAAGGTAAGAATGGTTGAACATAAACAGTTACTTTGCTAGAGTCCTTGTGAGATTGTTAGCCACTAAAATTTGTAACTTCTATGATATGTTTTAAAATATTTGTCTAAAAAATGACTAGGGGACTTGGTAAAATTGGTAGCAGATTTATAAATTATAAATCATAACCCTTAATAAAGGCATCTGTTTTAATGTTAAAGTGTGAAGACATTTGCTTAAATTAAGATTTATGCAGGCTCTGTATTGAAAGGCATGTTTCCTGAACATTCCGCCAGAAGGAGAAAAATCTATTCCTGTTCCAGTCAAGCACAGCCATGTAGAGTCACATTGTGCGATGGGATAATGGGTGGTGATGATCTTTTCTGTTACAGTTAAGAAAGAAAATGAAGCCTTGAGAATTAGGGAAGAAAGTGTTGAGATATTAGATAATTTTCCTGGTGAAAATGTTTGTTAGAAAATTTAAACCAGTATTTCCCAAATTATGTTCCTGAGAATATGAATTTTGTGAGTAGCTAATGTGTGTTTTATGTTCAAAAGGTTTATTTTTGTATACAAGTTTAAGAAATGCTGTCATAGGTTTTGTGGTATTGGGTACAAGGTTGAAGAACACATATTAACTATTTGAACTTCGATAAAAATTTCAGTTGTTTGTATTTCCAATGAGTGGTGAAATTTCCTGTGGCTTGTCATGTTGTAAAAGAATTAGGGGAAAGAGAAGATTCTGGGAAGATGGTGGAGTAGGAAGCTCCAGGAATATGTGTGCCCACCTAGACAGCAATTATACTGGCAGAATCTGTCTGATATAACTATTTTAGAAATCTGGAGTCTATTGAAAGCTTGTAACTTCCAGGGGAAGGCTAGGATGGTAAATTGTGGTTAATTTTGATTAATTTCAGCTCTTAGCACAGTAGCACCTACCCCCTACACCCCTCCAAAAGCCACGTGGCAGGCAGCTGTGCACATATTCTGTGTTGTTAGAGCAACCTGTACAGAGCTTGTGGGAGGCAGGGTGGGTAGAAATGGACTCTGTTCTCCAAATAGTGAGGATCTCTGCTCTGATTGCTGGTTATTGTTTCTTATCACAGAGGTTCAGACATAGAGGTAGATAGCCATTATTGTTGGACCTCCCTTCATTGTAGTAAGCCTAGTCCCCAACCTATGGTTTAAATGACTCTCAGGGGATTTAAAAGGCCAGCACCATTCCACACCCCTTCATTGTTCTCTTTTTCATTTTTTAGGAGCCAGACATTAAAGACTAGGACATTCAAAACTACTGCAGGCTCACACCTGTAATCCCTGTGCTTTGGGAGACCAGGTGGGTGGATCACCCGAGGTCAGGAGTTTGAGACCAGCCCGGCTAGCATGGTGAAACCCTGTCTCTACTAAAAATACAAAAATTAGCCAGGTGTGGTGGCACATGCCTGTAATCCTAGCTACCTGGGAGGCTGAGGCAGGAGAATTGCTTGAACCCAGGAGGCAGAGGTTGCAGAGAGCCAAGATCACACCACTGCACTCCAGCCTGGGCAACAAAAAGATCTGCACATACAGGGAGGATTAGAAAGTGACCACACATGTTTAGGGAAAGGCACACGTTCAGAAAAGAACTGGAAAGGCCTTAAATTTATACCTCAGACTGACTGTTGGCACAGAGACGGCCTACAGAACAAAACAAAACAATAACACATAATATCCAACCCTGGGGAAGAGAGGGAATCTGATTTCCAAGGTTACCACCTTATTAGATTCAAATGTCCAGTTTTCAGCAAAAAAAATCACAGGGAATACAAAGAAACAAAGAAACAGGAAAGGATGTTCCATTCAAAGGAGAAAAATAGATCAACACAAATTGTCCCTGAAAGTGACCTGATGGTAGATCTACTAGACAGACTTTAACACAACTACCTTAAAGATACAAAAAACTAAAAGAAAATGTCAAGAAAGTAAATGATATGGTGTATAAACAGAATGGAAGTATCAATAAAGAGATTGAAAACATAAAAAGCAACCAAAGATAAATTCTGGAGCTGAAAGTACAATAACTGGAATGAAAATTCACTAGAAGGATTCAAAGGCAGATTTGAGCAGGCAAAAGACTCAGTGAACTTGAAAACAGTTCATTGGAAATTACTGAGTCTGAGGATATGAAGGAAAAAGAGACTGAAGAAAAGTGAACATAGCCTAGAGGTTTTTTGAAATACCATCAAGAAGGCCAACTGTATATTCTGAGAGTCCCAGGAGAAGAAGAAAGAGAAATGGGCAGATGATATTTGAAGAAATAATTGCTAAATATATTGCTAAATTTGATGAAAGATGTGAATGTGAGCATCCGGTCAATTTAACAAACTCTATGTATCATGAACTTTAAGAAGTCTGCATTGAAACATATTGTAATCAAACATTCAAATGACAAAAAAAAAAAATAGAGAAACTTGAAAACAGTAAGAGAGAAGTGACTTGTCACAGACCAGCATTCCTCAATAATATTATCGGTGGGTTTCTCATCATATACTTTGGAGGATAGAAGGCAATGGGCCACTTTATTCAAAATGTTAAAAGAAAAAAAATTTGTCAAGCAGCAATCCTATACCCAGCAAAATGGTTCTTCAAATGTGAAGGAGAAATTAGGACATCTCCAGATAAACAAAAGCCAGGGCAGTTTGTTATCACTAGATCCGTCCTGCAAGAAATGCTCAAGCAAGTCCTGCATGGTGACATCAGAGGACAGTAAACAATAACTTAAAGCTATATGAATAAATGAAGATCTAAATAAAGATAAATACATAAGCAATTACAAGACAATATTATTGTAACAATGATTTGTAACTTTATTTTTTTCTACATGATTTAAAAGCTAATACTTAAAAATCATGAGTTTGAAAGGTAATATTATTGTAACTTTGGTTTTAAGTCCACATTTTTCTACATAATTTAAGGGACTAATGTATTTAAATTAATGATTTGTTTATGATTTGTGGCACACAACATATGAAGATGTAATTTTGTGACATCAACAACCAAAAAGCATGGGAACACAGCTGGTAAAGGGGCATAGTTTTTGTGTTATTGAAGTTAAGCTGGAATAAATTCATATTACAGTGTTATAACTTTAGGATATTGGATTTAATCCTCATGGTAACCAGAAAGAAAATAATGACAGAATACATACAAAAGGCAATGAAAAAACAATGTAAACATTTCTCTACAAAAAAATCAACTAAACACAAACAAAGAGTAAAGCAGGAAATTAGAAACAAAAAGCTGTAAGGCATGTAGGAATCAAATAGCATAACACCAGAAGTATGTCACTTCTTATCTGTAAGTACTTTAAATGGAAATGGATTAAACTTCAATGAAAAGACAGTAGTTGTCAGGATGAAGAAACATGATCCAACTATATGCTTTTGAAAAGAGACTAACATTAGATACAGACACAGATAGAAAGTGAAAGGATGGAAAAAAGTTTCATGCAAATAGTAACCAAAGGAGAGCAGGGGTAGCTATACATCAGAATTAAAGGGAGAAATAACAGTTCTACAATAACAATTGGAGACTTCAATACCCCACTGATATGGTTTGGCTCTGTGTCCCTGCCCAAATCTCACCTTGAATTATAATCCCCACGTGTCAAGGGCAGGACCAGGTTGATATAATTGAATCACGGGGGCAGTTTTCCCCAAGCTTCTCTTGTGACAGTGAGTGAATTCTCATGAGATCTGATGGTTTTATAAGGGGCTTCCCCCTTCACTTGGCACTCATTTTCTCTCCTGCTGCCTGCCTGTGAAGAGGTGCTTTCCACCATGATTGTAAGTTTCCTGGGGCCTCCCCAGCCATGCAGAACTGAGTCAATTAATCCTCTTCTCTTTATAAATTACCCAGTCTCGGGTATTTCTTCATAGCAGCATGAGAATGGACTAATACATCCACTCTCAATAATAGAAACAACAACCAGACAGAAGATAAGTAAGGAATAAAGGACTTAAACAACATGATAAACCAATTAGATTTAACAGACATGTACAGAACATTCTCCCAAATGAGAGAAGCATACACAATATTCTCAAGTACATATGGAATATTTTCTAGGATAAACTACATATTAGGCCACAGATTAAGTCTCAATAAATAAAAAATAGAGATATTATACAAAGTATCTTCTCCATCCATAACAGGATGAGATTAGAGATAACAGAAATAAAATTATAAAATACACAAAATTGTAGAAATTAAACAAGATAGTCAAACCACCAATGGGTGAGAGAAGAAATAACAAGAGAAATCAAAACACTTAGAGATGAATAAATATGGAAACACAACATACTAACGTTTATGGGACACAGTAAAAACAGTGCTAAGGGAAAAATTCATAGTGTAAATAATTACATTGAAAGACCTAACTTTAAATCTTTAGGAACTAGAAAAAGAACAAACTAAACCCAAAGCTAGAAGAAGAAAGGAAATAATAACAATAACAATAATGAAGCAGAGATAAATGAAATAGATAATAGAAAAATATGGAAAAAATACATGAAACTAAAATTTCTTCAAAAAATCTCACAAAGTTGACAAGCCTTTAGCTTGATGGACTAAGAGAAAAGAGAGAAGACTCAAATTAATAAAATCAGAAATAAAAATTTGAACATTAACTGCTGATTTTACCAAAGTAAAAGAATTATAAGAGAGTACTGATATGGTTTGGATCTGTGTCCCCATCCAAATCTCATGTCAAATTATAATCCCCAAGGCTGGAGGTGGGGCCTCGTGGGAGATGATTTGGTCATTTGGGCAGATATCCTTGGTGCTGTCCTCACAATAGCCAGTGAGTCCTCCTGAGATCTGGTTGTATAAAAGTATGCAACTTCCCCTGCCTCTTGTTCTTTCTCTCACCATGTGAGACAGCTCACTCCCCCTGTGCCTTCCACCCTGATTGTAACTTCTCAGAGGCCTAGCCAGAAGCAGATGTTACCATGCTTCTTATACAGCCTGTAGAACTGTGAGACAATTAAACTTCTTTTATCTATAAATTTCCCAGTCTCAGTTATTTCTTTATAGCAATGTGAAAACTGACTAATACAAGTACTATGAACAACTATATATCAACAAATTGAATGAAATGGACAAATTCCTACAAATAAAAAACCTACCAAGACTAAATCACAAGAAAGAACACAATAGCAAATCTGAAGATACCTAAAACTAGTAAGGAGATTGAGTCAAATAAAAAATCTCCCAAGGAAGAAAACCATGCAACTGATACCTTCACTGGCTAATTCTACCAAACATTTTAAAAAGAAGTAGTATCAATCCTTTAACTTTTCCAAAAAGACGGAAAAAGCGGGAACCCTTCCAAACTCATTCCGTAAGACCAGCATTACTCTGATGCCAAAGCCAGACAAAGACACTACAAAAAACAAAACAAAACAAAAAAAACTCCACCATAACTACAGATCAAAATCTTTATGAGCGGTGATATAAATATCCTCAAGAAAATACTAGCAAACTGAAATCAGTAGCCTATTAAAAGCATTATACACCATGACCAAACTGAATTTGTTCTGGGAATGTAAGGATGGTTCAACATATAAAAATCAGTCAACACAATTGTAGGGTCTCCTGCTTTCTTTCTTTTTCCTTACCAAGAAACTCAAAGTGCCTTGACTTTGTGGCTCAGCCAGGTGCATGTTTTCCCCTGCAAGCTTGAACCCAAGCTGGTACCTTGAACTTTTGTAGGTGTTGATGAGGCTGTTTAGGTTGTTGCTCAAAAGCTCTGAATGATCAACTGTGTTGCCGCATGTGGAACCGACTTCTCGCCATGAGTCAAATTCCTTAAACCTTCATACAAACTCCTTAAACAGTTTAAGGAGTTTAAGGAATTTAAGTTAGGTATGTCTGCTTTGTTGCAGACATACCTAGGTAGAATATCGTTTTTGCTGTCTGATGTCAGGACTGCTGCCTCACTTTGTATGTAAGTTCCCCTAATAATGCTTTGAACTGATCATCCTGGTGTTTAGTGCTTTTTTCTTTAGAATATCAACTGGTCCCATCTCAGAACAGTTTGAAGTGGTCCCTTTTCGGAACTTTCCTGCTGGCATTTTTGGAGTGACTTCAGCTGTATGTTCAGATGGACAAAACAGTAATATGCACATTAACAGAATGAAGGGGAACCCCCCCCCAACCACATGATCAGCTCAAGTGATACAGAGAAAACATTTGATAAAATTCAACATCCTTTTATGATAAAAAGACTTAATAAACTAGGAGTAGATAGAAACTATCTCAACATAATAAAATCCATATATGAAAAACTCACAGTAACCACTAAACTCTGTGATGAAAGATTGAAGTCTTTTTCTCTAAGATTAGGAACAAGGAAAAGATGCCCACTTTCATCACTTCTATTCATAGTACTTGGATTTCTAGCTAGAGCAATTAGGCAGAAAAAGAAATAGAAGCCATCAGAACTGGAAAATAAAAATACAATTATCTCCATCCACAGATATCTGATCTCTGTACATTTAAATGTAGAAAATTCTAAAGATTCCACAAAAAGCTTCTTAAAACTAATAATTGAATTCATCAAAGTAGCTAGATACAAAGTCAACACAGAAAAATTAGTTGCATTTTATGTACATGAACAAGGAACAATCTGAAAAGGAAATTACAAAATGAAAACAATTCCATTTGCAATAACATAAAAAAAATGAAATATCTAGGAATTAAGCATGCAAAAACTTGTACAATGAAAACTACAAAACAGACTGGGCACGGTGACTTATACCTGTAATTCCAACACTTTAGGAGGCCAAGGTGGGTGAATCATGAGGTCAGGAGATCGAGACCATCCTGGCCAATATGGTGAAACTGTGTCACTACTAAAAATACAAAAAAAAAAAAAAAAAGAAAAAATTAGCTGGGTATGGTGGCATGTGCCTGTAATCCCAGCTTCTCTGGAGGCTGAGGCAGGAGAATCACTTGAATCCGGAAAGCAGAGATTGCAGTGAGCTGAGATCGCGCCACTGCACTCCAGCCTGGTGACAGAGCAAGACTCCATCTCAAAAAAGAAAAGAAAAGAAAAAGAAAACTACGAAACATTGTTGAATTAAATTAATGTAAATATAAATGGATGAAAAGGAAATACTTCCCATATTTATCAATTATAAGACTTAATATTGTTAAAATGTCAATACTACCCGAAGCAATGTAAAGGATTCAATGCAATCCTTATTAAATCCCAATGGTTTTTTTAAAATTCAGAAATAGAAAATCTCAACCTAAAATTCATATGGAATTTCAACAAATACTGAATAGCTGAAACAATCTTGAAAAAGAACAAGCATGGAGGACTCAACTGCCTGATTTCAAAACTTATTACATAGCTATAGTAATAAAAACAATGTGGTACTGACATAAAGACAAGTATATATATTACATAGCTATAGTAATAAAAACAATGTGGTACTGGCATAAAGACAAGTATATAGGCCAATGGAATAGAATAAAGAGCCCAAGAATAAACCCTGACATATGTGGTCAAATGAGTTTTGAAAATGTTGCCAAGATTCTTCAATGGAGGAAAGAGCAATCTTTTCAACAAATAGTGATGGGAAAACTGGATAGCCAAAGAATGAAGTTGGACTCATGCCTAACATCATACAAAAATTAACTCAAAATGAATCAAAGATCAAAACTATAACATTCTTAGAAATAAACATAGGGCAACATCTTTGTGACATTCTATTTGGCAGAGACTTTTTTAGAAATAATGCCCAAAAGACAGGCAACAAAAGAAAACATAGACAAATTAAACTTCATGAAAAAATTTAAAAATTTTGCATTAAAAGGCAAGATCAACAGAGTGAAAAAGAAATCCACATAATGTGAGAAAATATTTGCAAATTTTATATTTGACAAAGGATATCCAGAATATATATATATATATATCATTCCTAAAACTCAAAAACAATCAAAAAACAACTAGACTAGATTCAAAAAATAAGTAAAAGACTTGAATAGTTTTTCAAAGAAGATATACAAATTTAGTCAATAAGTACATGAAAAGGTACTTGACAATACTAATCATTAGAACACAAATTGAAACTAAATGAAATACCACCCCACCCCTTTGGGTGGCTACCATTAAAATAATAATAGTAAATGTTGGTAAGGATGTGGAGTTATTGGAATTCTTGTATATCATTGGTGGGAATGTAAAATGGTACAGCCATTATGGAAATAGTATGGCAATTTCTCAAAGTTAAAAATAGAATTACCACATGATTCAGCAACCCCACTCTGGATGTATAATTCAAAATAATTGAAAGCAACATCTCAAAGAGGCATTTGTACATCCAAGTTCATAAAGCATTATTCATAATGGGTAAAGCCTGGAAAGTACCAAATTATCTATTGAAGCAAAATGTGGCATATACATGCAATGAAATTTTATTCAGTCTTAGAAAGGAATGGAGAGTGGGGCCAAGATGATGGACTACAAGTAGTTTCTGTGAGCTGCTATTCTGGAGAGGAAACAAGGTTTAGAGAACATGAACTCTGCAGGCTGATCATCTGATAAACCACATTAGGATATATCAAGGTAGCAAGGAAAGACAGAGAACAGAGAGGATTGAAGCTGGGCACCAGCCTGTCTGGGCTCAGCTCAAAGCCAGGAGAACCTTTCCAAAACAGAAAGAGTGAGTGAGAACGCCCAGAGAGATTCGTGCTCTCCACAGGGACTTGTGCATGACTAGGAATGGGAGAATCACTCTGGCTCTCCCACACAACCCCATCATGCTTCTAGACTGAGGCAAAGATCCACCCAGATGTTTTTCGGGGGTAACTCCCAAGTCCAAGGTGACCTCTACAAGGCTTGGGTCCTGGAGAAGAACTGCACCAGCACCGTAGTCCGAACAGAGGCCACAGTTGTGGTGCCTGAGAGCACTAACATTGCTCCACCACCACTTGCTGGCCAGGACTCAGTGCCAGCAGTCCTGCTTCAGGCCAAACATGGCTGGCCACCCCTCCTACTCCTGTCACTGGTAGCCAAATGGGCAATGTTTGCTGGAGCCTTCAGCCCAGTGGTCCCACTTGTGTGTAAATTCAGCTGGAGGGTGCAGCTTCCTGTTGTCATGGGAAACACCCAGAGAGTAGAGCACTAGACCCTACCTGCCTTTGCCACTGGTAGTCAAGTGACAATGCCTGCTAGAGCTTCTAGCCCAGTGGCTCCACTGTTGCGTTAGCTCAACTGAAGAGCACAACTTCCTGTTGTCATGGGAGACACCTGTACAGCAGAGCATGAGACCCCATCCACCCCCACCTCTGGTAGGTGGGCAATGCCTGCTAGAGCTTCTAGCCCAGAAGCCTTGCTTCTGTGTGAACTTAGCCAAAGTGCACAGATTCCTGTCATCATAGGAAATACCCAGATGGCAGAGCACGAGACCACACCCCCCACCCTGCCGTTTGTAGTGAGGTGGGCAACACCTGCTGGAGTTTCTAGCCCAGCAACCTTGCATCTGGGTGAGCTCAGCTGGAGAACACAGCCTCCTGATGTTCCAAGAAATACCCAGTCAGCAGGGTGCATAACCCTACCAACCACTGCCATTGATAGGCAGGCAACACCTGCTACAGCTTCCAGTCTAGTGGTTCTGTCTTCCTGAATTTGCCAAAGAGTGCATCCTCCTGTTGCCCTGGAAATGCCTGGAAGGCAGGGCTGGCCATCACCCGCTCCCCACTTCCTGTTGCCAGGAGTTTTCAACCCACTAGAGTTTTCATCCCAACAGTCCTGCTACCACAAAAACTCTGTAGGTAGATGAAACCTCTTGTTTCCCCAGGAAGCACACAAATATCAGATTAGAGCTGACCCAGCAAGGACACAGCTTGTCAGCCAACTGCAGCCCCAGCTTGAGGGAGCACTGTGGACCCTAATGCCTAACAAAAAAAAATGAGGACATGGAGACAGTAATCAGAAGGAGCTCTTCCAAAACCCAGGAACAGACTAGAATCAATGCCAGACAGCCAAATGCACCTTATACCATAATCAAAGCCCCAAGGGCATTAAAGAAGAAAAAAACAAAACAATCAGTCCAAAATATATCACCTTGAAAGACTGAAGAAACATCAGTCTACACGAATGAGAAAGAACCAGTGCAAGGACTATGGCAACTCAAAAAACCCAGAATACCTTCTTTCCTCCAAACAGTTGTGCTAGTTCTCCAACAAGGGTTCTTACCTAGGCTTAGATGGCTGAAATGACAGAAATAGAATTCAGAATATAGATGGGAATGAAAACCATCAAGATTCAGGAGAACATTGAAACCCAATGCAAGGAAGCTAACAATCACAATAAAATGATACAGGACCTGACAGACAGCCAGTAGAGAAAAAAACAAAAACATAACCAACCTGATAGAACTGAAAAACACACCACAAGAATTTCATAATGCAATCACAAGTATTAATAGCAGAACAGACCAAGCAGAGGAAAGAATATCAGAGCTTGAAGACTGGCTTTCTGCAATAAGACAGACAAGAATGAAAAAAAAGAATAAAAAGGAACAAATAAAATCTTCAAAACATATGTGATTAGGTAAGGAGACCAAATCTATGACTCATTGGTATCCCTTAAAGAGACAGAGAGAAAGGAAACACCTTGAAAAACATATTTCAGGATACCGTCCATAGGAGCTCCCCAATCTAGCTAGAGAGGCAAACATTCAAATTTTGGAAATTCAGAGAACTCTCACAAGACACTTCACAAAAAGATCATCCCCAAGACACATAATCATCAGATTCTCCAAGGTCAAAATGAAAAAATGTTAAAGGCACCTACACAGAAAGGAAAGGTCATCTGCAAAGGGAAGCCCATCAGACTAACTGTGAACCCATTAGCAGAAACCCTACAAGCCAGAAGATATTGGGGACCTATAGTCAACATTCTTAAAGAAAAGAGATTCCAACAAATAGTTTTATATCCAGCCAAACTAAGCCTCATAAGAAAAGGAGAAGAATAAGATTATTTTCAGACCAGCAAATGCTGAAGGAAATTGTTACTACCAGACCTGCCTTACAGGAGCTCCTGAAAGAAAGCTAAGATATGGTAATGAAAGACTGTTATCAGCCACTAAAAAAACATTTAACTACATGGACCAGTGACACTATAAAGCAACCACACAAACAAGTCTGCATAATAACCAGCAAACATCATGTTGAAAGGATAAATTTACACATATCAATACTAACCTTGAATGTATATGAGCTAAATGCCAAAATTAAAAGGCACAGTGTGGGAAGCTGGATAACAAACCAAGAACAAATGATATGCTGTATTCAAGAGACCCATCTCATATGTAATGACACTCATAGGCTCAAAATAAAGGGATGGAGAGAAATCTAACAAGCAAATGGAAAGTGGAAAAAACAGGAGTTGCAATCCTAATTTCAAACAAAACAGACTTTAAACCAACAAAGATCAAAAAAGACAAAGAAGGGCGTAACATAATGGTTAATGGTTCAATTCAACAATAACACCTAACTATCCTAAATCTATATGCATCCAACATATAGGAGCACTCAGATTCATAAAACAAGTTCTTAGAGAACTACAAAGAGACTTAGGTTCCCACACAATAATAGTGAGAGACTTCAACATCTCACTGACATTATTAGAAAGATCACTAGGGCAGAAAATTAGCAGAGATACATGACATACACTCAACACTTGACTAAATGGACCTAATAGATGTCCACAAAACTACTCAAAGACAACAGAATATGCATCCTTTTATCACCACCTTACATACTCTAAAATCAACCAGCAATCATATATAAGACAACCCTCAGCAAATTCAAAAAAACTGAAATGATACCAACCACATTCTTGGACCACAGCACAATAAAAATAGAAATTAAGGCCAAGAAAAACATTCTCAAAACCATAAAATTACATAAAAATTAAACAAGCTGCTCCTAAACAACTCTTGCATAAATAATGATGTGATACAAAAATCCAGATATTATTTGAAACTAATGAGAACAAAGACACAATCTAACAGAGCCTCATGGACACAGCTAATAGGATGTTAAGAGGGAAATTTATAGCACTAAATACCCACATCAAAAAGTTAGAAATATCTTAAATTCAACAATCTAACATCACAACAAAAAGAACAAGAGAAGTAAGAGCAAACTAAACCAAAAGCTAGTAGAAGACAAGAAATAACAAAAATCATAGCTGAACAGAAGGAAATAGAGACACAGAAATAATCACACAAAAGATGGAGGCTGAGGCAGGAGAATGGCGTGAACCCGGGAGGCGAAGCTTGCAGTGAGCAGAGATCGCGCTACTGCACTCCAGCCTGGGCGACAGAGCAAGACTCCGTCTCAAAAAAAAAAAAAAAGACTACTAGCTAGACTGAAAAAGAAGAAAATAAACACAATCAGAAATGACAAAGGGGATATTAACACTGATCCCACAGAAATAGAAATAACCATCAGAGACTACTATTAACACCTCTACGCACACAAATCATAAAATCTAGAAGAAATGGATAAATTCCTGGACTCATACACCCTCCCAAAACTCAACCAGGAAGAAATGGAATCCCTGAACAGACCAAGAACAAGCTGTGAAATTGAATCAGCCTGTGAAATTGAACAGCCTACCAACCAAAAAAAAGCCCAGGACCTGATGGATTCTCAGCCAAATTCTAACAGTACAAAGAACTGGTACCATTCCTCCAGAAGCTATTACAAAAGATTGAGAAGAGACTCATCCTAAACTAATCCTATGGGGCTAGCATCATCCTGATACCAAAATCTGGCAGAGACACAACAAAAAAAGAAAATTTTAGGCCAATATCCTTGATGAACATATATGCAAAAATCTTTAACAAAATACTAGCAAACCAAATACAGGAGCACATCAAAAAGCTAATCCTTTATAATCAAGTAGGCTTTATCCTTGGGATGCAAGGTTGGCTCAACATGTGCAAGTTAATAAATGTGATTTATCACATAAACAGAACTAAAGTCAAAAACCACATGATTATCTCAATATATGCAGGAAAGGCTTTTGATACAATTCAATATCCCTTCATATTAATAACCTTCAGTAAGCTTGGCATTGAAGAAATATATTTCAAAATAATAAAAGCTGTTTGTGACAAACCCATAGCCAACATCATACTGAATGGGCAAAAGCCAGAAGCATTCCTCTTGAAAACTGGAACAAGACAATGATGCCCACTCTTACTACTCCTATTCAACATAGTATTGGAAGTCCAGTCCAGAAAAATCAGACAAGAGAAGGAACTTTTTAAAAAGAATCTAAAATAGGAAGACAGGAATTCAGACTATCCCTGTTTGCAGACAACATGATTCTGTATCTGGAAAATCCCACAGTCTGAGCCCAAAAGCTCCTTGAGCTGATAAGCTACTTCAGCAAAGTTTCAGGATACATTATCAATGTAAAAAAAAAAAAAAAAGACTAGCATTTCTATACACTAATAGCACCCTAGCTGAGAGCCACATCAGGAATGTAATCCCACTCCCAATCACCACAAAAAGAATAAAATACCTAAGAATACAACTAACTATGGAGGTGAAAGATCCCTATGATGATAACTATAAAACACTGCTCAAAGAAATAACAGATGACACAATCAAATGGAAGAACATTCCATGCTCTTGGATAGGAAGAATCAATATCATGAAAATGGCCATACTGCCTAAAGCAATTTACAGATTCAGTGCTATTCCTATAAAATTACAGTGCTATTTTTCACAGAATTAGAAAAAAGTGTTCTAAAGTTCATATGGAACCAAAAAAGAGCCTGAATAGCCATGGCAGGCAATTCTAAGCAAAAAGAGCAAGCTGGAAGCATCACATTGCCTGGCTTCAAACTGTACTACAAAGCTATAGTAACCAAAAGTGTATGGTACTGGTAAAAATCCAGACACATAGACCAGTGGAACAGAATGAAGAGCTCAGAAATAAAGACACACACCTACAACCATCTGGTAATTGACAAATTGGACAAAAACAAGCAAGGGGGAAAAGACTCCTTATTCAATAAATGATGCTGGGATAACTGGCTAGCTACATGCAGAAGACTGAAACTCGACCATTTCCTTATATTGTATACAAAAATCAACTCAAGATGGATTAAAGACCTAAATGTAAAACTTAAGACTATAAAAACCCTGGAAGACAATCTAGAAAATACCAATTTGGACATAGGAACTGACAAAGATTACATGATGAAAATGTCAAAAGCAATTGCAAAGAAAGCAAAAACTGACAAATGGTATCTAATTAAACTAAAGAGCTTCTGCACAGCAAAAGAAATTACCAACAGAGTAAATAGGCAACTGATAAAACAGGATAAAGTATTTACTAACTATACATCTGACAAAGGTCTAATATACAGAATTTACAAGGAAGTTAAATGTATAAGCAAAAACAACTCCATTAAAAAGTGGGCAAAGGGCATGAGCAGACACTTTTCAAAAGAAGACATATGCAGCCAACAGGCACATCAAAAAAAGCTTAATCTCACCGATCATTAGAGAAATGCAAATCAAAGACACAATGAGATACCATCTCACACACGTCAGAATGGCTATTATTAAAACATCAAAAAATAACACATGCTGGCAAGGTTGTGGAGAAAAGGGAATGCTTATGCACTGTTAGTGGGAGTGTAAATTAGTTCAACCATTTTGGAAAGTAGTGTGGCACTTCCTCAAAGGACTAAAAACAAAACTACCATTCGACCCAGCAATCCCATCATTAGGTATATATGCTAAGGAATATAAATCGTTCTACCATAAAGACACATGCACATGTATGTTCATTGCAGCACTATTCACAATAGCAAAGACATGGAATCAATCTAAACTTCCATCAGTGATACACTGGAAAAAGAAAATGTGGTACATATACACCATGGAATACTAAGCAGGTATTTAATATGAAAAAGAATGAGATCACGTCCTTTGCAGGAACATGAATGGAGCTGGAGGACATTATCTTTAGCAAACTAACACAGGAACAGAAAATGAAATATTGCGTGTTCTCACTTACAAGTGAGAGCTAAATAATGAGAACACATGGAGAGAAAGAAGGGAACAACAGATTCTGGGGCCTTCTTGAGGGTAGAGAATGTGAGGAAGGAGAGGTTCAGAAAACAAAAACAAAAACAAAAAACAAACAAAAAACTGTTAGGTACTATGCTTAGTGCTTTGGTGATGAAATAATCTATACATCAAACTCCCAAGTCATGAGCTTACCTATATAAAAAACCTGCACATGTACCCCTTTACCTAAAATAAAAGTTAAAATATTTTAAAAAGTAACACAATTCTGACACATGCTACAACATAGATAAACCTTGAGGACATTATGGCAGGTGAAAAAAGCCAGTTGCAAGAGGACAGATACTACAGATACTGTATGATGTATGATTCCACTTATAAGAGGTACTTAGTAGTCAGAAAGAGTGACAGAATGTAGCATGGTGGTTGCCAGGTGCTGGGGGAAGAGGAGACTGGGCATTGTTTTTTAATGAGTATAGAGTTTCAGTTTTATAAGATGAAAAATGTTCTGTAGATGGGGGTGACATTTGTACATTTTGAATGTATTTAGTACCGCTGAACTGTACACTAAAAATTGTTAAGATGGTACATTTGTGTTATGTATATTTTACCATAGTTAAAAAGTAGGGAAAAAAGACTTAGGAAAAAGAAAATCCAAAATTATAATCAGGGAAAACAGAGGCTAAATATAAACACGGTTAATTGAAATTAGACTTTTTAGATTTCTTTGTATCTCATTTTAAATAATTTTCAATAATTGAAGTGTTTGGTGTTTCTGACATTTCCCAGATTCTATTCTAGGCACTGTAGAAGATACAGAAATTAATTATTGTTTGGTTTCTGTCCTGAAGGATCTTATACTTTAGTAAGTTAGTTTTTAAATGGTGGTTTTATATTGTGTTATTATCAATAAAAGAATAATTGTGGGTCCAGGTGCGGTGGCTCACTCCTGTAACCCCAGCACTCTGGGAGGCTGAGGTGGGCAGATTGCTTGAGCTCATGATTTTGAGACCAGCCTGGTCAACATGGTGAAAACCCATCTCTACCAAAAAGACAAAAAATTACCTGGGTGTGGTGGTGTGTACCTGTGGTCCTAGCTACTTGGGAGGCTGAGGTGGGAGGATCACTTGAGCCTGGGAGTGGGAGGTTGTGGTGAGCCGTGATTGTGCCACTGCACTCCAATCTGGCGGGAAAAAAAAAAGAAAAATTTGTGTAACTATCAATCAAAGCATAAATTAACACTTATTGGAATAATTGTTCATTTTCAAGGATTATAAATCATTCTACTATAAAGACACATGCACATGTATGTTTATTGCAGGACTATTCACAATAGCAAAGACTTGGAACCAACCCAAATGCCCATCAATGATAGACTGGATAAAGAAAATATGGCACTTACACACCATGAAATACTATGTAGCCATAAAAAAGGATGAGTTCATGTCCTTTGCAGGGACATGGATAAAGCTGGAAACCATCATTCTATCATTCTTAGCAAATTAACACAGGAATAGAAAATCAAACATTGCATGTTCTCACTCATAAGTGGGAGTTGAACAATGAGATTACATGGACACAGGGAGGGGAAACATCACACATCGGGGCCTGTCGGGGGACTGGGGGCTAGGGAAGGGATAGCATTAGGAGAAGTACCTAATGTAGATGATGGGTTGATGGGTGCAGCAAACAACCATGGCACTTGTATACCTATGTAACAAACCTGCACATTCTGCACATGTACCCCAGAACTTAAAGTATAATAAAAAAATAATAATAAAAGGAAGCCTCTTTAACAAGGCAAAAAATAAGTAAAAATCATCAAGTGAAAGAATTTTCTTTTGGCAAGTTCAGTCTCTCTGGTATTGTTTTACCCCTCTCTCTCCTAGGCCTAGTACATGTACATGGTATTGTTCCCTTTGTCCTATCCCCGTTTCACTCCTCAAACTTACTCAGATCATTCATTTACATTAAGGTATGAGTTACAGGAAAGAGTTTAGCATTGTCTATTCTCAGTAATTTTCATTCTAATAGATTAATGCTTTAAGAAAATGGTGGGATTTCTATATAAATCAATGAATGAGGGTGTTAGTTGGAGGGGGCATTAGTATTGTAACTGCAACCTAAAACCACATCATGTAGGCATTCCTTCCATGTGTAAGTCAATCTGAACTCCTCATGGCGTGTGTTGTAAATTTACATTTCATTGATTCTCATTTACTCAAGTCATGGGATTGAGTAGATTTAGCTGTGGGCCCTGGCTTATAAAACAAGGATTCACCTTAAGCCTCTCAGAGTAGAGAAGTTTGTAGGATAGTACTGTAGACAACCAAGTAACTTGCAGCTAGGCAACCAGAAGCAACTGAAAATGTAGAGAAGACTGGGCAGGTGTTATCTATACAATATTTGGTATTAAGAGATTAGAATGCATTATTCTGTGTTTGTTAGTAAAACTTTCTTGTAATATTCAGTGCCTCCCACCTATACCTTTTTAAAAAAATTATTATATCAGGATATTTTCTACCAGGCCCTACTTTTGATTGCCTAGGTCTCATTTTGAGAATTTTCTTAGCTGTTTGGCTTGGGCTATGTTTATTAGGACCGTAAATTGGGAACCTTTAAGCACTGTCAACATTAAAGTGAAGCACTGGACTTGATGGGACCATTAGGCATCTGCTACAGCCTCTTGGTGGACAGTACAATTCAGCCCGGGGTGATGATATTTGTCCAGAAGCTGACAACATATCCAGTATCTTGCTCATTGAAAATCCTCTGTGTCTCCCCAATTAGAAAAAAAGGAGGTCTAGGCTGGTTTGAGTTCAAAAAACTGCTGGGGTCCATTTGCCTGGAAGCAAGATGCTCTACTTTTAAGGTCACATGAGCTATATTCTAGAGTTTTACTTGGGGCTATTTTGTTGGCTAACAACGTTAAACCAATTCAAACCAGCCTTAGCAAAGGGGAGATAATATTGGTGTGTCAAATTTAAGGAGAAGAATGAAGCTAAATATTTGAAACAATGCAAACATTATTCTAATGTCTAATTCTTCCCTTTCATCAAAAACACATTTTCTCTACTTTTTAAGTCAATGGCACCAGCATCTGCTAGCTTTCTTATGTTCCATTATACAAACTGGGGACCCAAGGAGACATTGAGTTATTCAGTGCCAGGTGAAAAATTTCCAGTCAAATACTCAGGCTGTCTCATCCAGGGTCCAGTGCACACCTCTGCAATCACCAGAAGCATATACGCTCCCAAAAGAATCATAAAACGTAGGTGACATATGTGGGAGTGGTGTGAAAAGAATTCCCACAGGTGTGTGTGTGAGGGAGATAAAACAATTGGTATCTGCTGTAGCTTTTCACATCATTGCATTTTTAAAAATAAAGATGAGTCAAAAAGTAATAGTTGCCCCAGCCAAGGATATGTCGTACAAAGGGAATAATGCCCTACATGGGAATTCATTTTCATTTTCCTCACTATGTTTAAAATGTTTCTTTGTCTTAAAAAAAGATGGTCTGATTTCACCAAATAAAATGAATTTAGTTACAAACAATGTAGAGCATATGCAGCAAACAGAGCCACCAAAGAAACACACAATTTAAGCAACAGAAAGATGCTTGCGGTACCTATTCTTGTACTTACAAACAACTTCTTTCACACCTAGTTAGTGATAAACAAAGTTTGCATTTCAGAGAAGAGTGGACTCATGGGAGAAACCTAACATTTATATACACAGAGGAGCATGAAGCTAGCACAGAACTTAGCCCCATAATTAAACATTTACTCTCTACCATTGGCAAAAGGAACACGAAGTTATAAAAACTGACAGTCTATTCATTATAGCTCATCCTATATAAGTAGGCATAACAAATATGTATGGTTCTCAAAAGAGTGTGGGTTAAACTCTTGCTAAAACTTTATTTTGCAGTATTCATGATGTCACAATTTAAAGAACTCACTGTAGATACTGTTGTATACTGATACCTAAACTAATTGAATCAGACCGACAACAAAATCAAAGATTCTGGTGGCATTTGTGCAAATCTAGGAAGAATACTATCTCTCAGAAATATGGTTAAAGGAGCTTCTTTTTATTTGAGAATGCTAAAATCTAGACTAAACTAGACAAATTTCCTGTTGTGGAGGGTGGCTAGAGGAAATTTGCATACAGGGGAGTGAGTTTAGATAAGTTTTAGGTGGAATGTCTGTCTTCCAGGGTAGAGCAGAGTGATCTCAGTTATATAATTATAAGTATAATCTGGGACACAGGTAATTATGTGTGTTAGAAGTTTTCTCTTAATTTCTGTATTTTAGTTTTGCTAAAACTGTATGAAGTTTACTTGAGTATGTTGAGATTATGGAAAAATAACTTGCCTGTGTTTTAATAGGTGTATTTCTTCAGAATGTGGTCATTTGGCAAAATGGACATATGCATCTAAGATCACATACTGTGTAATCACAGCTTCCAAGTTTAACCATTTGCCTAGAGTAGAGCATAAAAGATAGTTCTGAAAGAAAGCCAGTTGTTTTCCACATAAATCTAGGGGACAAATGTCCAGCTTCCATTCAACATCAACAACATTCAAATAATGCAACTCCACCTACTCTCTTTGGAGGGCCTAAAATACTCTCTCCAAGTTCACTTAGCTGTTCATCAAGACAAAGCCATCTGTCATCCTAGTGAACACTAAATCAAATGGGAATACTTATATAACAAAAACGACAACAAAGACTAAAGCCATATATATTTCAAGGAGGAACAAATTAGAGGCTTTATTTCTCTCTCATTTTAAATGTACTCAATTAGGGTAGGCATAGATTAACAAAATTAAACACATTAATTTTTAATTGGAATTGCATTTTATCTTTCTTTTAATCCTTCCACCCTTGTGTCAACTTCTCCCACAATGCCAGTCTATGCTTTGATTATCAGAACAAAGGCTTTTTGAGTTAAATCTTTTTAAATGTATTTTGGCCTCCATGACTCTGGATAAAATCTACTTTAAAAGAATAGTGGCTAAAAATGTGTCACCTCTCAATTACTTTCATTCTGGAGTTGTGAAATTTCTCTGTCCTCAGCTATCCACTTCCCAATGTTACAGGCAGGCTTTTCCTTGCAGGCACCTGAATCCAACTGTGGATCTATTTTGACATCTCTTAGCTACATATTTTCTCTTTCTTCATCCACTTTTTAGGAGAAATGCTTTGGAGGGGTTTTTCTGTCCTGTCCTTCATCTCCTTTCCTTGCCTCTCATCCTCTAAATACTCCCAAAATTACAGAAAGCATCCTCTTTTACCTTACCACCTGTGTCCTTCCAGTGGTATTGTTTGAAAATCTGCATGACCTATCAGGTCAACAGAACTCAGAGGGTGTTATTCTCAGATGTATTTTACTATCCTTTTGCAACAAAAGAACATAGAGATCTTTCAATACACATTCACAGTCTACGAGTTTTGGAGAATTTTCCCCACAGGAGCACACACTTTCAATGAGAAATTGCTATTTTGTCCCAGTGAAGATTTTATTAAACATTTTACATATTTAACTGATAATGACATCTGTGTAGAGGACTACTTCATGTTAAAATAATTTAGACTAGTGAGTATGATTGCCTTCAAAATATGAGGATTCTACCTAGTGTCAGGGGGAACAAAGTAATGCAAAATCATAAAATCATAGTTACTTTATGAATTGAAGTGTTAAATAACTAGATTATAGCTTGGTATACTTTGAACTTTTTGGTCAGAGTGCCAACCTAAAAAAAAAAAGAGAACCAAATCTGTTTTAAAACGAAAAGTCTTTTCATTTTGAAACAAATTCGGTTCTCTTTTTCTTAAGTTGGCACTCTGGCCGAATTCTGCATTACAAACAGTGATCTCTATGGAGATATAGATTATAGTTCATATGAAAATATGTTTGCTGTTGACATCCTTTTGGCTTAAATTGGTGGCACATTTAATGGAAGTTTAGTGTTATAGAAGTTGCTTAAAATGATTTTGACAACAGAGAAATGATGCCCTACATATTATAACAAAGAGATACTATTTTTAAAGATTAACATATTTCACCTCTTGTCTGCAGGGGTAGAAGAATGTGGAATTTTATAATGCTAGTTGTTAAGCCTTCCATAATGGCTAGATTACTCTGCAGATTTAAATTGGATGGACTGGCACGAGTTTGTGGAATGTCTCCTCAAATCTAAGGATTGTTTTAGTGAAGAGGAACATCCCTGAAAGGAAAAAATTAGTTCTAGAAGCCTCCAGGGCATTTTGTCTCTTCAAAATAAAGACGGTTTTTTGTTTAAATTTAATCTTAGACCTTCCAAATATTCCTCTCCCTACCACAAATGAATAAAAATTTTCCTTCTTGGGAGAGATTTTTACAAATGTTCTTTTTTTTTTTTTTTTTGAGACAGAGTCTTGTTCTGTCACCCAGGCTGGAGAGCAGTGGCCCGATGTCGGCTCACTGCAAGCTCTGCCTTCTGGGTTCATGGAATTCTCTTGCCTCAGCCTCCCGAGTAGCTGGGACTACAGGTGCCCACCACCATGCTCGGCTTTTATTTATTTATTTACTTATTTATTTATTTATTTATTTATTTATTTTTAGCAGAGACAGGGTTTCATCGTGTTCGCCAGGATGGTCTCCATCTCCTGACCTCGTTATCCGCCTGCCTCAGCCTCCCTTACAAGTGTTCTATTTTAAGAATATTTCCAAGAAAGAACTATCTCATGATTAGCTAAGTGTGTGTAGATACCACTTTCAAGAACATTCTAACATTAATGATCTCATAATAAATAAACATGAAGCCTCTTTTTTCATGACTGTCCCTCAATTATCGTTAGAATCTTCAAGTTTTATTGGAGTACTTGAGAGCTATGCAATGATGAAATTTTCTTTCTGCAAAGAACGAAAAAATCATATCTTTCATCATGATAAATTACATTCCTTTAATCTTTTTCTCTGGTTTGTCTAAAATGAAATAGACATTTAGGAGGCAATGACCTTTGTGTTCAAATGGAGGTAGCATGATTACTTGACCAGCTCTGTAGAGAACTCATGTATTAGATAGAATAGATAGTCTTTAGATTATCATATAAACCTGATATCCTGTTATTATATAATTGAGGCTATAAGGTTGTCAATATCAAGCACATTCATTGCTTCCTAAAATCTGCAACCTGAAACCAAAGTCAAAATTTAAAGTCACAAAGATATCACTGATAGCACGTGGGAAATTTTCAAAGCTGTGCTAGGGGATTTAAGGAGCATTGCTTCCATTAATCTCGCTGAAAGTCTCATGACTAAATCCCTATGCATTGCTTTTAAGACTTGCTTGAAAATGTCTCAGCATACAAAGTATGAACAAGTTATTCATTATGGCTTTTACTTTACAGCATTCTGAAACTGTTTCTAAGTAATTTAGCACTAACTTTCCTCTTCTATAAAAGATCATAAAATACTTTCTACTTAAATGAAAGATTTGTTTTTGATAACAGGAGATTTTATGAAGAGTGAAAACTAGTTTTTACACTGAGCTTGACTGAAAAGGAAAATAATAATATAGTTCAGACAAACTATAATAGGTCTATTGATTTTTTTACCAGAAAATATACAAGGTTAGGATTTTTTTATAGTTTAGAACTGATTATATATATAAGTATATATAAAATATGTATTTGTTAATTACATATAAATTATGTATTTGTTGATTATGTGTAAAGTATTAATACACATCTTTGCTGGCTAACAATTACCAGGCATTGTTCTGGGTGCTGGGAACATCAAGACTGATGTTCTTGATGAATTACAGAGAGTAATTCATGGTCTAGTTGGGGCAATAGAAACATAAAATATCATAGAGAAATGTAACAGTGGGGAGGCCTGGGAAAGCACAAGCGTTGAGGCCCACACAGAGTCATCTATGGTTTTGAAAGACAGAGCTAGTTGGTTAGTTTAGGAAATAAAGCTAAAAACATTATAAAATCAGATTATTTAGAGGGCTTTTTAACGGAATGATAATTTATACTTAATTTTGTAGGGACAATGTGATTAAGTCAAGAGTTGAAAGAGATAATTTGTATGGTCTCCTGAATGGAGGATTGGCAGGAGCTTAATGAAGAGGCTATTTCATAAAGTAAGAAAGAGATGATACAAATCTTAAGATAGGAGTTGGCAATGATAATACAGAGAAAGAAATGGACTGAAGAAACTGATTGGTTGTGGGTTAGGGAGAAGGAGGAGTCAATAATAACTGAGGACTCTGGCATACTGGGTTGAGATAATAGAAATTAGAGCTTTCTGAGGTTCATGAATAACTGCTGAGTGAATTTTTGGGCTGTAGGTTCAGACTTTGAGACATTAGCTCACAAACTATGGGGCTGACAATCTCATGTAGAGAATCTCATGTAGAGAAAAAAAAGCACAGAGAGCAAATGAAAAGGAGATTGATTGGAGAATCTTGGTGGTGGCTGAGGTTAGAAAAGCCACCAAGAAAGAAGATGGAGACAAATGGTTAGAGAGGAAGGAAGATGGCCAGGACAGAGTATCATCATTAAAGCTACGGAGAAATGTCATCAGGGGCCCTAGGGGCAAAATGGTTCAGGAGGATTGTCATTAATTTGGGTGACTATGAAGTCATTTGTATCCTACAGACAGCATTTTCAATAGAGTGGTGGGGACAGGAAATACAGAGGATTTAGGAGTGATTATGAATGGAAATGATGAATGATATAAAGAGATGGAGGTAGTTAGTATAGATTTATTTTTATAGATTTTTGGAAACAGAATGAAAGGGATAACTGAAGTACTATCTTGGAAAGGTACAAATTGAGAGAAAGATGCAAGAGACCTAATAACGTTTATGGGATACATCAGAGTCCAGTGGAGAGAGAAACGCCTTTAGGCAGGAAAGGACTTTGATATTTCAGTTGGTTGAAGCTTTAGGAAGTTGTTAAATATTCTCTCTCATGATATAAAGTCATGCACGGGATGATTTGGATAGTGATAACTGCTCAGAGAGCTGTCTATATTCGTCAGAATAGCCTAAGTTTTACTTCAGAAAAAACACCCTATCTCCCAATCAATGTTTTAATAAGAGCGATTTCTTGTTCCACATCATGTTTGTTGTGGGAAGGCAGGGGTATTTGTAACAGTCATTCAGGGAGTAAGCGACAGAGATGCTCTTCTATAATCACCACTGTGGGAGAAAGGAGACCTCTGGAATCTCACATTGGTTCTTACAACTTTCTCGCGTGAGTGACATATGTCACTTCTGTTCACATTTCATTGGCCACACTAAGCACTAGGCAGCCACCTGACTCCAAGTGGTCATAGAACATAGAAGGGAAACTCTATCAGGTGTCTGGAAGGAGAACCAGATATTTTGCGAACATTTGTAACAATTACAACATTACCTTAAAAGCTTAAAAGGAATATAGAGTTCAGAGGATGGGTGAGGGAGCAAATGGCTTGAATTAATTACATTGTCCAATGCTAGTATGCTTCTTGAAATGCATATAATATTGAAATCATCACATAGGAACACCTGTGAAAGGGAGTTTATAATTGTTTTTGAATAATTCTAATAAATTGAGACCATTAGCCTTCTCTGATGTATTAATTATGATTAGTTTCATCTTCATGTGATGGGAAAAAAGAATATGACAGAAAAAAATAATATGACAGTGGCTGAAATAACATCCAATTAAATTTTCTCTTGTAATAATCTGAATAAGAGGTTCACAGCCTTCGTTATCATCAAAAACCAAGTTTCTTCTATCTCATTTCTCCATCATCTTCAATGTTTGACTTGCATTTTGTGGTCCAAGATGGTGTTCTAGCTCTAGTCATATCATCTGTATACCAGTCAGCAGGACACTTTCTGTAAGTTTTGCCAGCACTTCTGGATGTTACATTGGCCAGAACTTAGATACACACAGTGAAGGCTGATCTACCTGGTCTTTATTCTGGGAACAAATATGCTCAACTAACATTTAGAGGTTCCATATCTGAGTAAGAAGTCATCACATGACTACCCATTTTAAATACTTCTGCATCTCTGTGTAGAAGATCCTTGATTTGGGGTTGGGGTTTCATTTTATTTTCAGCAATTCTTAGCATGGAGAGAAATCAGGGAGTCCATGCTCCACATCAGAAATGTAATGACTCCCTCAGAACATATACATTTTTGGAACTAGAATAGCCTCTTATTTGGAGAGAGGCAGCATTTTGAGAGACGACGAACGTCAGTATTGGTTTTGGTGCAAGGATAAAATACGTTTTTCCTCTTGCATTTTGTAGCAGCTTGCTAGCCTCATCTAATTCACAGGTCATGGTGGGATGCAATAGCAAGCTTGAAAAGCTATGACCGGTATTTTTGATTGACTATGATTTTAACTAACAGGGTCCTATACAGAACTGGGCTCCACATGGAGCTCTTTCTATAGAGCTCAAACAAAATAGTGAGTTTTAGAGAGTGATGAAGTTTCTTCATTTTTACTTTACTCCCATTATGGGAGCTATAAGATGGAACAGAGTTTGCTGCCAAAAGAGAGAAGAGATAAAGTGCTGTGGAACTTCAAAAGCAGGAGAGGTTCGCAGCTGCATTTGACCCAGCGTTAGGCCTGGTGCAGATTTCAGGAAACAGTAAAGATCTTTTACTTTATACTTTTGTTTTTCATGTGTTCCTTGTTTGAGCCTTTCAGCTTCATACACCAGATGTTGAATTTAATATTATTATTGGTAGTAGTAATTCAAATCTGAATTGTAGGAGAATGTATTATTCAAATTGTAGATGAGACAACCCTGGCCAAACATGCATGAATTAAACATCCACTAGTCCAGGGTGTGATGAAGCTCTGAATCAGGGAAAGTAAAAAGA
This sequence comes from Homo sapiens, assembly GCF_000001405.40. NCBI lineage: Eukaryota > Metazoa > Chordata > Mammalia > Primates > Hominidae > Homo > Homo sapiens. Next base: position 28,404,926 of record NC_000018.10, read on the forward strand.
TGGTTAGGAAACCGTGATGACTGAGACTACTAAGAATTTAGGATGCCCCTTCTGTTGTTTTGTACTTTAAGAGAGGATAACAATGGCAAAACAGAAAGAAATATCTAAAATTGAAGTTTTTCTATCTAATTAAGAATTTGGTCATAGTCTGATTAAAATTGTAAGATAGTACAAGATGTAAGTAAATCAATGTTAAGTACAGGAGAGAAAAGCAAAAACACAGCCAGGCGTGGTGGCTCATGCCTGTAATCCCAACACTTTGGAAGGCCAAGGCGGGTGGATCACCTGAGGTCAGGAGTTCAAGACCGGCCTGGCCAACATGCTGAAACCCCATCTCTACTGAATTAGCTGGGCGTGGTGGCACGCACCTGTAGTCCCAGCTACTTGGGAGGCTGAGGCAGGAGAATCCCCTGAACCCAGGAGGCAGAGGTTGCAGTGAGCCGAGATCATATGGCTGTACTCCAGCCTGGGGGACAGAGCAAGATTCCATCTCAAAAAAACAAAACAAAACAAAACAAAAAAGAAAGAAAAGCAAAAACACGGTCCTTATTTTTAAATTAATACTTCAGTTCACTTCCTTCTATCATCTTTAAGTATCATCTACTATTACCAGTCCCTCTTGTCTATTCAATAAAATTTATTTTCCTCTAATGTTTGTTCAAATTTTCACTGCTATGGATTGTATAATAAAACTCAATACTGTTGTGTTTTTTCTTTTGTATTCTTGACCAACTCAATTCCTTTTACACATTTTATGGGCTTCTATCAACAAGTTTATCTGAATGTTAGATAGCCATTTTTTTCTGACAAAAAAGAAATAAAGAAAAAGCCTACAACTTTACTCTGAATGTGATGCACTACCATTTATTTTTGTCATTAAAAAATTATGTGATACTGTCTATATTACAAAGAAACGGCTGCAAGTAAGATTTTATAGAATGCCAGACCATCTTTTAAAGTTTAAGAACATATCACCTTGGCATATTTATTTATCCACAGCTTATGTTGTTTTCATTTTAAGCAGATATGCATTAATAAAAGATTACTATTGTTTATGCCATATCATATCTTTTTCCTTTATATAGAAGAGAATCAAAGGAACGTTTTATTTTAGATAGCTGTTAGTAGAGAAATAACAAATCAGTCATTTTACAATATCAGTTTTTAAGCAATCTCTTGACAAGACATTTTGTACCAAAATTGATAGCACATTGTGGATAGTAGATTACAATCTCCAGTGAAGGAAGTAAGAATAAAAAGTCAATCAATCCTCAGAGGATACTACATTGTAGGATAATATCAACCACCCTATTCTGCACACACATTTTCAGCAACTTGACTTAAGGAATATGATTGATTTAGGTGCATCTACCTGTTAACAACAGGATGGCACAGCAAACTCCCCAGCTGACTGTGGAAGGAAATATTAACAACCGGACAGAGAGTAGATGAAGCATTTTGTTCAGTTACGGGAACGAAATATGACATGTCCCTGATAAAATTGTGCTCTATGTGTTTATATGTAGGTCTGAGTTTAAATGTTGTGATTGGCATTTTTCAAAAATCTCAAAAAAGGTAATAGAGAGCAAAATGTCAAAAAGGCCATAAACTGTATGATACAGTTACTTTGTTATCAATATTTCCATAGATTTTGTTTGAGCAGGAGAATTACTCGTTCTTAGTAAGAATGAACTAAATCTCATCTTGCCTTTGCTCTTTCTTTTGAATTAATTGGTTTTGGCTTGCCAGAATCACAGTGCAGATCATAAAGAATGGAAGGGCTTGGCATGTACCGTGTTTTCTCCACTGCGTTAATCAAACTGTAAATGAGATTTTTGTCAATAAAATAAAACATGCTGCCCAGAGCACACACAGAAAAGCACTAGAGAGATTCAAATGCTTAGTAACATGAGGAATGCAAACCTAACTCAAAGCTTCTTCCATAAATCAATTCAAATAAAGTACACTATGTATTCCTTGTTGGTCTATTCCCATACACCATTTAAAAAATTCTCAGGCATGCCAAAACATAAAATAAAAATACATAAATTTCAAGACCTTCACATGCTTACTGAGTTGACACTCTCCAACACTGTCCTCGGCAGCTTCCATCGTATACCTATGTAGATTATCTTTCCACTATCCTGGGCTCTCAATATTTTGGCCTCCTTTTCTGTTATGATCTTGTCCAACAACCTCCTTCAGCCTCTCCCACTCATGAGCACACCCTAGATCTTGCCATTGACAGTAACTTTGAGTCCTCCGTAATTTCGATTTCAAGTATCCCACACTCACACAACCATCTCCTCTTTTTCCAGCTCACTTCCACTAGTGCTTGTACTTTAACAATCTTTCTTCTAACATTGGAACTTAAAATACATTGATTCCCACTTACCTTCACCCTCCTCATGTCCTCATTCCTCTCTTCCCAGTTTAAATTTCATGATCAGTCATGATCACTTTCTTGCATGTATATTTGGTTCTTTTGGCCTTCTCTCATTTCCTCATAATGCTGATCAGCAAAGCTTTACCTCAATCCTGGTTAAATCCCACTCTCTGCTTACTCTGTGCTTACCTGCCACTGCTCATTGTGTCTGTAGAAAAAGATACACCTTGGCTGACTAATCCCACTTAAAATTCTTGATCGCTAGCAGAGGTGGACTTGTGGAATCAGAAACACACCATACGTCCCTCATCCAGTCCCTCTTCCTTCTTTCTTTTTCCTAGGTGACAACTGCACACCTTTTCATCTCCTCAAATCCCAAACAGCTTTTCCTTTCCTGTTCAACTAATAGCATTTCTTACTTCGCTAAGAAAATAGTGTCCTATCAACATTCTACCCCTTGCTATTGCTAAATCTGGTGGTCATTTTTCAGTTGATCTGCTTAATTGCTTTCTTCTTGAAAAACATTCTTCACTTGGCTTCCAAGACACCACATTCCTCTCATTTTCTTTTGGCCTCAACTGACCACTCCTTAGCTTCCCTGATGGGTAACTCTTCACTTCCCAGTCTCTTACCATTGGAATGACCAAGGCTCAGTACACAGACTTCTTTTCTTTTCTGCATTCATTCATTCCTTTGTGAATGTGGATGTCATCAATCTTATGCCTATAAACTCTAATTTATGCTGAACTTATGAGTTCTATATTTAGTGTAGCCTGATGTTTCTCAAAACTTCAGGCTTTATAGGCATTATATCCACTCACTTACTTGGATTTTTCCTTTGAATATATGACAAGAATGCCAATAGTAACTTCTTCAAAACCAAACACTTGATCTACACACTCCTCTCCCCTCAACCAAACAGGCATGTTCTTGCCTATTTGATTCCTATTTTAGTTAATGGCAATGCCATCTTTCTAGTTTTCCATGCCAATAGTGTTGTAGTCATCTTGGAGTGTTCTTTTGCTGACACATCCCAGATCCAATCTGTCTGCAAATACTTACAATTCTACCTTCAAAATATATCCAGAAAGTAATCCCTTACCCCTATTGCCACTGGCTCTCTCTTGGCCCACTCTGTTCTCATATCTCACCTATGTTATTGTAGTAACATTCTAATTACAACTTTGCCACCCCTACCCCCAGTCTATACTCACCAAGCAGCCAGAGAATACTTTTGAAGTCATAATGTGTTGTTCCCCCTGTCGAACCCCAGAATGCCTTCCTAATTTATTGAAGTTAAAAGCCAAAAATGTTATAATGCCTGATAAAGCCTCAATCCAACATGCTTCCCATTTGCTCCCTGACTCATCTGCCACCTCTCTTCCTCTTGCCTAGTCTACTCCAGCCACACCAGCTGCCTTGCTATTCTTGTAACAAGCAGTAATGTGCCTGCCTTGTGGTCTTCACAGCCCCTTCCTGTCCCTTCTGCCTAGAAAGGGCCCATGCTGTCACCTCTTACAGATCTTTCCTCGAAGATCATCTCTCAATGACACTCACCCTGAGAAAATTGGAAACTTCTTCCAACACTTGACTTCCTATCCTTCTCTATTTTTCTCCAAAACACTTACTACTTCTAACATATGTACATACATGCACACACAAAATAAATTTATTTATATATTTATATATTCTTAGTGCCCCCCATTGCAATGCAAATTCAAAGAGAATTGAGATTTTCTTTTTCGTGTGTTCGGTTGATTTCACTGCTCTATCCCTAGGACCTACAGTAAGAGCTGGTTTATAGCAGATGCTTAAAACTCTATTGTTGATTGAATTAATTAATTAAAAACTTTCATGTTAAAGTATGTTTGCATGTGATCTAGAAAAAAATGAGAGTTTACATATTATAGCCCTTCTAGAATAAAGGAAATTTGACAGTATTTTTTTTTTTTTGAGACAGAGTTTCACGCTTGTTGCCCAGGTTGGAGTGCAATAGCACAATCTCCACTCACTGCAACTACGCCTCCCAGGTTCAAGCAATTCTCCTGCCTCAGCCTCCTGAGTAGCTGGGATTACAGGCGTGCGCCACCACACCTGGCTAATTTTTGGGTTTTTAGTAGAGACAGGGTTTTGCCATGTTGGTCAGGCTGATCTCGAACTCCTGACCTCAGATGATCCACCCGCCTTGGCCTCCCAAAGTGCTGGGATTATGGGGTGGGCCACTGCGCCCGGCCTGACAGTATTTATCTAGGTCTATGGCACCTAAATATCAAGACCCATGTCAAAATTTTTGGGCCAGCTTGTTGTTGAAGGTAAGGAGTAACTTCTGGGGTGCCCATATCTTTATAAAGATAAAATTCTATGCTCTATTCATGTCACTTTCTTTGCTGTGTTTGATTCTTGCTTTGCAACATTTTTATAGAGAAATGTTTTGGGTCAGAAGCCTGCTAACAAATAACATCTCTTTAGTTGAACTTCTTTGCCTTCACTAAGGAAAAGTTAAATGTCCAAGTTCAGGCTATTGGCAGCTCTGGGCTTAGGATTCAGGACCCTTCACTGTTTGTTTCTAGATTCTCTGATTAAACTACTACCCCTATCAAATTTAAGGAAAAGTTAGACACATTCAGTGGGGGACTCTACAGGCAGATACAGAAAATCTATTCTTAGCGATGTGATTAGGTGATGATGGTATGTCCCTATCTGGGGGTGGGAGAATAGCATCATTCTGACACACCAACTCACAGATCAGCAGTAACAGACTAAGGCTCTTTTTCATTCACAAACTAAATGGAACTTATGAAAAATGGTGATTATATTTTTAAAAATCATTTGTCTTGCTGGGACACTTTTCTTATAATTTGCTCTTCTCTTGTTCACAGAATTTTCCTCATGAGCCTAGTTATTCTCCTTGTCTTTACTTCTGGAAGGCTCCCATTTGTGTGCATATTAACACAGCATCACCCTCTGTTCTCCAGAGCAATTGTCTCTCTTCTATTTTTTATCTTGAAAGTCCTGGTTCCTGGGGCACTATTTACTGGAGGGCTTCAAGTATCGCAGACTCACTTTCAGATATATAAATAATGTTCTCTTGAATATTTATTTTTTCCAAATGGCATTGTTCCTTATATTGCTGTACACTTATGGAAAAAATCCTGAGATACTTAGATTTATTATTTCCAGACTATAAAAATGGAGAGAACCTTTCTAATGCTCCATCAGAGCTTTGTTAGCCACTATCATTTGATTGCTAACTGACCATTATATTCTGTTTTGCCTTCAGCTCCTAGAGCTATTGAATTCTGCATTAGGCCTCCACCTTTATTCTAGAAAGGATACCTACCTTGTACTGCCGCTACTGAACTGTCTACATTTCCTTATTCTTCCTTCTCTGTTACAAGTAATTTAGGACACTCATCTTTGTATTAATCAAAATTGCTACCAAGTAGACTTTCTGGAGGACAAAGCCTGTGTCAGCTGTAGCAACAATCTACTTTCTCATGGGATGCCCACCTAGGGATGTGATACTTTGGAGCCTTCCACATTACACAACTTCGTGTATTTTATGCAGGATAGAAGAAAGTCATAATTTCAGAAATACCAATTTTAAAACTTCCATTGGGAAAATTCACCAGGATTATTTAATTCCATACCCCATCACCCTTTAGCACCCTAATGCTCAGGACTTCTTTTCTATCCTGGGTCTTATCCGCAGTGTTCTGACCAGCTGTTGGAACTTCCTGCTTGGTATTTTCATGGCCCCTGTAGCTAACAGTGATATTTTACCTGTCTGCTTTCTTCACTTTTTCCATTTAAATAAACCTCCATGAATTTTAAAATTCACTCCCTTATAAAGACCTTTTCACCTTCTAAGGTGAAAATTAGCTCATTTGTCATA